>NC_000015.10:50776874-51401874 GCF_000001405.40 Homo sapiens | reverse complement strand
TTGACCTCAGTGTGTCAGCCCTAGGGACACAAAGATGATGAAAACACAGTCCCTACCCCTAATTGCTCACAAAAGCACCACAGCACAGGTGCTGCCTGAGAGGCGTGAGAAGGTGCTGTGGTGCGACTTACCTCACTAGGGTATTAGAACCCCCTTTGTGGTAGTAGAGAGAGTTGTTGTAAACAACGTGCCCACAGCCATGGAAATAGTATGGAAGGTGGATGAACGTGTAACTGCCATTCAGAAGTGAGGGCTGATCCTTGAATTCCTTAACCATGATGCCTGTAGGAGGGAAGCCAGGGAGAGGCTGTTACCTACCTCCAGCAATCACAGCTTGGGAGGGAGTCCTTGGGAGGAATTTCAAAGGCGGGAAGTTGAGAGTGAAATGTTCCCTAAGGTCCCTTGTCCAGTGTGAAGAGTCTAAGACTCCCAAGCTCAAAGTCCAATTCTCCATATGGATTTCTGAAATGTCTTTCAAATGTGGTAGGCATTGAACTGGCCTGGCTGCTCCTGGGAGAACTATGTATCACCCTCTCCCACCCCACTCTATACTGTTTATCAAACTCTCTATGAGAGTGGCATAGGCCTTCAACAGGAATAGCAGATACTTGGCGCTTGGGCAATCACCTCTTGCCTCCTCCCACCTCTTCCTGCACTGTGCAGCAGCCACTACTAATGAACAATATTACTTTCTTTTTGAGTCCCCGAATCCTGGTAATCTGGGCAGTTATTACCAGGTTCCCAATTGAATAACTGGCCTTGATGAAATAAAGAACTGATTTCTTCTCAGCTATTTCTCCAACCAGTGATTATGGCCAGACCCCTCCTTTAATGAGGCCGCTGTTACTACCACTAGCAATTCCTGACCACATCTCTTTGGGACAGTACAACTAGGGACCTGCTCAGATAGAGTGTGACTGCAAGGTGGAACTTCACCTTCTCCCTGGGCTCTCTGTCCAACAGGTGGCTGGGAAAGATGGCCAAAAGTACTCTTCTGGGAGGGCGGCAACCTTAGAGAAAGATGGATGGTGTACAAGGATTTCATCTCTGACATTTTTTTCCCATTATGGTTTGGAGGTTTATGAGGCCTGCAGTCATAATGCTATTTGTTTCCTTCTGGATACTTGTCCTAAAACAGGCGATATCTGGGTTACCCTCCTCATGCCCCTGTGACCTGAACTTCAAGGCTTGCCACCAGCATGTTCAAAGGAAGAAAGTTTTCTGCCCACTTATTGGTCTTTCTAAAATAAAGAGACATTTATTACACCAGCTACCGGGGATTTCAGACACACACAAATGGAATACGCCCAAAGGTAGGCAACAGATGAAAAATACAGTTACCACACAGATATGGGTCATAGGCCGAGTGCAAGTACCTGAAAAATGCTCTGTCACCCAAATCCGGTCATCACTCTTGTTAGCAGACTCTCTTATCCAAGTCCCAAATGTCTCTGTCACTTTCAGTACTTGCACTGGGTTTCCAATGGAAGTGATCATGGATTCTGCCAAAAGAAGAGAAAAGAAAGTCACTTGCCTGCCAATTATGACTTGAAGGTATTCAATTTCTGAATTTCAAGACAGGACGCTTTGTTTCTATACCTGCTTGTGGGGAATGGTGTTCACTGGCTTTCTCATCAGCTTTTCCAACCAAGGTATCATCATTTGGTATGGCACAAGTCTCACCTAAAATGACAACAATAATCATCAGAGCCGATACGGTTGGCACAGTGAGATTTGTTGGACTTTATAGCTGCTGCTCTTCCCCACCTCATTCCAGACTCTAGTCTCATAAACATCCCTTGCAATAGATCACCAGATTCCTTGGTTGCTTGCTTTCAAGCAACTCCAAATCATAGCCTTCCAAATTCTTCGCCCTGCTTGTTGAGTTCCCAGGAAGCTTTTCAGGAGTACAGTTGCTAAGATAATACAATCCCAAAAGGACGTCAGTAAAAGCAACAAAGTGGCCTGAGCCAGCCTGTTCAAGGCCTCAGCAATTTGGGGAAATGAGAGGCTTGCTGATGCCTTCCTGGCCTGTCTGGCAGGTGGCATCACTATCATGATTGCATTGTTCTGGAAGGATTTTCATTTTCAGGGAAGCTGGTGGAAGCTGTGAAGTAGCAGCCCCAGAGAATGGGGTGGTCCACTTTATGCAGCATCTTCCTGGGAGAGACATCAGGCAGGGAAACACCGATTTAGAGGAAGAAGTAATCTAGATTCCATCCAGCCTAGAGACATGGGAGTCCCCTCATGACCATTTCCCCACTGTCTCTGTCTAAGAGCCTAGAGAAACACAGGTCCTTGACAGGGGCCTGGTTCAATTTGGCTTGGGGCTACAGCTGAGCTGTGACTCATCCTCCTCAGGTTATCAGTGTCCCCCTTAATGAATGGGCTGAATTTAGACCTTTGGTGAAGAGGTGCCTTAGGGCAGCAGAAGCAAACCTGAGGGAGAGGAGGGAGGAGGATGAATGTGGCCAGGATGAAGAGGACAGGACATGGACTGAACCTCAGGCCCACTCAAATCCTGAGGGGTTCAAATCACCTTGTGGTTGCTTGATGGAAATCTTGAGGGTAATCTGAAGGGCTCCTTTATCAGTAAAATAAGGGAGCCCGACCCTCCATGATCTCTAAGCTTCCTTCTAGCTGGATAAGCCTGTGTTTCCCTGAAGTCCTTCTGTCACCTGATGAGAGTGGTGTCGGGGATCTGTTACAACTTCCCATGGGCAACCCTGCTGCCCCCGGAGTTTCAACTGGGGTTTCCACTTAGGGAACTACAGGGTATTAAAGATGTGGAGTTGGAGCAGGAGAGAGGGCCAAGTTCAGATGCAAATGCTTGGCAACCAAAGACTCCTTTCTAGGAGGCAGAATGGAAGATAATGCCTTTCATTTAAAGCCATTTTCCCTGCTCTGCATCCAGCCCCTGCCGATCCAGCCCCCTGGTAGATTAGGCTAAGCCCAGGAGACTGCTTCTCCAGACAAGGGCCGTCACTGGCTGGCAGAGCCTGTGGCAAATTAGAATTCTGCAAAAGCTCGGGTCAGAGCCCCCTTCTCTCAGGGGAGGTCTCGCTCAGTTCATTCTTCAAGGGAAGCTGAGCAAAGGGCCGATGCTAATGGCTGGGGAGGCACTGCACGGCAGCCCAGCAGAGGAGCAGCTGTGCCGTGGTCTCACATTGCAGAATTATAATCAGGCTCCACTGAGTTGGGGAGGGGGATGGTGCCATCTTCGAAAGCACAGATTCGCCCATTTTGACAGCTGACCGTGCGCCCCCAAACGTCTTCCAGAAAGAACAGTGCACCAAACAGAACTCAAGACTGTTTAGGAAAATGACAGCAATGGCCACAGCAAGGCTGAGAAATTCCAGTGAGGATCCTCCTTATGAGTGCCATTGAGGAGATGGCCGCAAGTGGCCCTCCTCATAGTTTCAGTTAGATGACGGATCCTAGGTCACCCCTTTGGGAGAGAAGTCCTAGCATCACCCTAGAAGTATTTTCCATTAATAAAATCCTTGATTTCCAGTTAGCTTTCAACCCTGTGGCCACTGTGCCACAAATTGGCTAAAGAACAAGTCCACCAGAGGTCAAGTATTCCTTGCTCTTGGTTGGCTTGACCTTGGGTCAGGTCTCAAAGTGTGAATTTCTATCTAAATGGAAGATGCCCTGAGAGCTGGGACTTTACAGTTAGGCAGAGCTGGGTTTGAATCGTAGCTCCGCCACTTACTCCTGGAGGGACCTTGGGCAAGTTCCTTAGCTCTTTGGGGTATCAGTTTTATTAGCTGTAAGTTGGACACAATAATGATTTCAATATCATAGGATTGTTGTGAGAATTAAATAAGCACATAGCCCTGTGCCTGGCTTAATGTAGCACTGTTGTTACTATTCGTGAGGACCTAACCAATCCAAACTTCCCCTTCATCTCCTGAGCATCATTCAAGCTTCTCACTTCTCAAGAGTGCAAAAAGTTAGCAGCTTAGCTTTCCATACTGTTTCAGGGGGGAGGGATGGCGGACAGAGCAAGGAGGAGGACTGGTCTGCTGGTAAATGAAGGAAGCAGAAGGAGGGAAGGGGAGTGGGAGGCCTAATTCTAAAACTGTCCCTGGTCCTCAGCCCTGGGGCAGACTACAAAGAACTCCTGTGAGAAGTTTGCAAGAAGGGAACTTTCATTTTGGACAAAACCCTCCTCCCTCTATTAAAACAAATCTGGTCACAGAGCCTGGGGAGCAGACCAAGAGTTTGGAATAATTGACAGAAGAGGTGGGCCCCGTAGGGGAGAGGTGGTGACCTGGGCACTGGCCGTTGAACATGCTTGGCTGCCGAGGGCCTTTGGCTCTTCTGCTTCCAGGGGGCCCTGGAGGACCTGGAGGGCCTGGGGGCCCAGGTGGACCGGGTGGGCCTTGGTCACCTTTGGCACCTGGAGAGAGAGAGAGAGAAAGGGAGAGAAGGAGGCAAGAGGTAGAAGGGGGAAGGGGAGAGAGGGACAGAGAAGGGGAGAGAAGAAGAGAGAAAGGAGAGAGGGAAGGAAAGGGGAGGGAGGGAGGGAGGGAGGAACAGAGAAAGGGAGGGAGGAAGAGAAGAAGGGAGAGAGGGTGGGAAGAAGGGAAGAGAGTAGTCAGCTAAGGTCTCTTTAGCTGCCTCCTCACAGCCAGACCTTTTCATTCTCTCTACAAGTGGACAAGTGGGGCCACAGAAGCTGGAGGCAGCTCTCTGTCCACCAGGAAGGGGCAGAGATCTGCAGGCAGAGCAGATGTGGCCCAACCTCCTACGCCCTCTCCACTCTCCTCCAGGGGACACCCTCTGCTCTGACCTGGTCTTTTCAATTGGGGTTCATAAGGGATGGTGCTTTTCTGAAGGGTTTGTCATCACCCCTCACTTGGTCAGCAGCATGGAGGAACATGGTACTCTGGATGTGTAGATTTCCTACGTAACAGAAGTGTAATAAAATTTTATATTTTTCAAACACATTTATGTATATTACCCTGTCAAAACACGTCTTAAATTATACATGTTTTGCATAGCAACATCTGCTGTTAATGAAACAAAATGTACTAAACCCAGTTCAATCTTTCCTTGATACGTGGGTCGAAGCACAGTGCCTGGTAAACAATAGGCACTCAATCAAGTCTGAATGGATGGATAGACGGTTGGATGGGCAACTGATTCAGGGTCATTATTCTGAACATTTAGCATCATCCTAGCTTCCTGAGGACAGATAAGTCTTCCTCATTTCCAGCTACTAGCAAAGTCTCTGATTCAGAAATGGTGTTCTCTGGTATTTGCTAAATCTTTACTGACTATATAGTTATGTTCACATGTTATATTTTTATCATATAGGTGATCTCCAAAGTACTGTGCTTTAAAAATTCTTCTGCCTCCTGCTCCTCCATGAGAGTCAGCTGTCACCTGCTCTTTCCTCTGTGCTATTGTCTTTGTGGCTTTCTGCCCCTTACCCTCTTCTCCCACAAATACCAACTGTCTGCTTTTCCCCTGAGCTGGAAAAGCAGCCACTGTATTTGTAGGGGAAATGCCCCTGATGGCAATAACTGAAGTGTATCCTTAGAATGATCCTGGATGGCAGATGCATCTGAATGTCTGCTCAGAGCTAGGGAATCTGGGAGTTGCCAACCCAGAGCTTTGTTCTTTGTTTTGAGGAACATCTGCGCCCCTGGCCCATCCCACGGAACAGGGGCCGTGCAGGCAATTAGGGCCCTGAGTTTTGGGTTAAGTTAAGGTTGCCAGGTGGAGGTGGTTAAGGGGAGGGGGCTGATGTGGTGTGGATATCCCACCCAAATCTCATGTTGAATTGTAATCCCCAGTGTTGGAGGTGGGGTCTGTGGGAGGTGTTTGGATCATGGAGGCAGAGCCCTCATGAATGGCTTGGGTCATCTCCTTGGTAATAAGTGAGTTATTGCGAGATTCGGTCATTTAAAAGTGTGTGGCACTTCACACCCCACTCTTGCTCTCTCTCTCTCACTCCTACTCTCGCCATGTGATGTACCTGCTCCCCCTTCACCTTCTGCCATGATTACAAGTTTCCTGAGGCCTCTCCAGAAGCTGAGCAGATGCCAGCATCATGCCTCTTGTACAGCCTACAGAACTATAAGCCAATTAAACCTTTTTTTAAATATATAAATTACCCAGTCTCAGGTAATTTATAGTAATGTGAGAACAGACTAGTACAGGTGTTAAGCGAAAATGCCAGGTAAATTGCATGCTGTTTGCAAGTGGCTGCTCAGTCCACCGCCCCTGGGCTGCACGTAAGAGAGTTAGCTCATCTAGCCCAAGGCCCCTGGGCTGTTTTTGTCCTAAAGTGGTTCTCCTGTCCAGCCTGCCACCACTGGACTCTCTCCTCTCTATGAAGCCCCCAGTAAAGCCCCATGTCACATTTGCTGGCCCTGGGTCTCTTCTTTGGCTCTTGAATCTGTTGCCATCCCTACTGAGGTCGACCAGGGCTTGGCACAACAATATTTTGCCCCAATTCTAAGAAAAAAGGCCATTAGGATCAGGGTCTGAGGATGGCTCAACCTCATCAGTGAAGCAAACGCTTGTGCTTCCTGTCAGTTGTCCTCTGAGGTGTCGTAAGTTGCCTGCTTACTTGTCTTATTCTGGATTGTGCTGGATTTCAATATATCTTGGAAAAGAAATATTGAAATTGGGTCATGGCTTTTAGACCCAATTACCTGAACCACTTATACTTAGATCCCAGATCTGGTCTTGCCACATGGAGTAACATGCTCATGTTTCTCCTCTTTGAAAGCATAGAACTCCAAAACATGCTGCAAAACAGATGGCCACATAAGGCCATAAAGGAGAGAAGACACAGGAGCAGCCCTGGTGTTGGAAGCCAGGCAGTTCTCTGGGCGCACAAGCCCTCAAAGAGAGCCACAGCGTACCCCTCTTACCTGCCAGGAGCACGTCGTTGGACACATCTCCTTTGTCACCCTTTTCTCCCTTCTGCCCTGGTGGGCCCTCATTTCCCTGCAGGCCCAGTTCACCATGGTCTCCCTTTTCTCCCCTTTCCCCTGGATTTCCTGCAGCTCCAGGTATCCCTGACCAAAAAAACAAAAGACATATTAGCCTATGGTGCAAAAAGTTCTGGCACACCACTTTATATTACTGTGCTTTGTGCTTTCCAGGGAAGCAGTTTTATATACCAAACACACAGCATTTCATAACCATTTTAGAGCAGCAGTGTGACCATACGTTCATTAAAGAACAGCATTTCCAGGTGGCTCTGCTGGATTATTTATTTATTTATTTATTTATTTATTGAGATGGACTCTGGCTCTGTCACCCAGGCTGGTGTGCAGTAGCGCGATCTCGGCTCACTGCAACCTCTGCCTCCCTGGTTCAAGCAATTCTCCTGCCTCAGCCTCCGGAGTAGCTGGGATTATAGGCGTGAGCCACCACACCCATCTAATTTTTGTATTTTAAATAGAGACAGGGTTTTGCCATGTTGACCAGACTGGTCTTGAACTCCTGACCTCAGGTGATCCGCCTGCCTCGGCCTCCCAAAGTGCTGGAATTACAGGTGTGAGCCACTGCTCCCGGCCTGCTGGATTATTTTTAGAGAAATTTGGCTGAGCCAACAGGTTGGAGAGAGGAGTGAACCACAAGAGGGGGCGATGGCAGCAACAGTGGAAAGAAGGTAAGGAAGGCCTAATGAGAAGTCTGCAACCATGATGCTCAGAGGTGTGTGTCTGCTGCCATAATAGTGAGTGTTAAATACATTATTTAGTTTATTCCTCACAACATATTGGAGTGGTAGGCTAGGCAGTCATCCTTACTCTCATTTTATAGATATTGAAACTAAGGCCTACAGTGGTTATAACAGATGCTGCCAAGTCAGAGAGCAAAGCACCTCTGATTCCATCTCCAATGCCCTTTTCTGTGACATTCCAATGCAAAATACTTTCAATCACAATAGCAAAACAGGTAAAGTTGCTTTAAGACAACCATTAATAGGGATGGTGAACAAAAGGTAGTGGGTGAAATTTCTGCCTCTGTTCACAGGGAGCTGTGACTACAGAAATTGCTGTCCTCCGCACATTGCTAGAAACCAGTCAAGGTCTAAGTAACAGCTTGTGTCAGCCTTGGACCCTGAGCAGTGAAAGCACCCTTGGATTGTCCCAGTTCACTGCTGGGAGGTAGTTCCCAGTGGCACAGGGAGAAGGATCTCAAATAGCCTGTCAATCTCACTAAGTTGAGGGGCCAAAAATCAGAGTTTGGGGAGAAGGAGACGGCTAGAATTTGCAAGATAGAAGAGCAGAGAGGAGACAGCTGCGTGAAACAGCCCTGCAGATCTGCAGAGGGCTCCCTTGAACCTGTGACTGAAGGATGACTTCTACACATGAGGGAATTCCAGAGGGCTGGGAAAGGAATTCACAGACTGTTCACTATAAAATTATCAGGGCTCACACAGGAAAAAGTCCTCATTCCCACGGCCACCATGGGGAAATCTCATCAAATACTGAATACTGGGTAGAGTCCTTGAAAAAGTCTAGTTTTAGTAGTGGGGCTAAATTAGCCCCAGGTTAAAGGCTGCGGTGGACCCATCATTACAAAGTTTCAACACAAGTTTCTAAAGGATGAAACCTAACTGCCAGTGATTTAACTGCCTGACTCTGTGCCTGCTGAGAGTCCAAAATTTGAATCATTCAGTTCATGTAACTCAGCATATTAGCAATTTAACCAAGAAAAATTATATGATCATCTCAATGATATAGAAAAGGCATTTGATACAATTTAGCACCCATTCTTAATTTGTCAACAAACTAGGAATAGAAGAGAACTTCCTCAGTCTGGAAAAGGACATCTACAAAAAAACCTACAGCTAACATCATCCTTAATGGTGAAAGACTGAATGTTTTCTCCCTAATATCAGAAACAAGATAAGGGTATCTAACCCTATCACTTTTATTTAACATTCTACTGGAGGTCCTAGCCAGTGCAATAATGCAAGGAAAAATAACTAAAAGGCATACAGATTGGAAAGGATGAAGACCGTTTGCAGATGTCATGATTGTTTATGTAGAAAATCTCAAGGAATCTATAAAAAGGCTACTAGAACTCTTGAGTATACAGTTATACAGGGTCCTTGAGAGGGGAAGTTGTTTCTAATACTGTACAAAGCTATTGCCAGATATGGATCAATTAACGTGATACCCCACAGTTCACACCCAAATGCCCTGCATTGCTATCAGATTAATTATTCCCTAAAACAGTGGTTCCCAACCTTTTTGGCACCAGGGACTAGTTTTGTGGAAGACAATTTTTCCATAGACCGGGGTGTGGGGAGGGATGGTTTGGGGATGATTCAAATGCATTGCATTTATTGTGAATTTTATTTCTATTATTACATTGTAATATATAACAAAATAATTATACAACTCACCATAATGTAGAATCACTGGGAGCCCTGAGCTTGTTTTCATGCAACTAGACAGTCCCATCTGGGGGTGATGGGAGACAGTGACAGATCATCAGGCATTAGATTCTCAATAGGCTTTGCACTCCTATGAGAATCTAATGCTGCTGCTGATCTGAAGGGAGCTCGGGCGGTAATGTGAGCACTGGAGAGTGGCTGTAAATACAGATGAAGCTTTGCTCAATCATCTGCCGCTCACCTCCTGCTGTACGGCCCAGTTCCTAACAGGTCATGGACCGATATGGGTCTGGGGGCTGGGGACCCCTACCCTAAAACGTAAACCTGGAGCTCTTAGCACCTTTCATTTACCCCAGAGGAGTAATAAATATTCAAAATGGTTTCTGCTCTTCCATATTCATGTTCATATTCCATATTCAAGGAACTGTCTGCAGACTATTCTAAGGAAGACAGCAGTGCATGGAAAAGCCTCAAAGTGTCGATCACTGTTAGAAGAAAACTGTAGTGAACAAAAACAATTTGCTAGATTTCAACCAACCAATAAAAAAAAACCTTAGTGAAAACTATGAAATTCAGCTACAGTTGGGAATCAGAAGCCCCAGGGTCCTCACCACTACCAGTGGTAAGCTTGGGTGGCGGCTGCCCGTCCAGTGGAACTGGGGGAGCACAGTAGAAGAGGATGTGAAGAGGAGCAGGGGGCCCCTCCACTGTCAGCACTGGCTGTGCCATGGATTCAGTGATATGGGGGTCAAATCATGCCTCTTTGAGGGGTTATGGCTTGTAATACCTCCCTCACAATAGCACCAAAATCCCATTGCATTGACTCCTCCGGGCCCTCAGTCATCAGGCCATCTTGGTGGAAAGTGGTTCACTCACTTGAGAAGAGCCCTTCTGCCCGGCCCTCTTTGTGAGAAGACGTTCTTTTGTCAGTGTTTTAAATAGGCAATTTGGCACATTATCTGAAGGAGACAAAAAACGAGGGCATTGCCATAGAGTCCAGCCTGCACAGTGCACCAAGTGTAACTGACACCTTCGAAAGGTCTCACATGACCCAGTTTTAGCAGTGCTCAGGGAAAGGGTATCTGCTGGTTCCTGCAAGGATATCTTTTTCAGGCATTTATTCTAGTCACAAACAGCCTTCTGCATCATCATCTTATTTCCCCTTCCTTTCTTTTCTTTCTTCCTCTTATGTCTTTTCTTTCTCGGAAAGGCCATATGTGAAACAGGGAAATGTTCCTGCTGCCTGGCAGCTGTTGTAATGCGCCCCCCACAGGGTCAGGTATTTAACACTATTCAAGGCCTTTGCTTGAGGCTGTAGTTTTACTGTGGTTGGGAAATGCATGATCATTTTATGGCTTTCATTAAGAAAGGGTTGGGGGACATTTTGTCTACATAGAGTCTGCCTTTGCCCTCTTGTCCACTATAGTGCTGACAAAGCATCCCCTCGTCTTTGTCAGTAAAATTGCCCTGGCTGTGCTTTCGCCGTGATATGTCAGAAATTAAATATCACCTAGTGATTCACCATCAGGAACCTGTGTGTGGCATTTTCTACCCTGCCCTGTCCCAGGGAAGGTCAGGGATGCTAGCCGTGCACAGTGACACTATGACACTATGTGATCTGGACCCCTGGCTGGCTTTGAGTTGGCACATTCTGCCAGAGAAGAAAGGCCGGACTCTGCCTGTGTAACTTGTGCTAGGAGTGGCTCTCTACTGTTTTTCTCTGGTGTCGCCCACTCAAAACAAACAGTTTCATCAGCATTTGAGTTTGGAGTTGTGTGATATCTCGGGGTTGAGGTCAACTCTCATCTTCACAACATGGGGTGAGGGAGGATGTTTTATTTTCAGCAGTATCATTTGTTGCTAAGGCGGGGGAAAGGGGCCAGAGAGTGTCACACAAAACCCAGTCCTGAGACACAAATACGGAGGAGGGCTTTCATTTCTGTTTTTATAAGAATTTCACTTTTAGAGAAGATACTGCAGCATTAACTCTTAAGTGAGAAAATGAGAGGCAGCTGGAAGGAAAGAAACTGCTTGCTTTTGAGGCAATGGAACATCAGACTTCATAGAAGATGCTGGTTGCACAATTGACATTTAGGTCTCTTTCAGTTCTGACTCTTCTCTTCAGATCTAAGTTAGTGTTTCCAAATGAATACAGAACACTTCCACTTAGATTTCCTTTTGGTCTAAAATAAAGTTTCTCCTTCCCGACTTTTGAAAACAACAACAATAATAGCTAACACCAGTATAGCACTTACAATGTGTCAAGCCCTCTTCTAAGCACTTTATATACATTAACTCATTTAATCTTCCTAATAACATTATGAGGTTAATACTATTATTGTCCCCATTTTGCAAATGAGGAAATTGTGGCACAAAGTGATAACTTGCCCAGGGGCATACAGCTAGTAAGCGGAAGAGCCGAGACACAAACCATCTGGCTCCAGCTCTGGCTCTGAGCTATTCCACTAACATTCTTAGCTTTTCTAAGGTCAGAACCTGAGAAGCTTTGATGTTTCAGTCTCCTGGAAGCAACCGTTAGGCTACAGAGCTTAAACTCTGGCTTTATCAGGGTAGTCTTATAATGGCTCCTGGTTGCCTCCTGCATATGTGGAGCTGAACCCCCTGACCTTACTTTGAAGGCCATTACCCTCTAGTCCTAGCCCAATCTAGCCAGGGTCCCCACTAGTACCCAGGGGTAGCCTCATAACCTGTGAGCCTAGGCCTTTCTGTTCTCTCCCTGCGGTTAATGCTGCTGCAGTTACCGTCTCGAAAAATCAAATTCTCATAAAAAACAGAAATGAAAGCCCTCCTTATTCGTGTCTTGGGACTGGGCCCTGTTCCCCCGCCTTTCCCACCGCTCCTCTACTTATCTCCAAAGTGCTGATCACTCTTCTCTCTCGTCCTTTATGCTTAGTTCTGCTGCACAATCCATCCTCTGCAAATAGGATCCTCTGCACAGTATCCTATTTGCTCATCTTCTGCACAGGGAAGTTTGGCTTTTTCTTCTGGCAGTATTGCCTCCTATGAAGTATAGAGCAGTCTTCCAACCAGAATAAATAGTTACTGAGTACCTGCTGTTGCACGATATATCTTCTCTTTCAACTGGATTGTAAGCCCTTATATACAGACACAATGTTCTAGTCTTCTCATTCATTCATTCATGCATGCATTCATTAATTCATTCTCATTCATCAATTATTTATTGGGCCTTAGCTGGGCCCTAGCTAAGAGATGTCATGAATAATAAAATCTATAATACATAGTCCCTGCCTTCATTGACCAACACTATAGTGGAGTATTTAAAACCAGAAACCATATTAGAGTTGTCATAACCCAACCTCTTCTGGCTACAGATGAGGAGGTCAAGGCCTCATCTTGGAGTGACTTGCCCAGGGCCTCAGGGCCAGTAAGGGGTAAAGGCAAGAGCTACTAGAACTCCTTTCACCGTTCCCCTCTGCCTTGAAGGCAGGGAATGAGAGGGACAAAAATCAACTGTCTCTGACTGGCAGGTTATACTCATTGAACTGTGTGTTCTCAACAATGTCCTGCAGGCCTCTCTGAAAGGCTGGAACCCTCCCAGCCCTCCCAGGAAGACTCAGCCTTGGAGCTCAGATTGGAGCGTGTCTGAAGCCCTATATTCTCAATCGTTAACTGCACCAGCGCTCAGGGCCCAGGCTTCTTTCCTGTTCGCTCTTGCTCTTCGGCACCTCCAATAACCCTGCTCTCACAACAGGGCCCAAGCCCCTTGAGCACGCAAATTGAGTGTCACTGTGGTTAAGAGCAGGTGTCCAGAAGTCAGAGAAACCTGGATTCAAGTCCTGCCTCCTCCACTTATTAGCTTTTGACATTAGACAAGTTATATCCAGTCATTCAACAATGAATTTATTGAGCTCCTTGGCTGTGTGTTCCAGGCACTGAAGGTAGGAACTAAGCAAGACAGACATGGCCAAGCTCTCACAGGCCTCACATTCTGCTTGGGGAGTCAGCCCATCAGCACAACAGCAAATAGTCCCTATGGGGTAATTTCAGGAAGGGATATTTCGATTGATTGCGCTTGGGGAGTCAGACCATTAGCACAACAGCGAATAATCACCAGGGGGTGATTTCAGGGAGGGATCAATATTTTGATTGATTCCACTTGGGAGGTCACACCATTAGCGCAATAGCAAATAATCACCGTGGGTCGATTTCAGGGAAAGATCAATATTTTGATTGATCCCACTTGGGGAGTCAGACTGTCAGTACAACAACAAATAATCACCATGGGGTGATTTCAGGAAGGGGTCAATATTTCAAAAGAGCAGGGGATGTGACAGAGTAGGTGAGACAGGGGCTAGACACAGAGGCCAAGGATGATCTTGTATACGAGGTGACATCTGAGCTAAGACCTGCTCAGGAAGACAGGGGAAGTCAGGAAGAGGGCATTCTGGGCAGTGGGCACAGGCCACTATGTCCTAGTCCCACCCCAGTCTACTCTGGGTCCCTAGCAGTACTCGTGCAAAGGTCCTGGGGCAAGGGTGAGCTTGGCCTGTTTGAGAAAGAGAGAAGTATCTTCATCTGGAAAAAATATGGCTAACAAAAGTATTCATGCCCTTGGGTTGTTCTGAGGACTAGATGAGCTGAGTGTACGGAGACCTTAGTGGAGTGTCCGGCAGTAAATGCTGGCTATGTATTATGGTTCCAAAGGTTGTTGCTAGAGGGCACACCCCACCCTAAATGGGTCCCTAACTCAATAGAACACAGGCTTTTTTCCTTTTCTTGGAAACAACACTTGTTCCCTTTTTGTGGAATGCACTCCCACACCTCTCCTATGCCACCCCTGCCTGGCAAACCACGAATGATCCTTTAACTCTCAGTTTAAATGACAGCCCTTCCTTCTCTACAGTCACAGCAATGGCCTGGAAGGTTGCGTACCCACGTGAGGACCTGCAGTGCCATCCTGGGAGCTGGCTGCTCATCCAAAAGCTCTGGAAAGGCCTAGGGCCAGCCTCCAACCTCGCCTGGCTGTGTGACCGCACCCTCTGTGTGCGCCAGGCCCTCCCTTCTCATCTGGCCAAAGCTGTTACCTCCCTGCCCTCCCTCTCTATCACTGTACCTCAGAGCACCTCGTTCTTCCCTTCAAACATACATCTCATGTTGAGATGGTAGGTGGATATGGCTGTTGACTGTGGATGTTGGCCTCTCCACCAAAGATGGAAAGTTCCAGAACAGTGCCTGTGTCTTTTGTAGTTCCCCAATAGCACTCGACATCTGCTGAATAAGTATTTGTTGATGAACGTCCCCACCCTCTCCTGGTGCTCGTCTTGCTGCTCAGTCCCCTCCTCAGTCTCCTTTGCTGACTCATCCCCTTCTACTTTGTCACCTGAGGTTGGAGCTTCTCAGGGCTGAAACCCAGCCCCTCCTCTCCTGCCAAGCTCTCTCCCTAAGTGACTTCACCCCTGCCCACATGCCCAGGTGCCTCAATGACTCCCTGATATATACATCTCACCCCAGGCCTCTTTTGACTACAGACCTGTTTTCCAAGGCCACTGCCCCACCTCCTCCTGTATACTTCAGGGCATCTGAAACTCAGCACATCCCATGCGGAGTCCACGATTGTCCCTTTAGATCTGAGTTGAGTGCGGGGCTCCCCACCTCAGGCAGGAGCAGCTTACCCATCCATCCAGTCGAGCATGACAGCAACCTTAGGGTCAGTCTTGATGCCTACCTGACCCCCAACTCCCTGTATCCACTGTCCACTGGGAACTGCTGGCTTCACCCCTAAATATCACTTATCCCTGTGGGTCTTTCCGCCCCCGCCCGCTGTCCCCCGCCTACGGAGGCCGTCTCCCTGCCTCTACTCTGGCTCATTCGCCTGCCGGTTCCAGTGCGCTCTCCATGCAGCAGCCACAGCAGCATTTAGAGAAGCAGATCTGATCCCATCACTGTCTCCCACTTGACGGCCCTCTGGGGCTTCTCATGGCCCTCAGAAGGAACCCTGTTGCCCTCAGTGGCCCTGCTGCCTCTGGTCCCTCCTCCCTATCCCTTTCCTGCAAGTGCTGGGTATGAAGGGAATCTGTCCCAGGGCTCAGGAGTGGGTGAGGAGGGAAAGTGCAGCCTCGGGGCCTCAGCAGTGTGAACAGGACAATGTGGCTCTCGCTCTGCAGCCTGAGCTGGCCCATGAAGTGAGCGATCCCATCGAGCTGGGCTCTTCAGATAGCCTTTGGTGGTTAGTCTCCCACTTCCCCTGGCCTGGGACAATGAACTCCTCATGGGGGCCTCGGGGACTCAACTTCCACTCTCAGTATGAGTGGAGGCTTCGCGGTCTAATGCTGCTGACCTCCGCAAGCCTTACTCTCTGGGAGATTGCTGTAGAGAAGGGTGTCTTTGCTGCAGTTCCTATGAGATCTCCCAGAAACCAAGGATTGGGGTCACCCTCCAGTGACAAACAGAATCCAACACCTTCTCCCTTCTCTGCTGCTGTCCTCTGCTCCAGCCTCTTCCCTTCCCTCCTATAGCCTCTCAGCACAGCTGTCAGGCCATCCTCTCATCCATATGTCAGGCATAGCACTGTTCCACTTCACATCCTCCCCGTTTTTCTCTGAGTACAAATCACAGTTCTTAAAATGCCCAGGGCTGACCTGATTTGGCCTGGTTACCTCTCTGATCTCAACTAGGCTAGGTTAGCTACTCATCCCTTCTGTCCAGCTGCCCTGGCTTCCTTGCTGCTCCTTAAACTGTCCAGGTACCCTGGTGGCTTACACACTCTGCCCAGAGCCCTCTGCCCCAGAAACCCTGAGACCCTCTTTTACCTCCTCTTGGTATTTGCTCAAAGGTCCCTTCTGAGGGAGGTCTTACTTGGCCTCCCAATCTAAATGTACCACCTCTAACCCCACATAAATTTCCCACCCCTTTCTATGATATTTTTTCTCCTCAGCATTTATCACCATGGAACAGACCATATATTCTATTTATTTATCTTATTTATTATCCGTCTCTCCCAGCTAGGATGTAAGCCTCGTGAAGGTGGAGGAGGGGGGCTTATTTCTGAATCTCCAGCATCTAGAATGGTACCTGCCACACAAATATGTGCTCCATAAACAAATGCACTTTTTCTTTTCTGCACTCCCTGGGTTGCAGGCTGCATGCGAAGCACATCCTCAAGGCCAGGGATCTGTCTCAAGCCTTTTTGAAAACCACCCCTTTCCTACGTGCCCCACACCCAGCTCTAGCAGGGTGCCCTCCTGCCCCTGAGCCTGCCCTCATCATGCCCATTGCCGAGGCCTCAGGACTGAATCACATTTTTGGAGTCTTCCCAGGATAAGCCAATAGGCATCATTATTCTACAGCGATGCTCATGTATAATTATAATTATTATCCTATATGAACGATCCATTGCTGCTGTGTAATTCCAATGGTAATTACTGGCCTTCTGAGGATTGAGCTGGCTTGGACGGTGTGTGCCCGTTTTCTCTGAAGCTGCCCTCTGGAACACAAGCAGGTAGGCACTGCCAAGTGTCAGAGGTGCTCGACAATTTTTCCCTCTCCACTGGCCCTTACTTCAATTGCTAATGAGAATAAGAGTGGAGGTGACCAAAGGAGTAATTGCTGTCTGGAAGAATTTTCTACCATTTCTTCTCGTCCAGGGCCAGTCCAAGTGAGTTTGGGTAGCAGAGCCAAGAGGTTGAAAATAAGATGGTGCAGTGGAGTCTCCGGCTGAAAACAACCTCCCTCTGCCCTCAGCAGTGGCTTTGACGGGTGGCTGAGAGCCAGGCCTTCGTAGGAGCCTCCTGAGTAGTTTCTTACCCTCTGTCTTTGAGCTCCCACCACAGCATGTGCCAGCTTTCTTCAGGTGGATCTGCCCTGACCCCGGCTCCCCAGGACTGGTGCTCAGAGCCCTTCAGAATCTTCCCCTTTGTGCCCCAGCCTCCTGCCAGGCCCTGCACCAGCCCCTGATTCTTACTGCTCCCTGGGCACATCTCGTGCCTTGGTGCTTCTGGGCCTTTTCTCCAGTGGTGATGGCCTGCTCATAACAGGGCAAAGGAAGCTCCTCCGAGATGCCAGCCATATCTTCATAGTTATCCTGTAGCCCCTGAAGAGGAGACCCTTTGACCTGAGTGCCGGCCACAGGGAGGCCAGGATGCTGCCTTTCCACTCAAGCAGTTTGAGCTATTCCTCTAGCCAAGAAATGCCTTACCAGGGGCCAACATCAGTTCATTGATTTTCAACCAAACACAGATTCGCTGGGCAGGAGGAGGCAATAGAGGGCAAGGCAGGAGCTGAGCCTCGAAAGAGCATGCACCAGCACCAGCTGTCACACGGCCCACAGAATGCCCCTCCCAGGGCTGTGGGCTCCTGCTCCTTCCACCTCCCATCTGCAGCAGAAGGGTGCGAGTCAGTTCCCAGGAGACGGCTTCTCCAGTTTGAAATAAACATCTGTCAAGGTGGGACCAAGAAGTATACCCTTGGTATCCCGGAACGCAATGGCTTCTAGGTAAGAGTTAAACCGGCCTTAAACTGTGCAGAGATGAAACACCTTACCCCTGCTGCACACAGTTTTAGTCGACCCAAATGCAATCATGGAGATAAATAACAGGGAAATTAATTAGAAGAGTTGCCAAAAATACCCATTTTTCCTCTTTTTCCATTTGCTCCTTTTTCTCCTTTTGGGCCCTGAGGACCAGGCTGTCCATCCAATCCGTTGTGTCCTGGCAACCCGCCGGCTCCCGGAGGTCCTGCATCAAAACACAGAAACAGGGACATTAACCAAAAAAAAAAAAAAAATTATTCACTGAAGTTACTGTCATTTCCTTTACCAGTGAAACTGAGCAGGCATCAATTCCTTTTCCACATCCTTTCCCACTTCTTTCCTTCCTTCTCTGGCTGAAGCAGTGCCAAGTGGGGGGATGGTGATGGCAGAGCCTCAGGTGAGGGGCACAAAGAAGGAGACACACAGCCAGGACTGCCTCCAGGCTCTTGCCCTCCCCGCATCTGTCCCAACAGGGAGATCCTAGGGTCTGGCCACCCACAGCCTCCCCTTGAACTAGAAAATCCATGGGCTCTTACCTGGTGGTCCAGAAGGTCCTACAACGGAAAAAAAATTTAGTTGAGAAACCAGCACCGAACCCAGAAAACAAAGAGCACCCCCGACCTTCAAATCTCCTAATTATCTACTGACCCTAAGCAATGGATTTGACACCTTGTATTTAGAACTCGTTATATTTGGCCAAAAGACCCTTTAAAGCAATTCAACAAAGACCCATTTGCCAATCAAACCACTTTTGCTTGTTTCAATGAACCAAGATTAATTTCTGAGCTGTCCTCACTCTAGATTGATAAATTAGTCATCTCTCAAGCAGTCAACCTAATAAACGGAGGGCCAGTAACAATGCTGGTGGCCATGAGTGCAGCCCTAGCATGGGGGTTAGCAAATGATGGTGCTGTCATTGTGGGGCTGAGATTTGGCCGTCCCAGGAGTTCTCCAAGTGCTGTAATCTAGCTAGCTTGTCTCATCTGAGCCACTGGGGGGAGTCGGGAGTGAAAGCTGGCTGGCTAGATTTCTCTTTTGTTACATGAAATAGCCTGAGAAAAATTGAGAGCCCAGATCAGGTAACAAATACCTTCCTTAGCATGTAATTACTCAAGGATCTAAGGGGTTCACATGAATTTTGCTCCCACAAATAGGGGTGTCTTATTGTCGACTATTCTATTTGAGTACTCAGACAAGCTAATGAGGTTGTAACATGAGCACTTGAGTTCCTTTTGTTTCTTTTCTTTTCTTTTTTTTTTTTTTGGAGACAGAGTCTTGCTCTGTCACCCAGGCTGGAGTGCAGTGGCACCATCTCGGCTCACTGCAAGCTCCGCCTCCTGGGTTCATGCCATTCTCCTGCCTCAGCCTCCCGAGTAGCTGGGACTACAGGCACCCGCCACCACGCCCGGCTAATTTTTTTTTTTTTATGTATTTTTAGTAGAGACAGGGTTTCACTGTGTTAGCCAAGATAGCCTCGATCTCCTGAACTCGTGATCTGCCCGCCTCTTTAGACCACATATAATGATTACCAATATTGGAATGGTGAGGTCTTTCCATAAATCTAAGCCTGTGACCATTCACAAAACAAGCATTGCTAAGCAGTTATTATGTGCATCAAACTCCACCAAGAAATCTTGGTGCCTGTATCCTGTTGTGTTCACAGTCTACGTGGGAAAGATGGACTCTTTGAAACCATAATGCAGTATGAGAGAGCTACAGTGAAGTCTCCACTCCCATACCCCTGACAAGGGGTACTGGGGAAGTGTGGGCATGCAGTGGTCTGAGAAGGCATCTCAAGAAGATGATCCTGGAGCCACGACATTGAAGAAACGGGGCTTAAGATGGCAGCAGATGAGGTCTGGCATTCCATGAAGGGGCCACCAGGAGTAAAGGTACAGAGGTGGGGACTTATAAGATTCAGGGTGGGAGGAAGTTAGAGGACTGGCCAAGTGTGTAGAGATGAGGCTGAAGAAGGACCTGGGTATGGTGGGTGGCAGAAGCACTTGAATGTCAAACCAGGAGGTGTAGATGGTATCTGTGAGGCAGGAGGGAGCCATGGGAGGTTCTTAGGCAGGGGGATGATGCTGTGAAAGCAGTGTGGGTTTGATAGCCTCTTTGTCGTTGGTAGATGGATAGAACTAGGTGCAACAAGACGAGAGAGACAGTGACACAGAGACAGGAAGAGAGACATGGAGGATGGGCATTGCAGAAAAAAAAAAAACCCTAGGGGATCTTTGTAGCTGTCAACTCAGTGACAAGCTTGTGGATAAATGAGCTGACTGTAGAATTGTAGAGAAAGCTAGACATTCAAGAGGTATTTCAGCAGAATGAGCAAGAATCCACATCTGATTGGGTAGGAGGCAAAGGAGGAGGACATTCAGATAACAGGGGGCCTGCAATACAGATGGATAGAGGCTATTTTGACAGGCGTGGGGACTTTTGGGAGAAATAGGTGTTTGAGGATATGCTTTCAATACATAACAGTCCTACTCTGGGCAAAAATGGCTGGCTAAAATGGTACCACATTCTCTAGGGTCAGTACAGCCTGTGTCTCCATGACTTTACCACCAGATGGCGAACACGTACTGGGAAGGGGGTGAGGTGGCCAGTTAACAGAGGTCAGAGGAAATCAATTAATCATCGTTCGCGACGACAGAGGGAGCCAAATTCGGATATAGAGACTGGTGGAAAGAATAATTTGACTGTAAGACACAAGACTTGCCTGTACACAGTAGGTTTCAAAAGTTCTCACGACAGTCTGATAACCACGTCCATGCATCAGTACTGTTGGTGAGAGCTCCCGGCTGAAGCTGTATATTCAGGACACGTTAGCCGTGGCCAAGGCTCTCACTGTGGTGATTAGATTAGGGTGTCCTGCAAGAGTTCCACTGATGCCCTATGGATAGAGTTCCTCTCATATGAATCCACAGAATCGCCTGCAATGCCTAGTAAATGCAGATACCCAGGCCCCATCTGGGGTTCCTAATTCAGTTTGGATTTAGAGTGAGGCCCAATAATCTGCATTTTTATCCGAGCATCATAGATGACTGGAATGGAGGTGGTCATGGGCCCTCTGATGTGGTGTGAAAATTTTCTGGGAAAAGAATCAGTCACCATCAGCAGATCCTTAGAGGGGTTCTTGATCCTAAAAAGGTCCAGAGCTGCTAGTCTTAAGGCAAGAGTAAAAAGTCTAGGCTAGAATTGGGGATGGAAGAGCGGGAGGGCCACACCCCACCTGGGGAGAGGCAAGTGAGAGAAGAGGCACCAGGAAAGAGAGAGTTGTCAGAAGACACTTGGAGGAGGAAATCCAGCAGGTCTAATTCCCCGCAGCTAGATGAGGAGAGAATTTCAGAAGAGAAAGGAAGACAGCCCCAGAGAGCTCAGCAGTCCGGGCAGACATAAAATGTGCTGAGGCATAGGGAGTTATGGTGATGGCGGGATGTCCTCCGTCCTCTCAGAATGCCAGCCTGGCTCTCCAGGGGCCTGACATCTGGAAGAGCTCCCACATGTGTCAAATAATGTCAAATGCCATGATGTGTGCCAACTGGGTGTTTAGAAAACTGTTTCTCAGCTCCTGACCCTTCTCCCTTTCTTGAATAGCACATCCTCAAGGAATATGTGCAGACATCCATGATCATGCTAATAGTGCATGCAGGGCTGGTGTCCTGGGCCTACCACCCATGCAGGTGCATAGGGTTTCACCTCACAAGGGGGCTTCAGGTGTGGGCTTAATGCTCTGCAGTCGCCGTCTAGAAATTCCCAGTGATCTTGTCTTTGAATTTGTGTAAGTGAAGTCCAATGGGTCAATAAAGTATGCACAGGGGGCTTGGTGGGGTCCCAACTCCCACCACCTTCCTAGGAACTGCCACCTGCTCCCTTGCCCCATGATGTGTCCTCTGTACTCCTTGCCCCATCAGTAACTTCTGCCACCTTCCACTCTGGTAGGGGCTGGGGCACAAGTGCAGGAAAGGTGGGGCTGAGTGGTGCCCTGCGTGCCTGAGTCACAGGGAAGGATCCCTGGTGCCTGTGAGGGTCTGTACTTGCCCCATAAGTATTCTATGCTTCATGGAGTATGACATTAGGTAGCAGATAAAAACTCACACCAAAACAGGTCAAGACTGTGGAAGAAAGAAGAAAGCCTTTTTCCTGCTTCTTTTGGACAAGAAACCCTGCATTTTCATTTTGCACTGGGCCCTGCAAATTATGTAGCTCATGCTAACTGTACCCATCCCACACTCCTAACCAGAATCGATTAAAATTGGGTGGATGCTTGATAAGAGCTGAGCCACTTAGATATTTTTTCCCTTGAAATCTAAAATTGGCTCACAATGCCCCAGTTATGTAAACTTGAGGTCTGTGATGGCCATGAACACCAAAAACAAATCAGTCTGCAGAGAGAAGTGCCAGTTCCAGTCAATTAGTGCTGGCTTTCTGGAACAGCAGAAAAGAATGCTATGAGGCTGTGCTCAGCAGCATTGATCCGTGATTGATATTTGCCTAGGCATAGAATAAGAGACTAGAGACACGTATCATAACTGGATTAGGGTCACTTGGCTGCAAGGAGAATGTGTAGTGCTTCTGCCCCAATACGCAGTTCAGTAACATGATGATTTAGATATTTTCTAACAGATACACACGAAGAGGATGCAGTGAGTGAAGAATAACCCAATAACATGGCTTCTTCAAGATGCCTGCTCTCCCAGAAGATATGCTTCTGGGTCCCCAAGGAAATCTGGGCTCCAGAGTAAGATGCATTCAGAAAAGCATGTGTTGTTTGACAAACTCTGTACTAGCAGAATAACTAATTACTCTAGCTAGGGGATTACCCTCACGATCCAACTGAGATGTTAAAGGTTGCACAGAATCACATAGCATCTGTCCTGACTGCCGTAGCAGCAACAGCTGGGCAAGGAAGAGGAATGGGAGCCAGGTTACCTGGTCACAGCTGGACTAGCCTCAAGTTATGAGTGCCTGCTTTTTCAAAGATGAATCCAGTGGGAAGCTAAACCTTGTTCCCAGTCCCCAAGCCCAGGTTCTGCTCTGGCACATCTTCCTGCCAGGCATCCTCTTAGGGCTCGAGACCAATGCTCTGTGTCCACCCTCTGAAGCTACCCAGTTCATTCCTGGGTCCTGTCACTCACCTTGCTGCCCACTACCCTGCCCCCAATCCAGGCCTCGTGGTCTATCCCAAAGGATCCTCTCACTTTGCAACTTGTACTTTTCACATCTAATTTTAATTGAAGAACTTTCTGTGCAAAAGGAGGCCCAATTTCAAGCTGGCATGAAAGGAGAAGGTGCTGTCTTTTGAAAAGCACTTCAAAGTGCTAAAGAAAAACCTACTCAACCCACTTCCAGTGCAGACGTCGTTCCCCACTCTCTGCCAATCTCTCCTAAGTGGTCTCAATAGCTCCGTCCCATGCATTCACTGTACAGCCTGGCTCTCAGGTCTATATTAAAAAAATCAAAAAGGAAGAGGCTTTTCCTGTGCCTCTCAACAGGCTTTTGTGCCTGTAATTCCATCCATCCATTTCTCTAGCACTCATTACTGTCGCATGTAACTCTGAAAAAGGACTTCAAGAGATGGAAGAAAGATGCTTAAGCTACAAGAGTTTCAGAGTAAAGGACCAAGCTGTTCTGAAGATCTTTAATTTTCAGTGAGGGCCGGAATATGACTTGAGTTATTCAATTAGCATTTCCCAAGAAGTCACAGAATTATAGTTTTTCTCTCTGAGGCCAAAATAAGTGAAAGAGAGTCAGACTTGGATGTGGGGTTCCTGAGGGGAGTTTCTTTCTTACCATCTCACCTCCATTCACATACCCATATACTCACAGGTTTATTCACTCAGCAAACTCACATTGCACTCCTAATGCAAGGCAGGTAATGAGAGGGAGGTGGGGGAAATATTGGGGAAAAAGGCTAGGCTTCCTACAACCTGATGCAAACTGTGCAGGGTTCCTTAACCCTGAGAAGCTCTAGCCCGGCCTCCCCAGAGACTGGGACCATCAACTGAGAGATCCAGCAAAAGCTTCAGGTGGCTTCAAGGTCTCATGGTAATGTTTTAAAGTCAGAGGGGACTGCTCTAGCACTCCGCAACATCTAGTTTGGGCCACCACACCTGGCCAATCTGGCCAATAAGTACTTCTGATAAAAGAACTGTATTAATTAGCAAGGTCTTTTCCCTTCCTTTCTTTCCCCTTTTAAAAACTAATGGGAATAAGAAAATAATCTGTGGCTCTGGTTCAAGGTACCACACGTTTCTAATTACCCAAGTCCTAGTTATTTTCCATGGCTATATTTCTATGGCAATACTGAAAATATTATTTTTCATAATCATATTACAATGGGTTTTCAGCTCATTAAAAACATCTGGTAAAAGTAAACCAACATGTATTTTTATAACAAAGTGTCCCTAGGCGTTCATTCTGCCACGGGCCTTCAGCGGCACAAGTCCTTGTTGTGTGAGCGGCTCTGCTCAGCGGCCAGCCTACCTGTGAGGCAGATGCCCTTGGTGCTGTTGCACAGGTCCACCATCACTCGGATCTGCAGGGGAGAGAGGGTCATCAGAGCAGACAGTGGGCAGCAGGCCCTGGGCTCATCCTTTATTCAGACGAGCAGAAAGCAATCATAAAAAGTCACCAAGTAACTTTAGGAGAACCCGCGGAAGTTCAAGGAAAACGCAGTGATGTCCCACCTAGTGATGCTGCAGTCAACAACGAATCATACACAATGGTGATTTCATAAGATTACAATGGAGCTGCAAACCTCATTTGTCCAGTCACGGGGTAGTGTCTTGGTGCAATGCATGACTTCGTGTTTGTGGTGATGCTGGTATAAACAAACCTACCACACTGCAGATTGTAAAAAGCATAGCACGTACAATTATGTATAGTACATAATAATTGATAATAAATGACTATTACTGCTTTGTGCATTTACTATGTTATCCTTTTTAAAATCTTTTTAAAAAGTTTCCAGCTGACATCTTGACATCACCATATTTTGTATTGTTATTATAGACTGTACTCCTTCTACTTAGAAGAAAAAAGTTAACTGTAAAACAGCCTTAGGCAGGTCTTCAGGAGGTATTCCAGAGGAAGGCACTGTTGTCACAGCTCCATGCATGTTATTGCCCCTGGAGACCCTCCAATAGGACAAGATGTGGAGATGGAACACAGTGATATTGATGATCCTGACCCTGTGTAGGCCTAGGCTAATGTGTGAGTTTGTGTCTTCATTTTTAACAAAAAAGCTTAAAAAGTAAACAAACAAAAAACACCAAATTTTAAAAATAGGAAAAAGCTTACATAATAAGGATATAAAGTATTTTTGTAGATCTGTACAATGTGTTTGTGTTGTGTTATTACAAGTCAAAAAGTAAAAGACATTAAAATTTTATAAAGTAAACATGTCACAGTAAGCTAAGGTTAATTTGTTGAAGAAAGAAAATATTTTAAAATAAATTTGGTGTAGCCTAAGTGTACAGTGTTTATAGAGTCTACAGTGGTGTACAGTCATGTCCTGGGCCTCCACATTCACTCACCACTCACTCACTGACTCACCCAGAGCTACCCCAGTTCTGTAGCTCCATTCATGGTAAGTGTCCTATACAGGTGAGCCATTTTAAATCTTTTATACTGTTGTTTTATGGTACCTTTCCTATGTTTAGATACACAAATATTTACCACTGTGTTACAGTTGCCTACAGCATTCAGTACTGTAACATGTTGTACAGGTTTGTAGCCTAGGAGCAATAGGCTTTTCCACATAGCTGAGGTGTGTTGTAGGCTATGGCATCTAGTTTCCTGCAAGTACACACCATGATGTTTACACAACAAAATTGCCTAATGACGTATTTCTTAGAATGTATCCATGTGGTTACATGACATATGACTGTAGTTAACATAACACTTGAAAGAAACCCTTAAAAGATCTAAGAATATTCGCTATCAGCAGCTTATCTATCAACATCATCAAGAGAATTTCCTTGAATTTCTATGGAATTCTGACAGAGGATGACGAGGGAATTGCCAAATCCAACTTTCACCACCATAATGAGCCAGCCCCCACAGCATCTGAAGGGCTCAATTTTTGGGCCTGAATAAAAGGGGTGGTGAGCCTAGTGGTTGGGAGGAAGCACCTATTAACTGGGTGAACACAGATGAAGTACTTAACCTCTTGGAACTCTGATCTCCTCCTCTGAATAATATAAGCACCTGGCCTTGAGGAATGCACCTGCTCAGTCCCTGGCACGTGGAAACTGCCCCTGGGTGGCAGTGATTCTCATGCCATGTGGACACTCCCCACTGGATGACCACCTGTGGCAGGTGGTCACTGCAGCATGGCATTAGCCTGACGTTTTCAAAACCAATGGGAATAAGGAAAACATCTGGCTGCCTCACACCCACCGTATACCCCTTCCCATTCTCCACACTGCTCCAGCGAGCTTCAGAAAAAACAAATCTGACTGTGCTAAATTCATAGGCTGCTACTGAAAGATCTCTAAGATAAATGAAAAAATGCAAATATAGAGCAGCACATATAACATACTTTTGTTCATGTAAAACAGTGCTGCACACAGAAATGCTTCTATGTGTTTGTCTCTTGCTGCTTTTAAGATAATCTCTTTATCTTTCCAGAATATTTGTGTAGATTTAGAAAACCTCAAGTGAGGGGAAAATGGAGGGCCAGGGTGGAAGGGAGCTGTACTAAACATGATACAATCATTGTCTTTTTCAAAAATTTCACTGATTACTCTTTCCATTAAACTATTTTTCAAAATGCCATGTTTTGATGTGAGGGGAAAATAATTTTTGTATTGTATCTAGATTTATTCTGTTAGGAGATCCAGAGGAAAACTTATATTGTATTTACTTTTTGTCAAGTATGTCAACAGCTATTTATTGCCTGCTTTAGAAACTTATTGTGAAATATTCATACATATCACACATGTAGAAAATGTGGGCCTGGTGTGGTGGATCATGTCTGTAATCCCAGTGCTTTGGTAGGCCAAGGTGGGAAGATTGATTTCAGCCCAACCAGCCTGGGTAACATAGTAAGACCCTTTCTCCATGAAAAAATTAAAAATTAGCTGGATATAGTGGCATGCATATATAATCCCAGCTACTTAGGAGGCTGAGGTGGGAGGATTGTTTGAACCCTGGAGGCTGAGGCTGCAGTGAACAGTGATCCCACCACTGCACTCCAGCCTGGGTGACAGAGCAACACCCTGTCTCAAAAAAAAAAAAAAAAAAAGGAAAAGAAAGAAAAGAAATGTGTACAGATAATTTAACGATGAATAATATGACAAACACATATATATGAAATGAAATGGAAGTTTACCAATGCCTTGGAAGACTTCTGGATGTCCCCTCACCCCCAATAGCTCTCTGAGTTGGAGTACACTTATCCATTTAATTCAGATAAGAAAATAGAGGCTTAGAGAGATGCCATCATTTACTCAAAATCACACAGCTTGCTGGTAGAAGAAATGGGACTGAACTCCAGGTTTCCTGATTCCAGGTCCACTCTACTTTCTATTATGGCTCTGGTGATTATCTTAACATCACCAGACAGAAAAAAAATTGATTCACTGCCTTTAGTCATTTTCATAAATGAATGTAATCAGCTGCACTAGGAACAAAATTTATTGTCTTAAAAAATGTGTAATTGCCCATTGAGAGGACCAGAAAAGACTTCACAATGGCTTCATTTGTTGCCTGGGGGATCACAGCAGAAGGGGTGGTTGGAAACAACAGAAGCAACAATAGGGAAAATTAGCCTTTCTGTTTGGTACTAATCACTGATCTGGGGCAGGTGCAGCTTCTGTAAAAACTATGAAGCAGTTTTCATTTCCTGACCTTTTGATTTCATTTGTATGCTAAATGTCAATTGAGATATTTACCAGTAAATTATGTTAATCTTTACTCAAGAATAGTCTTTTAACGAAATTGGGCTGTGTATATAAGATTGTATTGAGATGAAATATATGATATGAAAAGGTGTGGCCATAAAGTTAGAAACTTTTTTCTGGTCATAATGATTAAAAATTGGAATCAAAATAAGAAAACTCCCAATTGAAAGTCACAAAATCTAGATGGTCAAATTAAGGAGTCATATTTTGCATTAAGGGCCTCTTAAGTCTTGAGGGAGGTCTTGAGAAGGTTGAAGCTGGAAGAGTCCTTAGAGGTCATTGTCCTGGGGGTACTAGGCATGACCCATCCATGTTGTGGCCCTGCCCCCGCACCTTGTAGGGCATCTCCCAGTGCTCTCCCCCTCCCTGCCCATCACTGTCACTCTGCTCCAGTCGCACTGGCCTCGTCGCTGGTCTTGGCCTTGCCTAGCGTGCTGTGCCACACATCTTTACATGGTGAGCTTCACTGATGCCTCAAGTCAGGCTTTCCTGTCTCTCAACTGAAGGGAGCCCAGACAGCCACTCCCCATCACCTCATCTGGCCTTTTGTCTTTGTAGCACTTATCATTATTCAGTACAGTTGACCTTGAATGATACAGGTTTGCACTGTGTGGGTCCACTTGTACACGAACTTTTATCAGTAAATATAGTCAGTTATCCATATACACAGGTTCTGCATCCGCAACCAAACATGGATTGAAAATACAGTATTTGAGGGATGCGAAACTCTCAGAAATGGGTGGCTGACTTTTCATATACTTGGGTTCCACAAGACCAGCGTCAGGAACTTGAGTGTGTGCGGATTTTGGTATTCACAGGTGTCCTGGACCCAATCCCCCACAGATACTGAGGAATGACTGTATTATCTTGCTTACATATTTATTACCTACTCCTGCTCCCCAGAGAAAGGAAGCATTTTGAGAGCAGAAAAACTTCTTTGTTTTGTCTGCATCTCCTGTACTATGATTTGAATATGTCCTCCCAAATGCATGTGTTGGAAACATAATCCCCAACATAACAGTGTTGGGAGGTGGGGCCTAAAGGAGGACATTTAGGTCTGCAGAACTCCACCCTCATGAATGAATTAATGCTGATTATAAGGGGGCTTGAGTTCACTCTCTTGCCCTTTTGTCTTCTGCTGTGGAATGATGCAGGAAGAAGGCCCTCACTAGATTCTGGTACCTCAATCTTGGACTTCCCAGCCTCCAGAATTATGAGAAATAAATTTCTGCTCATTATAAATTACCCTATCTGTGGTTTTCCATTATAGCAGCACAAAAGAGACTAAGGTACCCTGTGTCTAGAATAGTGCCCGGTCCCAGGCCTGGAACTTCTCTGCTGAGAAGTGGTTCAAGTGGGAAAGCACATCAACCGTCTCTAAGGAAGAGTTTCTCTGAGAGAAGATGACAATAAATTGCTAATCAGTTCATGATATGAGAATCTGGTGGTGCTGGGGAGAGGGTGGGTGAAGCACAGGAAAAAGTCCAACCCAGCCACGCTAGCATGGAGGACAGACTTAGTGGGAACGATGGGCTGTCAACCTGAGTGCAAAATAATAAGCAGTAGCCCCGAGAGCTCAGGATGAATGCCCTGTTGGCTGTAAGCATCACTGAGGAGTGAGAATTATCTCCCAGAAGAAACAATGGGGCCCATCAGGTTCATCTCCCAGGTGGGAAGATCAATGCAGCAACGGACAGGGACATATTACATTGCATGGCGACTTGTTTTCAGCATTGAACGTTTGGTAGCTGCTATGGTTTGAGTGTCCCTTCCAAAACTCATGTTGAAACTTGATCCTGAATGTGGCAGTATTGAGAAAGGGGGCCTTTTAAGAGGTTATTGGATCATGAGGGCTCTGCCCTCAAGAATGGATTAATCCATTCATGGATTAATGGGTTATCATGGTAGTGGAACTGGTGGCTTCATGTGAAGAGGAAGAGAGTCCTGAGTGAGCACACTTCAATCCCTTGCTATGTGATGCTCTGTCTCACTTGGGACTCTTCAGAGAATCCTCACCAACAAGAAGGCTGTCACGAGATGCAGCCCATCAACCCTAGACTTCTCAGTCTCTATCACTGTAAAAGATAAATTCCTGGCCAGGCGCGGCGGCTCATGCCTATAGTCCCAACACTTTGGGAGGCCAGGGTGGGTGGATCACCTGAGGTCAGGAGTTCAAGACCAGCCTGGCCAATATGGGGAAACCTTGTCTCTACTAAAAATAGAAAAAAATTAGCTGGGTATTGTGCCATGCTTCTGTAATCCCAGCTACTTGGGAGGCTGAGGCAGGAGACTCGCTTGAACCCATGAGGCAGAGGTTGCAGTGAGCTGAGATCGAGCCACTGCACTCCAGCCTGGGTGACAGAGTGAGACTCCATCTTGAAAAAAAAATTCTTTTCTTATAAATTATCCAGTTTCAGGTATTCTGTTATAATAAACAGAAAGTGGACTAATACAATAGCGTTAGGGGAAAAGATAGCCCAAATGGGCCCTACTGGCAGCCTGACCAGCTTTTCCAGTTTTTTTCTCTGAAAAGGGAACTATTCTCATTGGATTAGCAGAACTCTTGGGGATCTTGGCCAAGGAAGAGGCCCCAGGAGAAAAAGAACAGACTTCTTGCTGACCTGGCATCAGATGGCTTGAGCTTGTTTTAATTCAAACTAAACAGAGATGGGACATAACTTGGCAGTATCTGTTAAAAAGAAAATGCTACAAATTAGGAATCCCACTTGGAAGAGTATACAAGGATATCTGGACAAAAATGCTCAATGCAACACTGTGTGGCAGAACATGCAAAGGTTTGTCAATAAGGGTCTTGTTGAACAAATTTTAAAGGATGACATAGATCTATATGTACTATTGGAAAGACAGCCTTGGCATGGTGTTAAGTGACGAAAGCAAAATGCAGCCCAAGCCACATAATGCAACACAACTTTTTGGTTGATAAATAATCCCTAGATGTTTTTGTATAAGTACACAAAAAAGCTGGGAGGTTCATGAAACCAAACAACTGATATTCTTCCCCCTAGAGACTGAGACTAGGGAATAAGAAGGGGATAGGTTTTTTTTTTTAATTTTTTATTTTTTGAGATGGAGTCTCACTCTGTTGCCCATGCTGGAATGCAGTGGCACCAACTTGATTTACTGCAACCTCCGGCTTGAGGCAGATTCAAGCAATTCTCCTGCCTCAGCCTTCCAAGTAGCTAGGACTATAGGTGCACACCACCACACCCAGCTAATTTTTGTATTTTTAGTAGAGATGAGATTTCACCATGTTGGCCAGGCTGGTCTGGAACTCCTGACCTCAGGTGATCTGCCCACCTCAGCCTCCCAAAGTGCTGGGATTACAGGCGTGAGCCACTGTACCTGGCAGATTTTTTTTTCTCACTTTTTAATTGAGATGGTTGTAAAGGTATGTTGGAATAATAAGTGATTTTTTTTTTTTTACTTTTCTGTGTTTTTAGTAATCCAGAGAGAATGGAAAGCATGTTAGTGTTGTGTGAACCCAAACATCATGTTCTCACGATTACCCCCATCACTTGAAATTACTTGGACAGATCTCTGTTGTTTCTAGGCAAATGAACAGAATGAACTAGAACTCTTGTAAAGTCCAGTGATTTTCAAATTGTTCATTAGCCATAAGACTTTTATTTTCCTTATATAAGCACCAAATCCCAAAATATAAAGCAAATAAAAATGGAGCTGCCCTGGGTAAACAGGTGGGGTTGACCTTAGTTATTTGTCTGTAAAATGAGAGGGTTGGACATGACAGATGATTTTCAGACTCTGATCCCATCAGAGGATGCTGGGTAAGAGGTGGTGAGAAACACTCAGAGGATGTGGGGAGGAGGGATGAGAAAGCTGATGCCCAAAGAAGGCAGGGAGTAGCTGGTTTAGGCTCACCTAGCTTGCTTCCAGAGCTGAGACTATTTCCCCTTCATCTACTTTCTTTTTTATTCTTTTTTGGAGACAGTGGCTTGCTCTGTCACTGAGGCTGGAGTGCAGTGACATGAACATGGCTCACTACAGCTTTAACCTCCCAGGCTCAGGAGATCCTCCTGCCTCAGCCTCCCAAGTAGCTGGGACTACAGACATGCGGCACCATGCCCGGCTAATTTATTTACTTTTTGTAGTGATAGAATCTTTCTATGTTATCTAGGCTGGTCTTGAACTCCTTGGTTCAAGTAATCCTCCTGTGTCGGCCTCCCAAAATGCTGGGATTATAGACGTGAGCTACTGCTACTTTTTTGTACTGCTCAGGCTTTGCAAAAGGAATTGTCTGAATTCAACTTGAAACACAGATTTTTGCTTTAGTGTACTTTTCATATAAACAGGATATTAAATTTTTACTAATAGATGTGTAATTTAAAATGTGCCAATTTCTGTGTGTAGGTAAAAGGCTTAAATCAAAAGCATGTCTTTCTCATCAGAATGAATAGAGCTAAATGTGGTAAGCTGCTACTGCTCATTGGAACTCGAAACCTCACAGTGTTTGGCTGGCTGCTCTCTTGAACTCCCTTTCTCTCACCTTTTACTCTCAGAATGAATTCACACAAAAGTAAGAGAGCAAACCTGCTCATTATCATCAGCTACTCTGGTTTGTGTGTTACTAAAACAATGAGGCCTGTCATGGTTTCTCTGAAGTTCTCCAAGCACAGGTTACAGTTTGCTGGCTGGAACACTGTTTAAATGCTAAGTCATCTTCCAGGTCTGATCTATTTTGTAACTTAAATTCCATATCTCTTAGAAAACTGAATACTTTGTATGACTCTCCTTAATTATGCAAACTGCTGTTATTATATGCATGCAAATGATCCTGTTAGAAAAAGCTCCAGGAGATGATAATTCACCTTACCATTGGCTGAGATTGCTTGGACTGGGGAGATGGGGCTATGAATGTGGTGGTCCACCTGCTTGTCACTGGAGGGTTAGATCGCAGATGTTAGAAGAATCCTTCATGGGATCTGAAGCTGAGGTCAGACACCCTGGACTCATTTCTGGGAAAGGCAGGAATTCACACAGGGGCCAAGACTTGGTGAGGGCACTCTGCAAACACCAACGGGAATGTGGGTCTTGCCTTTGTTAAATGTAAATAAATAAAACTGGAGGCCACAGTTTAGTACCCAAGGCCAATTACTCATAGCCACATAACCAAAACTTAGCTCTTACTGATTCCCTGCCCCCCAAAACATAAACCTTCAACATAAACAGAACACTCAGTAAGCTTTTCATCTTATCAGCATGATTCAATGAAATTAAACCAACGGATATAGGCAAATCAGCTTACATAGTCATATGCCTTAAGAAAGAATATATGACATCCAATCCTGAAACAGGCCAAAACGCTTCCTCCTTTATGCTCTTGAAACTGAGCTGTAACTGCTGTAAATTTGAGACTTTCTGCCACTTTCCAGTTTGAGGTCTCTTAGTTCATGAACATTTCTTTGTATGCACAATAAACTCTTAAAATCCTAACTTGACCTAATTTTTATATCTTGTATGCAGCTGCTTGGAAACACGACAGTGAAATTCTGGGGTGTGACTCCTAGGCCCCAGCTCGTGTTGGGCCGCAGGCATTTAACAGCTCAAGTGAGCCTGTCCAGCCATCTTCTGCCATCCCACATCAGCGGCCTGGGGGGCAAGTGTTCTATCAGTTCATCCTGCCAGGGATCTGCAGAGTCCAGCAGAATCTTTCTCAGCCTTCCAAAAAGCCCAGTCCCTACTGACTGCCCGTTTCTGTGCCCAGCAGCGTGGCCAGTCACTGGCTCACTTTTTCGCTGTTACGCTGACTTCTCAACTAGACTCTGAATAGTAGAGGCTATTTTGTCCTTTTTCTGTTTGCCACATTCACTTATCCATTCCCTTTCTCAGCACCAGAATGGCATCAAGCACATAGTAGGTACTCAAAAAAGACTTCAGCATTGATTACTTGCTCAAATGGGAAGGGAATGTGCTCCCCAAGCAATGATATTATTCCTTTCAGACAGGCAGTCACTTTGTTTACAGAAACTGAAAATCTCTCATGGGGATACCTGCTTCTCTTTGTGCCTGCTTGTTTAGGATAATTTTATTTTTGCAGCTACTCCAATAATCCCTAGAAAACAGGACCTTGGAGATGCTAGGATTATCTAGTTAGGGTTCCTGAGACATGGCTATCCCCTTCCTGTCTCTATCAACATCACAGCAAAACCAGAGACCATTGATGTGGCCTGGTCTGTAGGGCAATAATACACAAGCCTTTCACACTATCTTGAGTCAGGGCACTTGCGTGGCTGCACCCAGGGCTGCTCTGGGCTGGGTCAGCCAGGCTGACACTGGGGTGCTGATATGTAAAGGAGGCTAAGACATCACTGAAAATGCAATGCAATGGGGAAACCATAGTATTCACTAGATCTTCCTGCTTTGCTAAGTGGATTAGGATGGGGATGGACGCCAGCCTGCCTTTCAAGGGGTAGGGCTTATTCTCGAGTCATTTGTTTTGCTGAATCGAGTCTGCAAAGCTGCACTGAATTGGTGGAGACTGGGTGGAACCTCTAGCAGTGCTCCTTCCCGCTCCGCCTCCATCATTGCCCTGATTCTCTAATAAAATCTTAAACAAATAATTACCAAGTGTTGGTTTGAAGTCCACCCACAAGCCCTGGCCAGCCCTCTTGCACGCAAGGGCTACGGCAGTCACAGGAGCTGGGGCTCTGCTCAGGATTCCTCAGCAATCTCATTTGGAAGGGGCAGTTCCAGCAAACGCCTGCACGCCAATGTCTCTGGCAAAATGACTTTCAGTTGAAATCAGGGCTTTGGAGAAAAACTCCATGTGACAATGATTAGCATTGGGAACATCTGAAAATGCATGCCTGAAGTCCCCGAAGGAGGATTTCCCCCACCAGGTGTTCTTCTTCAGGATCCAACCCCAGGTCAAGGGGAAGGCTGGATAAGCCAGCAGAGGCCGCAGATGGCCTAGGAGGTTCTTCTTACTAACCACAGCAAGATCCTGGACAGGTTCCCAGCCTCTCTGATGAAATAGGAAATGCAATAGGAAAGGTGACAGTATTTACCCAAGGAGTGGCTATGAGGATTAAATTAAGAAGTCCTTATAAAAACACTCTTTGCATGTTTGTACTGTTATCGAAACACATTTGGTCATGATTTAAATGTCAATCAATTAATTCTGCTTTCTGAAAAATCCTCAATTCATACTTTTTTTTTTTCAGACAGGGTCTTACTCTGTTGTCCAGGCTGGAGTGCAGTGGCAGCCCCGACCTCCCAGGCTAAAGCAATTCTCCTGAGTGGCTGGGACCACAGTCACGTGCCACCATGCCTGGCTAGTTTTTAAATTTAATGTAGAGATGGGGGTCTGCCTATGATGCCCAGACTGATCTCAAACACCTGGGCTCAAATAATCCTGCGTCAGCCTCCCACAGTCCTGGGATTACAGGTGTGAGCCACCTCGCTTATTTGAATTCATGCTATTTTAATAAAGATATTCATGAAAGTCTAATCACCAGCTCAGTTTGACAACTGAATTCAAAATGTAATCTGAATAAATCTTACTAAGACTTATAGAAACAACCAGGTGTAAACGGATAAGTGCCTTAATGCACTAATTGTAAGTTGTCATTGGTCATTATAACCACCTTCCTAAACCTTTCCCTTTTCCCACCTGGAGCCCTACAGGCTCTATCAAGCCCCAGGTTTTCAGCCTTGCCCAGTCTTCAGTTCAAGCAACCGCCACTCAGTAATGACAAGTCCTTGTGCTTTTCCCTCAGTTGCCTGGTTAGATGGTAGCTGCCAGCAGCAAGGCCTCCTTCTTGCATGAACTGGCTGACCCAGTTCCAGAACCAGAAATCCTGAGCCACTCCCAAAGGTGGCCTCCGACCGTGTTCTCCCAATATGGCTGTGTTTGGATTGTTCTTCTCCCCGGTCAGAAACAGACACACACACAGTGACAACTTGACGTTCTATCTCCTTAACTACTGCAGCTGACCCTGAGACAGTTCTTCCCCAGTCATAAAAAAAGAAGCATCTGTAAATCCATTTACTAATCTCACATCCTTGCCCTTACTTTATTTTTAAGAAGTTGTTTGGTAGCGAATTGCCTATTTGTGAGTCCTGCAACTTATTCTGGACAATTGTTTCTTAAAGGGGACAGGCTCTTTTTATCTCTGTTTTAAACACATACAAATGTAACAGGATAGCTTTCAACTGAAATTGTACGTATTTATGAGAAAATGCAGGTGAATATTTACCTGATCTTGAGATCTTGAGGTAGGAAAGAACATTCTATACATAAAAGCAGAAGAAGAACCCAAGAATGAAAGATTTTACGGATTTGACTGCATGAAAATGAAAAACGTCCAATCCGTTCCCAAAATGCCCATAAACAAAATGTAGACAACACCTGAGGCCAAAGGTGTAGTGTAAATATCGTGGACTTGGGAGTCAGACATACTCTGAATTCTAGCTCGTCCACTCACTGGCTGTGTGACCTTGCACAGGATGTTCAACCTCTCCAAACCTCGATGACCTGTCTGTAAAATGGGAATAATGATAATGATGATAATAATAATAATGACTGCCTCACAGAGTTATTATCAGGATAAGATAAAGACCTTTTTGAAACACATACCTAATGCTGTTACCATAACACCTGGCATGTTGTACATTCTCAATAAACATTATAATTGTTATTACAGGAAAAATATGGAAACGTGTATTATACACAAAAAATTAATAACTTTCCTATATAAAGAGCACTTGCAAATTAGTAAAGAAAAGATTAAAAGCTCCAATTAAAAATAAAGAAAATTAATGAAAAAATCTCATACAATGAAAAAAATTTAAATAACAAATGAACATATTTTTTAAAAATTACTGTCACCATAATCAAACACCTGCAGCCCCTTCTTGGTGTCAGTGGTCCAATCCATCAAGAGTTGGGCTCTCCTCTTTAAAAAACACCTTTGAACTACCAAGACTCTAATACTTTTCCCAGCTAGTCTGGCTTAATTCCAGGCTGCTGATTCTCCAATTTTAGAGCCATTTGTTGAAGTACCAGCTTCACACTTGTATTTATCTTCTGTTGTTTTTGTGCTTTGAATTCTTATTTGACTGCTAAATAAACAGTAGGACATTTTTGGCATGAGGTTAGAATGTGTAGTTTCTGGTATGGTCAGCCATGTGGAACTTACTCAAGGCTATTTCTTCCCCTTGGTAATTAAAGGGTGCCTCACTGAGCTATAGCACCCAACAAGGTAAAATTCACAATGTCTAACAGTCAATAATAATTACCAGATCTTTGAAGAAGCAAGAAAACACAACCAATAATGAGGGAGAAAAATCAATTAATTGAAACCCACTCAGAAATGATACAAAAAAATTAGTAGACAAAGACAATAAAATGGCTATTTTTATTAACCATTTTCGTATGTTCAAGAAGCTAGAGGAAAGATTGAACATGCTAAACAGAAATATAAATGATATAAAAACCACCCAACTCAAACTCTAAAAATGAAAACTACAATGTCTGATATGAAAAGTAAACCAGGCCAGGTGCAGTGACTCGCACCTGTAATCCCAGCACTTTGGGAGGCCAAAGCAGAAGGATGACTTGAGCCCAGGAGTTCAAGGCTGCAGTGAGCTATGATTGTGCCATTACACTCCAGTCTGGGTGACAGAGCGAGAGCCTGTCTCTAAAGAAAAAATAAGTACAGGGCTTATTTTGGATAGGACTAAGGGCAAATTAGACATTGCAGATGAAAGGTTAGTGAACTTGAAGATATAGCAGTAGAAACTATCCAAAATGAAACACATGGAGAAGAAATGCTTTTTAAAAGTGAGCAGAGTATTCGTGAGCTATGAGACAACTTCAAGTAGCCCAATACCCGTGTAATTAGAGTCCAGTGCTGGCAGGGAGGACGGAAACTTTTCTGAAGTACCAATGGCAAAAAAAATTCCAAAATTCAATTAAAACTATAAACCCATAGATTCAACAAGCTAAAGAAGCTCCAGAGACAAGAAACATGAAGAAAATGACATACAACTGTTTAAAACATATGATGAAGAGAAAATCTTAAAGGCAGCCAAAGGAAAAATGGCACATTCCACAGAGAGAAACACAGCTAAGGATAACAGCAGCCTTCTTCAATGGAGACAATGCAAGTGAGAAGATAGTAGAGTAACATTTTTAAGTGCTGAAAGAAAAACATTTTCTGTCTAGAATTCTATAGTCCAAATAATTTTCAAAAGCAAAGGTAAAATAAAGAATCTTTGGACATCTTTGCATCTACCTGTATCGTGCTCAAGCTAAAATGAACCACCTGCTCTTCAAGGGCATTCCCCTCTCCCATCCTTCAAGATTTGACTGGTATGCTGCCTCCTTCTCGAAACGCTTCCTGATCGCCCACTGGGCTTTATTCATATCCCTCTTAGGGTCCTATTATCTATTGCTTGTGTCGTAAGTGTTTGAGGATTTTTCTTTTCCCTCCCACTCGCCTGTGAATTCCTTGAGGGTTCCTTTCTTGTTGTTCCTCAGCACCCACAGTGTGCACCCACATGCCCATAACAGGCGCTGAGTGTTTGTTATATTGATTTACATTTTACTTGGTTGCGAAAAGGCTTCTTTTAAGCTTCTTTCCAAGATATTTTTCACTGATTTAGAAGTACCGATGTTTTCATCAGCAAACACATGATAAGCCGAGCCCTATGCTTTTAAAAATAAGGCAAAATCTGTGGGCACAAAAGGCTCACAATACAGTTGATTGATTGAATTTTGTTGTTTATAAAGGACTTGAAAAAATAACAGTCTGGGTTTCATAAGGAATAGACAGACTCTTGATGAAGCCTCCCTAAGTCCAAGTAATGAATAATATCATGCTTAGCATCTCCATGATTTCCTGACTATGCCTCCAGCTGGCACCCCCTCCCAGACCCAAGTATGCAGCTACTTCTTGATGACATCTTCCCTTGGACATCTAATGAACATCTCAATGTAACAACATTCAAAACTGAACTCTTCATCTTCCCCCTAAACCTGTTCTATCTGCAGTTTTGCCATCTCAGTTAATGGCAAATCTTTCCTTCCCATTGCTCAGCCACTAACCTTGAAGTCCTTCAATTCCTCTATTTTTTTCCCCTCTCACATCACATTAAAACTGTCAGAAAATTTTATCAGCTCAACTCACATCACATTTAAACTGTCAGAAAATTTTATCAGCTCAACTATCAGACATATCTTTACCCCATCCACTTATCATCTCCACTGCTTTCACTTGGTCTAAGCCACTATCATCTTTCACCTGGATTATTGCAATGGCTATATAAATAGCCCCCCTACTTCCACGACCTAACTTGCCCACCCACAAAGTCTATTCTCATCATTGAGAAGCCAGATTCTCATCATTGAGAAGTCAGAGTGATTCACTGAGAATTCAGGTGAGATCATGTCACTCTTCTTCCCCAAACCCTCCAAAGATTCCCCATAAAAGCCAATGTCCTTACAATAGCTTTCAAGGCTCTACATGAACTGGTCTCTTGTCCCTCCTTCCCCCACCCAACCCAATCATCTTTCTGACATCCTTTCTTTCTTTTTTTTTTTTTTTTTTTTTAAGACAGAGTCTCGCTCTGTCACCCAGGCTGAAGTGCAGTGGCACAATCTCAGCTCACTGCAACGTCTGCCTCCCTGGTTCAAGCGATTCTCCTGCCTCACCCTCCCAAGTAGCTGGGATTACAGGCATGCACCACCATGCTGAGCTAATTTGTATATATTTGGTAGAGACGGAGTTTCTCCAAGTTGGTCAGTCTGGTCTCGAACTCCTGACCTCAGGTGATCCGCCCGCCTTCTACTCCCAAAGTTCTGGGATTACAGGCATGAGCCACCATGCCCGGCCCTGACCTCCTTTGTTATTACTCTTCTTCCCACTCACTTTGCTCCAGTCTCCTTCCCTGAGCTCTCTCAACTCGGGGCCTTTGCACTTGCTATTCCCTCTGCCCAAATGGCCCTTTCCCCACATATCCACATGGCTCATTCTCTGATCTCCTTCAAGTCTCTGCTCAAATGTTGCCTCCTCAGTCAGGCTTCCCCAGCCACACTACTTATAATTACAGCTTCCTATTACCCCTCCCTAATCCTCCTCTCTGCTTTATTGTTCTTTTTGTTTTTTAGATGGAGTCTTGCTCTGTTGCCCAGGCTGGAGTGCAGTGGCATGATCTTGGCTCACTGCAACCTCTGCCTCCTGGGGTTCAAGCAAATCTCCTATCTCAGCCTCCTGAGTAGCTGGAATTACAAGCATGCGCAATCACGCCCAACCACTTTATTGTTCTTCATAGCACTTATCAACCTTCTACCACTATAGATAAATTACTTATTTGCTTTGGTTTTTGTCTCCTCCCTGCCAGAACATAAACCTCAAGAGAACAGGGATATATATATGTTTTGTTCACGCTGTTTCTTGAGTACCTACAATAGTGCCTTGGATATAATAGGTGCTCAGTGACTACATATTGAATGAATGAATCTTTGATTGGTAGAGCAGTTCTCTAAGTCAGTCTTACCCATACCTGATGTCATCTCCTATTTGGTGAGTAGCACGAATTCCTAGGATGGGATTTTTTTAATGTTCTAGGACCCACCTCTAAAACTCTTAGTATGGCAAGAAACCAGGTTCAGAAACTGGCAGATACCCAAATTTATATATGCACTATTCAAGTCATGGATCAGTCTATAGTCAAGAGGTATTCATCAAATACTTCAGTAGAGGCATAGCAAAAAACCATGAGACATATTTAAAGAGATAAGGTGACTAAAGGTGACAAATTAGAGGCCAAAATTGTAGAAAACCAAAGTTTGAGTTGTATGACACAAATAAGTGCAGAAGAAGTTAGGGTAGGAAGGGATGAGTGTTTTGAAGTGAGCTGAGAATCACTTGTCTTCCCCAGGCCTCTAATGGAGTTTCTAAGCAGGAGTACTGCTGGAATCATCTTTCAGTAACCGCCAACAGCAATATTTTGTACTCACATTGTTCCCTTCAAAAACAACTTCAGATACTTTCTGATTTTTATCTAAGCATTCTTACATTCATCCAATAGTCAGAAATCATAGTTAACCAAGTCGTCTGATGTTGGGAGGAATGGACAAAAGAATTAAGACCATTATCTCCAAATGCTGCCCTGTGGCATCCCTTGTACAGAGCAAAAACATCTGTAAGAGTGTTTTCTCAACCTACTTCCTGCTCAGCCCTCTCCTCCCTCCACACAGGGGATAGCTACCTATGTCGTGAACAATAAGTATATAATGGCCCCTGCTTTAGCTAATATGTCCCTCCCTAGTAAAGGAGTAGGGCTCTCAGGCATGATAAGAAAGGCATGTGAGAAAAATAAGGTTCCCCAGTCACAACTTAGGGGGTGGGAGAAATACCTAGTATTGGCTGTCCTAGGACCCCTTTGATGGTGACAGACCTGGAGGATAGTTATCCGGGACAGAAGAGTAAAACTGAGAAGGCCGTGCCAGTGTCCAGGAGGAAGTTAGTTTCCTGGCCCTCAATGGTTAAACTTACCTGGGGCTCTCTGTGATGGTGATGGCATGGGTTGGTGCCTGCCCCGGGCACCCTCAGTCCTGTTGTGGTACCATCTGGTTAGTGGCCTCTGGCCCAGTGAACCTTCGCCCTCGGGGGCAGTGTGCCTTCCAGTGATCCCCCTGGCACAAGGGACATGGACGAGGGGGCAGCTTATTGTTTGGGCAGTCCTTTTTGAAGTGGTCCTGTAAGCCACACTGATAATAAGCTCTGTTAGGCGGGTTGCCTGCCCAGCCTTTCTTTCTTTCAGAACCACCGAAGTTTGAAGTTCGTCTGTCTGAGGGCCATGACTAAGGTGGAGGCCTTTTTCTTGTCTCATCTGTCTCGTTCAGCCTGCTCCTCCTGATCTCTATTACAAAACACCGAAGTTGCCAAATTCAATAGAGTTTCCAAATTTTGCTCGGGGCCCAGGGCAGACTTTTGAAGTTTCTTTCTAATGTCTGCAGCTGACTGAGTGATAAACTTATCCTTTAAAATTAGTTGGCCTTCAGTAGAGTCAGGTGACAAAGAGGTATGCTTTCTTCTTTTTTTTTTTTTTTTTGAGACAGAGTCTCACAATGTCGCCCAGGCTGGAGTGCAGTGGCGCAATCTAGGCTCACTGCAAGCTCCGCCTCCCGGGTTCACATCATTCTCCTGCCTCAGCCTCCCAAGCAGCTGGGACTACAGGTGCCTGCCACCATGCCTGGCTAATTTTTTTTTGCATTTTTAGTAGAGATAGGGTTTCACCATGTTAGCCAGGATGGTCTCGATCTCCTGACCTCATGATCCGCCCTCCTCGGCCTCCCAAAGTGCTGGGATTACAGGCATGAGCCACCGCGCCTGGCTGAGGTATGCATTCTTAATGCCTCCCTTAGCCTCTCTAAAAATGCCATAGGGTTTTCTTCCTTTCCCTGTGTTATGGCGGACATCACTGAGTACTTCATTGGCTTTTTTCTGGTCTTTCTTAATCCCTCTAGTATGTAAGTCAGTAAATGCCTGTGACTCCAGTCTCCATGCTCCAAATTGAGGTCCCAATGGGGATCCACACTGGGAACCGCCTGTTGGCCTGTGGGGAATTGTTCCCTTTCTTCTGATGTCATTTTATCATTTACCTGGCTTAGGTACCAGAGATCCCCAAACTCCCAGGGATCCTGCAGCCTTAGCTGTGGCCTCTTTTTCGCTGGGAGTTAATGTTTGACCTAACGACAACATAGTATCTCTCCATGCTAAATCAAAAGATTGTCCTAATCCCTGTAAGACGTCTACATATCCATCAGGATTATCTAAGAATTTTCCTAGGTCCGGTTTGATCTGTTTTAAGTCTGAGAGGGAAAAAGGGACATGCACTCGTGCTGGGCCAAAGTCTCCTCCTCCTCCCACGGCTTGGAGGGGGCACAATTGAGGGCCATTGGTGGCTTTTGGTTCCTTGACTATCTTTTTGTCTGGTTCCTTTTGGGCCATTAGGGCCAAAGGAGAGTCCTTACTAGTGGGAGGGGGAGCCATGGGGAGACCTGAGTATGGGTGTAGGCTTTGAGGACCCCCGGTAGGATGTAAATTACATTTTTTACATAATTGTGGGTTATCCCCTAGTGAGAAAAAAACCTGTATATATGGCACTTCACTCCATTTGCCCTCCTGTTTACAAAAGACACCTAGGTGTAGGACGGTATTATAGTTACTTCCCTCGGGTGGCCATGTCTCTCCTCCGGGAAGAGGCTATTGTGGCCAGGTGGTGCTGCAGAAAAATATAAGTCACTTCTTCTTCAGCATTTGAGGGTCAAATTGGTCCCAGTTATCCAGAATACACCTCAGGGGTGGTTTTGCTTTTGAGGGACGTCTCCCATCTGAAAGGAGAACATAGAAGTGCCCACACCCCTAGTCATCCCCTAGTGAGCACTAGCCCTAGGGCATCCCCTATGGTTCTGGTGTCCTTTTCTTTCCAGGGTGTGCAATCACCCATGGAACCCTGCTTAATGAATTTAATTGTGCTTACCGACATAGCAGTTTTGCCCGCACTTGTTTCCTGTCCTTTTTTAGCCACACAGAAAAGGGGACCGGGACTGCTGGATTTTAGTGGCTCCTTACCAGCGTGCCCACAATTACCTTTGCATCTAAGAGTGAGTCTTAGGTTCGGGGTGTATTTTAAATTCAGAGACCAGGTACCAGTTAGCGTATTTCTGGGCTTGGAGCTGTCCCAGCAAGATAAATTCCTTGAAAATGGCACTGAAGCACAACAGTTTTAGGGTAGGCACTGGCAAATTGGAGGACCAAGGTTGGAACAGTGCTTTTCGTACCTGAATTTTCTGTCACCTATTTGCCCTCCTAAGAATATTCATTGACCTTTGGACTTGAATTGGGGGGACCTATTATCTATTATATTGTTTTCGGCCCATAAGTCTCATTGCTTTGAGTGGAGAAGTTCTACAGTTTTAATCGCTGATCCCAGATGGGAAAGGTGGTAATTAAAGTAGCCTCTATAATCTGGAGTAAGTTTAGGGCACCAAAGGAAAAATGTCCTAGGCCTTCTATCAGCCACTGACACGCCTTTTGATGTCCCGGATAGTGCCTAGGGTACAGGGTACGAGGGACAGGTCCCTAGGGACAGGTACGAGGGACAGGGCACGGACAGGTCTGTGCCCATGGGGGCACCATGGGCAAGGGTCTTTGGATTTTCACCTCCCTCAACTTAGGCTCCTAGCCCAAAGATGATTCTTAAATTCAGGGGTAGGAAAGATCCTAGAGGATAGGGCCTCAAGAAAGTCTTATCTGAGGACATTAGAACCAGGAGGCATGGAATGCATGCATGGGCGGCTGCAGAGTAGAGGCTTCTGGCTGTGCCATGATCTCAACCGGGTCAGTGCTGGGAGTTCGGGATGACAGTTTTCCGCCTCTAGTCAGCCCTTGGCTTTTCTCAGGAAAGGTAGAAAAAGGTGGAACTGGTTCCAGGCAAACCAATGCTCCCAGCGCAGAGGGCTGGGGGTTGTTAGAGAGCCCTCTCCCAGAAAGCCTCACACCTGTGTCTTAAGTCAGATGGCTGCACTTGTCACTTTTAAATGGCCGACAGGTGCCTCGTGTCTTCCTCCAATTTCTAGCGAGAAGATAGAACAGAATAGCAAGTGAAAGGGGTCCAGTGTTACTCACCGCTTTGGAGAAATCCCAGACAGGCCCCCAGAAATGAGACGAGAAGTCTTCTCCCGATCAAAGGTTTTTCTCAATTGAAGGATTCATGGTCTCACAGGCTTCAAGGAATGAAGCCGTGGACCACAGTGGCAAGTGTTACGGCTCAATTAGAGAAATGCGTGGACCCAAAGAGTGTGCAGTGGCAAGATTTATTAAAGTGAAAGTGAAAGGAAAGCGAAAGCTAAAGTAAAGCTTCCATGTGGTGGAAGGGGACCTGGAAGGGTTGCCCAACTACAGTCAAATATTTTCCAATTATGCTTAGTATAATTAATCTCCCTAAATCCAATATCCAAAATACATTTTTCCTTTTTAGTCCCCATTAACTATCAAAACACCTATCTGGAAAACAGTATTTTTTCTAGAGGTCTGTGTGTTGTCCCAGTCACCCAAGATTCCAAACTTTAGGGTCATTCTAGAATCTGCTGTTTTTCTGGCAAGTTCTTTTGATTTATCTCCAAATTCTTTTTATTACAAGGCTTCCAAATTCCCTGAAACACAGAATGGCAGCATTTGAAAAATACTAAAATAATATTGATGAGTGAAAATATATTGAGTTCTAGGCACTGTATTAAGGACTTTACATAGATTATTGAACTGAGTTCTTATGATAACTTGTAGGTTAGATACTGCTATCGCCACCTTTTTAAAGCTGAGGGAACTGAGATGCAGGGGGTTGAGTGACCTGCCGAAGGTCACACGGCTGATGGGGAGCCACAAGTGAACTCACAGTATGATTCCAATGCCCACGCTCTTTACCATTATAAAGGCTTAGATCATTTTGCGGTCTGCCTTTTACTTTTTAATTTGGAAAGTCCTCTTACATGGAGAAGGCAGAGTTCTCCTTGGAAGCAGGATGTTCTCCTTTCCCTGAATATTCTTTCTTATCTCAGTTTTCCTTCTCTCTTTTAATGTCATATTCAGTCCCAAAACAAACTCAGCATCCTCACTTCTAAAGTAGCCCGCTTCCATGTTTCCTCACTTCTGTCCATAGCACCACCATCCTTGATGTTAAATGGATCTGGACCAAGTGGCTCCTTTTGTCAGAGGTGTTCTAACCAGAGTGACTCCATCTTGAATAGGGGCTGGGTAAAATAAGGCCGAGACACCTGCTGGGCTGCCTTCCCAGGAGGTTAGGTATTCTTTTTTTTTTTTTTTGAGACAGAGTCTCACTCTGTTCCCCAGCTATAGTGCAGTGGCGCGATTTCGGCTCACTGCAACCTCCACCTCCCGGGTTTAAGACAGTCCGCTGCCTCAGCCTCTGGAGTGGCTGGGACCACGGGCACGCACCACCACGCCCGGCTAATCTTTTGTATTTTTAGTAGAGACGGGGTTTCACCATGTTAGCCAGGATGGTCTCGATCTTCTGACCTCGTGATCCGCCCGCCTTGGCCTCCCAAAGTGTTGGGATTACAGGCGTGAGCCACCACACCCGGCTGAGGTTAGGTATTCTAAGTCACCTCTCATCTCTCAGGATGAGACAGGAGGTCAGCACAAGATACAGGTGACAAAGACCTTGCTGATAAAACAGCATGCAGTAGGGCCGGGTGTGGTGGCTCACGCCTGTAATCCCAGCACTTTGGGAGGCCAAGGTGGGCAGATCACAAAGTCAGGAGATCAAGACCATCCCGGCTAACACGGTGAAACCCCGTCTCTACTAAAAATACAAAAGATTAGCCGGGTGTGTTGGTGCGTGCCTGTGGTCCCAGCTACTCAGGAGGCTGAGGCAGGAGAATCGCTTGAACCCAGGAGGCGGAGGTTAAAGTGAGCCGAAATCATGCCACTGGACTCCAGCCTGGGCAACAGAGTGAGACTCCATCTCAAAAAAAAAAAAAAAAGAAAGAAAGAAAAAGAAAAAAGCATGCAGTAAAGAAGCCAGCCAAAACCAAGATGGCATTCAAAATGACATCTGGTCATCTTCACTGCTCATTACGTGCCAATTAATAATGCATTAGCATGCTAAAAGACACTCCCACCAGCACCATGACAGTTTACAAATGCCATGGCAATGGCTGGAAGTTATTCTATATAGGCTAAAAGGAAGAGGAACCCTCAGTTCTGGGAAATCCCTGCCCCTTTTCCCAGAAAACTCTTGAATAATCTACCCCATATTTAGCCTATAATAAAGAAATAACCATAAAAATAGCCAACCAGCAGCCTTTGGGGCTGCTCTGCCTCTGGAGTAGTCATTCTTTTGTTCCTTTACTTTTCTAATAAGCTTGCTTTCACTTTATTCTGTGGACTCACCCTGAATTCTTTCTTGTGCATGATCCAAGGACCCTCTCTAAGGGGTCTGGATAAGGACCTCTTTCCAGTAACACTTTTCCTTATATCCAATTAGTTAGCAAAATTAATTCAAGCTTCTCTTTTGATATTTCTAGGATATAACCCTTCTTCATTTCCAATGCCATTATCTTAGCCATACGTGAATTGTTTCTTGCCTGGATTAATGTAATAACTTTCTAACTTTCTTCTTGCTTCAGTCTTTCCCCATTTCCAGTCTTTCCTGCATTGCACCAACAGATCTGTCCTCCTATAAAACCACAGCCTTTATGACTCTTCCCTGGCAAAGGTTCTACGATGGCTCCCAATTCCTCATTAGGTTCATTCTCAATTTCTCAAAAGTAGAAATTCAAGCCTCTCTCTAACCCAGCCAACCTTAGTTCCCTTCTCCCTACTCCAAACTCTCCAGTACAGGAAGGCCTGTCTGGCTTCTTGTTCTTCCTGACTTGCACCATTTTCATTTCAATCCCTAGACCTTGGCTCATATTATTGCCTGTACTTGGAATGATTCACCCTCCTTGCCTGCCCCAGTCTCAACAACTCTCCATTGCCCATTTTGAGTTCAATTTCCTTAGTGAGGACTTATTTTCTCTCTTCTTCAGTGCCCCCATGCTTTCCACACAGTCACTGTGAAGGATTTTCCTCTAAAGGTCTTCCTGTTTAGAGACTGATTCCAAGGTCCCCAAATGTGGCTTAGGTGGGGGTAGGCATTTTCCACCTTCCAGTAAAAAGGATACCAGACTCCAACACTCACCCACTGAGTAACAAAAAAAACCAGGGAATTATTTTGCCATCACCAGCTCAACATTTTGGAGTACACTTATTCACAACTCATTATAAAGTACTTCACAGTTTTTATATAGAGCCTAGGCAGGACCTCCAAGTTTCCCAGCACTTTGGCAAGCACAGACTTTTTCTGGGTGGCAGATGAAGGGGTTGCTCTATCGGATTCAGAACAAACTCCACAAATTGCATTTTGAACGATCTTTAGTTGGCCTTGTTGTTTTAAGGCTACCTTTCAGAAAAGAAAAGTGTGTCTTCAACTTTAGATAAACTAGAAGCAGATTATATCCATTTAAAGTATAGAGCTGTTAAAGATCTACATAAAAGCAACGGATGGGCTGCAAAATGCTCCCTTTGTAGCTTAATTACAACCTAAAAGCTTCAGCTTGTTTTAAACAACATGACCTTTAGTCTGTAGATAAAATGCATGTAAATTAATCTTGAATGTCAAGTAGATTTGGCCAAGAATTTCTTTTTTGTGTGTGGTGGTGGTGGTGGTGGTGAGTTTGAGGAATGTAGAGGGAATAAAAGAGTGTCTTTTTTTTTTTTTTAATTGACTGTGGTTTTTTTTTTTTTTTTTTTTAATCAAATCCGAGGACTGTTCTGATAGTTCCCACATTGGCAACAATATCCTGGAGAACACAAGACCCCTAAGAAGTAAAATTGTTCTTTCTCTACCTGTTTTTGCTCTACCTTCCACTCACATTTTCTCAATTTTCCAAATGCCAGCATACAAATTTTTTTTCAGGAATGCCACCAACAGGAATCAACAGAAGTTAACAATAGCTGAGCCAGTCGGAGAGTGGTGAAGATGACTGCCTTTCAGTGAGTGCCAAATCTTATCATCAGTGGTCACGCAGAGGCATAACTACCCAACAGGTTCATCTTGCCTGCTGTGCAGATAGAGTCGATTTATCAAGACAGGGGAATTGCAACGAAGAGTTTCATACACATAGAGCTGGCTAAACAGGAGACCAGAGTTTTATTATTACTTGAATCAGCCTCCCCAAAAGTTCAGAGGCTAGGGTTTTAGAAAGATAGTTTGGCAGGCAGAGGGGGCTAGGAAATGGGAAATGCTGATTGGTTGGGTCAGGGATGAAACCACAGGGAGTTGAAGCTCTCCTCTTATGCCAAGTCTGTTCCTAGATGGGGGCCACAAGACAGATGAACCAGTTTATTGGTGTTGGTGGTGCCAGCTGATCCATCAGAATGCAGAGTCTAAAAAATACCTTGAATACCAATCTTATGTTTTACAACAGTCATGTTATCTATAGGAGCAATTGGGGAGGTTAGTAATCTTGTGGCCTCTGGCTGCCTGACTCTTAAGCCATAACTTCTAATCTTGTGGCTAATTTTTTTGTTTTACAAAGGTGCTGTGCTTCCCAAGCCAGGAGGGAGTTCATTTTGGGGAGGGGCTGATATCAACGTTGTTAAACAGTTAAACTATAAGTTCCTTCCAAAGTTAGTTCAGCCTACTTTGAGGAAAGAACGAGGGAAGCTTGGAGGTTAAAAGCAAGATGGAGCCAGTTAGGTCAGATTTCTTTCACTGTCATAATTTTCACACTATTATAATCTTTGCTAAGGCAGTTTCAGAGGGGTGGGAGCTGTGAAATCCTGAATCTCTGAAGAAGCCCTGTTGCCATATCAAGGGGAACTCTGTTTTGTTGTCAATGCCAAGATGATTTAGGTTGGTATGATTCCAATCCAGGCTTTAAGAGGCCAAATACTATCCCAAAGCAGCAGCTGATAAAAGCACAGATGAACAGACAAGTTGGCACCCTGAAGGAAATGGAAATAAAGAGTAAACCCAGAAACAAGACACTAGGAGCATAGGGCAAAAAGGGCTAATGGCAAAGCAATATTGAGTGCCATGGTCTGAATATTTGTGTACCCCCAAATTCCTACATTGAAACCTAATCATCAATGTGATGATATTAGGAGGTGGGGATATTGGAAGGTGACTAGGTCATGAAGGGAAAGCCTACATAAATAGGATTAATGACCTTATAAAAATGATTTTATAAAATCATAAAAATGATTAATAACCTTATAAAAATGAGGCCCCAGAGAGCTGCCTTGCCCTTCCACCATGGTGGAAGGTGAGAAGGTGCCATCTATGAACCAGAAAACAGACCCTCACCAGACACCCAATCTTTCGGCACCTAGATGTTAGACTCCCCAGCTGCCAGAACCATAAGAAATAAATTTCAGTCATTTATAAGCTACCTAGCCTATGGTATTTAGTTATAGCAGCCTGAATCAACTAAGAATATGATAAATCTTAATAACAGCAACAATGAACACTTATTGAGAACCTGACTATACCAGGCAGTGCACTTCACCTATATGATCTCCCTTAAACATCCGAACAACCTAATGAGGTAGTTACTATTTTCTCAGTCATACAGATGAGGAAACTGAGGCTTGGTGAAGTTAAAAGATTTGCCCAAGATCACCCAGCTACCAAGCTGTGGGTCCAGGATATGAATCCATCTGACTTCCAAGTCCACACTGCTTACCACCACCACATACTTCAAAGAATTAGGGAGAGAGAATGGGGCTGGGAACTTAACAATGAAGAAAGATCCCAGGTTGCTTGAGCTAAGGACAGGTACATGAGGGCTGAAGGTGGCAGCAGTACCATGGGCAGGTGAGCCTGTGACTGCCATAGGGAGATCCTGGCATGAGAGCTTGAGAAGGATGAACCAGCCCTTGGCTTTGAAGGACTTGTGATCTGAGAAATTATTCTGGAACTCACACCAGGAGGGACCTTTGCCAAAGGATCTCTCAGCCTGTGGTCTAGTGGGCAGAGCTACTAAATAATCAGCTGATCACAGGGTACTGCTGTCTCCCTAGAGTGGAGAGACAGTTTTCAGGTACTTTTAATGTGACTCTGAGTTCCAAGACAAAAATCAATTTTTTCCCCGGCATAGTGGCAGGGAAGATTGAGGGAAAGGCAGTGAAATAGTGTGCATAAAGACAAGAGCAGTTGGGCATGGTGACTCATGCCTGTAATCCCGGTACTTTGGGAGGCTGAGGCAGGAGGAACACTTGAGCCCAGGAGTTCCAGTCCACCGTGGGCAACATAGTGAGACCCTGTCTCTAAACAGATCTAAGAGAAGGCTAGCTATCAAGAGATGCAAGCATTTTGAACTGGGAGGAGATAAGAAGAGAAAGGGCCAAGATATCTCATTTTAAGTGTCATCTTTTGTTTTATTATGAAGACAAAAAAATCTTGAGTTTACGTTCACTTAAAAAAAAAGAAAAAAGACAAGAGCCGAGAACTCACCAAGCCCCAGAAGGTTCTACCCTGCTCAGTCTGTAAAGCCTCAGGAGGCTCATTACTACTGCCCTCACCTCTGCTGCTTTGCATAGAAAGAGACCAGAGACTTTTAATAGTTCTGGGACATGAGAGTAGGTCCTGATGGTTTCATGCCATTCATTTGGTCAACACAACTGCTCTATTTTCATGGGTCCAGATGATCAGCCTTGACCCGCCTGTTTCTTATATATGTCCCTAGAGAATCATGCCAATAATTTCTTACAAGGAATGCTTTATTTGTGTGTATGCAATGGATCTCAGGGGCCAGCTCCCTCCTGTCTTCCTTGTGCACCATCATTGCCTGCGACATGAGTTAGGCTTATAGGTGTGTTCCCATCACCAACACCACTAGACACAATCTTAGCAGAGATATGGCTGCAAGCTCTCTCCCAAACCTTAATTGATACCTAGAGATGGCTTCTGACATGGGAACAAAGCATACAGTGTCAGGTGTGCTCAGAGTACACAGCACTGACGTCCTAAATGCACGTGTGCACACGCTGCAGTGAGAAGGGCCACGGAAACCCACTTCCCAGGCTCTGCATGGGGTTTATGACTTTGGTCACCCTTTCTTTTTTAATCCTCCTGTATCAGGCCTCTAATCTCTCATCAGCTCCCCCAACCCCTCACCCCACAGGACCTAGTGTGGTATGCATCTCTCTCCTTCAATCAAAGAGAACAGATAGAGTTTGAAACAAGGCCTACATTTGGGAATAATAGATGGCTAAAAGCTCCCCTAACATTGTTTGCTCTCAGTTTGGGAAGCCAGCAAGCAGCCTGGCTCAGCCCTACAGCCTCACTGTACATGGAACAACACTCTTAGGGTGCCTCTGTCTTGCATTCCATCTCCTTGGGAGAGGTGTTAGACCCCAGAGTTAACCAAGGCTGGAGCACCCCTGATTTAGTAGCCCGAGCTACTAAGAATCAACCCTAGGCCGGGTGCGGTGGCTCACGCCTGTAATCTCAGCACTTTGGGAGGCTGAGGCGGGCAGATCACGAGGTCAGGAGATCAGGACCATCCTGGCTAACACGGTGAAACCCCGTCTCTACTAAAAACACACACAAAAAATTAGCTGGGCATGGTGGCAAGCGCCTGTAATCCCAGCTACTCGGGAGGCTGAGGCAGGAGAATCGCTTGAACTCAGGAGGCAGAGGTTGCAGTGAGCCAAAATCACAGCACTGCACTCCAGCCTGGGTGACAGAGAGAGACTCTGTCTAAAAAAAAAAAAAAAATCAGCCCTAGTGCCGTTCCAGGGAATTACGATGTAAGTGGAGGTCTGGCAAAGTTTTTCTGAGAAGAACGAGACAAAAACTATTTTAGGCTTTGTGGGTCACATGGTCTCTGCTGCAACTATTCAAACCTGCTGCTGTAGTGCCAAAGCAGCAATAGACAGTCTGTAAACAAATGGGCATGACTGTATCCCAATAAGACTTTATTTATGGTTACTGAAATCTGAATATCATATCATGTTCACATGTCACACAATATTATTATTCTTTTGTTTTTTCCCCACCCATTTATAAATGTAAAAGCCATTCTTCATAGCCTGTACAAAAACAAGTAGAATAGCAGGCTAGACTTGGCCTACAGGCCATAGTTTGCTGACCCCAGTCTAAATCCTCAGCTTTTACAACATTTGGAAATAACCCAGTCCAAGGAAGTGGGAAAGGGAAATAAACTCTGGCACAGCCAATTTAAGGAAATATAGCACTGCAAACAGGAGCTGTGACTGTAGGTAATGTGATTTTTTTTCTCTATAAACAATAGAATTTCTAGATTCATATCAGTGTAGCTTACAGCAGTCATAATGCAAAGCTACCTGTTTGCTATAATAATGTGTTACTGCTTAATCCAGCTGTAATCGCCTGCTGGGAACTACCCTAAGAATCGGGAGTACATGCTTTTGAAAAGCCGTAGTGACAGGAAATCTCCGTCCACCGAAGATGGAATTGATTTTTAGAAACAGCAAAAAACAACAAAAAACTGAAACCAAACCCATTGCAAAAAACCACATCGACCTCAATCAGTAATAGCAACAATCACAATGACACAGTAACTACTATACTTTCAGAATCAGGCTGGTAAATAAAGGCATTGTGGTCAAGCTAAATAAAGCCCTTTGGGTTCAAAGCCACTCATGATTCTGAGATGAGACTTCTGCAAATGCATGATTGGAAGTCCTAACATGGCCCCTAACAATGTGAGTGTTGTTTGGCCAACATTCTGTCAGCCAACTAAAAAAACAAAAAAAGAACTTTTTTGAATTGCTGTCAATATTTAAAAGCCAGGAGATTTCACATTAAAAAAAACAGATTTTGTACTTCTCTTAAAAAAAAAATCAGGCTAGACACAGTGGTTCATGTCTATAATTCCAGCACTTTGGGAGGCTGAAGCAGGAGGATTTCTAGAGCCCAGCAGTTCAAGACCAGCCTGGGCAAGATAGTGAGATTTCTACTAAAGAAAAAAAATTTTTTTTAATTAGCCAGGTGTGGTGGCACACACTTGTCCCAGATACTCAGGAGGCTGAGGCAGGAGGATCATTTGAACCCAATTAGTCAAGGCGGCAGTAAGCTATGATCACTCCACTGCACTCCAGCTTGGGCGACACTGTAAGACCTTGTCTCTAAAATAAAAAAATAAAATAAAATAAAAAAATAAAAAAGAAAAGAACAGAACAGAAAAGAAAAAAATATCAGGCACAGGAAGCAGGAGGCTCCGGTTCTTGTACAGTCACCATCAGCGGGAGCCTCCCCTTTAGACAAGGCAGATGAACCTCAGGTGGGTGCAGTCCCTACCGTGCTCTATTGCTCCCTGGCCTAGGAGCAGCTGCCAAATTACCTGGGGTACAAGGCCCTTTTTACTCCCATAAAGAAGAGAGTAACACAGTCACATGGTTCAAAAGTCAAAATGATACAGAAAGCTATACAGTGAGGGGTTCATTCCTCCCTTATACCCTCCAAAAGTAAGCACTTTTGTTAATTTCTTTGATTAGTTTTCCCTTTCTTGCTTCCACAAGGTAATACAATATATACTTTTCTCTGCCTTGCTTTGTTCACTTAGAATATATCCTGGGGATTGTTCTGACTCTTATTATATAGAGAATTTCCTCATTCTTGTTCTACAGCTACTTAGTATTCCAGTGGGTGTATAGATTAATTTAACTAGTACTGGATTGGTAGATATGGGTTATTTACAGTCTTTTGCTTTTACAAATATTCTGCAATGAATATGTACATATGTCATTCATAGGTGATAAAATCTATGGTGAGATTGCTGGGTCAAAGAGTATTTGTAATTTTTTCCAGATTTTGCCAAAGTGCCTTCTGTATGGGTTCCATCATTCCGCACTCCGAACAGCAATGCAAGAGCATGTCTGTTTCTCTTCAGCTTCCCTAATACAGTGTGTTGTCAAACTTTTGTAGTTTTGTCTTTCTGTTAGGTTAGGGGTGTCCAATCTTTTGGCTTCCCTGGGCCACAATGGAAGAAGAAGAATTGTCTTGGGCCACACATAAAATACACTAATGCTAGCAATAACGGATGAGCTAAAAGGAAAAAAAATCGCAAAAAAATCTTATAATGTTTTAAGAAAGTTTATGAATTTGAGTTGGGCCACATTCAAAGCCATCCTGGGCCACAGATTGCACAAGCTTGTGTTAGGTGAAAATTATATTTTGGGGTAGTTGAAATCTACATTTTTAAATGAAGAGATCTTTTCCCATGTGCTTATGAGACATTTGTATTTCTTTGCCTGAGAACTGTCTCATTTTCCTGTTGGATTCTCATTTCTGTTGCTGATTTTCCTATTAAATTTTTTTAATCAACTTTTAGGAACATTAAGTGTATTAGAAAGATTATGTATCTATGATATGATATGAGTTTTCCAGTTTGTTTTGCTTGTTTTGTTTTTTTTGAGATGGAGTCCTCCTCTGTCGCCCAGCTGGAGTACAGTAGTGCCACCTCGGCTCACTGCAACCTCCATCTCCTGGGTTCAAGCGGTTCTCCCGCCTCAGCCTCCCGAGTAGCTGGGATTACAGGCACTCACCATCATGCCTGGCTAATTTTTGTATTTTTAGTAGAGACAGGGTTTCACCATGTTGGCCAGGCTGGTCTTGAACTCCTGATCTCAGGTTATGCACCTGCCTCAGCCTCCCAAAGTGCTGGGATTACAGGCGTGAGCGACCACACCCGGCCTCCTAGTTTGTTATTTATCTTTTGCTTTTGTTTGTGGTGTTTTCATTTTTGTTGTTGTTTGCTATGCCGAAGTTTTGCTGCTGTTTCATGTGCTTTTAAAATATAGTCACATTTGTTTATTTATTATTTGCATCTGGCTTTTGAATTATAACTTGAAAGAAAAGGCTTCCCAATTCCAAAATTAAAAATGATATACTCATATTTTCCTTTAGTTTCATATTTTAAAAATGTAAGTCTTTGACCCATTTAGAGCTTGTTATACACATTGTGAGAATAAAACTATTCTTTTCCAGGCTTTATCTTTTCCCAGAGGGCTTGCCCGTTGTCTCAAAATCATTTATTAAATTCATTCTTCCTCCCTGGTGTGAGATACTGTCTTTATCATGTACTAAATTGCCATATGTATTTAAGATTATTTCGGAACTTTCCACTCTGTCCCATTGGTTTATCTATTCATATCCCACTCTGTTTTAATTACTCAGGCTTTAATTATATTTTAATATCTTGTAGAACCTAGTGTTCCTCCTTGTTCTTTTTCAGCGGTTTCCTTGCCAGGAATGCTTATTTTTCCATGTGAACTTTTGAATCAGTTTGTCTAATCCCAGAAAAAAAAATCTATTGATAGTTTTATGTTGGGATGACATCAGATTTCTAAGTTAACTTTCAGTTAACTTATTATGATGCTAAGTTTTCTATCCAAAAACATACTATTTTTACCATTTGGTTTAAATATTTTCTGTTCTACAAGAGTGGTCCCCCAGCCCTTTCTTAACACAAAAGGTAAGTATATAGATACACACACAGGTTTTGCACATCTTTTCTTCCATTATATCTTTCAACAGATGATTGTTTGGGTATAAGAAGTCTATTGATTTCTTAGTAATATTTTAATACCTTGTTTCCCACTGAATTCTGTTATTTTTAGTAGTAGGTTATCAACAGATTTTCCAGGTATATAATCGTATGATCTGAATATAGCCAGACTCTCACTTCTTAACATATTTAGACCATTTTCCCTTGTCTTGTTGCTCTGGCTGGTCCTCCTAGGACAATTCGAGATACTATTGGTGATAGTGGGCATCCCTGTCTTAATACTGATTTTAGTAGGACCATCTCCAGGATTTGACAGTTCAGTGGAAAGCTATAGTTTTGGGGGTGAGACACAATTACATTTTATCATGTTAAGAAAGAATACATTGATTCCCATTTTATTGCATGTTTTAAAAATCAAGCATTGATGTTAAATTTTATCAAATGCCTTTTCATCATTTGACTATTATGGAATCATATTTGCCTTCCTTAAAAGAACATTTGAATTGTAACTCCTGCTTTAAAGTAGCCAGGCTGATTTTCTTGTTAGAGAGGTGCCAAGGACATTTTGAACAATATCCTGGGCGTAGAAATGCATACAGTCCCTCAAGGACAACAATTATCATGGATACGTAATCACCAGTCTCAGTGTCTTATATCTTCTCTATGTTTGTTTAATTTATGAAAATATTTATGAAACTCCCTCTGGGTGCTTGACCCTAGATTTTGGACAAGTAAAGACAGGATGATAAAGCTACCAGAACATCAGCAAATGTGAGACAGGAAGAGAGGAATGAGAGAGGGTAGCTGATGGGAAGAGAACAAAAAGAATATGAGAGGAGGTCAGAGAAAAAGAGAGTAAACAGAAGTAGCATCTCCCACAGGAGTTAGTAGCAGATGGGTCAAATTTTCTCTCTCCCCGCTCACCAGATCCCCATTTCCTTATTGGCCTAATTCAGTAGTTTCCAAGCCCCATCCAGGGCTCCTCTTATTACTGTCTCCCAAAAGTATGCACATGGTTTTAAAGATTTAATGTGCTTCTTGGCTGTGTCAAATTAACTGTACTTAATAATTATCTTGCCTTTTTAATGAAGTCATTTACAGCTGCCAACCAGGTTCTGGTAAGAATGTGCTCAGCTAAACAGAATTCTTATGCTGAGTTGATGTATTTTCAGCCAACAGTAGAGAAACTCAAAGTATCAGTTAAATTGAGGTTCATCTTGGATAAATGAACCATTCTGGAAGGCTTTTTGAAATGTTGACATTAGTCTGCATAGAGTTTGTTTCTTCGTTCCTAGACCTCTAAGGACATAAGACCTCACAGTGAGGACCTTGGATCTCACTCTCATTCAAGATCTGGTGGTGTATAAAAGGGCCAGGGAAGGTGTAGCCTTCACCTATAAGAAGTGTATACACTTGCCTCCACGATATATACTAGATCATTCTCTTAACTTCTCTCCAAGAGCTACCAAATGATGTTTTTTATAAAATTGTTTTCTTATATGAATAATTGTTCTGAGAAAAGCAGAGAGTAAAGATGAGGAAAACTGTGAAGCTGAATGGAAAGAATATTGCTGTCATAAATTAAAAAGCTTTTCAGTAATAAAATTGGCTCCTCGTCCTGAAGCAAAGGCCTTGATGGGGTCTGGTGGGAGTGTGATGCCTAACACAGCTACTATCGATAGGAAGTTATGCCAAGGTCCTTCCTGCTGGAGAATAAGCACTCCATCCCCAGGCTGTGGCCTAACAAATTAATTCAGAATCTCTGGGGATGGGATTCAGGCATCAGTAAGTTTGAAAGCTCCCCAAATAGTTCCAGTAGGCAACCTTACTACTCAAAATGTGGTCTTCAGGCCAGTAGCATTGGTAGCAGTGGGAGCTTGGTAGAAACGCAGAATCTTAGGCCCCAGCTTAGACCATCTGAATCAGAATCTGCATATTAACAAGATCCCCAAGATATTCCTGTGCACAATAAAGACTCAGTGTTAGAGACTGAGTAGTATTTCTTAAAGTGTGGTGCCTGGACCATCTGCACCGAACTCACCAATGGCATAGGAGGTGGGGGGATGAGGGTCAGAGGACTTCTAATAAAGCAGATTCTGGAGAGGATTCTATAGGTCTGAGGGAGAGGCCCTGGAATCTGCACTGTAATATGCTTCCAGCTGATTCCTAAGCCTACTGTTTGAGAACTGCTCCCAAGAGGAAAGTGAGTAGTAAGATGATTGCCTTCTCCTAGCCTCAGGGACAGGCCCTCATGACTCTAAAAGGTCAAAACATACCCATTGCAGGTGGGGGATGAGTTAGTTGATGATAATCTACTAATAATATCCAGTCTGACACATGTGATAGTTCTGCTCTCTGACCTGTAACAGAGTTAGTGGTAGCACTGCGAGGTCACCTAGAGTTAATTTGACACAGAGATGAGTGTCTCCATTCAATTTGTTAGTGACGGAATAGGTTGCAATTCGGATACGAAAGCTTCTACCTTAAAAGCAGGATTAAAAATGTAAAACAATGATGCTCAGATGTATCCCTTTTTGAGGATTTTTTAAAAGCCTTAAAATGTAGGGTAGAGAGCTGAAAGGGCGAGAATGAATTCCCCTAAGGAGGTTTTTTTCATCTTATAGCAGTCCTTTTTTGAAACTTCTGCTTAGGTCCAGATTTTTAAATGATAACATGAATTTAAAAAACAAATGAAGTGAGGAATGGAAAACTTGATCTCTCTCAAAAGATGTATTTGAAGTATGTAGTACTTTTACGTAGTTTTAAAAGCATTTCAGCTCATGTAAGTTATTTAAAAGCTTCTGTGATAACGGAAGTTTAAGTCAATTTATTTTCAAATACCTAGGATTCTGAAGTATGGCTCACACTTGACTGGAGGTAATAGCCGAAATCTTTCTAATTATAAAGTGAAACAAGACTGTTGCAATTGTAATAAATAATGAAATGGAATGGGGAACTGCAATGTGATCTAATAGTATTTGTTAAATACCTATTGAATTAAAAGCGGCAAAAGCAAAGAAACTTAACACTGGAAAACAAATCTTTGAGGCTTTGAAGACTTTCTTCAGAGCAGTGTTTCTTAAACCTTTTGGGGGAGGCATGCAATGGGGGACCCCTTGAAGATCTAGTGAAAAGCTGCAGACCCTCATCCACATGGGCAGGAGGGCACAGGCACACACACTTGGCAATTTCTGCAGTTCCGTGTACTCCCTGGAGCCCAGTGGGGAGACCAATCCGCAGGTCCCATGTTAAGAACCTCAGCTTTGACACTGCATTTTAAGAAAAAAATTGCACCATATTGACGTCCCTCATTTGGAATTGCTTGAGATCCAGGGGCAACTTTCCCAGCATCTAGGTCCCAGGTGGGCAGTAAAACTAGGGCTGTTTTCACTTAAACGGAAACAATTAGGCCGGCCATCTCGCAGGAATGAGGCGATGCCAGGTGAAAAGCCAGACCACTAGTTGATGCCAGGGAAAGAATCCCTTTATTGAAAAAGCCTACGCTCTTTCAGAAACGCGCCTCCATCCTCTCAGAGGGCCCCACCCACAGGTCAGTGGCACAGGCGGAGCCCCAAGGCTGCTGCGGCTCCATTCACACCAGGAGACGAAAACTTGTCTAAGCTGAGAAGGAAAATAGGCTCTTAGAAACACTGCCTTCGCCCTTCGTTTACATGTGGACTCAAAGAATGTCAGAGGTAGAAGAGACTCCCTCCTTCACCCTGTCCCCAACCTCACAGATGAGAAAACAGACTCCAGTGGGTTGAGGTGCTTGCCAAGGTGACATCCCCAGCTACTCATGCCCACAGCCCTCTCCGCAGCACCTCGCAGCCTGGCCAGGGGAGAAGAGGGCGTCGGCGTCCTCGCCCCACACCCCCAGCCGCCCACCTGGCCGGGGCGCCACGGGGAACAGAGACCCCGCCTACCGGCACCATGGAGTAGGTCATCATCATCAGCATGTCATGGCTCTCGGCGCGGATATGCGGCGCGGGCTCGCCGCTGTGGCTGCGCTTGTTGCGAGCTGAGCTGGCCGGGTCTTGGGGTGGTGCGGACGCCCCGCGCGGCGCGCGGCTCAACTCGGCCAGGAAGGAGCGCAGGGCACTGTCCTCGCGCTGCTCCCGGCCCCGCTGCGCCTCCAAAGCCCGCAGCGCCGAGCTCAGCCCGCGCCACTGGCACAGCGCGAACACCGTGCCCGCAGCGTTGAGCGCCGAGAGCAGCGCCACGGCCGCCAGGGCGCCACGCAGGCCCCAACCCGCGTCCCCACGGCCTCCCTCAGCGCCTCGGGCCATGCTCTATGCGCCTTGGGCAGGGCAGGGCTTGGCAGCCTGCGGCCCTGGCAGCCTTTATACGCCTCGGGCAAGCCGTGGGCTGGTGGCAGCGTCGTGAGTCAAGTCACCCTTTGGCCCAGCTGGCGGGGCGGGATGGGGACAGTAGTGGTGGCGCCCGAGCAGCCCAGAGGGACAGGCGGGCAGAAGCAGGAGAGGAGCCAGTGGAGGCAGCCTGCGGAGGAGGGGCTGGCAGGGCTCGTGCTCCCAGAGTCCCGCCAGCTGAGCAAACCCTCTCCTCCTCTTCCCACTGCTCTGCCTGAGGGCATTGCCGTGGCCCAGACAGGCAAAGCAAGGGTCAGACTGAGGGGGAGAGCAGGAATTCTTATGGAGAGAAGTCTCCGGATTCCACCCCCTTCTACCCCCACACTGCCCTCTTGGAGAAAAAGATCAGCATGCCCAGATGCTAAGGCACGTGCCCACTGTCCATGGGAGGTCTGGTCCTGGCCCGAGCACCAGGCTGCGCATCACTCCCCACCATGGCCATGAGGCTCCACGAGGCCACTGAAGACCCCAGATGATCTTTCCCAGGAAGGGGATGGATAGGGGCAAGGAGACACTTGGCACTGGAAGGCAAAAAAGGCCACCCATCAGAACCAGAAAAGCCCAGGACTGCCTGGCCAACAGGACTCGTCCTTGAAAGGAGAGTTCCAGGATTTGACAAGTCAGGAACTCTCCGATGAGATCCATATCTGGAAAATGGCAGGATGGTGAGGAAAAAAACCCCAGGAATCAGGAGACCTAGTTCTAAAGCCACTCTGTTGCTACTCAGCTGGGAGGCTTTGAGCATGTCCCAAGACCATGAGGAGGTGCTTTCTGGCCTAAGGGTTGGAGAGCTGGGCCATGGTTGGGTTCTTACCTAGCCCTAGGAAAACATGTTTTCCCATGCCTCTCATTTACTCCTCACAACTTTTATGTTGCCCAATACCTGCTCTGCCTCGAGGGTCACTGTCAACCAAATGCAGAGTCACTTTTGAGTCTCCTCAGAGAACCTCTTCACTCAAGATCTTTCTCAGCTTCTCCTAGAATGGCTCTGCTTCCCTGGGGCCCCAGGACCTATGGGAAACTAACGTAGACAGCAATCTTCAAGCCCCATGTTAAGAACCTCGGGTTTGACATTGTTTAAGAAAAAAAAAAAATCACTCTGTTTGGATGTCTCCCATTTGGGAGACCCAACCAGAAGGCAGGATTGCTGTTTCCATAGCCCAATAACTCAAGGAAGAGGTGCCTCCCCGCCAATGAGCCAGCTGGAGCAGTTATAGAGAAAGGACTTCCTCTATCAGAGACCACACTGTTTCAGCACCTGAGGGAGACCAGTAAAATGATCAGAGAGCAAGCTCCTTTTGACTTAATGGTAGGAGCTCTGTAACCATCTACTCCCCAAAGATTCACATTCTGATGTGGTTTGGATCTGTGTCCCCACCCAAATCTCATGTTGAATTGCGATTCCCAGTATTGGTGGTGGAGCCCAGTGGGAGGTGACTGGATCATGGGAGTGGTCCTTCATGAATGGTTTAGCACCATCCCCTCAGTGCTGTTCTCATGATAGTGAGTTATCATGAGATCTGGTTGTTTAAAAGTGTGTAGCATCTCTCCTGGCCCCTCTTCCTCCTGCTCCCACCATGTGAGATGTTCCTGCTCCTGCTTTGCCTTCCTCCATGAGTAAAAGCTCCCTGAGGCCTCCCCAGATGCAGGTGCTGCCATGCTTCCTGTTCAGCCTGTGGAACCATGAGCCAATTAAACTTCTTTTCTTGTAAGTTACCCAGTCTCGGGCTTTTCTTTATAGCAAGGCAAGAATGGACTAATACACATACCAATTCTTGCAGGTAGGATTTTTTGGCACAGGAGAGAAAGCTGAGTAGTATCAGACTTCTTGCCCCCTACTCTCCAGGGTGAGCCAGGGTAGAGCCTCTGAGAATGCACAAGGAAACTGAAGTGACATCTCAATCAGAAATTCTGAGTCAAAGTTTAGATTCCTGAGTTTTAATAGGAACATTGACCAACTTCAGTATTCTTAGAAGAGCATACAGGATAAGAAGAAATTAGGAAAGCATGAAGGTCCAAGTGTTTCATAAAGTACCCCCACTGTGGGGATATGATGACTGGGAGGGGATGGCAGTGATGTAAAAAGCTTTGTCCATTTCCTCCCAACTCAAACGTTCTGTGACCTACTTGAAGAACTGTCATGTATCCTTATCTCTTTTCATCCAGGTATCAGGTTTAGGGCCAATGGGGAGGAGCCACTGAGAGGGAGGGTTGACACTCAGCATCATTCAGATCTTCATTTAATTCAGTAAACACTTAACTGAGCACTTCCTGTGCCTGGTATGATAATGGGCATTGGAGATACGGAAGTAAAAAAGACAGGCAGATTACCCTGTGAGCAGCTGGAACACCGTGGAGCCTTCTGGGCTTCTCTTTATCCTAACATTCATTGCAGTTACTGTTGACTGATCATCTCTCAGCAATACCCACCATTAACCATGGAATAGAAGCCTCCTGAGGCTAGGGGCCATGTCACCCCCAACACATAGCACAGTTCCTGATTTGGAATTCACTATTACCCGTTGAATAAATGAGTGAATGAACGAATGAATAAATGAAAAGCTGTATAGTGAAGGCACTTCTATGTAGAACAATGTGGTGTGTGGTGGGGGGTGTGATCTTATGATTACATGTATATAGATTTTTGTCCATGGTTCTTGTCCATAACTCCCATGACACTTGCTGAGGTCTTTTGCTATAATGTAGAGGTGCTTTAGGCCTCAGGAAACAGAATATTTCTCTGGCCTTCTTTGCCCTCCTTTCATCCACCCAAGGCGGGACTCTATAATCTGATTGTGGGTCATAAGACCCTCATTCCAGAGGAGGTCATGCCCCATACCCTGGAGGAAGGAATGCTGCACAAAGAGAGGAAGAAGAATCTGGACAGACAGACCTTGCTGAGATTAGATCATACCCTTTTTGTCCAATCACATTTTGTTCAATCACATGCTTCAGTCATGGACAACAAATGAAATCTCCATAAAAGGCCCAAAGGACAGGGTTCAGGGAGTTTCTGGAGGGCTGAACACGTGGAGGCAAACAGGAAGGTGAAGAAGAACTTATCCTATCAGGACGGAAGGTCCTGTGCTCGGGATCTTCCAGACGTCGCGTATGTATCTCTTAATCTGACTGAGCCCTCAACCTGTGGGATCAGACACTCTTTCCAGGTAGATAGTGTTGGAACTGAGTTGGAGGACACCCAGCTGGTGCCCGCTGCTTGGTGTGTGGGGGAAAATCCCCTACATTTGGTCGCAGAAGTCTTCTGTGTTGATGACTGTTGTCGTGGTGTGAGAGCAGAGGGAAAACACTGCTTGAGTGTTTTTCTGAAATAGGAGGGCCTAAGAACTATACTGTTCTATGCCACAGAACTGGCCCCCTACTTTCCTTGAAAGGCTGGCTATCCAATGGTGAGGAGAGGAAGTGGTAGCCTGAACCAGCCTCCCCATTTCCCCACCTCCCACCCCAGTTCAGAGCCCAGATCCAGTAGACAGAGCAGAGATGAGGCCTGCTTGGAGCCAGGCAGGCTCTATTAGACAACTTCAGGCCAAGAAGCTGCCCCTCTTGGGATGCAGGACTCAAAAGGCTTGTAGCATGGCCACCCCGTGGGCTGGGTTGGTGGAAAGCCTGGGATATTGCTCTGGGGCAAGAGGGGCAGAAGGAAGCGCAAATGAAAAGCCAGACTCCTTTCCTACCAGACTCCACTGTCAGATCCCTCTCCAACTCTTCCTGTGTGGGATGATGGCATTTTTCACAGAAGAAGGGGGACATGTTGATATGGCCTACAAGGTAGACATCTTCACTCATCTCTCACCCTAAAGTGGCTGTGCCCAAGCAGCTGCCATGCTCTGCCCTCTTTCCTCTTCTCCTCTATCTTCTCTCTCCAACCCTCTTTCCACCGCAGTGCCACACAGTGACCTATCTCCATCACTGGCCTATTTCAGTGTTGCCCACTTTAAGGCCTAACTCCGAGTACCCTTCCTCATCTAGCCTTGACTTCCTAGGCCAGTCCCAAGCACTGTGAGCTCTACAAGCTGCAGGGGCTCTGTGGTTATGCACCTGGGCTTTGGAATCAGACCTGACCTTGAAACTGTTTTTTAACTGCATGACTTTAGATATGCTACTCAAGTTCTTTAAAGAGACTGTAATTGTATCTATTTCATAGGGTTGTGAAGCTTTAATAAGAAAATACTTGTAAAGCACTTGTATAATAAATGTTCAACACGGGTTGGTATTGTTGGATATGGGCCATATGAACTGGCTGAGACTTACACTGTGTGTGCCTTGTGCTGTTAGTTGACACTTTAGTTCTTCTGTGCCTTGTGCTGTTAATCGACATCTTAGTTCTTCCACATCCTATTTCTTCAGTTGGGTTACAATATTCTTAAGGCAGGGACCTATCTTAACTGTCCTCTCACAGCAGGGACTTGTGCCAAGTAGGAATATTTGATTAATGGATTCATTAGCTAATCACACTTTGTAGATGCTTTTTGAGGAACAGAACTTTTGAATGCACGATAAACTTGGGTTCTCGTCTGAATACCATGGCTTTGAGGTTGGTTATATGGAGCCTTTCAGTGTGAATCCCTAAGCCTCTTGAGATTTCTTGAGAGGCAGATATGCCTGCATAGCCTGCCCTGCCTGATACTTCACAGAATGGGCTGCTACTTTTTACTTATTATTAAAAAAAAAAAAAAGCTATCAATCTGGCCTGTTTTGTTGACACAGGAGGCTCAGGATATAATGCGGACACAGGGAGATATCTCAATTCCCTTTTTTTGGAGACCAAAGCAGCCAAGAACATTGTGTGCTATCTTTACAATGAGAAGTAGTTTTTCCATTAAAAGGCAGATGCTTCATTTCCAAAAGTTAAATAGAATGGTCCTTAAAAATGATTCCAGCTGGTTAACTTTAGGGCTCTGGAGAATAAAATCAAATTCAAGAATATACCCCAACTTTAGTTCCACAGCATTTCTTCCTGATTGTGAAGTAAATAATTTTCCTGGCCTGGCACTTGGGTATTCTTGTCTTCAGTGATGAGATTGACAGCTACACTGTGACTTTTGATGGTTTTACTGCCCCACCACCCTTCCACCACACTGGTGATTAGGGAGAGAGCCACCCTAAAAGTTGTCACCACATGCATCTTCCACTCAGCCTCTTATGGTTTTAACTCCCCATTCCTACTGTTAAACCCCAAGAAACTTCACACCATCCAACCAAAGTCAGCAATTCTCCCTTTTTTCTTTCTTTTATTCTTTCATGTATTCATTTACTCAGCAAATGGTAATTGGGTGCCTACTATCTGCCAGGAACTGTGCCAGGAGCCAGGAATAGCATGGAGAGCAAAGCCAGGCATCATTCCTGAAGCCTGGAGTGGGGAGACAGATTTACCAAACAATATTAGACATGAGGGTGCAATTCTAAATGCGGCCACGAGACAAATGCTCTGGAAGAAAGGAATGCAGTTCCTTGAGATCATATCACTGAAGAGCCTGTCCTAGAGTTGGATGTGTGGTTCAGGGAAGGCTTCCCTGAGAAAAGGATGCTTGTGTTGGCACCTGAAGCTGAGTTGTAAACTAGGCGAAGATAGGGGTGAGGAGAATTGCAGAGAGGAGGAACAACACGTTCAAGGCCCTATGGCAGGAGATGGCATGGCTTATTTGAGGAACCGTAAGAAGCCAATGCGGTGCCACATGGAGCGTCAGGAGCAAGGAGGAGGGAGTGAAATGAGGCTGTAACCAAGGCAGGGACCAGACTCTGTGGGTGGGACCTTCCTTGTAGGGCTGAGGCCTTTACTGTAAAAGCAATGGGAAACAAATGAGGAGTTTTACGTGTGTGTGGGATGGGGAGGAGTCGGTAGATGGATGACAGATTTTCATTTTAAAAGATTACCTTTTACTGCCAAGACTTGCAGTGGCTTCTGTCACTATGGAAACCATGTATGATCTCTGACCTCCACCAGGGCCAACTTCAGCCTTTAAAACCACCTGGAAATAAGGAAGTGCTGAGTTCTAGAAAATGTAACTTTCTCTTTCATCTGTATGTAAAAAGGTAGTTGAAAAACAGAACCGTGACTAAATTTAGATCATTTAGCCAATCTTGATACTAGTAGGGGTTTTTGTATAAAACACAGTGTGTTGTTAGCATTTTCTTGGAAGTTAGCCTTTGGTGCTTCCAGGTAAGAGCACCAAATCTGCTTATCTCTAGGGTTGGGAATAAGAATAGATGATATTGCTTCCGTTGTGAGATTTTGGTCCAAGTCGGGCTGGTAACAACAGATTTCCGCCTATCGTAGTAGCAGTGTCTTAGACCTTTGAGTTGCCCACTCATTGTTTGACGTGGAGCTGTCTGTGGTTGTGAAGGTGATGCCATTTCAAATCCCCACTTCCCATTGTTTTCTCTCCTTCTTTGCAACAAACATGCCCTCCCACCCCACCCCACTCCACCTTTCTAGTGTAGTGTACCCAATTGTCACAGATCAGATTCTCTGGAAACAAGTGCTGAGATGGAATTTGGAGTACAAAATGGTTATTAGGGATCAGCACCTATGAAGGAAAGAAGGAGAAGCAGGATTGGGCAGAGGGAGAAATCCAGCACAGTCCAACCCTGCAAAGCCTCAGCCAACCCACTGGGAAGCTCTGGATTGTGTATTGCTCATCAGAGTGTCCTGTGTCAGGCCAGAGTGACTGGGCTTTTACCTACCTCACTCAGTCACAGGACAGATGTGGGATGCCCTGGGAAGGTATGACCTGGGGCCAGGTGGCTCTCTGCAGCTGAAGCATGCTTTAATCTTAATCTCTGCAGCCAGGCAGTCAGTCCTTTCTTGAAGGGGGACCCTCAGGTCCCCACATCTCCACATCTACCACATCAACCACCTGAATCTGCCATTCCAACATTAGTAGGCTTTAAATTGTAACCGTGACAGGCTGTAGAAAGAAATCTTTTCCTTTTTCACCTGGAGTGATGGCCTTTCAATAAATGAAAAAGTGATTGTTTTCAGAAACAATGAAAATGTAAAGGAAGCTCTAAGAGTGGATTCTGTGCAATCATGAGAATGGCTCATGAATTTGAAACTGCAAAATCCACAGAAGTAAGTTAATACTGCAAAGCTCCACTTATGGAACTCGAGCCACTGTTTTTGAAAGATAAAACAAAGCCTTACATGTGTAGAGCACTTCAGTTTTCAAAGTGCTTTCTCATGTCATTTGAGTTCCATAATAAGCCTGTGAACGGGGCAGGGCAGGTTTTATAAGCATTTCACAGATGAGGAAGTCAGGGCTCAGGAGGTTTAAGTGATCTGCCCAAGGTCACATTGTTGAAACCTCATCAACGTTCACCCATGCCCTGTTTATCAAAAGTAGGAAATTTTTGGCCCCCATCTTGGGCCACTGAGGAATGCTCAAAATGATGGACAGGAAGTGAAACAATAGAGCAGGGAAATGATTCAAAGTGATGGAGTGGAAAACAGCTCAGACTGGCACTTGGCTCCAAGGCTTAAAAACAAACCTGGAGCAGACACTGAATGCTAGAATGTGTAAGCTAGTCAGGAAAGAAAGCCAAGCCTGGTCTAGCAGATTAAGGAGGATTTTAAGAGATCAATGATGTAAGAACATGATTTCCTAAAAACCATGTAGGGGAACTGTCATCTCTGCAGTGAATAGGTGCATATAGGTCCTAAAAAAAAAGTGAATTTGGGGCCTGATAGCCTAAGACCTTTCATTCCTGGGTTGCAAAGGCAGAGTAACAAGCTAGAATAGATATGCCTCACCTCTCCAGAGAGACTGGTTGGGAGTGACCAAAAGGGATTCCTGCCAATATTAAGCCTGGAGAAGATGACACCCCATCTGCTGAGCCTGGAGACTCAAGCCAGGGACCAGAGGAGTGGCCCCGGCTAAGAGAAGCTTACCTTTTATTGCCAAGACTTGCACTGGCTTCTGTCACTATGGAAACCACGTATGATCTCTGACCTCCACCAGGGCCAACTTCAGCCTTTAAAACCACCTTTCCAAATGAAACAAGAAAGTGCTGAGTTCTAGAAAATGTGACTTTTTAGGTCAAACTGTGGACCCTAAACATGTGCTACTTTCTTAAAGCTGTATGAGTAAACACATGGTCTCCAAACCACCCCCGATTCTGTAATCATAAGAGGGCACCAGTATCTGGGCATCAGTGAGTATCCTGGCAGATGGATCTGGCTGGATGAGGTAAGGGAGTTGTACAGGTGTGCTGAGTCTATCTCTACTCCTGAGCCTGGGAGATGTGAGAAAACAGGAAAATGAGAGTCTCCCCGCCAGTGACTTGATAGGGGATTGAGAACCACCATTTTTGTCCCTTCTGAGAAGGCACCTCAGCTGCTGGCCCTGAGCCCAGAGAGCAGACAAAAGAAAACATTACCCTTATACTTAGGGGGCACAGCAATGCTCTTAGAAGAGGCTCACATGAAACCAAGCCACTAGGGAACAGTAATACATTTAAAATATTAACGTTAGGACATAAACATTCCAGTAGAGCACAAAAAGACTTTCTGGAACCAAATGACAAGATCTGCAGACAAATTCAGTAGCTGAAGGAAAGAAAAGTAGTAGTTAATAGGAAGTAAATTTCCCAAGTTAAGAAAGGGCCTGAGTCTGCCTATTGGAAGGTTTTGGCAAGTTATGGGCAAGACAAATGATTCATAGGTTGAGAAATTCCAGAAGTCTAAGGATGAAAAGAAAATCTTACAGTCTTCCAGAAAGAAAGTACAAGTGACTTATAGGGGAAGAAGGATCATGGGGGCATCAACTTTCTCTTCTATGACACCTGAAGTAGGGATGATTGAGGCCAATCGTGTGAAGATTACTGAGAGAAAAACACTGCACACCAAGAATCCTGTAGCAAGACCCCACTCCTCTGTCAGGGTCAAGGAAACATAGTTGAGAATATGCAAGGAAAAGACCTGTCACCCATATCTTCCACCAGATAAAAGGGTGTTAAGATCTAACCAAACAATAGATGAATCAGCTTAAAGGCTACAGGATGGAAAGAGGAGGAAAAGGGAGAAAAAAATTAGTGGTGAGCAAGGAGCCTTACAACACATCGTCAGTTAAATTCAGACAGATAATAATAGACAGTTCAGGAATGTGTAATATAATTGCTGAAAATAGAAGAGACATATTTCAAGGGAAATGTTAACAATAGCCTGGAACAAAAAGTTCTAAAGGAGAAAGAGGGGAAGTGAAGTTTCCACAGGTCTCACATTGGTGTGTGAGAGTGGGAAGTGAAAGCGTCCTAAAGGCCTCATGCTGGGGGAGGAGGAACAGCAGGAGAGGAGAGAATCTGGGGAAATAGTTGGACTCTTATGTTGGTATAATGGAATAAAAGAATGAGTTTGACTACCAGTGACAAAAAGGAGAAGGACCTGGTAGAATGAAAAACTAGACTAGAGCTCCCAAATTAAGAAGAGAAAGAAAATAATTGAACAGAAACTTGATAACTAATTAATATAAAGAACATCAAGGGGGCTTAAATAAGTAATAAATATTAAGTAAAATAGAAGCAATAAAATTCAATGTATTATTAAATGTGAATAGAATTATTCTTAAAAGAGACTATTAGATTTGGTAAAATAAAAAGCAGACAGTTATATGCTTTCTTGTATATATATATGTATGTGTGTGTGTGTATGTGTGTATATATATATATATACACACACATACAAGAAATAAACACATTTAACAAATGTGATAAAAATTGAGAATAAAAAGTCAAGAAAAAATACCAGGCAAATGCAAATAACAAAGCAGGAAAGAATTACTCTGTTAATACCCAGCAAAATGAAATGTAAAGAGCACTGAATAAGATAGAGTTGCTATGTAATGATAATAATTTGCAAAAAGTCACTAACCAGTATGTGTTAAAAATCAAATGTGAAAAATAGTAAAGCCATGTGTGATTTCAGTACCTTTCTTCTTTACAGAGAGCAAGAAGTCGCGCCCCCCTGAACTCGCCCCCATTCTATCCAGTCCTACCACATAAATAACCATTCTGGGTCATACAAATACATATGCTCTTGCAAAGATGCAAAAAAAGATGCTAACTATACTTATCTCCTTCTGGGTCAGTATTTACAGGTTTGCCCCCATTCCTTATTTCCATGAGGAGAGATTTCCCTAAAATGCCCCTTGTCCTCTTTCCGCTTCTCCTTTTCTTCTCCCCAGAGAGGAGGAATGTCTTGGCTGACTCATCTTCTTCACCTCTCCTCTTTCCTTTTCGTAGCCAGCCTTATCAGCAAGCTCTCATTCTAGTCTACTCTCACGTGGCTCCAGCTCTCCAGGGGCAGCCTCTCTGCAGGAAGGCCTCGGGTGTTCAGTGCTGCCTGTGATGAGTGGGTCTGTCTTTCTCATTTGGAAAAAATGTTGCTGAACATTTAATGTTACCATTTCCAATGTCAGCTTTATCCCTAATAAAGCTGACGTTTTGATCTCCATCTGCCTTGCTCTCATCCTACCACCCGATTGGTTTAGAATTGTGGTGGAGAAAACAGGAACTCAATTCTGGGGGTCTCCTTACAACTCCAAAACAACCTTATTCTTCCCAAAGTCAACCAGCCATCTTTAATGTGGCTATACTCCTCATCTGCGCTTCCTCATCCCTCATTCATTCGCCACGTCACGGCCATGTAGCTTCTTCTCCCACCAAACATTGAACCCATCCTGCCAAGGTCGCTGATGACTTATTTGCAAAATACAATGAAAACTTTTCAGTCTAAAGGTCAATCTTACTTGAAGTCTCTGCAACTTTCAAAGCTCTTCATCACTTCCTCCTCCTTGACATTCCTTCCTCTCTGAGCTTCCATGACACTACTTTCTCTTGGTTTTCCTCCTACTTCTCCGACTGTTCCTTCTCAGCCTCCTTGAACTGTTCTTCAACTTCTGTGCACCCAACTGCTAGTGTTCTCCAGGGTTGTGCCCTACATCCTCACTCTGTTGACTCTTCCTTGGTGATTTTATCCACTGCCGAGGCCTCTGACCACCACATACCCAAACCCTGCCTGTTGCCCAGGGCTCTCTTTGGAGCTCTAGACTCAAAGGGCCAAGTACCAGTGGTGTAACTCCATGTACGACAGAAGAAGGTACCATATCATTTTATTTTTTATCACTTTATTAATGATAGCAAGATTTTTTCATATTTTACTGATCAGTTGTGCATGTTTACAGGTGTATGTGTATAAATCCTTTCCTCACTTGACATTTCTTATGCCCCTTCTCTCCTCCTCTTCCTTTCTGTCCTGCACCTTAGTTTGGGTCCACAACACACCTCAACGATGTCGCTGTGCCACTTCTCCAAGTGCACCTTCTACTCCCAGTCTGCTAGTTTGTGAGCCCAGACTCGATTCTTCGGTCCATGTGATATGTTCATACACAGGGCTCTCCACAACCCCACCCCTGCCTACTCTCTCTCTGCCCTGTTTCTCACCATTCCGCCCTTGTGCCTCACGTTCCTTCTTCCAGCTTCCGGGAGGTGCCTGCTCCCTCCCTGCTCCTTGCCACTATCATGCTCATTTCTCTGCCTGTTTTCCTCTTCTCCCCTTCTCTGACTGGCTGACTTTATTCTTTAAAACACACATCTGATGTCCCTTCTGGGGAGCCCTCCAGCCCCACATCCCAGGGAGGGCTAGCTGCTCCGACTGTGTGCTCCCACTGTAATTGTATTTACCCATCCTGGTGTATATCTGGTCATTTCACAATGGCCTGTCGCTCCCTGTCTGTCTCCCTGTTAGGCTGTGAACTCCTTGGGAATACTCCTGTATCTTGCTCATCTAATACTCCCAGAACCTCATGCATACCTGGCATGTAGTAGATGTTCAATACATTTTTGAATGAGTGAAAGTGTGATAGAGGGCAGTGCCCTTACAATTTCTTTCTGAGATCTTGCTTCCTGACCACAGGATTCACTCGCTGAAGAGGAGTGATCAGTTTCATACCAGCAGCACCCTCTGCCCACTGACAGATGGTTCTCCACTGGGAAACTTTCTTCATCCCCGGTGGTATTTGAAGGGAGTTCTCTATACATGTTTACCTTGTAAAATTTCCCTCCATCAGTGGCCCTGGCCTTGCTGGCCTTCCCATTATACCTCTTGGGGGGCACTACTAATACCCATGTCTTCTGCTGTTTCTCAAAAGGCCCCTAGCCTTACTATCCAAATAGACACTGAAAAGGGGTGGAAATCCTGGGGGCAGTCAGCTCTCAGAGGGTGCCTTTTTAGTGTCTCCTGCCCCTCTGGTTTGCCATTGCCTGGCTCCTGCTGAGTCTGGAGTGGGGCCCTATGTGTGAAGCAGTAGCCTCCTGTTAGAGTGCTCCAGACCATCTCAGTGTGAACCAAGGGCTGTTGTGGCCAAGAGCTCGGCATCCCAGAGTCAGTGACGAGAAGGGAGGAGGCAGGCCAGGGCAAGAACATGGCTCAGACTTGTGTGGGAGTGTATTAGTCGGGGTTTTTCAGAGAAGCAGAACCAATAGGTTGTATACAGAAAGAGATTTATTATAAGGAATTGGCTCATGCAATTATGTAGGCTGACAAATCCCAAAGTCTGCAGGGTAAGTTGGCAAGCTGGAGACCTACGAGAGTGTAGGCCTGGTCTGAGGACCAGCAAGCTCACAACCCAGGAAGAGCCAATGTTTCAGTTTGTATCTGAAGGCAGGAAGAAGCCAGCATCCTAGCTTGAAGCCAGTCAGGCAGCAGCAATTCTCTTACTTGTGGGACAGTAAACTTTTTGCTCTATTCAGGCCTTCAGCTGATTTTTTGAGGCCACTTGCATTGGTGAGGGCAATCTGCTTTACTCCAACTCATTCCATTTAGATGTGAATCACATCCAGAAACACCCTCCCCAACACACCCAGAAAAATGTTTGACCAAATATCTGGGCACCCTATGACCCAGTCAAGTTGACACATAAAATTAACCATCACAGGGAGCAATAGGGGGATCAGATGACTCTCAACTCCAGCTGTTGGAAGTCACACTTAACGTACACACACATGTACACACACACACACACACACACACACACACACACACACCCCTGCCCTGTAACTCAGGATTCCCAGTGAGGGTGGTTCCACCCATTAGAGCTATCTTTGGAAATTTGTGGAGGCATTTGTTACTATCACAGTTTGTTACGACGGTGAATGTGGGATGCCATTGACATTTAGTGGATGGGTAGGGGGGGATGTCAGATGCTCTGCAGTGGTCAGGACCATCCACATCACAAGTGACTGTCCCTCATCACTTTCAAATGTCCTGCTCAATGTTTATGTCCATGAAAACTTGTTTATACATAGGTGGATCTAGCATCCAACCCCATTTTATATATAAACACACAGGATTTATTTTTTGCAGTTTTAAAATACACTGAATTTTTCAGGAATGCAGCATAGAGTGAAGATGGTACATATTTGTTCAGGACTTTATGAAGATTGTTCACCATTTTGGAAAATCATGTTACAAATGGCAATGGTAATCACAGTGTTTGAGCCATACTAAAAACACATGTGACTCTGTGTGCATTTAAATCTATTGCATTCATGGCGACTCTACACATAGGTGCAGACATCTAACTACTTAGTAGGATTTCCAGTGTAGTCATGTACAAGATTTTTTAGATACTGAAATACTTATTTTTCTATAAAATTGCTTTTCTTTCTTTCTTGATTATAACCCAGTGAGTGTATTCCATTTTTTTTTTATATTATGAATTTTGGGAGGAAATTTTATGTGTAGGTAGATATATTATCTATGGGTTTCATTTGAGCATAACAAAAGGAGAGTTACAAGTTATGTGTTGTTGGTTTGTTTTCATTTGTTTGTTTTTTCTGAGACGGAGTCTTGTGTTATAAGAAGGGACACTGAGTCTGATGTGGCAGAGAGCCACTATTTCAACTGAACTAGTGCCTGTGAAGAACACGCATCTGTCTGTTGGGCTGAGCCTGGCCCCAAGGGACCTGTGGACCCTGGATCCTGAAGACACTGGATCCTTGAGAATCGCTTGAACCCCGGAGGCAGAGGTTGCAGTGAGCTGAGATCATGCCACTATATGACAGAGCAAGATTCTGCCTCAAAGGAAAAAAAAAAAAAAGAACAATGTCAAATGAATTAGTGAATGGATGGATGAGTGAATGCATGCATGCATGATTTGGGGGGTGAGAACATTAGATGGCTCTACTCATTTAATCCCAGTGTCTGTGGAAATCAAACACAGGAGACTGCTTTGTGTTTTCTACCAGCCAGCTCACCAACTGAGCCCCTAATGGTGCCTTGGCTTTACTCAGGAGTTTAATTAGCCCTGGCGCTTGATTCTGAAAGAAATGGAGAGCAGTGATGAACACAAACAGGAGAGATCTGGGCAGTAACAAGCCTGGCATATGGCACCATGGATCACCCATTGGCCTTAGGGCTGGACTAAGTCCTAGGTGACTTTACTTCTAAATGTTACTCATGTTTATTCTTTCAAGATGCTAGATAATTAAGACCTGACTACCCGAAACCAAAAATACGAGCTGCTTTTGGATGATTAGTGGTGCATGCAGAGTCATTGGAAATGTAGTGGGAGTAGGGAAAACAGTTCTGGGTTTGGATTCAAAAGACTGAGCTTGACCCCAGACTTTCCCCACAACTACCTGTATGGTCATGGGCAAGCTAGTTCATATTTCCAGGTTTAAAAGCCTATGGTTCAATGAAATGCAGTAAACAACGATTCAGAGGAATTACACAGTGATGTGTTTATAGTAGATACACCACGAAGTTAAAAACACTTGTACTTTCAGGTCTCTCATTGCCCTGGCCCCTTCCAAAGCCCTGTGTCTCATTTTGTTAGATGGTATCATTATCCTAAACCTGGGTCTCATATTAAGGTTTCTTCCAGGTTCAAAATTCTATGTTACTGGCCAATGAATTTAAAAAAGAACATTTTCTGTTATACAACTCCATTCTATTCCATAACTTGTAATTTTTTAGTTTCAAGGACACCACTATGTCATATACACATTGTTCTTTTCTTTAGGTACTTAGCATGATTTTGGACAAATCTGATAAAGAAAATTGAAAGTCTAGATCCCTGGGATTTACTACTATAATGCTTAAAGTTGAGCCACATTCTCAACTTTATCGTAGTTGAAAATTCTACAGCAAGAATTCTTTAACTGTAAGATCTGTGTTGGGTTACTGTGAGTTTCATTTCAGTCTCATTTTCATTGTTCTGGAGTTCTGGACATCTGAGGCAGCCCATGCAATTTTCTTCCTTTCTTTTTCTAGAAGAGCTTCGCCTCTGGCCACTTGGAAGCTGGGCCTTGGGAGGTCCAGGGGTAAACTGTGCATTAAGCTGACAGTGCTCAGTAAGAAAAATCTTTACTCTGTGGCAATCTGGTTTGGACACCTACCCTAATCAAACTGGGAACATTTGGGGAGGACTCAGGAATTATCTTAATTATAGACACCTCTGACTTATAATGATTCAACTTATGATTTTTCAGTTTTATAATGGTGTGAAGTTCACTTTCAGTAGAAACTGTACTTCAAGTACCCATACAACCATTCTGTTTCTCACTTTCAGTACAATATTCAATAAATAACAAGAGCTATTCAACACTTTATTATAAAATGGGCTTTGATTTTGCCTAATTGTACGCTAATGTAAGTGTTCTGAGCACATTTAAGGTAGGCTGGGCTAAGCTATGATATTTGGTAGGTTAGGTGGACTCAATGCCCTTTTTTTTTTTTTTTTTTTTTTTTTTTTGAGACGGAGTCTCACTCTGTCACCAGGCTGGAGTGCAGTGGCGCCATCTTGGCTCACTGCAACCTCTGACTCCTGGGTTCAAGCGATTCTCTTGCCTCAGTCTCCCAAGTAGCTGGGATTACAGGCATGTGCCACCACGCCCAGCTAATTTTTGTATTTTTAGTAGAGACGGGGTTTCACCGTGTTAGCCAGGATGGTCTTGATCTACTGACCTCGTGATCCGCCCACCTCGGCCTCCCAAAGTGCTGGGATTACAGGCATGAGCCATGGCGCCTGGCCTGCACTTTCAACTTTTCAATATTTCCAGCGTACAATGGGCATATAGAGATGTAGCACCATGGTAAGTTGAGGAGCATCTGTACTTGTTGGATAAGTATGAAGCTCAATCCTCATGGTTAGTGTCATACTCTGCTAGCCCAAGAGGCTAGAGCAGAAAAAGTGGGTGGCAGGGGAGGCGAATATCTATGGGCTGCAAGTCCTTACAATGGGATCTTTCTTCCCAGACTCCTCAGTCCTCACCACTCCTACACCCTGCCAGTGAAGAACACCCACAGGACATCTGTCTTCAGCTTGCCATTCAGATCCACTATAAGGGCTTCACCCTGTAGCAACTTGGCTTGGACACTGACCCTAGGCAAACAGGGAATGTTTTTTGAGATAGGGTCTCTTGCTTCTTGCCCAAGCTGGCCTCAGCCTCCTGGGCTCAAGCAATCTTCTGGCCTCCCAAGCAGCTGGGACTACAGGCACATAACCGTGTGCCCTAAACTTGGAAATTTTACCTGGTTCAGGAATTCTCTTAATTATTTTGTTTTTCTTGTAACTGGTATTTTGTTCCCTTTGTGAGGAGGGGAAAGGAAGTATTTTCTTTATTTATCCTGCTTTCTCATTTTCACCAAAAATGAGGTTACAGATCTACTTCTGACTTTAATTTGTAACACACCCCAGAATTTTGTTATTGTTTTGCCTCTGACTTTTGTTTTCCCAACATAAAATCACTTCCACCTCAGAATTATAACCCCTAGGGTCCCTAGAACTGATAATAAAAATTCTAGATCAGTGGACAACTTAAAGGATTTCCTGTTAACATTTACTCTACCTGTCTAAAATTTGCATCTTCCATTGCTTTTTCTCAATTTTAATTTCTATGTGTTTGTTTGCTAGTTGGATTTAAGTAGACATTTCGTTTTTAACCAGTTTTAAAGTTGCCTTTTATTTTTGGCTAATAATTATGTTTTAGTTTATATTATTTTATTGCCATTTCATTCTCAACCAGCCAGGAGCTGGCCTGGATTAGAAGAACTGGTTCTAACCTCATTGGTCTGTTATGTTGTCACACAGGGTACATTACTTAATTCATCAGAGTGGGGCTCAATCAGTGTGATGGCCCCTCTCTTTACAATGTTCTGGTAGCCTATAAATCGGCTTTGTTTTATTCACTCTTATTTCTATGTTAGCATCTTTGGAAAAATTCCTAAACTTATTTGGGAACAAATTGTTATTATATGAGGCTAATGGTACCTAGAAATAACTAGAATAATTCCCAAGAAGTTATGCCTTTATAAAATATTCATCTTTGGCAATGACCAGAAATGTCTACCTTTACATAAATTAGTGTGTCCACTCTTTTTGGGGCTGGTGGGGTGTCTTCTGACTGGCCTTCATGTGTGGGAATAGCCCCATTCCAAGTGCTGCTTGATTGTAAAATTGGACCAAGCCTGTCATCACACTGCCCAGTCTTTGGGTAGGGGGAGCTGAGAGATTCTGTGAATATTGTCAGAAGGGACATGTTTTTGGATAGGGAGGGAAAAAAAGCAAGATCCCCAGGTCCCCTGATTTTAACCATGACGTAGAAAACTCCACACAGACCCTCCTCCCTTCCGCCCTGGCACAGAGTCCCGTTGTCCTTTCATAGGCGGTGTCAGAAACCCTGTGGTGAAATTCAGCCTGTGGATTCCAGAAATTTGGAGTGTTCTTGGGGGGAAAAATCCGCACACACAAAGCAACATTTGGAAATCCCTGTGGTGAGTTGGGAGGTGGGGAGGGGATGCAGTATGGGAAGGCTGGAAGGGAAAGCGCCGGTGTACATCCCTCCCTCTTCTTTCCAGGGCTCTGAGTGTCAGGGCTGAGATGAAGATGACACCCTGGCAGAGGAGGAGGCAGGGTGCTGGGGGCAGGGCATGGACATTGAGGTCTGTGCTGAGCTTTACAGTTTGCAAGCACTTTCATGTTATCTTGTGGGGGTAGATCAGTGACTCCATAGCCATTTTATAGGCATAGACACTGAATTTCACAGTGGTTAAATAAATTTCCCAAGACCACATGGTTGGAAAAAAAAAAAAAAGTAGAGACACATCCAAATCCAAAAATTTTGTGCTGGAAGGTTTTCATGCCATAAAACAGTTCCATCTCCGTTTATCATTGATCCCACAAGTTCTACTATTTACTTTACTTTCTTCGGAAGCTTAGTTGATTTTTTCCTTCTATAGGACATCTGCACTTAAATTCTTTAGGAAGTATTATGCCTGAGTGTGGCTACTCCCTACCTGAGAGCAGCTTCCTATAAGAAGGAGCTTCTCAGCAGGCAAGGAGAGAGAGGGCTGGAGAAAGGCCAGGCATGGTGAGCAATTGTGGGCCACCCAAGGGCCTGGACTCTCAGGGTGGTGATAACATAGTGGTAGGGGTTTGGGGAGAGGCCCAGAGACAGTGGCCCTGGAGGCCACTGCAAGGGAAAACAGGAAGAAGGCAGTAGGTCAAGTTCCTTCTTTAAACCAAGCCAACTAAGGCTTGTCCAGGGCCCTTCCTGTAGCTCCAGCATTCATTTGGTGCAGAAGAAAACACTGAATTCCTTGGAGCCATTATTGAGGCTTGAAAGTTTGGAAGCTCTGTGTTAGCAGCATTTTAGGGACAGTTCAGCCAGAAGTGGATGTGTTCCCTACAGACATGAAATTCTAGCAACTGCATTGTTTCCTAATGGGATCACAGGTTATGGACTCATGGAGCTGAAAAAGTCTCCACAATGGGAGAGAAACTGAGAGGTGCTGAATCCAGCTGGTGAGACCCAGCACAGTAGAGGCTGGCCCAATGCCACCCAGTGAGTTAGTGTTCCCTCAAGATTGTTACAGTTAAATGCACTTGCAAAATCCTAGTGGGGAAGCGGGGGTGGGGGTGATGCAAGGATGGAAAACATTTTGTCAAGCATCAGATTATGACAAGGGCTCTTCCTAAAAGTTAAGAATGTGATGACTGAAAGGGGCCTAGGATATATTTTATATATTGGAGGTGGTACTGGCATTTGAGTATTTCTAGTTTGCTTTTATTATCTGGATGATGAACAGTAACAACAGCAGAAGCAGCAATAAACTCTTACATAAAATTTATCTCTAAATGCCAAAGCAGTTTGTTTCTCTAAATATAGTGTACAAAAAGAGAGGTATTTACATAAAGTGACTCGCTATTAATTTATTAATTGTCACTTGCACTTCCCAATCAGGTAAGGATTGCACAGTTCAGGCGAAAGCCTCCACTGGCTGCTTGTTCTCTGCTCAGCTCTTGGGCACAGACACCTGCCCTGCCTTGTGATGAGGAAGCCTTCCTCTGACAAGGGCAGAGATCTCCATACTCACCAACAGCTCCTTTCCATGCACAGGGAAGCAGCCAGGGGCTCGCAGGTTTTCACTCAGCCTATTTCAAGCCCAGCCTAAGCAGCCCCTTTGTCTGTGGAGCCAGGTCCGACCCATGGCCCGTGGCGGGAAGGCCACACCAGATGCTGATGTGGGACGGGAGCTGTAGCTCCATCTTCTCATTCTCTTGCAGAAGGGGATGAGTGTGGTGCTCCCTGACTTAGCAGCTTCTCTCAGGAATTTTATTTATTATGTTTTTTTTTTTTTCCCCTAAACAGCATTTCTCTCCGTTTAGTTAACAGGATGTTGATGGGTTTCTCTTCCTTTTGGGGTCCTTCCCTTTCGATGAGGGCCCAGGCCTTCCCCCTTCCCAGCATAGTCCAGCCTGCCTGGATACTCTTTCATGGGCCTCTGGGGCCAGAGGACAAGTCCCTAGTGCTGTCCATCTGCTCTGTGCATGTCTGTTCAATTCAGTAGATGTTCACTGAAGAGCCACTCTGGGAGGATGCAGATTAGGCCTGGAGAATGTAGCAATGGAAATGTTTGATATCTGACTTCATGGAGCCTGTAGATGAGTGAGGGACATAAGTGGGACCTTAAAAAATCATCTACAAGACAGAGAGAGATATGATCAAGTTAGAAGGTCTTTTCTTAAAGATCCCAGAGATAATCTACCCCTAGATGTGCAGACGAAATTAGGGCCAGAGGGGGTGGATGAACTGGTTTGAGGACTCTAAGGATGGCGTAAGTGATTTCGAATCGAAAGATGGGGAAGGAGCTCCTGGAGAAGGTGGCCACTGGGCAGGGCATCATGAGGGAAATTGGATTGTGGCAGAGGGAGCAGGGTGAGCACAGGCTGGGAAGGAAAGTGTGGTGGGCTCCCCCAACAGTAGGCAGTCATGGGGGATCTAGGGGCATGGTGGGTGGATGGGGAGGGGTGCTCACAGGGTCCATCAGTGATGATTGTGAAGGGCCTGAATTATGTGTGCAATGGAGAGGCACTGGTGGGTCACAGATGACTTCTATGTGGGGCTTGGCCAGCAGTGTGCAGGGTGGTTGGGAAGTTCAAAGGCTGTAGCTTGGGTGTGGGCAAGAGACAGCAAGGCCCTGGATGAAGTAAGCAGGCTGGAGTGGGGAGACAGGAATGGGTTGAAGGCACAGGGTGGAGAGAACCCACCCATTGGGTTCCAGCTGCACTGTCCAGTACAGGCCGTGAGCCACAGGTGGCTGTCGAGCACTGGAGTGTGGCTGGTCTGAATTGAGATGTGCTGTAAGGATAAAACACACACCAGATTTTGAAAGCTTGATGTGAAGAATGTACAATTCTCAATCATTTTTAAAATATTGATTACATGATGAAATAATTTCATTTAGAATATGCTGGGTTGAATTAAATATATTAAGATTAATTTCACCTGTTTCTCTTTTTAATATGTGTGTTACACAATTTAAGATTACTTACATGGCTCACATTCTATCTCCATTGGACAGCACTGGGTTAGAGGGGAAGAGGATAAGGCAGAGCTTTGGGGACAGGAAGGAACAGGGCTGAGAGGAGGACCTGAGAAGTGGGGTTAAGGAAAAAGGAGAGATCATACAGATTTGGTGTCTTCCCAGATTGAGACAGCTTTTGGGCCTCTTGGGGCCACAAGGAGCTTCAGAAATTGCCAGTGTCTTTACATGGAGTACCTGAAATGTCCATCTGGTCTCCTCACTCACCTGGCACCTAACCATGTGCTGTTTTGTACTTGACTGTTGCTTACCTGTGTCTCTAAGTCCTTGCCTCAGCCAGATAAAAAGCCTTCTCAGGGCAATGCCATTGTATCCTGTCTGTTCTCTCCAGTGCTTACTTCACCCAGGGCTGGGGGTAGCAGGTGCTCCCTGGAACTTGGCAAACATCCTCATATTGGGAGGAGCTTGGCTGGTTTTCCTTGATCTCCCTCTTCCCAGTGTGTGGCTCTTGACAACTGATTGGACCCCAGACTTAAGGTAAGACTATACAATGTGATGCTCACAGTATGCACATGATGCAGCTGTGAGCAGGGATGGGAGCCGAGGATGGTGCCTGAGCACAGAGGGGAAGAGCATTGGATGGGGAGATTTGAGTTGGAAGGTCAGATCCTCAAAGGTCTACTCATTGGAGTCTCCACATCTGTGAAAGGAGGGGATGATATCTATCTCCTAGTGTTGTAGAAAGTAAGAGTTAATATACGTGAACAAATGATGGCTGGCATTCAAGTGTCGCTCTGTGACCCTCAGAAGGTGTTCACATCCATGAGCTCATCTGAACTTCACAGCAGGGCAGGCATTATTATAATTTCCATTGGCAGACAAGAAACCTGAGGTTCAGAGAATACAAATGACCTGATAGAGATCACCTGACTATTAAGGTAGAGCTGGATCTGGAGCCCAGCCTGACGTCTGCCACTGTCTTTTGCTGTCCACTTAAAAGAGCAGCTTGCACACGTGCAGGGCTACATAGGGTTCAAAGGCCTTTCATGCCCATTAACTGCTTATTCTTCCTAGAAGGATGCATAAGCCCAAAGTTTTGCTATATATGAAGACATGATTTTCATGAGATTCCTGCAGCCAATGAAGAAACAAGCCTTCAGTAATCATGTGGATCCATGGTTTAGTTGTCCCTTATGGGTGACAGGTGATGGGTTATGAGGATTAGATAAGAGCTGTTTGTAAGAATGTCTACAAGGTGCAGTGACAGGCTCTGGTCAGATATTTTGATCATGCTACAGTGCATGAAATTGTTCATAAGAATTGTATGTGCATCTGTATCTAACAGGATCTGCTTATATCTTCAGAAAACTTTGTCATAAATTTAAATTACTTAAAGTGTCTGATCTTCAGATACTTTAAGTAGTGCATTTGAGAATGGGAATGTTGATTACAGTGCGTATAGGGAAATAGATGAATATTCCATTAATAACTATTAAAATCTGCTAAAGCTTAGGCTAAGCTGAATATATTTAGTTGTAATAAAATTGGGTGAACACATTCCAACTTCAGCCTGATTAAGGGAAAGGGTGTAGGGGTGAGACACTTAGGCGGAGCTTGAAAAGGAATGGTGAGAGTTTGGCCAATGGGAAGGAAGGCTGTGCCAGACAGGAATAGTGTGGGCTGACGACAACTGAGGGCAAAGTGCTTGTCCCCTCATAGTTGCGCAATGAATGCAGAGGGGCTGAGGTTCATCTGTCGTCTTCAGCTCTGCAGGCTACATCTCAGGGTGTTTCCTGTGAAAGTTCCAGAAGAAAGCTGTATGGTCAGCTTGGGGAAATATGTGGTTCATGCTGGAATGCTGGACATACCACATTATTGGAAAGATGCACATTGAATGACCGACAAAATGAAACTCAACTTTCCAAATGCTGGTAATGAGAGAAGATTCTGTTCTAATGACCAGTTGTTTCCTGAAAGAATGTCAGCTCGATTCATAATGAATGCATTCTAACCATGACAGCCACAGTCAGGACACAAAAAACAAAGTGTCCTTGATCCCAGGAAACAGCCCTCTGGAATCTGTGAAATCTAGAAACTAGATTGGGAAAACTCTGACACCCCTGCCCCATGACCAACCAAGACTAAGAGTCCCAGGAAGATTGAGGTCACAGAAGGCAGAGGCCTGCCCCCTCTCCAGGAGATCCCTGACCCATGTGGGGTCATGGGCGGGGCATGAGTGATGTGATGGGAAACTGGCTCCTGGCTCCAAGTAGAACGTGACCAACTGGAGCCTGACAGGAGGTCCCTGGCACTGGTCAGCCCATCAAACCAGGTAAGTCCTTGGAGTCTGAGTAGGGACAAGAGACTGTTCTGTGCTTTGGCAGGGATCAGGAAGATGTTAGAATGTGGTTGTTGGAACTTATCTTTGGAGCTGAACAAACATGGCTTTGCATCTCCACTTTGCTATCAACTGAGTGGCTTTAATTAAGTGGCTTCATTTCTTAGATCCTCAGTTTCTTCATATTCACCTGTAAATTTTTTTTTTTACATTTTTAGACTGTTGAGGGCAGTAAATTAGATCATGTACATAAAGCACCGAGCACTGTGCTAGACACATTGGTACTTACTACACAGTGGGATAGCACCCCAGCTGTGACAGCCTTGTGAGGGGAGCTACACAGGAGGCCCAGGGAGAGTGCTCTGAGTTAAGGATAGGTCCAGATCCTACACTTCTAGCAACACCCAAAGCCCCCTCTTGAACATGTTGGGGTGTGATGGGGGTGGGGAGATACAGTCGTGTTCCCTGGCTGTGTCAAAGTGTGAAATCTTTATACTCCGTCTGCCCCAGATTCTCTCAAAGAGCACAGAATTGAAGGATAGCACTGGACCAAGTGTCAGGAGAATTGAGATGGGCTCTGCCACTCCCTGGCTGGGTGACCTTGGACAAGTCCTTCAACCTATTGAGGTCTGGGCTTCTTCATTTGTACATTGGAACAAGATTATCTGCTCTGTCACAGGATGAACTCCAGCCTCATTAGCCTGGCATTCAAGAACCTTCCATCATATTCCCTCACCACAGCTCCCATGAGTCCTCTTCATGCCCACATGGTTCTGCCATATCAAACTCTTCTGGGCCTTTCTTTCACCCCTAGACAGAATGTTCTTGCATTCTGTGTGGGGGTGAATGTTCTTGCCCAAATCTCTGTGTATCTAAAGCCCATATACCTTTGCATCCCCTGCAGCATCTTGCACAGGGGCTTGCATAAAGCAGATCATTGTTTTCTCAGTTAGGATTAGGTTTGGGGCAGGAAAACAAAAATAATATTTATTTAGCAAGTTAGAAGTGATTTTTCTCTTGCCGGGCGCAGTGGCTCACGCCTGTAATCCCAGCACTTTGGGAGGCCAAGGCAGGCCGATCACGAGGTCAGGAGATCAAGACCATCCTGGCTAACATGGTGAAACCCTGTCTCTACTAAAAATACAAAAAAAATAATAATTAGCCAGGCATGGTGGTGGAGGCCTGTAGTCCCAGCTACTCGGGAGGCTGAGACAGGAGAATGGCGTGAACCTGGGAGGCAGAGCTTGCAGTGAGCTGAGAATGTGCTATTGCACTCTAGCCTGGGCGATAGAGTGAGACTCTGTCAAAAAAAAAAAAAAAAAGAAGTGATTTTTCCCTTATGCCAAAAGAATCCTAAAAGGAGGGTAGCCCAGGACTGGGAAGGTGGCTCCTTGTGTTGGGGACCCATGCTCCCTCTGTCTTGCCACACCAGCACTCTTGGCACCCTACCTCATAGTCCCATATGGCTGCCTGGGTTTCAGACATCTTATTCTCATTTAGCCAGCAAAGGATGAAAAGGGCAAAGCATGCATTCTCTTCCTTAAGGGAGGCTTCCTAAATGCTGCACATGACACTTTTGCTTATAGCTTTTTGGCTAGAACTTAGTCACATGGTCATATCCAGCTGCAAGAGAGGCTGGGGAATATAGTTTTTAACTGCACATATTGCCATTCCTTCTTTCTTTCTTTTCTTTCTTCCTTTTTTTTTTTTTAAGAGACAGAGGTCTCCCCATGTTGCCCAGGCTGCTCTCCAACTCCTGGGCTCAAGCAATGCACCCACTTCGGCCTTCCAAAGAGTTGGGATTACAGGGGTGAGCCACCATACCTGGCCATATTGCCATTTCTAATAAAATTGATAGGGGAGACTGGGAGAACAGATATTCACAACCCATACAGTGCCTCTGCCACAGCTACTGAAAGAACCAAAAATATAAAAACTCACTAAGAAGTTTAAAGCCCTATCTAATATATGAGATTATTATTACAAAACACTTAACTCATTTTAGATAAGTTAATTGTCCTGACTTTTAGGTTGAAAACAGCCCAATTTTTCTTCACCTCTAGTGGAAATATGATGACATGTTTTTTCTTTTTTATTTTTTGTAGAGACAGGATCTCGCTATGTTGCCCAGGCTGGTCTTGAACTCCTGGCTCAAGCAATCCTCCTGTCTCAAACTCCCAAAGTGCTGGGATTAGAGACATGAGCCAACATGCCCAGCCAACATATTTTTTTCATAGAATAATAACTCAGAGTTGTAAGTGAAGATAAATTATTAGTCCTTCCCCTTACCTTACCACATTTTACTACTGAGGAAACTGAACTCCAGTGAGGCTAAGTGATGTGCCCATGATGGCACAGCTGAATGGCGAAGGAACCAGAACTGGGACTTGAGTTCCTGGACTCCATCAGGGCTTTTTCCTTGATGAGCAGCCCATTCAGGTTCTGCTAACTGTCACTCGGAAGCCTTGAATTCTGTGCATCTCCTAACCCTGCGTGAGAGCCCTGCTCTGCCAGCACCCCTGGAGGCAGATCCAGGTCACCGTGTTGTCAGCCACATTCTTGCCAGCACGTAGTTCAAGTTTCCATCTGAAGAGAGGGAAACATGAAGAAATAGAGGAGCGTGCTATTAAAATAACGAGGCCTTTTTGCTAAGAGCAAACAATCACTTCCTTTCCTTGGCACCCAGAATCTGCAGGGCCCTGAATTAGGCACTGAAGGGAGATCCAGGGAAGCATGAGGAATAGTCACTGCCCTTGAGGGCCTGGATGTATAGGTTCATTCTACTTTTCATTCATTTATTCAAGAATTATTTCTTGAGCCTCTACCAACAGCAGACACTGAGCCTGGCACTGGGTTTAGAGCAAGAACCATATAACTGGGTATACAACAGTAAACTGTGCAGATATGGTTCTTGCTCTAAAATTGCTTGTAGTCTAGTGAAGGACAGAGGCAAGTAAACAAGCAACTACAAAATGAAATGAAGATTGCAGTGATGGGGAGGGGAGGGGGTACTCTGGGTGTAGACTGGGGTAGGGTGGGCAAGGCTGAGTGGGTGAGATATCATTACAGTGGAAACCCGAAGACTGAGTATGTGTGAGCTAAGCATGCACCATGAGGGGTCTGGCAGTTGGGACGGAAGTGTACTCCCCATGGAGAGAATGTGCAGAAGCACGCATAACCTTCTGACCGGACTGCAGCAGGCCTGGGTGACGGTGGTGGTGAAGGTGGGGAGTGTTGAGAAACACAACCAGCAAGGTAGGCAGGGGCCCGTAAGTGAAGGACTTTGAAAGGCCTGTTGGAGAGTTTCTGTGTTATCTCAAGGCCAGTGAGATAAAGGGCTTGAAGCAGCAGATTTGTATGTTAGAGTCCTCTGGCCTCGGGGTAGAGAGTGGATGAAAGCAAGCAGGATCGGATTCAGAGAGGTCAATTAGGAGCTGTTGCCAGGGACAGTGGCTTGAACCAGGAAACAGCCCAGAGAGGTGCAGAGAGGTTGAGGAATTTGAGACATCTTTAAGAGGTACAACCAACAGGTTTGGAGACTGGGTCGGAAGTAGGAAATGAGGAAAATGGAGGAAACCAACACTTATGAAGAAACAAAGACAGAGGCTGACAAACAAAAGCAATAGCCATTCTCCAGGAAGAAAATGGTGGCATGACCATGTGTTTTGAGCAAGGAAAAATTGCAATGGGCTAGAGAGATTTTGAAGGACTTTCTAGAAGAGTTAGAATTGGAGCTGGGTCTCCGACATGGGTAGGATTTTGGTGGGTAGAGAGGACATTCCAGGCTAAACAATGATGCAAGTTAGAGTTCTAAGGCAGAACAGTGTGTGATTTGTTTAGCATGATTTGGTCATGGTTTTCTTGGGAGAGTCCCAAAGAACTGATTCTCCAGGGGGTGTTACTAAAACTCTTATTGAAAGGAGGGACTACAGAGATGAATCTCATCACTCTCCCAGAATGGCACAGAGCTTTTCATGGACCCCCGGGCCACCTATGTAGGAACCTCAGGGGGTCTGTGGACCACTAAAAGCCCAACATGCCTGAGACTCCACAGATACTGGCTTCCACCATGATAAAGGCAAAAAGTCCCTCTTTCCCAAAATCAATACTTTTATTCTCATAGGCCTCCTGCTGTGGTCTAGTCCCCATGTTGAAAGCTGCTGTCCCAGGGTGTTGCTTCACTACTTCTAGGCTCCTGCAGAGTCCTGCCTCATAGGCCGCACTGGTGAGTGAGGCCAGCAAACCCATCAGGGAGACTACATGAATCCAAGGCCGTGGAAGACTTAGGTTTGGATATTCCCTCTGCTCCCTCCTGGCTGTGTGACCCTAGAATAATTACTCACCCTCTCAAAACCGAGACTCAGAGACGTTGGGTAATTATTCTAGGGTCACACAGCGAGGAAGGAGGAGAGGGAGTATCCAAACCTAAGTCTGTCTGACAGCAAAGCCTGTTCTCTCCATCTCTCCAGGTTCCTAAGCCAGGTGAGCGTTGAACCTTTCTTGAATCAAGGTTCCAATTCCAAGGTAGGAAAGCACAGTCAGTCAGGGAAATATTTACACTGAGACCACGCACCCCAGCCCTTTCCCAACCTGCTCTTGTGTGATCCTTTTGAGGTTTTTTGTTTGTTTTGAGATAGAGTCTCACTCTGTCGCCCAGGCTGGACTGCAGTGGTATGATCTCAGCTCACTGCAACCTCCGCCTCCCAGGTTCAAGTGATTCTCCTGCCTCAGCCTCCTGAGTAGCTGGGATTATAGATGCCCGCCACCATGCCCAGCTAATTTTTGTATTTTTAGTAGAGATGGGATTTCACCATGTTGGCCAGGCTGGTCTTGAACTCCTGACCTCAAGTGATCCCCCCACCTCAGCCTCCCAAAGTGCTGGGATTACAGGCATGAGCCACTGTGCCTGGCCTTAAGTTTTTTATAGATGGGAAAACCGAGGTCCAAACGTGAGCAAGGGCTCTGCATGCTACCTCTCTATTTTCTCAGCCCCTTCTGCAGGCTCCATGCCATAAGAACATGGCTCCTAAGGTTCAGGCCTATGGCCCCAGTTTAGGTGGTGCCTCTGCTCTGCTCCCCACCACCCCAGCCTCCTATTTGAAGGCCAAGACTACTCAGCTTTGATTCAGGTTGAATGAGTCATCAAGGGTAAAACAAAGAAGAGAATAAAACAAAGAAGAGAAGGCCTATTCCCTTGCAGATGAAATCAATCCACTCACCTTTTGACATCTTTTTGTTCTAGAATGATGACAGTATGCAATGACTCAGAATCATCACACTCACAGAGACTACTTTGTATTTTTTCTTGCAAATGAAGAGACAATATGCCCAAAAAATGAGCTGAAAATGGCTCATGAAGGGAGGGAAGATGACCTCCAGCACACCAGGGCAGAGTGGGGGCCACATGAAGGTGCAAGAGTGGGAGGGAACCACAACGCCTTGGCAGAGAGGAGAGCAAGTGGGGGCCAAGCCACAAAGCTCTTCAAGGCCAGTCAACAGTGAAACCTGAAGGAGTCCCATCCATCCCCAAGTCTGCTTGAGTTAAAGCCCTGCACCCTCACAAGCAGCTGGAGGGAGGGGAGGAAAGATATTTTCAAAAGAGCCATCATATATGGGGTGTGGGAAAGAAAAACTTGCTGCGTCTAACACCAGAGAGCCTCTCCAAGCCAAGCCATCTGCCTCAGGGCAAAGGAGGGAATGGAAGCGGGAGAGAAGGGTTTGGAGCCAGCTCTCAGCAACATGTTTCTATCTGGAGAAATGAGCTGAGAAGATCTGAATCTTCTCCAGCCTGTTCTGCAAATGTGGGATAATCGGCCCCTGGCCCAAAGGCTGGTGCTCACAGCGTGGCTCCGGCATTACCCAGGACTTTGGTTCTTGGTGATGGGAAAGAGGACAAATTTGGAAGCCAGAGAAGCTAGGGCTGGATGGTCTGGAGGAAAACCTCCACTTCTCTCAGACTGTTTTTTCTGAGGAAACAGATGATTGCAACCTCAGAGGTTGGGAGGATGAAATGATGTAATGCATCTGGAGCTGCTCTGTAAACTGTAAAATGCTATGCAAACGGTGCTTGTTAATGTGTTTACATATATGGGTGAGTTAACATAGTCTGACAGACTGGACGCCAAACTCAGAGTCCAAGGCAATGGGGCATTATATTCTGTGCCTTAGCATCTGGAAAACATGATGAAATTGGAAATGCATTTATTGAAAATGAAAAGTTTTCTACAGAGCTTCCTGTCCTTTCCAATGAATTCCAGGCTTCCCATGGTGCTTGCAGGGCTCTGCCGGAAGCTGCTGGGAAAGCTGACTTCCATTCTGGTTGCTATGAACTCCATTTTTGGTTCTGTTCTGTGACCATCTTCATTTCAGTCACTTGCACCATTATAAGGATTGAAAAGACTCTTGGCAGAAAAGCAGTTTTTTGTTTCATAGCATTAGGGTTTGATATATAATATTATTTTTGAACAGAAAAATTTCACATAAGAGTTCATAAAGGGTGGTATTTTAGAGCTGAAGGGGCTTAGAAGACTGTCTAGTTCAACCCTGAGATTTTTTTCAGGTGAGGAACTGAGGCCCAGGCAGAAAGACTGGTTTTCTCCAGCCCTCACACATGTCAGTGAGCCAGGGTTAAAATCCCCAGAGGTCTGACTCCTATTCATGTGCTACTTCCCTTACCCCAGGGTCAAAAGCTCAGATGCTTTCAGAGTCCAGATAAGTGAGGAGGAGGGCATTGGCGGGTAGGAAGGTAGGGAGTTGTGGGACATTCAGTTTTGTTTACATTTATCCTGTTAGAGGTTTAACGAGCTACTTGAATCTTAAATTTATGTCAGTCATCAAATCTGGGAAGTTTTCAGCCATTGTTTTTTCAAATATTTTGTTCTATAACAATCTCTTTCTCCTTGCCTTTAAGGATTCCAATGACATGAACATTAGACCATTTGGTATTGTCCCACAGATCCTCGAGGCTTTATTCATTATTTTTCAAACACTTTTCTATCTTTCACATTGGATAATTTCTGATGATCTACCTTCTAGTCTACTGACATTACCTCTGTCATTTGCATTCTGCTATTGGGCCCATCCAGTGAATTTATTTCAGATATTGTGTTTCTCAGTTCTAATATATTGCCATTTGGTTCTTCTTTTATATAATTTCTATTGCTTGACTGAGAATTTCTATTTTTCCATTCATTGTAAGAGCATTCACCTTTATGTCACGCAGGATGATTATAATAGATGCTTCGGAGTTTTTTTTTTCCAGTTCCAACATTGTCTTATCTTTTCCCTTGAGAACTGGTCATGTTTTCCTGGTCCTTATCACTTTGGGTAGTTTTAAATTGTTTCCTGGACATTTCATATAGTATACTATGAGACTCTGGGTCCTGTTAAAATCATAAAGCATGTTGAGTTTTGTTTTGTTTTAGCAGGTAATCAACCCCGTTAAGTTCAACAGCAAGCTCTGTCTCATCTTGTGTAGGCAGTGGTCTCAACGTCAGCTCAGTTTTCAAAGCCTTTGTTAATGCTGTTTGTGTTCCACACATGCACATCTTGGAGGTGAGGTCAGGACTTGTGCTGGCTCCTACATGGAATCCCTTTCTCCCCCTCTTTCCTCTGCAAGAGTTCCGTCTTGCCGGAAAAGGACCAGCTCCTTTTCCTGGTCCTCTGGCTAGAAGGATGGATTTCTCTCAGAGCTGGAGCCGCTGATGATGTCACAAAGTTTCATGCCACTTGGCCAGACCTTAGAGCAAAGTGCAAGGGGAAAAAAGTGAGGACTCCCCTGATACTTTTGACATAACAGGGACCCCTTTTCTGAATTTCTGTACCCAAAGGGACAGGTTTTCTCTTGAGATTTTAGTGCTCAAGCTGCTGCCAAGGTGATGGCGATACAGTTTGGGGGCTGCATCTGACTGTGTGTCCAAGCTGAGAGAGAAAAAAAGACAAAGATTTTCCCCACACTTTTTGTCTTGCAGAGGCCCCTTTTCCAGATTATCTATCCAGAAAGATGGGCCATTTCTTGGGGTTGTTGCTGTCTATGACTGCTGGGAGGTCTCATGATTCAGCTCACCCTTGGGCCAAAGCCAGGAGAAAACAAATTCCAGGAAATTCACCATCACCATATTGGTCATTCAGCAAATTTTGACTTCTTTTCGCAATCTAGCTGCTTTTAGAGGACTTTTCAGAGACCTCAGTTAATTGTTTTTTTTGTATTTTGTTAAGAGTGTTTGGTTGTAATCAGTGAGGGAGATAGTGTGCAATGCATGCCTTCCATTTGGTTGGAACTAGAAGTTGAGCAACACAGTTGGAATTCATCTTTTTTGGTTAGTGCTTCCCCAGGACTTTCACGGACAGAATCCCAAAATAGAACCTGTATTTGGGAATCCTATATTCCCTGGCCTGGTGGTGGCAGGTCCCAGGAGTCTATGGCTCCAAGTTTTCTACCTTATTTGGGTAGACACTTAAAACAATGCTCATTCAACAAAGACGTAGTGGGTGCCCACCATATGCTATATCCTGGAGACACAAAAATGACTAAGACATAGTGCCCACCCTCAAGTAGCTCATGGGCGAGTGGAATAAAGGGATTTTCAGTAAAAATTTAAGATCCAAGCTTGAAAGCTTCTTTCCCAAGACATCTTGTGGATCTGAGAACCACAACACCTTGTCAGAGAGCAATTTCTAGCCTGATTCTGGAGCTTTGCCCTTCTAGAAACTTCTATCATTGTTTCTCTCCTCTGAGCGGAACCAACAGTAAAGCACTATATATTAAAAAACAGTATATAAAATTCTCCTTTTGTTTTGTGAACTCTACAAATGCCTAGATTACCTGTTTTTAACAGTCTTCTTGCCTACTAAACATAGACTTAGAGAACACAGTCTGTTTTGGGGCTCCAGAACTCAAAAGGGAAGTGAAGACAATGGAGAGTGTTCAGATAGCACTTTTAGTAGATAGAATCTGATATTTAAAAATAAAGAGTGGGGGAGTTGGGGGCCATCTGCCAAGGAGATAATCCTTCATAAAGCAGATTAACCATATCTTTGTCTTAGTTCAAATCACTATAACAAATTACCATAGACCGGGTAGCTTAACCAACAAACATTTATTTCTCATTGTTCTGGAGGCTAGAAATCTGAGATCAGGGTGCTAGCAGAGACAGGTTCTGGCAAGGGTCTTTGCCAACTTTTGCTGTATTCTCACATAGCAGAAAGAGAGCTAAAAAGCCGTCTGGTACCTCTTCTTACAGAGGCACCAATCCAATTCATGTGGGCTCCACCCTCATGACCTAATCACCTCAAAAGGTCCCACCACATAATACCATCACACTGGGGATTCAATTTCAACATGTGAATTTTGGGGGAACACAAACACTCAGTCCATAACACTCCCCCAGCCCACCTCTGCTGCCTTTTCTCTTTGAAAGCACTTACCTTCTCTTTCTGCATTGATGTAATGCCAGAGGATTGGATCTGGGAAAGGAAGTAAATGTGGGAGGGAAGAATCAGGGTTCAGCCATTTAGCGAGCACAAGTAGGTGCCGTGTGTCAGCAAGGGTACCCTGTGCATGAGTTATTTTACCACCCTTACAGCAATCCAGCAGGCCTGTGTGATAAGTGTTGTGTTTCCTGTGTGGTAGACGAGGAGACCGAGACTCAGAAGTGACGTGATTTTTCTCAAGGTATTAGCTGGCAAATTGTAGACTAGAATCCAGGTCTCCTGAGTGTGGGTTCTGTTTATCTAGTTTACCTACTGCGCCGGCCTCTAAGACTTTGGGGTCTGAATATGTACCTCTTCATACCACTAGAGCCCCAGCAGTCTTCTAAGTGACATGTGAGCCATACTGGGGAGGAGTTTGGGGAAAGGAGACCTTACCACTGACAGCAGAGTCTGGGGGCTCACAAGAGAGGAAGATGCCCACTGGGAAGCCAGATCTCAGGTTCTTCAGACCTATACCTCCCTGGGATATAATTCAATCAAGTGCTTATTCCCCTCTTTAAAAAAAACTAAAATGATGCAGAAACTAACTATGAAACAAAGGAAGAAAAAACAAGAGAAGGCAGGGATTATTTCCCAGGACATTTTCCTCTGACCAGGAGGGTAAGTTGGGGACAGAGGACCGACTTGGTGGGGATCAGAGGCAGCCCAAGGGAGAAGAGTCATTCCTTCTACTCTCCCACCTGTCCTCATTGCTGGCTCTGACCCAGATGAGAGCTGGGGGCGTTGACATGGGAAGCTTCTCTCCTTCCTGAGTGGTCAGTGAGGGGCAGCTTCTCCTCCTACTCCAGGAGGGTTGCGGGAACCTGCATGTTGCATCCCAGAGCAGCCAGAGCTTCTTCTTGCCAGTCTCCTACCTTCCCTTTCTGGCTCCTTTACTCCCACCTCCTCATGCCCTCTTTCTCATTTAATAGCAGGGAGAAAGGAAATGAAACTTGATGGAGCCTGACTGTGCCAGGCACTGTGCCAAGAACTTTGTGTTCATTTGTTTCTAGAAGAGGGCTTGGTATACTGTAGATGCTCAATAAACGTTAACTCTTAGCTTTAGTGTCTCCGGTCCTTCACTTCAGTGATCTCTAGGCACAGTTGATGGCTCAGTTTCACAACTGCTGCAGAGAGGATGAAAGAACAATGTCAAGTGGTTGGGTGGGGGAAAATGAAACTGGCATTAGGGCTAATCACATACATTTCTCAGGGTGCTCCTCTTTTGAGGCCCTATTTCCATGAGAAGGAAATTGAGGCAAACCCAGAAGTTGACAGCTTAGCTGGGAACCAAAGATGATGATATACGGGAGCCCATGGAATCTCATAGCTCGAGCAGCACTTTTGGCACCAACCTGCACCCAAAGAGCATCTTTAAAAGTTGTCACATACTTGCTCCGGGCAGCTCTTTCACACCACTACCATGCTCTGTGCCAGACATGACTAATTTTTTAAATCTCTGACACTCTTAATTAGTCATGAGCTAATTCTGTAAGAATGTTAGAGTAAGCACACTAAAATTATATTCTTCTGCAAAGAGAAAGAAGATTACCTGAGACCACTTGTCCCCCCTCAAAGAAGCAAGGTCTCAGCCAAAATCTTTGAAGCCTTGTGACATCAATAGATTTTCTAGGGTGGCATCATGTCCTTTTGATTTTTCTGTATATAGTAGTTCAAATGCCACCTTCTCCTCTCCTTTCCATTGCCACTGCCCTGGCTAGGTCCTCATCAGTGCCATCAACTCTCACCAGGCTCCCTGCCACCAATCCAAACAAAACCAAACACTACTAATCATGGATCTTCATGGCACGTTTGCTTTCGTTGGCTCCAAAAGCCTCCAGTGGCTTTCCATTGCAGATTGGAAAGGTCTAGACTCAGCGATCAAAACTTCCACCACTGATTGCTTTTCCAAACATCTCCCCTACTTCCTGTTGTGAATACCACCTGGTTTACTTATTATCTCTGGCTTGCCATTATCTGGTTTACTTATTATCATCAATATGTCTAGACCCTTCTGATCTTCCCAACTTTACCCGTGCCTTTTCAGTTCTCTTCTTCTCATTCCTCACCACTGATGGACAGTCATCCTTCCTTCCAAGAAGGGCTTAAGTCTGGTTGCCTGGACTCTAGATAATTTCCCTCCTCCTTAGCAATTCCACCTTTGATTGTCTGGACTCCTTGTGCCATGTACAATTATCCTGTATTGTTAATTGTCTTTCTATGTCTGTAACTTGCTTCTGTGTTATAGACATCATCATGGCACAGTGCCGTGCTTTTTCACAGAATAGGTACTTAATATTCTATTATTTAATTTACTAGAACTTTGCAATTTCATAAAGATAACTTTGTCATTAAAAATGTTTCCAGTGGGGATTTAGGGCCCTTGAGATGGTGCAAGAAAAGGAGATAAAGGGTTTTTTTTAAGCTATTTGTTCTTTCTGTGCAAATTACATAACTTCCAATTATTTCCAACGTTAAAGAAATAGTCCCTCTGAATCCTTTATGATTTAAACATTAAAATGATTCACTAGTTTTTAGAAAAAAAACAAAAAACAAAAAAACAAAAACTGCTGTCACCCTTCCAAAAATGTAAAAAAGAAGAAAGAAAACCCAAATATTGGCTCTTTTGGAGGAAAAATAAACTGGCTGTGCTTTTATTTCTCCAATATTCTGAAAGAACTGGGAATGCACCACAAAATGGCAGTGCTTGTGTGTACCCGAGTGTGTACACCTCACCTCTGTCTTGAGTCCACTCTCCCTACCAAGCTTTTCTTGGGTAGAAGTCATGGAGCCATATCCAGCACCAGTCACCTGAGCACTCCTCTCATAAAGGAGACTTTGGGTTTAATCCCTGCCAGGGGGATTCAAGTGCTGCTCTCCTAAGGAGGAGAGCAGGTTTTCTTTGCTTGACTATATTTCAACACCTCTGACAGAATGACTCCAGCCAGCCAGGGTGCTTTTTTGCTTCCCAGCTTCTCATAGCGCCCCAGATGTAGCATCCTTTCGGTCCTCAACATTTACTTCCCTCTTTACTCACTGTATTAGTTTTCTGTTGCTATGTAATTACCAAAGCTTATTAATTTAAAGCAATACAAGGTGGCGCGCAGTGGCTCATGCTTGTAACCCCAACACTTTGGGAGACCAAGGAGGGCGGATCACCTGAGGTCAGGAGTTCGAGACCAGCCTGGCCAACATAGTGAAACCCCGTTTCTACTAAAAATACAAAAATTAGCCCAGTGTGGTGATGCATGCCTGTAGTTCCAGCTACTCAGGAGGCTGAGGCAGGAGAATTGCTTGAACCCAGGAGGCAGAGGTTGCAGTAAGCCAAGATTGCACCATTGCACTCCATCCTGGGCGACAGAGTGAGACTCTGTCTCAAAACAAACAAACGAAAACACACACACAAATTTATTATCTCATGGTACCAGCTGGCTCCTCTGCTCAGGGTCTCACTAGGCCCAAAGCCCTTTTCATCCTGTGTCCCTGTCTATCACTGCCATCATCCCACATCCCTGTCTCTGTGGCATCTTGTGCTTCACAGCTCAAGGTCATATTATCTGCATTTAGTTTTGAGACAATCATAACGTTATGACCACTTTCTCCATTCTTCTCTGCTAGCTGAGTTTCTCCAAGGCCTAAGACATAGGCCACACCCTCACAATTCTATACTCAGGCACTTTCTAAAATCACACATTCCTTAATGCAGTGAAGAATTGATGCTCATGAGTGACATCCTACATTGAAAGGAAGAGACGTGGCCGGGCGCGATGGATCACGCCTGTGATCCCAGCACTTTGGGAGGCCAAGGTGGGCGGATAACTTGAGGTCAGGAGTTTGAGACTAGCCTGGCCAATATGGTGAAACCCTGTCTCTACTAAAAATACAAAAATTAGCTGGGCGTGGTGGCAGGCGCCTGTAATGCCAGCTGCTCGGGAGGCTGAGGCAGGAGAATCGCTTGAACCTGGAAGGCGGAGGTTCCAGTAAGCCAAGATCGTGCCACTGCACTCCAGCCTGGGTGACAAGAGTGAAACCCTGTCTCAAAAAAAAAAAAAAAAAAAAAAAAAAGGAAGAGACACAATTACCTGAGGGATGAATGGCAAATGTTCTATTTAGAAACGCATTTTTAAAGCTCACCTTGTAGGGTTTCTTGTCATGCATCATTTAAAAAAATAAATTAAAAACCTTGAATATTAGGCTGAGGATTTTCTCTTGAAAGAGACAAAGAGACATGGTCAAGTCACTGGGAATTTCATGACTTAGGAGGATTCTCTCAGAAGACTTTCTAAGAATAACTTCAATAATCTCCAATAATCTGCAACCTACTTTTCTTTCATTGAAACAAACAAAGTTAGCTATGGAATTAATATTTGGAAAATGAAGAAAGCTTAAAGGAAATAAACATTTCCCATAATCTTACCATCCACTGAAAACCATGGTTAACTTGACATGGGAGTGGGCTTGGGTTGGAAAAAAATAGGGAGAGAGTTTTATCTCTGGAAAGCATTGCTGGCTCCCTTCCACACTTTACAGCATGTATTAGCTTAGTGACACTGTAGGGAGAAGCACAAGCCATGTAAAGAGGACTTAATTTGTCAAGATTTACTGACTAGCTAAGGGCTAAAAAGAGATGAGTGGGGTGGAAGCAATGGTTTCCACAACACCCCCAAGATAAGGGGTATCACTTGTGCAAATTTAGCACCAGGGAGTGGGGCCAGCCCAGAACTTCAACTCAACATTTGTCAAGCCCTCAGTATACCTTCCAACCCAGAAAAACAATAAAAATGTTAATTTTTGAAATCACTAGCAAAATACTAAATACAAGGTCAATATTTTAAACCAAAGTGCCCTGAGAGCACCGTTGTTTCTAATGACTTCCTCCTCCCTGATCGTCTATTTTTCTCCCTGGTCTTATCTTTCTGAACTTTTTTGCTGCAATTGTTGAGCGTCAAAGGCTGAAACCACTATTATCACCACTATTACTGCCCTCCTCTCTGCATTTGAACACCCTGCTGCATCCTGCATCTTGCCTCTTCCTTTATACTTGCTGCTTTGGATGAGGTCCCATGTATCATCCTCAGCCCGGGATTTTCAGGCTCCTAGAAGACATTTCCTCTTACTGAGGCATGGACACGTGCAATTGCAGCCAAAGGTGAATTGGTTGTCAGGTGTTCCTTCAACTTGGCTCCTCTCTGCCCTCTCACTGCCTCCTGCCATCTAATCAGCTCTACTTATCTGCCCCTTAGAGGGACCATCTCTTCAGTTATTAGCCATTCTTGTGTACACACAACCTGCTGGTTTTCACTTCCTTGTATTTGCTCAGACAGTTTTTTCCACTAAGAAGGCAGATGCCTCAAAACCCAGATGGACACTGACTTTCAGAAGCTCTGCCTAAAAAAAAAAAACCCACCTACATCTCCTACTTGGCATCTCTAAGCACTTGTGTGTTTAGCCTGGGCTGTGTGTATTTTCACATGTTTATGTTGTTTTCATTCTTGACTTTATAGTGATGACAATACTAATTACTACTTATTTAAGGACTAGCATGTTCCAGGACATGTATCTTTTTTTTTTTAAAGGGCATAGGCAGAAGGAGAGGAAAAGCAGTTCAGAGTACTAAGGGGCTATGATTGGAAGGGTGTCAAGAACTAGCTCTCTCACCCTCAAAAGGCCTCCCTGGCCCAGCCTGTCCTGCCTAAATTCTCTAATCAGAGTGCAGGTCACTGGGGAGTGAAGATTCTCAACCTCACTCACCTCTTTCACCCCTCCACATCTGCCCACCCCATCTCCACTATTTAGTGCAAAGGCTCCTGGGAACAGCGACATTCTAAACTGTTAACAGCTGAAGCCTTCCAAAGGATTCTGTCCCCCAGTGACAGTTGGCTGAAGACTGTGAAAGAGAAAGAGCGGTCCTTCAGGGTTGGGAGACCAAGAGGGAAGGGAAATTACTAGCCTCAGGAAGAAGCAGACTCCCAGCCTGAGCTCCTCACAGCCTACTCCTCCCCAAGCCATGCCTGCAAGCCTCCTTGAGGGTTTATGGGGCATAGCCCTACAAGGGACCCAGAGATGAATCAGACATGGATCCTGCCTTTGAGGAGCTTACTGTCTACTGGCAAAAAGTGCCGAGTACAGTTTCAACCCAGGGCAATTTCAAGGGTTGTGGGACTTCAGAAGAGAGAAAGACGTGGGCTGGACATCAAAGAAGGCCTGCCAGAGGAGGTCGCGTTTGAGCTGGACCTCGAAAGATGGCAGGGGACTTTCCACAGGCAGAGATTGGAGGTGGTGCTAGTTATGAAGCCAGACACCTTCAGTTTGAGGCTGTGATCTGTGAGGACAGTGGGGAGAGGGGAAAGCCAGAGAAGGGTAAAAGGCTGAGGAAACCCTGGCCACCTTCTCTAGTAAGAGGACACCAAGGATCACGCTTTGCCTGCTTTAACATCTTGCCTACCATTGCCCTGATGAAAATAGGCCACTGTTTTGAATTAGCTAAAAGTTGAGAACTCAGACTTGGATTTGACAAGGGCCCTCTGAGGGCAGTTAAACCAACTCTCAGCCCCATGATTCTATGAGTCTGTGATTCGCAGGTGGAGCCAATGACACACCTTTGGGACTAGGCAAGGCCTCTTGGTCAGCGAATTCCCTCAGGGGAATAATGCTCCTTCACAGGAGAATGGCAGATGGAAAAACCCCAAAAAGTGAATATGCCCAGGACTGCTCAATTGAATTTACAATAGTTCCAGATTATTGACTAGCTCATGCCTGTCAGCAGAGCCAGAATGGACACATACTTTGAAGAGTATGATGGCAGGTAGAGGTGAAAAAAAAGACTGAATGTGACTTTAGATGGCAAGAACATGACAGTGAGGTACTTGATGAGAACCCCCCAAAAATGATCAAGAAGGGGTAACTGGGTGATAAAGGGGGAGATTAAGAAGCCTACACTTTATTATACCCAGTTCTTTTTTTCCCCACTGTTGCTATTTTAGAATTGCAGCTCTACATTTTGTGGAGGTTACAGAAGGAATCTTGTGAATATTTTTTCTCTGACAGGGAAATAATTATGAAAATCTTAACTTTTATAATATTTGTGCAAATTTCAAGAATAAGTTTTGTTTTATCTTTGGTGGCACCACATGCTTTGGACTTTTGTTTTTAAATCCCAGCATAACCAGTATTTTCCGAGGATTCTAATCATTCCCAGTGGGCTGAATTTAGCCAGCAGTAACCCTAGCCTTGCAAAGACAAAGCAACCAGTGATATTTGATAAAATAGAAGCTGACAGACAAATCAGGTCTAGTCAATCAAAGGATGACGAGCAGAAGACCCAGGCCAGAGAGAGCACTAGCACGTCTTGGATGGCCAGAAAAAGTAGGGAAGGAAGGCACGCGGGGGGTCAGCCCAAATAGGGGTCAGTATGCAGGGCTCTGGCCTCCAATCCTAAGACCCCTTGGGAGGGGAAAAGCATTCATTTTCTACTTCACTTTTTATGTACTTGCCTTGGCAGAAGGAGCCTTGGTCTTGGAGGTGTAGCCCCGGCATCCCAAATGAGATGAAGCCTGCCTCTGGTCAAGTTAGGACCAGAAAGGCTAAATTGATCTAACTTGGAAAGGAAGCTTTGTGCTATCTCAGTTTTATGCTCAATGTCTGCCTTTGAGGGGCAAGAACAGCCATACAGGAGAACAAAGAATCTCAGGGTATCAGAGAGAGGAGGCAACATAGCCAAGTCCAGTATGAGAAACCTGCCTTCTGGGGATTTCTTCATATAGCTGTTCTTTCAGCTGGTCTTTCCAGCTTCTGTCTGCCCCCAGTAGGTTGCCTCAAAAGCCCAGTTTTCCTTTGATCATTCCAAGCCCCAGCGAAATACCTCTTTAATGCTTAATGTGGCAGTCACCTTTGGATCTGACTTCCCTTCTGACAGTTCACCACCCTGTGAACTGGTTCCATTGTCTTCCCTGGAAAGGTAGTTCCCTTTCTTAGCCTCCTATTCACTTCTGTTGGCCTCTTTTTCCTTCCTGCTGTTTCTCCTAAAACATTTTGCTGGCCTTCAATAATATTGGTGTCCAAATTCAGTTTGGGGCCTACCACCGTTTTATGTCTCTGTGGGTTACAATTTTCTTTGAGGAATGTCCTCATTACCATATATTTTTAAACTAAATAGTTTGCATGAACAGGGATCCTCAAGCATTTGATACAATAAGAAAGGCATAGAATGGCGGTGTAATTTGGGGGCAAGCGTGTTTGCTGTAGGAGGGAAAGGCAGCGGAGAGGCTGGTTCCCAGTATAGGGTTGGAGGAGGAGCTGCTGCTGGTACTGCTCACATGCTGCATTCAGGCTGCTGGCACAGGGGGTTCTGGAGCTCCAGGCCTGGCAGGCGTGGTGGGAGGAGCAGCACCTTTGTGGTCTTCTTTTTGAAACTCTCTGCCTTGACAACTGATTGGGGAACAAGGAGTCAGTTTCACTCAATTCTCCTATAGGTGACTCAAACCTCTATCACACCCAATCATCTGCCCCAGAGATGATCTCTCCTATGAAAGCAGTTGAAATGCACCAAAGTGATTTCTTGAGAGTCTTATTCCTCACTGAGAAGCTAATAGGCTGCGTGCGGCCCTCTCGTGAGTTGTAGCTTAGGTCATGAGCATAAAACCCAGTAAATTGTGTAGAAAAATGTTGAAAGACTCCACAGAGCCTAGACAAGAAGTAGAGATCATGGATCTGCCTTCTCTTTTTAAAGGCTCCTTAGGAGTCACTTCCTCCTCAAAACCCTTTTAATGGATTTCTATGAAGAAAATCATCTAAATAAGAGTTTTACTCAAACTGGGGTCAGTACTTCCTGGTGGCTCAGGACTCTGAGGGGAGCTGATAGACACGCTGTGGAAGCACACTGACAATGGTTTGGTCCTGCCTACCGGTTGCCGTTTCACTCTTCCTGTTGCTCAGATTGGCTGTGCATTCTCTTGCTTTCAAACAAATGTAACTGCATGAATGAAAGCACTCCCATCCCCATTTCTGCCCAGTGAAATCCTACCTCTCCTCTTGGCTCAGCTCAAATGTCGCCTCCTCTGTAGAACCTTCAATGAGTGTCCAGTGGGAGGTCAGTGTGCCCTCTTCTGGACTCAACAACCATTTGGTTGGGTGCTCCCCTACACTCTAAAATGAGGGTGTTTAGCAAAGGTCTTATCTCCCCTGCTGGGCTGTGAACAAGTGAGTAGAAGGTTGCTGAGCATCGAAGCTAGGATAAGCCAGAAAGGTGGCACTTGTTTTTTCAGCTGCCATTAAATTCCTGTAAAGGAACTTCTCACTGAGGGTGCTCATTCTGTGTGTGGGGAACTGCATGAAAACACTCCTCATGGCCTTTTGTTTGCAAAGGCACAGTTAGGTCTGCAAACACAGAATTTGAGCAGCTGTGGCAAAGCAGCCCTGATCACATGGCCCATCTTTTCCATTCTCCAGCTGTCCTGACCAAAGGCCACGCTGGAAACAGCTCTAAGAGCCACTAAGAGCTGTGGAGGCAGGAGTAGAGGAGGAAAGACAAATGTCAAAATTATTGGATGATCCTGGGTAGCAACTGGCCAAGGGGGATTAGAATGGGTGACAGAGCCTTTCACCTTTGGGGTCAGCAGCATGTCTGACTTCAGGACCAGAAGGCCAAAACATCTGTCAGCTGAGCAGCAGCTCCTGTGAATGAATCGCCTTTGTCTTGTTGGAGGCGGGGATGAGTGTGAATTTATTTGCTCAACAGAAAGCCATGTAAACCTGAGATCAGATGGAAGCTCTGGTGGTGGCAAGAAGCCCAGTAGCCCTTCAGACAGAAGATGCCCATCAACAATGGAAAGGAGTACACAGGACCTCGGAAGGAAGGGTCCTCTCTCTTGGCGGAAGGCCCCTCACCTCTTTGTGAAGCCCTCTGGGGCAGAAAAAGGCCTTGCCGGTTCCAGCAAAACTTCATGGAGCATGGGGGTGGCAGATGGGGTGCCTGGTCCCAGCCACTCCTCTCCCAACTTCCCACTAGCCATGTGGGCAAGCTCACATTAGCAATGAGCTCAGGCCTGCTTTGCTCATTTAAGGAAAAGCAGTGATCCCATTATCCCAGGGGTGATTCTTTGCCCCAGACGCAGCTCCTTTTTTCTAACTTCCTTCAGCCCTGCTGGCTTCTCCTCAGCAGTAGCTAATGTGGGATGATGATCAGCAGCAGTTGAGCTATTTTTAAGTCAACAAACTACCAATGCTAAGAGTTCCTCAGAAAGCCAGGAAATTCGGAGCCTCAGAAGCAAATGCTAAACATGATTGATGGGCATGGAAGGGAATGTTTTGGACTGCTGTTCACAAAAGGAATCCCTTGAATTTAATCCTAAAAATGGCCAAGCTAGAAGAGTCCTTAGAAACCATCTAGTCTGCTTTTTCCCTCCCTAGAAAATTTCTACAGATGAGAAAGTAAAGTGGATGATGGTTTAGGGCTGAGGCACTTAGCTGATCTAGAGGTGGAAGCCAACTCTTCCTGATTCCTATGTGAATGCTCTTTCCACAAAGATCAGTAGAATGTTTCTGGATTTCTTTGTTTCAATGAGCTTCGATTATCACACTTTATTTTTCTTAGCATGGGCTCCATAAAACTAAATTATTGTACAAAATCTAAATAAGTTAATTAAACAAGCACCAGACACAGAGTAACTTAAATGACATCAGGGTGCTAAATCTCAGTTTATAGTCAGTGGACAGATAACTCTGAAATATCAGCTGGTGGCATATCCAAATCAGTAAGGAAGGACCATTTGGTTTTTATGCCACCTGAACAGTGGCGGCATTCCAGCTGGTGAGTCTTCCTGGCCTCTTGATGCAGTACTCCCCTTCAGCTGATGCTTTGCTCTCTGGGGTTAATTCAATATCCAGGGGCAGGGAGCCAGACTTGGAAGGTCCTCTCCCCACATCTAACTCCTGCTTCAACACCCAGCTCCAACGTCTTCTCTGTGAAGCCTTCCTACATCTTCCCCCATTCCTCAGAGTAGCCTAAATCCTCTCCTAATGCCCCTCTTTATAATACCCCTACAGTCACACTGTAAGGTTACTGTGTTAGGCCCCCATCAGGCCTAGGGTGTGTGTGTGTGTGTGTGTGTGTGTGTGTGTGTGTGTGTGTGTGTGTGTGTCATGCCTACAGTGAATCTCTCCAGAAACACCAATGAACAGGTTTGACTACAAGGAGACTACAATGAGAATTTTATTGCCAATATAGGAGATTTGGGACCCACACCAGGTAGAGTTTACTAGAAACAAGATACCCCTACTGCAGTAGGCATTGAGCAGGGAGGGAGACAGGGGAGGGAGCAGAGCAGAGCACTGGGGGTGTCTGCAGGAAAGCCTTATTGAAATCATGGAAGCTGAGGTAGCTTATGGGAGCCTGGGTCTTAGAACTGACCCCTGGGTCATTGAAAGAGAAGCCCCTCTTGGAGGGGAATGAGAGGCTGCAGCAAGCAGCTCTGAGTCACACAATCAGGAAGGCATTGAACGCTTGAGGCAAACAGCCATTATGACAAAGGAGAAAATGCACTTTACTCCATGGGACTCTGTCTCCCCCGGTGGACCTAGCATGCTGGGCAAAAGCAGCTATCGTTTGGCTTGAGGCTCATCTGTTAAAGAGGAGGCTGGTGTAAACCTAAGCATGGGGGCATGTGGAGATGAGGGAGAGGGCTGGCCGGGCTGTTTGGAGTCTGGGCCTGTCTCAGCTCTGCCACTAGTTGGTTGCATGGCTTTGAGTAAATCTGCTCCATCAGAATAATGTGGGCAAGATAAATTCTCAAGTTCTTCCAGGTCTAAAGGTCTGGGATCCTAGGGCTGCGCGAACCTGTTCCCACCTCAAACCTGTTCATTGGTGTCTCTGGAGAGAGATGGACACAAAAGTCGTCACTTGGCCCTTTTGGAAACAGTTGAGTCAAAAAGTCTTGGCCTCCTGCTCATTTTTAACCAGGGCCTCACAGAAAACAGTTCGCAATCCAACTGGTACACTGGCATGAGGTTGTAAATCCTATCTGGGAAAGCAAACCAGAAACTTCTACCCTTTGGTGTTCAAAAATACTTCATTTTTCTTAAAATTGTCTTTTTAAAACTGTAAAGGTCTGTAAACATTAGTTTTAGAACAATTGCTCCCCAATAATTTATTTTACAAACAGGAATATGAAAAATAAATGGTGGTAGGAGGAAGGACCCACTAAGAACACCATTTTTAAATTTTGCTAAGTAAGGACATTGAGGGAAAAAACTCAAACTCTGATCTACCATCATTGTTTAATGTTCGGCAAACATGAAGCATTTTAATACCAAAAAAAGTGAGGAGAATAAATCTCAGCATAAAGGAACAACTTTTTAAACTGAATTTAGCACTATGAAAAATGTACCTCATTTTCTGTAATTTTAGCGAGTTTCCCGCGGATGTACACTGGCCCCATGGATTGGCGCTGGGGATCACCAGTTTAGAGGTGCCAGTGCCTTCTGACAAAGGCCCATGGATCCATATGACTGCCTGTCTGTTCTTTTTAGAGACGGGCCCACACTGCAGAGAAGTGATTGTGAAGGTCTCCAACCCTGTCATGCCCCCACCTGCCACCTTGACTTGGGAGAGGGACACTCACAAAAGCATGTCAAATCGACATCCATTTCTTTCTCTTTCCCTCAGGTCTCAGGGAGTTTTCCTCTTCTCCTCGGACTCTTTCTCTCAAGGCCTCTTCTACAAAAACCCCTGCCCAGAGGGTTACTGCTAAAATGAAACTCCCGTGTCTGTCCCCTTCCCTGGCCCCCAACTGACTTGCCTGCCTCTGCTTGCTGCTGTCCCTGCCTATTCCCCTTCATGCTGGCTCTAGAAAGATGCAATCTTTTTCCCAGGCCCCAGCCTCTCTGGCCTCCCTGCCATCCAGCTTCTAGCCTCCCTTCTCTGGAATCTATGGAAGAATCATCAAGCAGCTTCTGGAAATCCAGGAGTCTGTCCTTGGTCATGGTCATCTTCAACCTGTCTGTGTTCTTGAGAACGTTCATGTGCTCCCAGAAACATTCTTTTTGTCTGCCTTTCCTGGTCTGGCCACATTTGACTGTGTCACTTCTCTCTTTTCTCACTCTTCTCTGCCCTCCACAGACCTCCGTGCTGCCAGGACTTCCTAACGGAAGGGCTTGGCTGGCTCCCCGAAGCCATCCAGAACTGGACCCGAGGGACCCAGCTCAACTTGAATGTCCTTTTATCTGCCCAGGAGATGGGAAGATGCTGAGACCATGCTTCAGTGCTGTCCCACATCTGTCTTTCTGAGTTTAGACTTGGTTTTTCCATTATATTCCATTCAACTGATTTTTCCATGATATTCCACAATGTCTTACCTAACTCTAGCTTTCTATACTCAACAGCAATGCCTCCTGAGAGCCTCCTGGGTGTCAAGTACTCTGTTGTGTGCTTTTGAGGACTAGGGTGTTAGCAAGGCACAGTCTCTGACTTTGCAGGGCTCACAGATTCATGGGGAAAATTGATGTTCCAGTTACAGTGAGGCAAGGCAATCTGGCAGTAACTCCATAGAGAGGAATGACAGGCTGGGCCTAGGAATGGAGGGGAGCGGGTAATAGAGGATCCTAAGGAAACTGAGAGAAGAGGGGCTGGAGTGCGGCTGGTCTGCGCTCCTGTGCATTGCCTTGGCTAACATTTTACTTGTCCTTCTGAATCACCCTGGCATTGTCAACAAAGAATAATGTATGATCCTTCTTGGAGTAAAAAGCCTTCAGCAGTGCTTCACAAAAAATTCTATTGTATATTTTGTGTCCTACCTCAAATTAATTAAAAAAAAAAAAAAAAAAACACGTTGTTAATTCGCTCCAAGCCCACTCAGCTGCTGAAGAATTTTGAGTATTCAGCTAGAGATCTTTGTAATGAACAAGTAGCTCAATTATTCTGGTTTCATTATACAATGTATCAGGCATTCTTTTTTTTTTTTTCCCCAAGGCAGAAGAATTTTTCTTAGTACAGAACAAAATGAAAAGTCTCCCATGTCTACCTCTTTCTACACAGACACAGCAACCATCCTATTTCTCAATCTTTTCCCCACCTTTCCCCCTTTTCTATTCCACAAAACCGCCATTGTCATCATGGCCCGTTCTCAATGAGCTGTTGGGTACACCTCCCAGACGGGGTGGTGGCCGGGCAGAGGGGCTCCTCACTTCCCAGTAGGGGCAGCCGGGCAGAGGCGCCCCTCACCTCCCTCCCGGGGGGCGGCTGGCCAGACGGGGCGGCTGGCCGGGCGGGGGGCTGACCCCCCACCTCCCTCCCGGACGGGGCGGCTGGCCGGGCGGGGGGCTGACCCCCCCACCTCCCTCCCGGACAGGGCAGCTGGCCGGGCGGGGGGCTGATCCCCCCACCTCCCTCCCGGACGGGGCGGCTGCCGGGCGGAGACGCTCCTCACTTCCCAGATGGGGCGGCTGCCGGGCGGAGGGGCTCCTCACTTCTCAGACGGGGCAGCTGCCGGGCGGAGGGGCTCCTCACTTCTCAGACGGGGCGGTTGCCAGGCGGAGGGTCTCCTCACTTCTCAGACGGGGCGGCCGGGCAGAGACACTCCTCACCTCCCAGATGGGGTCGCGGCCGGGCAGAGGCGCTCCTCACATCCCAGACGGGGCGGCGGGGCAGAGGCGCTCCCCACATCTCAGACGATGGGCGGCCGGGCAGAGACGCTCCTCACTTCCTAGATGGGATGGTGGCCGGGAAGAGGCGCTCGTCACTTCCTAGATGGGATGGCAGCCGGGCAGAGACGCTCCTCACTTTCCAGACTGGGCAGCCAGGCAGAGGGGCTCCTCACATCCCAGACGATGGGCAGCCGGGCAGAGACGCTCCTCACTTCCTAGACAGGATGGCGGCCGGGCAGAGACGCTCCTCACTTTCCAGACGGGGCAGCCAGGCAGAGGGGCTCCTCACATCCCAGACGATGGGCGGCCAGGCAGAGACGCTCCTCACTTCCCAGACGGGGTGGCGGCCGGGCAGAGGCTGCAGTCTTGGCACATTGGGAGGCCAAGGCAGGCGGCTGGGAGGTGGAGGTTGTAGCCAGCCGAGATTACGCCACTGCACCCCAGCCTGGGCACCATTGAGCAGTGAGTGAACGAGACTCCGTCTGCAATCCCGGCACCTTGTGAGGCCAAGGCTGGCGGATCACTCGCGATTAGGAGCTGGAGACCAGCCCGGCCAACACAGGGGAACCCCGTCTCCACCAAAAAAGTACGAAAAACAGTCAGGCGTGGCGGCGCGCGCCTGCAATCGCAGGCACTGGGCAGGCTGAGGCAGGAGAATCAGGCAGGGAGGTTGCAGTGAGCCGAGATGGCAGCAGTACAGTCCAGCTTTGGATCGGCATCAGAGGGAGACCATGGAAAGAGAGGGAGAGGGAGACCGTGGGGAGAGGGAGAGGGAGAGCGAGAGCGTATCAGGCATTCTTTGGCATCAAGGAATTAAAGCACATTTTCTCTGGCAAATGGCAACAGTGTCTGATTTGAAGACATACCCTACACAAGTGGTTCTTGACTAAATGTAGTTCCATTTAAAAATAAGAGTTAACCTCTTGTAGTCTGGTCTCAACTGGCTCATTCCAGGGAGTTCTTAGCTCACACTTGCTAATATTTTGTTTACAATTGTGCAAATTCTACAGTTGGCAATATTGTTTACCAGGCATTGAACTCTTTTACTTATTAATATTTTAATAGGTTTTTGGGGAACAGGTGGTGTTTGGTTACATGAACAAGTTCTTTAGTGGTGATTTCTGATATTTTGGCGCACCTATCACCCAAGCAGTGTGCACCGTACCCAATGTGTTTTATTTTGTCCCTCACCCCCTCCCACCCTTTCCCCCAAATCCCCAAAGTCCATTATAAGGCACTGAACTCTTAAGCCTTGTTCCTTGTTCCCACAGCTCGGCCAATTGTGTTGGTCCTTCCCCCTGCTTTATTTAGTCACTTCCTCTGGAGGCTGGCCTTTTCTACCCAAGACACCATGGGCAGTGGAGCACTCAATCCATATTCTCCCAGACATGCCCCTCAATGCCAAGCAGAGAATCAGAGCACCTGGTGTTTGGGGACCAGACCTGTGTCCACTAAAGGACCCCAGTCAAAGGAAATGGCATCTCTTGGAAAAAAAAAAAAAAGCTACTTTCTGCCCATGAAGAAGGACCCCGACCTTCCCCCAGTGTAAATGTATAGGCAGGACCCCCACTACCCTGTGCTCCTTTGTGCAGTTGAGGAAAAGGTGGCCCATCTGGATGGATACAAAGCTTGGCAGGAAAGCAGGGGCAGGATTTCAGCTCCCTTGGCCCCCGTGCAAGTGAAGGAAGCTTTCCCCTGAGGTTTATTTGACATTGTTCTCCCCAGACAGCTGCCTTCCCAATTCAAAGGCTCAAGACTGTTGAAAAGCATATGCCAAGGGACAGACTAAACCTGTGACAGAGATGATTGCCAGTTTGCGAAAATGCTGAAAGCTTTCCATAAATTTGGGATCCACAAGGCACCTTGTCGTCACATGCTGGGTCAATCCCATTGCAGTGGGGAGTGGAGGACTGGACTGGATGATGTCCAGGAGCCTAGCACTGTGTTGAAATAAATTATTCTGCAGGCTGGTGGTGGTTATAAACTCACTACCAGCAAGGAGTTGGGGCTGAAAGGAGAAACATTATAAAACGGTTGCCACTAAAGTGTAGTCTGTTCAGGGCCAATAATTAACCCTAGTTGGAGATGATTTCTCTCTTTGACTATCACCAGGGTTGAGAGCCGAGTGACTCTGCCTGTCCAATTTGATTGCTAGGGTGGTCCAAAGGAGAGTTCCTTCACCTTCATCCACCTTTATTGGGTCTCTCCTCTTTCTTTTACTGCCAAATTTCTTGAAAGAAGAGTCCAGACTTGCTGTCTCAATAGCTTCTCTGCCTTGCATCTGACTGACTGAGTGACTGACTGACGAGAGGTCACAGTGTGTTGGACTGCTAAAGTAGCCAGCCTTTTCTTGTTTTCCCACCCTATTTGTCAGTGTAAAGTGTTCTAAGCTGATGGCTTCTCTTTCCTTTTTTTCTACTTTCTTCCTTGGACTCCAGTGAAATGACCCTCTCCAAGTTACCTCTACCCTCGTGGCTGCTTTTCTGCTTCTTCATTAGTGCCTAAGCTGAGTGTATTGCTCATGGTTCTAGCCTGAGCTTTTTTCCCTGATTATCTTCTGTGTTGGAGATTTGACCTACTCGTGGGGTTTCCATGATAACCACTCTGCAACAGACTCCCAGAGTCATCTCAGCCAGTCTCATCTATGTCCAGTCCTCAATGCCCACATTTCAACATGTTCAAGGCTGTCATCTTCCCTCTCTACGTTGGTCTTGCTGCGGCTTCTTTAGAGAAATTATCAAGACTTTGGAGTCATACACCTAGGTTGGAATCCTAGTTGTACACTTTTCTGTGTGGCCTTTGAAATGAAGTCCTTTTTTCTCATGTTCTGTGAATGCTACCAATGCTCATTATACAATAAGCACTTGTCAAATGCTGGTCTCCTTCCCCATTTTTTATTAGCATGAACATTTCCCCTCTCTAGTGGGCTTGGAATCATCTAGTTTTTCATTGTAATAATGTACGTTCTCCTCCTCTACACCTCCGCAAGCCCATTTCTCTGGAAACACCTCTCACGTTGGTCCTGTCCTTTCAATATTAAGGGATGTCATCTGGGCCCATGCAACCAGTGTCTCTGCCTACCCGATCCTCTCTGCCCGCCACTACTGCCTGAAGCATGTTTCAGATCATATTCCCACCCAAAAACTGCCAGTGCCCCCACTCTCAGTTCCATACCTTTACTTTCAAGGTTTTTAATGATCTGCCTCAAACCTAGTTTTCTGCCAAACTTAGGATGGCTCAATCACATGGCATGCTGGGACCTCAGTGACAGAATCCAATGGGATGGGGTAACCAGGGTAGCCCGTGTCTATCCCAAAGCCTCCAATCTGGAGGTTGGGGCAATGCTTTAGGGCCATAATGATGCTCAACGTGAAATGGGGCTTCACCTGTACTTGGGCATTGGGCTCTGGTCCTCAGGGCAAAGATCCTAGGCAAGAGGATCAATGACTGGGCCCCAGCCAAGCTGCTTAAAAGCCAGGGCAGCACTAGAGGACCAGTTGGAAGTCCAGAGTCTTGGGAAAAGGAGGCAAAATCTCAACCCCTATGTATAGAGCAACATGACGCTCGGAGGGAAGGAAGAAGGCAATGCAGTGGTCCTGGGCTTCTACGTTAATTCTGAGAGTGGCCCCGCAACTCTTCATCTTTCTCTTCCCTGGCTTTAGGCATGTATCTTGCAACTAGCACTTGCTTAATTGATTTGACACACCTCCCTACACTTACCCCTTTCCATACAAAGTGCCAGGTCCTCTGAAAGCTCCCTATATCACCTGGCCAATTGGAATTTTCACAGCCAAGGCAGAAAACAGGTGAGGTTTGGTTGTCAATCTCCATCTTAGGCATTGAACAGGATGTGTAGCCAGTTCATGGAAGACCTTTTTCACTCTTCTGAAGACTTAGGAATAAAAAAGGGCTCTTACTGTTATCATGTGGTCAGAAGGCATTCTTTTTCCACTTTAAAGAACCAAAACTTCCTCCAGTTCAGAAACAGTAAATGAATGGTCCACCATGTGCTGCGAACTTTGCTGTTCACCACCATGGCTGCTCCTAGCAGCATCTATGCAAGCACCCCATGGATGCTATCCAGGGTTTCTTCTTTTTATTATTAATAGCTAACATTTACTGAGTGCTTACTATATGCCAGGCACTGTGCAAAGGGAAACACAATGCCTCAGTCCCAGGTAGTTCCTGGGAAACTGAACAGAATCTTAAATAGAAACTCTAAGGAGTTAGGGAAGTGAGGGCTCACTGGGGCTGTGACCCCAGGGGAGACCACACTCAAAAGATGGTTTTGCAACTCAACCTCAGTTTCAGGCCTGCTATATCACTTCCACTCACTCAGTAGTAGGCTTGGCATTTAGTGGGGGACAGAGGCATGGTGGGAAGTTGGGGGTGCTGTTCAGGCTTGGCCCTCACCAGCCTCTGCTGGGACTGGTAGCATGAATGCTGTGTAGGATGTTGGGGAGCTGGAAGAAGACTCTTCCGCAGCCCCTCCCTCTCTATCCCATTCCCCTCTCATCTCCCCACCCTTCAAGGTTAAATATTAAAAATTCCCTTCACGGGGTGAGCTTTCAGTCCTTGATTCACTCCAAACAGGCTTCAAACGCAAATAGCTGTAGAGAAGATTAACAAGGTTGCCTCAAATTATTTGGCAAGGGGTGGGGAGAGGATGCCCAGGAACCCTGGCTGGCTGGAGAGTGGGGAGAAAAGGGGGCACAGTGGGAAGCTGCAGGCAAACACCTGCCATTGTAGCATTGCAGAAGGCCCCAAAGGACCCAGCCAATGTGAGACAGGTTGGTTTAAAAGCCTCCCATGGGAAGAAACCCAGAATGATGACAAGCAGAGCCAAGTTCACGTCCCTGTGGGTGAGAGTGTGGGTCTGGGAATGTGAAGCCTGGAGCAGGAGTCAGGGGCAGGGGCTCTAGGAGAGCTGCTCCATGCCCAGAATTGTGCAGGGAATGGCATAAGCAGTGGCCCAGTCAACTTGCTTATCCCAGGCCCCCTTTTCCCAAATTTATGATTTGAAAATGAATTATTTTAAAATGTCTCTGGAATCTTGAGTACAGTCTAACAAGGCATTTGAAATGTAAAGATTTATGTATTTAGGAAAGCATGAGGTAAATTACCTTCATTGAAATATATACATAGAGAGAGTACCACAGGGAGTAGGATTGTCTCAAACAATTCCACATGTCTGCTTCTCAGGGACCTGTACCCACCACCCTGTCCTTCCACAAAGAATGTAACTAACCAAAAACCCTAGTTCTGTAGCAATGACCGCATTTGAGAACGACCCCACACCCCGCACTTAGTTCACCATCATTTCTCTTGGCACTGCAAGAAGGAGGTCAGAATGCAGTTATGTTGCGGGGAGGTCACTGCCACATTGCAGATCTTTTGCTCATAATGAAGCTTGGCAAGTTAGGCTGGGAGACGGCAGGGCTGTCTCATCGGTGTTGGTTTAGTCGCTATGGGTGGGGCCGGCTGGGAGGGCAAAGGGCACAGCCATCCCCCATGCAATTCTGTAATGGACAGTAGGATATGGGGGAAGGGTGTCTCACCAGAGGAGCAAGGCAGAGCCCAGATCACAGCTGTCATGCCTGAGAACAGTCTGCGTTTAACAAGGAGCAGGCTTGTGGGGCCAGAAGGTCAGATCTGGACTCTGATTTTTAGGAAAAAGCAAGGATGGGAGAGTGAGTGGGGACAAGAACAAAGGAGGAGGCTGAGAGGAGAGTTTCTCTGTAGTGGGCCACAGGAGCATGCCAAAGGGTGAGAGGATGGAGCACTTACCAGACTGCTTATCTGAAATGAGGAAACTCCCTTAGATAAAGCAGGAACGCGGTGGTGAAACCTGAGGTGCAAGACTCCAGGTTTCAGGAACCCCCAAAGGGTGTGGGATGGTGGAGAAGCTGTGACTCAAGTAGCAGCTGTGGAACACTAGTGGCCAACCCAGGGGTGGACTATGGGGGGTGGGCGGTGAGTTGCTTTGGACAGTGGGCAGAGCGGTGGCAGCTTGAACAAGAATTCCTGTCTCCAGATTGGGCTGGGAGTATGGCAGGATTGAGCACACAGGTAACTCAGCTGTCAGGACCTGATGAGGGCCAGGGATGGTAGGGGCTGGGGACAGGAGGCAAAGGGTAAGTGGTTTCATTCATTCAAAAATCACTGCACAACTGCTGAGCGCTACCAACACCAGCAGGCCAGGGATAGGAAGATGAGTAAGACATGGTCCTTACTCTTGAGAGGTTTGTGATTGCTGTAGGAGATCTAGACTGGGGAAAATAGAGACTCCAGTGCCTTAAGAAATTTAGTCAAACTCATGGTGCTTTGAAAGTATTAGACAAAAGCAGCTCTCTATTCTCATATTTTACTCCAGTAATACTCTTTAGCTTATGCATATCAGATTTATTTACCCATTGATTTTTCCACTGAGGCATTGAGCTTTTGAACATTCCACCTTCAACTCAGCTGTAAGATGCACATAGACTTTAGTTGCCAATAAAATTGGCTGGCAACCTGGGACTGCTTCAGGTCAGACACCAAGGAGGTGGTACTTCTGTTCCATTTTATAGTGTTAGCCCCAGACCATTGAAGAAAACCAGGACTCAGTTGAATAATTACTTTGGGGGTCTTAACTGAACAACTGGTTGGAGGGCATGAGGGAAGGTGAGGGCATTTGAGGGTAGGATGGAGACCTGGCCAGGGCAGAGGGAGGGGGAAAGGTGTTTGGGCCCAGGAGACAAAGCCTGCATGGGAGAGGCTGCCTTCTGCACAGCAGCGATACCAATGTCTGAGCTGTGGCTGCCCAGGAGTGCTGACGAGGCCCACACAGCTTCAGAAGTGGCACTTGTAGCATGTGAGACAGCCTGGTGTGAAGAAGCCCCAAATTCAAGTGGGCTCTGTTTCCGGGCCAATTCCAAGCAGACCTGCCTGATATGCCAGAGAACACAGGTATCAAGGTTCGCATTGCGTTAGTAATGCCTGTGGGAGACAATAGGGTGAACCCCGCAGCAATGTTTAGCTTTCTTCTCCCTTGACTGAGGAGCCTCGGTTGTTTTTTCTTAAAGGATATATTTTCCACTGTTTTGACTGGGCTTGTCCAGGGGTGCTGGGAAGAACAAGATAGGCAAGAAGGGAAGGACTAATAAATTTTCTTGCTCATTCCTAAAGTCCTATTTTTAGATTAGATTTTTAGATCTTGAGCTCATCACTATGTGCACTAGCTGTCATTGGATAAGTCATGTCCAGGTGGGACACCTGGTGGCGGCTCCACTCTTGCCAACCCTGCCCTCTATTGATGCCACCCACCTCACAGATGAATGTGCTGGGTAGGTTCAGCCAAAAGCTCTTTCTTTTAGAATCAGCCTCAGCAAGACTAGAGTGACCTCCTGTCCCCTCTAGAGGCCATCTAGAGGTATATTCTGAATCTGCTGTGGCTCACTTCTCTCAAGATCTCCTGGGTCAGGGGTCAACTTCTCACCTGTACTTCAGCCAATGTATCCTCCTATGCTTGGGTCCCTGCCTTTTATTTCTTTATGGGTGATTTTCATCTGATTGCCTTGCTGCACAGGTACAAAGCAACAGATCTGCAGAATGAAAACAGCTGGGGAACCCTGAGTGGGGTGAGAGTAGAATGGAGGAGGTGGTGGTATCTTCTTAAGGGGGTACTCATGGTGGAAGGGTCTTCGTTTTTCTTGGGGAGGATTCCCTTTGTGCTGTCCAAGGAGACTTCCTTACACCATGGGCTTTGGACATGCTTGGTAGTCAGGGCACACTTGGCTTTGAAATGCAACGAGCTAAGTGGAATAAGCACTTTGTACCATACTGGCTGATGGTACCATACTGTGGGTCAGATAGGAATCAACCTTCCAGGGGAAAAGAACAAACAAACGAAACAGACAAACAAGTGCCTGAAGACAGAAATTTAATTGAGTGCTTCCTGGCTTTTATTTTAGCCCCCCTCATCTAAAGATGTGCATCTGTCCCAGATTTGAGCTATGATGTGTGGAGAGGTAGAAGAGAGAATATTTATATGCAAATAAGAGGTGTTGACCAGAACTCTGGGGATTTGGGTGAGGAAGGAAGCCAGGTTTTCTGTGGCAGGGGTAAAAAGAGAGAGCAAGGGAGAGAAGGGGCGATCCAGCAGGAGAGAGGAGTAGAGTTGTTATAGATGACTTCTCCTGGAGAGTTGGATCAGGCCCATTGCGGGTGAGAGGGCAAATCTTTCCCAAGAACCCAAGTGGTAGAATGGGTCTGGCCTTCCCTTTAGGTGGTTATTGGAGAACTGGTGGGTATGCATGTGGAGACGCAGATGCCTGACAAAGCTGGTGCCGTCTGGATGGGGGGCAAGTAAGGTGTTTAGGAGTGAGACTGTGGTGACTGGTACCAAAAAAAGAATGTTGGGGTGATCAGATCCAACACCAGGCCTTGGTGGTGACGAAGTCTGGCGGAGTCAAAGGAATGAGAAAACACAGTTTGAGAGAGAAAACGGATCAAGTGGGCTAACGCAAGTATGGAGGCTGTGAAGGCCCTGAGCTCTGGAAGCCCAGACTATTTATTGGCGATCAAACAGGTGGTGAGAATGTGGGGGTCGAAAGGGCAAGTGCATGATCTACAGCTGTGAAAGTTTAGCATTTCCTTTGAAGCATATGGAATATATTCTCCTACTTGAGATAATGGGGAGCATGTTTTTCCAGTTTAAGCTAGAAGCAAGGAGCCAGCAAGTCTAGACCCATTCCAGAGGCCACGAGGGGTTTTATGCGCCGAGCCCTGGACATTATGTCAGACATGCAAACCCTGCCTCAGCTTTTTTCCCAACACTCAGCTTTTTCCCAACATTTTCCCCTTCTCTTTTTTGTAAAACCGCCACAGCTATCATTATTACTAGCATAAAAGGTGGCCTCTTTTTGTTTTTAAATTAATTGAGCAAGGCAATTGCAGGCTGTGCAGCCTTTGATTGCCAGTTGGTGATCCAACTTCATTGTTCTTAGCCCTTATTCAAAATGGAGTCGCTCTGGTTTGAATGCTTCCCACGTATCTCCCCTTTCCCTTTTACAAGAGGACCCTTAATCCTAGGGGTTTCAGGATGAAGGTCCATGCTGAATGGGGGCAATGATACTCCTGCCTAACTATTAGGGTCTCTTGTATTCAGGGTAGAGAGGCACTCAGTCAGAAAGCATTGGTCCGTTAAGCATCTGTAGGTAAAACCCTGGCGCTCCAGCAGTTTCTCAGCTTCCTGTGCGGTTTTCTTGATCTGTCCCCATGTTATGGGGATTGCACCCACACGGTTCGTTCATCTCCATGAGGTAGAACTTTCCACTGATAATGAGAAACAGGCCCCTTCTAATAGAAGGCACAGAGAAAGCAAATGGAGGCTTCTCAAACCTTCAATTTGCACTGTACAGGTGGGTCCGCTAGATGCTGTGGCTCATGATAGATCTTCAGATGTTTGGTGGGCACCCACACAGGCACCTGATTGTCACCTGGAGAGACACAAGCAAATCTTCTTCCCCATATAATTATCTTTCCTTTTTCCCAGCTCTTTGTATGTGCATTCCTCCACCATGTATCTTGTCCAGCCTTTTTATTTTCCTTTTGTCCTGTTAGGTGTTGTTTCACTGCAGTTATGGGTTGATCTTTTTGTAAATTTAAAAATTTTAATGTTAATAAAGCTAAATGCAATTACATATGCAGTGTCTTATATTCCTGGTCCTTCTCCAAGTCGATATCCCATATTTCTCATCATTTGTCTACTATTATTACTATATTGATCCATAGGAATAGATATTTCAGCATCCCATTGTTGCAATAAGTCTCTTCCCCATAAATTGACAGGAATAGGTGTAATAATAGACTGAATTGTCCCTTCCTGGCCATCCAGTCCTTGACATGGTAAAATCAAGGAACTGTGAAAAACCTCTGAGGCGGTTCCTACGCCAATGATACCCATGGAAGCCTTTTGTTTGGGCCAGTGTCGGGGTCATTGATTTAGAGCAATAATAGAGACATCAGCTCCAGTATCTACTAGTCCTTCAAAATCCTTTCCCTAAATAGTCACTATGCAAATAGGTCTTTTGTCAGACACTTGATTAACCCAATATACAGCCTTTCCTGCAGGATTAGTACTACCAAAGTCGCCTGTTCTTTCACTGTGCTGCTTCCTAGTTTTGTTTAGGGTAGCAGCAGCAACTGAGCAATTCTTTCTCCTGGGGAGGCAGACCACAGAGTTGAGGAACTAATAACTAATTGAATTTCTCTGGTATAATCAGAGTCAATTATTCCTGTATGCACAGCAACACCTTTCAAATTTAGACTAGACCTTCCAAGTAATAGACCAACTGTTCCTGAGGGTAAGCGTCCTCTAACTCCCGTAGGGACCTTTTTTGGCAGCTCCCCAGGAAACAGGGAGATGGTAATTGTGCTGCAAAGGTCTATGGCAACACTGCCTGCTGTGGCAGGGGACAATTGTTGTACGCTTGTGAGGGCACTGGCTGTGCCGGGTATGCCTCGGTTTGTTGAGGGGCCTGAGGTGGGCCACTCTTCCCATTTCCTGAAAGAGGTTGTCCATCTTTAGAACGACACTGATTTGCCCAGTGATTGCCTTTTTTACAATGGGGGCATACACCAGGGCTTTTCTGTTGATTGACGGTAGTAGTTCTTGCCTTTTGATTTCCTTTTCTACATTCCTTTTTTGTGTCCAAATTGCCGACAATTGGAACAAGAGCCTGAGAAATGGGGCATATTCTTTCCTACTCTTAATCCAGCCATAGCCTGAGCTGAAAGAGTAGCCTTATGTAAGTTACCTCCAATGCCATCGCAAGCCTTAACGTATTCAGAGTAATGGCTTGCTTGAATTCCTTCCCTCCTTGCTGGATTATAGTAATGGGAAATTGCCATACTTCAAGGTCTCCCTCGGCTCTAGCTTTTTGAATAGAATTTTGTATAGCACCACCAATTGCTCCAGGTTTTAATGTTGCAACTACAGGAGTGGTGTTTTTCAGCTAATTCATTTTCTCGCCCATTAATGGGAGAGAGAAGAGGTGGCCATTCACTTAATTCAGCAGGTGGAGCCAACGGGCTAGTAAAACATACTTCTTTCAGTTTCCCTTTCTTTAATTTCCTCCGGTTTCTGTTCCTCACATTCAGAATCTGAAATTAGTTCTTTACACTCGTCCTCCTCTTCCTCATCTGAATCTACCTCATCATCTGTTTGAAATGGCTCAAAAGCTGCCTTTATTATCACTCACATTGACCAAAAAAAACTGGAATTTTTGCTCCATCTTTATACGCCTTTTTAAAATCTCTGCCAATTATCTCCCATTCATCCAACTCCATAGTCCCTTGTTCCAGGAACCATGGGCAAAACTCCTTTACCGTACTAAAGAGTGATAACAAATTCTGAGTACTAACTTTCACCCCCACTCTTCATAATAAATGCCTTAAGAAACTTAAATAAGCAGAATATTTGCTTTCACTTTGTCCTGTTGTTACCCTGGTTCTTCCGAGCCCTCAGCTTTCCCACCAAGCTTCCTTTAGTCATCCTTGGGTGTCCTTTGACAATGCATCCCCTGCTTTCACATGCTCTAGTGTTCCTTCACCAGGGCCTTTGTCGCCCCACGTTGGGCAGCCAGGAATGTTGGGGTGATCAGATCCAACACCAGGCCTTGGGGCAACGAAGTCTGGCAGAGTCAAAGGAAAGAGAAAAGACAGTTTGAGAGAGAAAGTGGGTCCAGGTGGCCAACGCAAGTATGGAGGCTGTGAAGGCCCTGAGCTCTGGAAGCCCAGACTATTTATTGGTGGTCAAACAAAGAAACAGGTGGTGAGAATGTGTGGGTCAAAAGGGCAAGCACATGATCTACAGCTGTGATAGTTTAGCATTTCCTTTGAAGCATATGGAACATATTCTGCTACTTGAGATAATAGGGAGCATGTTCTTCCAGTTTAAGCTAGAAGCAAGGAGCCAGCAAGTCTAGACTCATTCCAGAGGCCACGAGGGGTTTTATGCACTGAGCCCTGGACATTATGTCAGACATGCAAGCCCTGCCTCAGCTTTTTTTCCCAACACTCAGCTTTTTCCCAACAAGAAGATGAAGTGTTGTATCTTAGGGGCTCCATCTACAAGGATGAAGTAAGACCGGAGAAAGGGGTGAAATCAGCAAGGGTAACTATCATCATGTGTCTGGAGGTCTGCTGCTCCTTTACTCCAGCCTCTCTGTCTCAGTTCTTCTCATTCCAGAGGTCCCTGTGGACTGTGACAAGGATTTTTCAGAATTCAGAGAGGGAACCAACAAGGGGCAAGCTTGGTTTATTTCTCTTTATTTGGTTTATTCTCATTATTATTTTTCTTGCCTTTTCTACCTCTAATTCCTTCTTAGCCCTTCCCTTTCTGCTTCCATTTCTATCCCAAAATATGAGCCACAAAGAGAAATTTGGGGAATTAGAAGGAAGAGACTTAAGGGAAAATGTATATGTCATTGGTGTATGTGTCAGTTTTCAGTCATAACTTGGGTTGGGGGAAGTCAGTGTACCCTTTACTCTTGCTGAGGAAATTTCTTCTGAGCCTTAGCCACATCCCACTTGCCCAGGGCATCATTCTTTTCTTTTTTTTTTCTGGCATATATCTCTACTTCAGATTCAAACTTGGCCATTACCTCTGGCCAGCCAAGCAGCTGTCCCCTGAGAGGGGGGCCAACTCTCCTGCCCCTCACTGCCTGCCTCCCAAGGCTGCCCTAGGGCTCAGCTGAAGAAGGCGGTTGTGCTTTGCTGCCCCCTGTTGCTCAAGTCCTGCTTTTCCATAGGAGCTGCCGGGCTGTATGTCTGGATGTGACTTCTCCAGGCAGGTCCTCCTCTCCTGCCCGCAGTGCTCTGGCTCCTCAGGGTAGGTTTCTGTCCAGGACATGGCCCCTGAAAGGGCTTGGAAAAAGCCCCCTTGCGTAGTACTGGCTGAGCTTCTACTTGCTGCCCCAGGAACCTCCAGAGAGTGACCCAAACATCTGGTATAGCCTCTAATCTTACCTAGTCAGTCATGTTTCTCTTCAGGCCTCTTCTAAGAACAGTTTCCTGGAGAAACAGAATAGAGTTGTGGTCACTACACTGGAGTCTTCCTGGGGTAGGAGTGGGTCCTTTCTAAAGTAGAAGGGGCTGTGTAGCAAGGGGGCTGTGTGAGCATTTCTAGAAATGTTGTCTGCTGAATTTTCCACTGGGAAAGAGCAAGTCCTGGCGGAGTTAGCAGCAGCTGGGCAGTAGGCAATAGATAGCATCAGGGTCTCTGGATGCTCAGTGGGGGTGGCATCAGGGAACACTGGTTTCCCCAGTAACGGGCGCCTGGGCCTGCAGTGGCAGTCAATTCCACAGAGGATGCCCCGGAGCTTGGCATCTCTCACTGTGCTGTCTTCCCATTCCTGAGACTGGAATATGGAGCTCATGTGGGCTGGGCAGCTTCCCAGCAGTGGTTGGTCAGGATGTGAGAGTGCTGTGGTCCAGGTACCTGTGGACAAGTGACCTGCCACACTGCAAGACCCAAAATGACACTGGACTACATTCGTTGACACAGTTACAGCTGTACCAAAATTTTTTTTCCAAGGTTCAAGTTGGAACATTTGTAAGCCAAGCCCTCATGGGTCCAAGCCTATTTTCTTCACCACACCACACTGAGTGAGGGCAGTGGCTCATTACAGACCACAGTATCTCCCCACCTCCACCCATGTAGATGAGAACCTGGAGCCTGCCAAGGACTAGTGTCCAGAATGGTGCCCAAGTCACCTCCTGATAGGTAGGAAGTGGCCAAAATGAGGTGTAGGACCTCATGTCCTAGAGGTCAAAGCTAAGAGTCCAAGGCAAATGGCCACAAGGCAGAAAGAGCCAAACCAGAGCCCCCCTAAAATGGGGAGACCAGGATGGATAGATAAGAAGAAGGGCAGGCTTTGGCTGGGCGTGGTGGCTCACACCTGTAATCCCAGCCCTTTGGGAGGCCAAGGGGGGTGGATCACGAGGTCAGGAGATCAAGACCATCCTGGCTAAGACTGTGAAACCCCGTCTCTACTAAAAAATACAAAAAAAATTAGCCGGGCATGGTGGCGGGCGCCTGTAGTCCCAGCTACTCTGGAGGCGGAGGCAGAGGTTGCAGTGAGCCGAGATCGTGCCACTGCACTCCAGCCTGGGCGACAGAGCGAGACTCCGTCTCAAAAAAAAAAAAAAAAAAAAAAGAAGGGCAGGCTTTTAGTTTTAGATCTAAGTCCAAAGTACAAATGTGAGCAGAGCGGGCTCTTATGGAGGGAGCCAGTCACATGGGGTCTAGGATGGAGTAACAGTTCAACCCCCTTAGACCCATCCCTTCTCTCTCTGTTTCTCCTTTGACTTCGAAGTTAACAAAAACATTTAATCGCATTCTAAATGCAAAAGCCCCATGCAAACACTTGGAATTGGGAAAAGAGGAGAATACAACAGTTTCTGCCCTCAAGGAACATAAAGTGAGTTCACAGCCTCTTTCTCTTTCAGCCTCCTCTTTTCTCTCTCATTCCTTCACCTAGCAGGTGCTAGGCAGCAACTGTATACCCAGACATTATTATTTCTCTTGCCTTTTCCACCTTTAATTCCCTATTAGCCCTTTCTGCTTCCATTTCTATCCCAAAATATAAGCCACAAAGAGAAATTTGGGGAATTAGAAGGAAGAGACTTTAAGGGAAATGTATATGTCATCGGTGCATGTGTCAGTTTTCACTCATAGCTTGGTTTGGGGGAAGTCAGTGTTTTTTTCCTCTTGCTGAGGAAATTTCTTCTGAGCCTTAGCCACATCCCACTTGCCCAGGTCTTCATTCTTTTCTTTTTTTCTGGCATATATCTCTACTTCAAATTCAAGTTGGTTGTGGGTCTTCCACCTACTTTGTAGATGGAGATGTGGGGGTTGATGCCAATCTGACAGTGACCAGCACTACAGAGTGGAATGGGAACCTTCTCATCTTCCTGCTGGGCTCCCATCCCAGCCCCCAGGCCTCACCTTGCCTCTCCTGCGCAGTGGGGTTCATTCCAGGATGCCCTCCCAATAAAGCTGAGGGCATGAAGGCTTCTTGAATGGCAAGCACTTTGGAGGCTAGGAAGGGAACAAATCTTTAAATCACTAGGTACTCTTTTTACTTCTCATCTTGCTTTTAATCCAAGTCTTTGGTCTCTTACTTGCTTGCTTTCTTCTCACCCAGGACAGAGTCACAGAGACCTTGAAGAATGGAGGAGGTAGAAAAAGGAGAAATGCAGGAAGGAGGTGTGTTATGGAGTTATCCAGTGGAGGCTCGCATCCAGCTTTATTTTGCCTCCAAAGATCTTGCATCCTACCTGTTAAGAAGCTTGGAATGCCACTATTCCATTAAATCTTAAAGGAACTTGAGTCTTTCATTTAAAAATGTGTTCCTAAAATGTAAATGTCCCTATGTGGGACAGTATTTAGCCGACAGTAAATTTGAGAGGAGGGTCTCAAGGGGCAGTGTCACCAGGAAAAGAGAGAAAGGCTCCTCTCCCCAAGTCAAACCTTACCTTACTTAACCGATTGTATTTCCTCCCTCAGAGGATGCCATATCTCAGTACAGGAGAGAAAATAGAAGGTAGAGAGACTTTTACCCAAGCACCCCCTGAACCCCAGGTGTACACAACTGAACCTGATGCAGTGACAATCACGTTCACACATAAAACATCTGGCTAAAGGCTAAGATCACTTCGGATTTCCGACATACATTTTCCTAAGCAGTGCATTTTTCTTTAATTTTCCTTAGAAAAAGACTGTAAAGTAGCCCCACAATTCCCACATCTTCATACTCCACCCTGCATTCAAGTTTTCCTGGGACAGGTATCTATGTGTGTGCATGAATCTATTTTTACGGCATATGTCTAGGACCCCCTACGAGGAGCCAAAGTTTCAGAGAGCCCAGCAACTATGTAACTCCATGGAAGGGAGGCATGATATTACTCTCTGTTCACAGGAGCGTACGCACAGATCTTTTCTCCTCCTCATGGTCAGTTTTCTATTTGTGATTAGTAATTAGCTTCTCTTGGTACGCTACGATCTATTACAAAAGCCAAACATTCAGGGGGCGAGCTGAAATGACAAAATTTGGCTATAATTTATGTTGGCCCCTGACATATATATTTTTTTAATGGTTTGGTCTCTAAGCAACTGATCTCTTAGCAACAAGAAGCACCTTTATAAAAGATGGCACACGAAGAGTGATTGCCAGAAAAGCCACCTGGTTCTTAAACAGCCGCGCATCATTAGCAAAACTCACCATCTTCAAGAGTCCAAAAACTAGAAGTGACCAGCAGACCCAGGTAACCTTGATATTTGCACATTTTCCTGGGGAAAAAAAAAAAAAAAAAAAAAACTCATGCAACTATTGAAGAGAACAAAATTCTTTGAAATATGTTCATTTTTGAGGTCTTATTAGTTGGTCTTGACTAACTTTTAATAATAGTATGTATTCTTTTAAATAACTGCTTTTTGATTTTTTTAAAAAAACGTGATATTTGTGATCAGAAAACAGTTCACTTGAAATATTTCATTGGCATGAGAATGGAAGGAGGGGAACAATCTATCTGTTTCAGAATTTATTTCTGTAGGTTTTCATTTGATGGGAAAAAAATCCACATCATGGCAAAAATAGGAGTATACAGAATGTCACCCAAGTGGTGTGCACTATTAGGGAAATACGCGTATTTATTTTCTAATTTATTTTCATACTGCTTAAATATTTAAAGAGTAGCAAAATAATTTTACTTTCAAACTTTAGCTTTTTAATCCAATGTCAATTCCAGTAGAAAGTGATAGTCTTTTGTTGCAAGTGTTCAAGGACTGGTTTTTTCATTTGCTTTCATTGCCGTAAGAAAAGATTCGTTCCAAAACTAAAAATAGGAAAAATTACAGGCATCTGTACCTTGTTTGCTTTTTTCAGGTACCCAGGGATTGAAGACTTAAATGTCTTTCCAGAAAATTGGAATTAGAAATGAGAATTGTTACTTCATCTGTACTCCTTCAATAAAGATTGCGTAATTATAAACCCACTTGGGGCACTCAAAGGGCATAAAAAAGGAGATATTTTATGGGGATGAAATAAAAATCCTCCTAATTGAGCTTGGAAACAGTGTTACACAGAGATACTGCAGATCTAAGAAAACAGACTAGAAAATTGCAGTTTCAATAAAGACAAGTTGAAATAGTGACACATAGTTTTATTTTTTATAAGAACTGCTTGTACCACTTTCTCTCTTTTTCTTTCTTTATTTCTTTTTTCTTTCTTTCTCTTTCTCTCTCTCTCTTTTTTTTTGTGCCCTTTCAGAGGTGCAAATACCTCTTTAAATTGAACTGTATGCTGACATTCTCTTGGAACCAGAAAATGGGATGCTTTGTCTGAATACAAAGCTTGGTAATGGGTCAGGGCATTCAAAACCAACACAATCCCACAAATTTTGGGACTTACAGTTGCTCCTCTAAGCAAAGGCACCTCAATAGCACATTATGATTACGTTTGATTTTAAAAGCTGCTTATGACTTGTATTTCTGTTACTGCTACCGACTTCAGGCAGGAAGAATTCATTTTTGTGGAGACTTTGCTTGAAGTTAGAAAGTTGGGTGTTTTAGATTGAATTGCAGAAATTTTTTAAAGCAATGCACTATGAAATCACAGAGAAGCATATAGGTTTGTCCTTCAGAACTAAAATTGTATGTACTTGCAGTGTGGTAATTACTGTAGAAATGGTTTGTGGCTTTAAAGTTAAGGAACTTGCATAAATAATTACAAGATGTAACTTGTGTTTGCTATGTCTGGATATGTTTTCAGTTTTAACTGTACTGTAGTTTCCTAAAATATGAAGGGTAGTTAACATGAAAGCAAAGGTATGGTAACATTTATATTGCAAGTGGCAGCTAAGTTTTTGCAGTGGTTCTTTGGGACTTTGCAAATCGAGTCACTGTGTCTTTCGAGTTCATGTGTTCTGAGTTTTATCTATACATGAGGAAACAAGGGGGTCAGTGGGCCTGTAGAGCTTGTCATTTTGGCTGGCATAATGAGCCATCTGACGAAGATGGACAAACTCCTGCAAGATGTGAGATAGACTATGAAATACTCTGATTAGACTGGCTGCTATAGACTAAGCCAAATCATTCTGCTGTGTTAGGATTAGTTATTTCTGAGACACGCACTTACATTCACACACATGCCTGCATATAAATGGTCTCAATATAAATCTGGAAATCAAAACAAGCCTCTCTATCAGTGAGAGCTTCCTAGGAAAAAGGATAGTTTTAATTTTGTGAAGGACAGTTTCCATCATAATCTTCATTTAGCGTCTAAAAGTCCTAGACAAACTTGACGGCCCTTTTCCTTCAAACCTCAGGCTGGAATCTGGTGTGGGGCTGGCCGGGGGGACACAGCAGCTAGCAGGCACACTGTCAAGCAGTCCTGCTGTAGGGGCGATCTATGTTACAAATGAATCCATTTACTTTGGACACTTTACTACCTGAACGGAAACAATCAGGCAGGAACTTGTTCAATAACTACATGGTTGGCCTTTCAGCAGAATTTTTGAACTCTTATAAATAAACCATACTTGGGATAATTTAGTCTTTCTCTGGTGAGAAGGAAACAAGAAAAAAAAATGTGAGCAGTCACTCTTGAGTTAGGTGCTTGACGAGGACTGGGCAATTTACAACGTGCAGTTTTGCTTAACCTTTACAGCAACTGTCCAGAAGTCTCCGTGTCCCCATTTCACACATGCCTAAGCCAGATCCAGCAGTTTGCCAGATGTTACCTAAACAGTAAATGGCAAAGTTGGGATTTCAACCCAGGACAGTCTGACTCCCAAGCCTGTGCATTTTCCTTGTGTCAGAATGGCACAAGTAGCAATTTAAAACTGACACTAAATAATCCCTCTGGTCTTAGTAAAGCAAAAGCTCTGAGTAGGGCTGGAGGTGAAGATTTAGGCATCTTTTCACAGAAGAGACTCCTTAACCACTGGTTCTGTTGGGTGGAGTGACTCAGGTCCTGTGTTTTCAAGGCTGCCATTGGCTATGAGCCAGAGGTGGGTGCTCATTTAGGCTGTGGCCGTGGTGGCCACAGGCCATGGCACCATTTCTTGCCATGATGCACATCCCAAGTGAAGTGGGGTAGGACTCTTTGAGGTTCCCTTTCTGTGTGAACAGTTCTGAGAACAGGGCTTCCTGGATGTCCCCTCCCACCCTGACACGGGCCACAACAGTTAGGGACTGCACAAGCAGAGTGGAAGCCAAACCACAAGCGGAGCGGAAGCCAAATCCAGAATGGGCCAAGTGACATGTCACCAAGTTAAGGTGAAGGAGGGAGAGCCCAGGTGTGGCTGGGGCAGGCCTGAGAGTGGGGGTGAGATGACAATAGAGAAAGCAGAGCTTTCTCCCCAGCGTTGCAGGATTTCGGTATGCTGTCCCCTCTGGCTTATGGTGTTGCCCCTTCTTTCTTCTTCAAATACCCCTGACAAAGGGATCAATCTTAGAGAGTTTATTAAAAAAAAATCTTCTTCTAAATAGTATTTGGGCAGGAGATGATGTATACAGGAGCGAGGGCCAGGGAGGCTGTAGCCAGTCCTAGAATAAACACTCTGTGCATCTCTATTTCTTGTGATCCTTCCATCACTCAGACACCTGGAGCATCGTGCCTAAAGCCAGACAGTTCATGTAGGTGGGATTTAAACTCAAGTCTTTTGGCTAGAAACACTGTGGCTCTTTCATACAACTGGGAAATATGATGGTATTTGTAGGCAGATACAGATTCTGAGGTGGTCTGCCTTGCATTTGGCATGACCATCAAGTGAATACGAAGAGAGCTCTTCACCTGTTACACTTCAGTTCATCCTCAGAGGAGGGAATAACGCTCCCAAGAGGCATAAGAGGCAACCTCCCATTTCTTTTTCCATTCCCTCCCCACTCAGGGATATCTATGGGTAATTCCTCTAGTCATGAGTCAGAGGGCTGATGGGCAGCTCAGGAAGTCTGAAAAGAATGCCCAGTAATAGGTTCAATTTTTGTACAAAAATCGGTAATAATCCTTGTGCAAGTAATCTTCATGCCTCTACTTCCCTAGGGTCCTTGTCTCCAAACAGACATGTTCACCCTGCTTGAGTTCTTGCCTGGTGTGTGGTACTATTGATGTATATGGCTGGCACATTGACACCACACACCTGCCGTGGACAGCACGTGCCCAGTCCCACTCTCTACCTGGTGCAAAGGAAGTCTCCTTTTATCTGGCAATTCTGGGTAGAAGAAGAGGGCCACTTATGTCTTTTGTGTGTGTGTGTGTGTGTGTGTGACAAAATTTCACTCTGTGGCCCAGGCTGGAGTGCAATGGCATGATCTTGGCTTACTGCAACCTCCGTCTCTCGGGTTCAAGCAATTCTCCAGCCTCAGCCTCCCAAGTAGCAGGGATTACAGGCGCCTGCCACCATGCCCGGCTAATTTTTTGTATTTTTAATAGAGATGGGGTTTTGCTATGTTGGCCAGGCTATTCTCAAATTCCTGACCTCAGGTGATCCACCCACCTTGGCCTCCCAAAGTGCTGGGATTACAGGCATGAGCCATTGCAGCCGGCTGTCATTTTTTAAAAAGCATAGCATTCTTACTCTGGGAACTGACTTAGAGGTTGCTTAGTTTGGACTTCTCGGAGGTGAGGGGCCTGAGTTGAAGTGATTTTCCCAAGGGCTGTGCAGCTAGGCAAAGGTGGGATAGAGCTCAGTTCTCTTGACTCCCATTCCAGTGCTCTTTCCTCTGTACCATAATAGTTGCTATTCCTAAGAAGAGGGTGAGAGTAGACTATTACCCTTATTTTACAGATAGAAAAACTAAAGGCATAGTTAGATTAGGGATAACTGCCACTCCAAAACTATGAAAGTTATTAAATCTATGAGAGTGATTTAACTAACTGCTTCCCTGGATTAAAAATTTTTATTTTGCCTGCTGAATATAAACATGTAAGGTTCAGTGTTAAAATGAACACATCAGAGTGTCCAAACACTATTCTGCCTATTGATCATATAGTTTCTCTCCTGTATAAAAAGTGAGGAAGGGGGTCGGGTGTGGTGGCTCATGCTTGTAATCCCAGCATTTTGGGAGGCCGAGGTGGGTGGATCAGGAGGTCCAGAGTTCGAGACCAGCCTGGCCAACATGGTGAAACCCTGTCTCTACAAAAATTAGCTGGGTGTGGTAACGTGCACCTGTAGTCCCAGCTACTCAGGAGGCTGAGGCAGGAGAACTGCTTGAAACCAGAAGGGCGGAGGTTGCAGTGAGCCGAGATCATGCCACTGCACTCTAGCCTGGGCGAAAGAGTGAAACTCCATCTCAAAAAAAAAAGTGAGGAAAGAAATGGAAAAATGGTCCCTCCCATTATGAAGCCTGTTGTCCTAACCGAGTATGCATTTATGGAATCCCTGAAAAAGACGAATCAGTGTATATCTGCATATCTGTCTATCTCAACTGTCACAGCCAAACTCCACACCAAAAATCATAACCAGGGGCATTGTAAGCAGTGGTCCTTGTGGATTTTTCTCCTGCTGGGCCAGTTTTTTCCCCTATAATAATTACAAACTTCATACATGAGTTTGGTACTACTCTAGAGGAGGCTCTAGCAAAACTACCCTGCTGTAGAGGAGCAATTATAGGAACTCTGCAATTCTGATGACAGTTCTAAAAACATAATGTGAAGGTACGAACTCATTAATATACAGTTCTCTGTGCCAGGTTCTGTGCTAAGACCTTCATGTAGCTTTTCTTATTTAGTGTTCACTACCTATGATGTCGATATTCTGAGCACCATTTTCCAGATGAGGAAGCTCAAACTCTTCTGCCAATGAGGCCAACACCATAGAGTGGTGTTTGTTTATAAAATGTATATTTTATTGCACTCAAACGATGTACCTGGCACTGGTCTAGATGCTGGTGCTATAAAGTTAAATAAGACATGATCCTTGTCTTGAAGAAGCTCATAGCCTAATGAAGCTCATTTCCAGTTACATTTGAGAACTTCTGCTCTTTGGGGCTAGTCTAATAGCACACAAGAGATTTACTCAGGAACACGTATCTTGAAGGTTGGGAAGGGTTGGAGAAGAAATACGAGGATAGGAAAAGATATGGCTGAGGTTAAAACTGAAGGGAAAAATCGAAGATGGACAGAAAGTTGGCACTCACGGTGTGTAGAATACAATGGGCACAAGCATGGATGAGAGAGTGCTGGGTTGTGCAAAAGTGTCAGCCAGCCTGGTGTTTCTCTCTTGGATGAAGGAGTTCCACACTGAGGCACAATATAAACAATGAACTTGGTGATATAGGACAATAGTAGAAAATCCTAAAAACCAAGCAAAGGAGTTTGGATGTAGTGAACAGATAACGAAGAACTGGTACAAAATCTGCTGATGCAAACACTGCTGGCTTTTTAATATCACCAGATTGTGAACACCTATTATGTAAAAAGTGCCAGAGGAAAAGATTTTTGTCAAAGTAACATTGACCCTGATGGGGGGATAATATGAACTAGAAGATCAGTCTTTGGAAATCCTTGGACTAATCAATCAAAGAGTGGCAGTAGCCACAGAGGATACAGCCTGACCTCAGACTAATTCAGAGAAAACAATGGGCTTGACTCAGTGAGTAGATATGGGAGAAGAGAAGAAGGAAAGAAAACCAAAAGGATGGTGGGATCCCTAGAACTAAAGAGAAGTCTAAGGCTTAGCTACCTGGTTAGGTAGAACTGTGGTGGAGCTAGTTTGTCAACAAGGTTTAGATCTTGTAAATTGTCCACCCAAGTGAGAGTATTCCTTGGAGATGTTAAATATGTCACCCAAACTATAAATCAAGACACGTTGGGTCTCAGAAAAGATGTACTCTTCTGAGAGTACAGGAAGACAGGGGAACGATCTGGAAAACATCATTTGGATGCTAAACTATTAGAAATTTCAAGGTGTTATAATTTTTTATGGGTACATTAGGGTTAACTGGGTAGTCAGAACTTTAGGTGACTCGCAGGCCTGGTTAGAGGGGTATTGCTCCCACAGGTGCTTGAAAGAGCATCTCTAAGAATGAGAGAGGGACAGAACAGAAGATCTGGAGACCACAGACTGTATGACCTGGGTGATTAAGAAGAGGGCGATAAAAAAGAATCAGGACAGAGTATGAATAAGAAGTGAACAGAGATGTGAGAAGAGAACCAGAAACAAACTGAGCCACGTGGTTCCAAGGAGACGTTCTCTGCAAAGGCAGCAGAGAAGTAAAAAAAAAAAATGCTTAGACTTGCACATAGTTCATCAGACAGGGTGAGAGGGAGGCCACTGATACCCTCAGAAAGCAATTTGGGAGGAACAGGAACCTAGGAAACCAGACTGGGTGGCAGTTGTTGTGGGGGTGGAATCCCAGAGCCTAGTCAGGCCTCAAGACCCACAGGGCCACGTGCTGAATGAACACAAGACAGTCGGTCTAAAGACTTGGGCCTCAGCAGAAACCCATTTTGGAATCTGTCTGCCTGTGTAGCCTGGGGATAGTCAGCTTGCGGTGGGAGGAAAGAGCATGAACTCTAGAGTCAGACGGATGGATTTTGGTCTTTCCTCAGAAAGAAACCAACTGTTGAGACCCTGTCAAAGAGATTTAATCTCTACTTCTTCATCTTTAAAATGGAGCTACTTCTACTTATCTCACACAGTGGTTTCCTTTTTTAATTTTAAAGACTCAAATGAGATAAGATGCCTATAAAATATGGGGGAGGTGTTCAGTAAATACCAATTTCCCTAGAACAGTGGCTGGTTATACTGTGTTACTTGGAGTATGAGATTTCTTCAGCAACTTCTAGAAGCTGTTTTTAGGGTGAAGGGGTTCCAGGTAGGGATAGGGATACTGATTGGAGGAGCTCCAGCTACCCACATCCCAGTTTTACCAGAGCACCGGGATCCCCCAAAAGCTTTTGCTTAAGGCGGTAGGGGAGGAAGCAGAGACCAAACTACTGGGACTAGTAATGAATTCAGCAAGGTTTCAGTTCAGGATACAAGGTTAGCATACAAAATCCAATTGTATTCTTATATACTCTCAGCAGTCAATTGGAACATAAAAAATTTAAAACAATTTCAACACAGTAGTACCAAAAAAAAAACCAAAGAATACTTAGGAATAAATCTAAAGAAAGATGTCTAAGACCTCTACACCAGAAATTACAAAACATTACTGAGAGAAATTGTAAAGGACCTAAATATATGGTGAGATATATCACGTTCGTGGATAATTGGCTGTATTGATCTATAGAGCCAGTAAACTTCCATTTAAAATTTCAGCAGACTTTTTGGGGTAGAATTTCAGTGTGTGTTTGTTAGGAACCTTTAAGAAGCAGTTGGCAAGACTGCATTAAACATACAAGAGGTTTACAGGGGCAAATGACTGGGAAAGATAAAAAGGGAGGGAGCGGGAGTAGGCCAAAAAGCTTTCAGTCCCCAGTGTAGTCTGGAATCTGTGAAAGAAGAGAGGGAAGGGCGAGTTGTGTGGAAAGGGCTTCAGACAACAGTATAGCTCTGAGACAGTTTCAGTCAGCAGTAGGGAACCCCCAAGCAAAGATTGCCTGTTGGAAGAGTCCTGCCTTGGCTGGAATGGGCTACCACTAGTACCCTTAGCATGCTTGTCATTGTTTAGGAGCTACCCAGAGAAATATGGCCTTTCTGTGAACATGGTGGTGAATCCATAGGGTGGAACTGTCAACTATGCTCCAAATAGTAGTAGTAGTGGTAGTTGTTGTTGTTTTAAGGAGATTTGAGCAGTCCACCTCCATGGCAACCCCATAAAGTAATTTAAAAAAAAAAGAACCAAGTTGGAGAGCTCATCCTCCAATTTACTAATCTTGCTTTTATATTTCAAGACCTACTATAGCTATAGTAATCAAAATAGTTTTGTGTTGGCAAAAAATAAACATATAGATTAATGGAACAGAACAGAAAATCCAGAAATAGACCCATGCATATATTGCCAATTTTTAATAAAAGTACTAAGACAATTCAATTTGAGGGGGGAAAAGGGCCTTTTCAAAAAAACGGTGCTGGATATATCCATAAGAAAGAAAAAATAATAACCCTATTAACCCTTACCTCATACCATATACAAAATTTAACTCAAAATGGATCATAGACCTACATATAAAACCTAAAACTATTACACTTACAGAAGAAAAGAGGAGGTGACCTTGGAGTAGACAAAGGTCTCTCAGAACACAAAAAAAGTAGGAGCCATAAAGACACTTGACAAACTTGATCAAAAATTTAAAACTTAATCCTCAATAGACACAAAGAAAATAAAGCAGAGCACAGACTAAGATAAAGTATTCAAAACAACACGTATCAGACAACTCGAATCCAGAATATATATATATTAAAAAAGTCAATAAGACAACCCCATTTTTTTAAATGGGAAAAAAGATTTGGCCAGATGCTTCATAAAAGATATATGAATGGCCAGTAAGTTCATTTGAAAATGCTCAAAATTATTAATAATCAGGAAAATGCAAATTAAGATCGCAATCAGATACCTCTAGAATGGCTAAAATTCAAAGACTGAGAATGTGAAGCAACTGTAACTCTCATATACTGCTGATGGGAATGCAGTGGAACCTCGGAAGATAATTTGGCAGTTTCTTAAAAAGTTAAATATACACCTGCTATACAGCCACTGTTAGATTTTTACTCAAGAGAAGTGAAATATATGTCCACACAAAGACTTGTGCACTGACATCCATCATAGCCTTGCTTGAAACAGCCAAAAAAAAAGGGGGGGGGGGAAGGAAACGATGGAAATGCTCCTTAAGAAGTGAATGGGTAAACTGTGGCATAGCTATGCAATTGAGTACTGCTCAGCAATGTTAAGGAACAAACTATTGATATGAACAATAAGAATGAAACTCAAAATCAATATGCTAAGTAAAAGAAGCCAGATGAAAAAGAGTACAGACTGTTTGATTATGACAATAGAATTCCAGAAAGCACGAACTGATCAATAATGACAGGGAGCAAATCAGTGGTTATCAGGGGATGGGTGTGGAGGAAGGATGGGTGACAAGTGGGTGATGGAAATTAAATGCCACCTTGATTTTGTAATGGTTTCACAAGTGCATGTGTATATGTTAGAGCTCATAAAATAGTACACTTTAAATATTTGAGGTTTATTGCATGTTACTTATGCTTTGGCGAAGTCCTTTAAATGGGATGGGGGAGGGTGGGTCTGATGGAAGGAAAGCAACCCCACCTCTACAGTAAAAAGATTTGACACGTGCTCTGGAGGAAACCTAGGGGAAAGTGATATGGTACTTTGCTTTCATATTTATCTACTTAGTATCTGCTTCTTCCCCAGGGTGGGGAGGGGCGAAGGCGGAGCAATGCCTAGTGCCAACCAGTTGTGGCGTTCAGGCTCCTTCCAGTGCTCTCGCCTGCTAAGCTGGGGTGGGCACAGGGAAGACCCTTCCCCGGGGCATGGGGAGCCGGCAGGGCTGGTTTCAATGGCAATCCGCCATAGGGTCCCGCGCTCAGAAGGGGTCCCGCTTGGAATCTAATGAATGCTCTGCAGTCACCATATGAAATTCTTAATCATTTTTCCTTCAAATTCGTGTATTGTAAGTGAAGTGCAATAACACAGTGGATGCTTGAGAGCTTGGACTCTTGTCTCACCCCGGTCGCGTCTCCTGCGTCTTCCTGGGACAGGTTCTGGGCCCCCACCCGGCGAACACCGCTGCCCTCCGCCCTGGGCAGTGGCCGGCCACGGACGTGGGGGCGGCGCAGACCTCGGCGTACAGCCAAGGGACCTCGCCGCCACGCTGGGTCGCCTGTGAGGGTCGGCCTTTGGCCCGCCAGCGTCCCTGTGCTCAAGCCAGCGCAACTTAACTAGCAAATAAACCCTGCCGAGACAGGTGGACAGAAAGACCACGGGAGAAAGGGAAAGGCTTTTTCCTGCTTTTTGAACGCGGGGCCCCGCGTTTTTATTTTGCACTGGGCCGCGCAGATTCTGCGGGCGGCACCGACCGCAGGCAGCCGGCTGGAGACCGCTCGCCGCACCCCCTGCCTCGCCTAGTGCCCGAGCTGCTCCAGCTGTGAATGGGACACAATACGAGGAGCTGGTTTTGCTCCTGAAAGCGTCCAACAAAAATCTGGCTCGATTCGCCCTGCTTGGGAGTGACAGAGACCCAATCTTTGTCATGAAAAGCAGGAAACGGGAGGGCAGCTTTGCTCTCCAGAGCAGGGAATGTGTCTGGGTAGAAGCAGGGAAAGTTCCTGCCCACCTCAGATTTTCTTCTGGATGCAGACTGCCCTGTTCTTTGACTTCCTCTCCAGTGTGGAATAAGGCTGAGGGTCTCAATTTGGTGAAAAAAGTAACCATGACAACAGTCACATCGTGGAGAGCATAGTAAAATGTGTAAAGCTCACTGGCAATGCCTTCCCTTCCAGAATGAAAGCTCCTCTAGTCAGACAACGACTCAACGGCACCAAAAGAGCGGAAGGGAAGACCAGACCAGGGAAGGCTTTCCGTGCCCTGCCCTGGGGCCTTCCACAGATTAGGGGACCTCCGTGATTTGTCAGCTCTTTGCCTCCAGCTTTCTCACACGGTCCGGGGCTGCTTTCGAGAGCTTATACTAAAAGGGCAAGAGCAGAGATGAGCTGTTTTTAGGAAACATGTGCTACAAATGAAGTAAACCCATGGAATTTCAAAATAAAAATAAACTTGGAAAGTTCCACTAAAAGGCTTAGGGCCTGATAGAAATTGTGCAGGAATCCTCGACTCCGAGGTTTGAAGAAGGACTGGCAGAAGCTTGTCCACCTTCGTCTAGATGAGGAGGGAGGTGCTTCTCTTCCTGCCACAGGGGAGGCTTCCCACTCAGTCCTCCTTCCATAGGCAGGACGAAGCAATCGCATCTTTAGGGGGCACTGGTTGGAATGAGAGACAGGTGGCCTGGGCTCCAAACTCTGTCACTAATTAGCTGTGGGACCTTGGGTACATAGTTTAACCTCTTAGGATGCTCCAGTGCTTGCCCTGCTCTGTCCGTGGAGATGCAAGTGCCTTGCAAGGAGAGGAATGTGTCATGTACATAATGTGATTTGTAGGCACACATCCTCATGTGTTCATTTCTCTTTGCTCTTCTCCCAGCCTGGCAGAGTAGGGTTGATTGGATCTGGAAGCTTTTTGTGAGGTGAGAGCAAAATCTTTCCTCAGTTGGCTCTGGGCTGCACAGCTGGGGAGACTTTGGGAGAGAACAGAAGCTTCTTTTACCTTTGTGCAAAGGAAGCCAGCCATTTCCCTCAAGGTTGGCGGAAGCTAGATTTGCTATGTTTCTGGAGCTATCACTAGATTTATCCAGACCAGGCATATCCTCTAGCCTGTAGCCTGACTGGCTCAGTGGGCATCCAGGGATCCGAATGAAGCTCAAACAGCTAAAAAGGGCAGGCAGATAACGACCAGAGTATAATAAACTGTGGGGGAACGGTTGGCACTGAGGAGAGCGGAGAGCCCCTGCCCTGTGGAAAGAGGGCAGTCCTTGCTTGGGGACAGCTGGTTGTTGCCACAAGGTAATGTGATTCCTCTAGAGCCAGATCTGATTTTTTTCTTAAAAGAGGCCTGTAATCTGGACTTTAAGATATCCAAAATTTTAAATAAAGACAACGAAAGCAAATGTAAAACTCAGTATAAGCCAAAAGAAGACAGGTGAGCAGGTCGAGTGGGTGAATGATAGGAAACTGCAGTCAGGACTGGGAAATCTGAGAGCAATGCACTTTTGCCTGGGTTCCCACAGAGAGCCCTAACAGGAGCACCCTGCCTCCCTCAGCCTGTCTTCCTCCCTCCGGGCTGAGGAGACTTTCTATCTGTCCCCATCCCTTTTGTTCAAGCCAATATTGTGGCCAATCCTTGCCTAACTTTTATGGGATCTGGATTTTGAAACTCAAAATATTTATTTTTTCCATCTGCTTTCTGCTTCCCTTAGGCAATGAAAAATGCTCAGCTGACTTAATGTGGGGAGGGAGTAAAGGGCAAACAGGTCAACATCTCAGAGGGAAGGGAGGACATGGAACGCTGTCTGACCTGCCCGCAGCCAGGGGAGGTGGGATCCAGAATGGCAGGCTATACTGGGTGGAGGAATGCCACACACATAGCCTTGGAGGCCCAAACGGGGCAGTGTGCTTGGGAAGTTAGGCCCAGTTTGATAGAGCTGCATGGAGCGCAGGGCAAGTGGCAGGGGATGAGACTGGAAAAGTGGATGAAATAGGATTTATGTAACATAAGAAAGTGTAATTGGCTCAAATGTCTGATTACTTATGTGTTATTTTTGTAAAGCTGGTGACCCAACCCTACATTGGTTTTGTATAATTTAACATCTGTGCACTTTGAAGTGACATACATTGAAGAACCTTCAGAGTGTCAGAAACCATGACCTGGAAAGCACATCTATCCTAATTTGGGGGTGGTCTTGATCTCTATGAAGTATCCAAACTGATACTGATTGGACTCATTTGAGGATATCAAGTAACATCAGACTTCACTGAGAGGTGTGCCACCGCTGTAACCAAGGGACTGCTACTACTTTCTGCCTGCACCCCACCCCAGTTCCTATTCCCTGTTTCCCCAGCTGCATCCAACTCTTCTTGTTCCCCGGTGATCCTTCCAACTCTTTCTCTTCACTATATTGGGGCTGGCCCCTGAAGACTCCATTTTTTCCTTCTGCCCTGCGTTTTCAATAATAAATTCTATAATTTCAGTGCTGGGAGCTGGTGTTAGTGTCTTCCAGGCAACTCACTGCTGTCCCTTGACCGTCGTTACTCTTTCCTTCTAAAAGACTGAAATCTCCTGTAAGGTTCACTTCACACTATCCACCAATTCACCCTGTCTCCCCTACTAACCAAAGGCTTTGGTATCTTTCTCGGGGTCTTACCCTCCCCCCCGACTCCTGCCATCATTCTAAGTAACTGAATGTCCTTGTGGCTGATCCAACCAATGCCCTGACTACCCAGTTCCATGATGACTGCACCGTCAGTGATGTTATTTGCCCTTTCACCTCAGCACACTCACATGGACACAGCGGTGAACCTGTCATCATCAGAAACTGTGCCTCCTCTGAAATCTCATTCTCTTGCCACCACCCTCCAGCTCCCTTGCTCAAGTCCCTTCTCTACAGCAGTTCTCCAGCCTCAATGAGATTTCCAAGCCAATGGTCCCTCCACTTTGCCTATGTCCATAAATCTCCTCCTATCTTCATTTTCTTTTGTATCTAGCTCAGAGGCCATGGTTCTTCCTACAGTGTCCTAAAAATACCACTAAATCCTTTGTTGACCTCTCAGTTGTTCCCAGATTTACTCATGCCTGTTGCCTGAACAGATCAGAATTACTGGAGAATGTGACACAACTGGGCATTTTGGCATGGCTCCAACTTCATGCTCTCCAAACTCAGCTGGGACCTCCACACTGCCTAGCAGGTTTACTGTGCTTTTCTAGAAGCTCCCTCCATGTTCACAATCACAATCTCATTTCTTCCTCTCAGAGTTGGAATGCTTGCAACCCCTTTATTCCCAGAGCAGCAGCCTGGGAGGATTGGATGGGTCCATTGGATTTGCTCCTGTCCTCTCCTTTCATCACTGCCTCCAGCAAAGTACAGTCCCTCCACAGGTGCCTGGATCTCATGCCTTCCTCCCTGGTCAGGGCTCTTGTTCTGTCAGCTATACCCTCTCTTTTCCAAATCTTTGACCTCTTCCTCACTACTGGATTTTTCCCTTCAGCACTCAAATATATGCAAGAATCCACCCTCACAAACAAAGCCAAGCAAGTGAAAACTTCCCTAACTCCACACCTCTGTCAAGTTATCACCCATTCTGTCTATTCTCCTTTAACAGCCACGCTTTTTGACCATTATGCATAGGCACTGCCTCTACTTTATCTCCTCCTCTCCTTTCCATTCTGGCTTCCTGCTTCACCACATTGCAGAAACTGCTCTTGTCGTGGTCACCAGTTTATCCAATGTCAATGTTCTGCCTGCATCTGACTTGACCACTCAGCAGCCCTTTATACAGTTAACCATATCTTCCTTCTTGAAACACTCTCTCTTCCGCTTCAGTGATAAAATAGGGGTTTTTTGTTTGTTTTATTTACACCTTATGACAGTTCTTTCTGAGGATTTTTTTTTTGTCTGTTCCTTTTCCTACCAAATTCTAAATTCTTGAGTTCTTTGGGAGTTCATATCACAACATATTCTGCCTTGCAATTTCAGCTTCTCTCAAGACCTTAAATACCATCTCTACAGTGGCCAAATTTAGGTCCCTGGTTTAATCTTTCTTGAAATCTTAACTTTTCCATTACAGAACTGAAATTAAGTACTTATTTGGGTGATTATCTATATTTTGCTTGTCTCCCCTCCTAGACTATAGGCTCCAGGAGTGCAAGCATTGTCTTTTTTTTATTCACCACTTCCATAATCCGTTGAGTCAGCTTCAATGTCAATTCCTACCCAATGGGTTCATGCTCTGTCTGCCAAAGGCCAAAGCAAGTATCATGAAATTTTCTAAGAGCTAGGACATGTCACTGCAGCCTTTTCTCCAAATTTAAGTGTGCAACTATATTTTCTTTATTGCAGAACAGGAAGTCAAGTAGTTTCTTTTGCCAGAAATGGGGAAATCGTATATCAATAACCCTAGCACTGGGGGAGTGAGGAGGCCTCAAGTCTGTGAGTCCAGGCATGACATGGCAAACTCTATAGATTTTGGAAGACTAACTGTCAGCAGTAAGGAAGAAAAATTGGTAGGAGGAGAGAATAGGGGCAGGGTTATTTGTTGTGATTCTGTTTCAAGAGAGGGCTGATGAAAGCTCATGGATGGCCTTGAGAATAGAGAGTGCTGAGACCACCTCAGCTGGGGAGACCCTAACCCAGTGCGCTAGAGGAATTAAAGACACACACACAGAAATATAGCATGTGGAGTGGGAAATCAGGGGTCTCACAGCCTTCAGAGCTGAGAGCCCTGAACAGAGATTTACCCACATATTTATTGACAGCAAGCCAGTGATAAGTATTGTTTCTATAGAATATAGATTTACTAAAAGTATTCCTTACAGAAACAAAGGGATGGGCTCTGGCTAGTTATCTGCAGCAGGAACATGTCCTTAAGGCACAGATCGCTCATGCTATTGTTTGTGGCTTAGGAACGCCTTTAAGTGGTTTTCTGCCCTGGGTGGGCCAGGTGTTCCTTGCCCTCATTTCAGTAAACCCACAACCTTCAGCATGGGCATTATGGCCATGACCAACATGTCACAATGCTGCAGAGATTTTGTTTATGGCCAGTTTTGGGGCCAGTTTATGGCCAGATTTGGGGGCCTGTTCCCAACAGAGAGGAAAGGGGAAAGGAGGGACTTTCAGAGATGAAATAACAATTGATTGGGGGAGAGATGGTGGGCAGTGAGAAGTGGCCCAGAACCTGAAGACTCTACTGCTTCACCCATCGGCCTCTCCAATGGGCCCTCACTTGCATGCTATTCTTACTCCCTGGGAGGACCTGCCCCACACTTCTCTCCTTGGAATTCTATTCCTCCACCATGACCTCTCTGAAACTCTCCTTGACTACCCTGCGAAAGTAACTCTTTCTGTTCTCTTTACCCCCACAGCACTTGTCAAGTGGTCAGTTTTATTTCCAGTTGTATGCAACACGAGTGCTTATGCAGTTAGCTATATCAAGGCATTGTGCCATCTGTAATGAAATGGCTAAAAAACCCATACATTTGAAGAAACACACTTGCTTTCTTTATTTCCTTGACTTGCAGTTAGTATTAACTGACCAAAAGCATTATCTTCCTCTTTTTGCTTTTTTATGAAGTTTTGGTAGGTCGTGTTAATAATACCCATTACTCATTTCTCTGATAAGATTATAGAACTGCAAGGTCTTGGATGACATTGGCCTGCTCCTTCTGTTACGGGTGGGTCTTTGTTCTTAGAGCTCCCAAGATGGTGGTTGGCCACTCCCAAGATGGTCGTGGGCCACTCCCAAGATGGTGGCAAGCCTTTTGTTGTCTGACCTGGGGTTCTTGGCCTCACAGATTCCAAGGAATGGAACCTTGGGCCATGCGGTGAGTGTTATAGCTCTATTAGAAGCCGTGGGTCATGGAAGAGAACCGTGGAACCCAGCAACTAGTGTTCAGCTCGATTAGGCTGAACCTGAGCACTTAGCCATGCAGGAACAATGGCGAGCCTCTAGCCCGATCGGGAGTGGCGATGGGCACCTCGCTGGATCAGAAGGTCAGTGGACACCCTGCTGGATCCGGAGAGGTGGGAGTCAATGGTGGGTCTGTGATGGTGGCATTCAGCAGTGGTGGACTGTGAATGAAAGCTCAGCTCGAGCCAGAACAAACACGGACCAGAAGAGTGTGCAGTTGCAAGATTTAATAGAGTGAAAACAGGGCTCCCATACAAGGAGAGAGGACCCAAACAGGGTTGCCCACACCTGGCTCGAATGCCTGGGGTTTATAGCCTGATCATTGTCCCTCCCTCTGTGCTCTCAGGCAATATATGATTTGACTATTTCTTTACCTCCTGCTTTTAGCCCAATTTGTATTTTAGTGAGCCCTCTTTACTACCTGATTGGCCGGGTGTGAGCTGAGTTACAAGCCCTGTGTTTAAAGGTAGGTGCGGTCACCTTCCCCAGCTAGGCTTAGGAATTCTTAGTCGGCCTAGGAAATCCATCTAGTTCTGTCTCTCACTTCCTTTGATTTTGAAGTAAACAATCTCTTAACTTTGGGATAGCCTGAGACACCACCTCTGACTTCTAAATGACTCAATATCCCGAAAACCCGTGGTAATCTCAGTCCGTCTCAGCTGGTTCCAATTAACCTCTTTCCAAGCTATCTGTGTGGGCCTGCTTTAGCCTTTTAAAAGGAACCAGACGTTTTTAGTCACAATGGATGCATATGATAGCATGGTTTACCTCAGATATGCTGTGGGTTAGCTTCTATAGGCTTTCTTATATTTAATGCTTTCCCCTGACTTCACATTTAATGCTTTTCCAAAAATTTCCCAACATCACTAAGGCTTCAGCAGCCCTTTAGGACCAGTATTTCTGGGAAAACACTCAAAATACATCTGAATCTGTGTCGTATATCATCACCTAGAGCATGCCACCATCTAGTTTCAGCAAAATCCTAGTGATTCCACCAGACAAGAAAGATTGCCTCACTGGGAGACAGTTGCTGATTCCTGTTGCCCTTCACTGGTCTACTTTGATAATTGGCATATGCCTTTCCTGCGGCATTTTATCACATAAAGCTTTGCTGTTTTTATCTGTGTTCATGTCTTTCTCTCTAGATGTATCATTAAAGGCAAAAACAATATTCATTTAGTGTTCTTCTTACCTGTCCTTCTCTCCCCAATACTGGAATCCTAACACCATGCATTGCACTTTTTTGGTGTTCAGGGTTCTAGGAAAGCTGGTAAATGGATGAATCATAAATGTAATTTGGGGCAATTTTTTCACAAAATGTGTCACCTATCTTTGTCTTTTCTCTGCCCACTCATACTGGCTTTCTGTGGCTTCTCCCCATCTGTCTAGCATTTCTCTCTACCTCTGAAGAATATCAGTCTGGTGCAGCCCTAGCACCTTCTTTGGACTCATTGTTAAAGATGTTGAGGAAGGCTAGCTCCAAGGTTTACCGTTTGCATTTAGAGAACTGTCTTACCATGCCTGGTTTCTTCAGCCCTGATAAGACTATGCCATCTTCACCCTCCCTTCCCCTGACCCTTCCTTAGCCACCTCATCCAACCTATGGCAACTCAACAAGAAAAGCTTACAAAGTCTTCCTTGGCAAAAGAGCTGGTTGACTTGAGCCAAAGGAAGCTAGGTGCAGTGTCCGATTCACTCCCCCAAATCCCCCTTGAAACTGGAGAATTGAAAACAATCTGGTTTCTCTCTGGGTTCTTTCATTATACCATGTTTTCTTGCATATAGACAGAATAATGTGGTTGTTACAATTATTTATAAATGTAGTGTATGCCAGGAACTGATCACTGTGTGTAACGGATACACCATTATTTTTCAAGGAAAAAAAATATTTTGGGCTTTGATGATTACTAGACAGATGTCCTTGGTGATAATAATCACAGTAAGTCCCAACTCTACCCAGTACTTCACAATTCTCTCAGTGCTTTCCTACTTGTTGTCTCCTGTAATGACGTATCATATCCTGAATGGCGGGAGGGCAAGGATCATTAGTCTCATTTTACACATGCTCATTCTGGGACTGGGAGAGAGATTTCCTGATTTGCCTAAACTGCCACAGTTTGTCAATGATGGTGGAGGGATGGGGGCAACACTGAACCTCCAGCTTCCTAAGACTTTCCCACTTTCTCAAGCTTTTGTCGAATGTGTCATTAGTGGCATTCACTTTGGTCAACTTTGGTTCCTTGGGTATTGCTGGCTCCCCATTTTTTTGGATTTAAACTCTTCAAATTAAATAAATCAGATTTACATGTTAAAAAGAAAAGTCTTCTCTAAAAGACTCCTTCATTTTTGTAAATCTTTGTAATAATTTCAACAGACCTTACCTTAGAATTTCAGGCAATAGGTACATATCGTACACCTCTGTTAGTTCTTCCAGAGACTGGCGCAGGGGTTGGAGATGGGAGGGAATAGATGGGGGAAGGAATGTGGAGCAGGGGCCTGGACTCCAGTCCAAGCTCTGCTGAAGGAGGGCCTTTTCCAAAGTGGATCCTCCTGAAGGCAGAGGCTCTTCTAGAACACATAAATGTGCAGCATTGGCTAGTAGGAGTCCTGCTGGAACGAGGCTGAGGCACATACAGGATAGTTTATAGGAGAGTCAAGTCTCATGCATTAAAATTAAACAAGCACTTGGGCTTTGTTGGAATAAAGATATGCTAGAAATGTCACCAAGGATATATACCAAATGCCAAATGTAGTCATATACAATGAAGGAGAGCAATGGTAGGAGAGGTGTCGGCAGGCTGGAGAGAACAACAAGTGCTGTGGGCTAGGAACTGTGATTTGGAAGTGTGCAACCCAAACTAAAAGGAGAGAAAATGGTTACAGCCACTGGCAGCATCCCAGAGTCTTACCTACTGCCTCCGGTCCTTTGCAAGTAGGTAGGGTATAAATATAATGTTATCTGCCCAGCACAAAGGAGAGGGGAGAAAAGAAAGCAAGAGGCAGTCAAAGGGACAGAGCCTAGTTCTGAGTCCTGTTTTACCACTCAATCCCTGGATGACCTTGAGCAAGTTGCTTCTATTCTGGACTTCATTGGTAACAGCTAACTCACAGAGTCAATATGAGGATTAAATAAGACTATTGGCTAAAAGGTGCTTAGAATAGTGCCTAGCACAGAGTAAGCACTTAATAAGTGTTAGCTATTATTGTGATAATACATGCATAGAAGTATATGCATGCATGTACATTTACCAGTATGTACACATTTGCACACACAAAATGCCCATTGTGATCTGCAAGTAGCACTAGGATCCAAAAATTAAAAGTTATTATGTTCCACAGGCCACCTTGAAAAGTTAGGGGAAAAAAAAAACTTGACCTTCATGTGTTGTTGCTGTTTTTAAGTGGCTCAGCACTTTGAAATAACATTTGGAGGAAAGCATTGCAATGGAAGCAGCGCTGTGTGGGATTGATCCTGGAGACCTGGGCTCAGGCGCTGGAGCACAATGTCCAGGAAGCCAAGGCCTGTTTGGATTCCTTACGCCATGACATGGAGGCAAAGCTCCTCTTGGCTGCCAACCCAAGAGCCCACAGTCCTGTGAGCTTCACCCTTCCTAGGGCTGTTTGTGGTCTGGGCCCTCGAGGTTGTGGGAGACCAGTTTGATTGCTAAGGGAAAATCCCAGAATGGCTCTTCTTGTCCTTACCGAATCACTACCCTTCACCTTCCTGCGTCCTGCCCCAGCCTGGAGGGCCTACCTAGGCCTGCTATTACTTCCAACCCAGAAGTGTAGCGAATTGGGGCCATGACCACAAGGTTTACACTTGGTTACTTGGTGGAATATGAACTCTTGGGCAAGTTACCTAATATTGCCAAGCCACATCTGTAAAGTGGATATGAGAATAGAATCTACTTCATGGGTCTGATTGTGAGGTTTAGATATAATAAGGTGAAGTTTGGCACTCAATAAAAGGTAGCTGTGCTCATTCTTACCAGCAGCAACGAGGGCAGTATTGATGCTGCAGGCAGAGAGAAAGGGGGAGGCTGCTGCCTAAAGCACCCTTGCCACTCACATGTAATTAGGTGACCATACAATTTATTATCCAAAAGGAGACACTTAAGATTGGAGGGGGTGCAATTAATAATGGTGCCAGGACAACAGGCATAAATTGGGACAGTCTTAGGCAGACTTGCCCATGATTCCTTACCCACTGCCCACCCATCATCTGACTACACCTCTTTCTTCAAAGCATAGATCTCAGTGGGATATTTTTCTTCTTCCTGATCGCTTTGTTTTTTGAAGGGTATGATCGCTTTGTTTTTGAAGGATATGATTCTGCCATTAACATTAGCTATCACTTACTGAGGAGCAAACATGTGTTTGCCTTTGTGTTAGGTGTTTTATGGAAATGAGCTCTAAAATCCTTGCAGCAACCTTGGGAGGCAGGTGCTACTTCCATTACCCGGTTATAGAATGTGAGGCTTAGGGAGGTTAAGTCACTTGCCCAGCCAAGGTTACAGGTCTATTAAATGGTATATTTGGTATTTGCCACTTGCCATTTTAACAGCATTTTATTGGCCTTTGCGGATCAGAATGTTTAGCGGTGACCCCAGAATGACTTGTGCAGGACCCCCACTCCCACCTCTCCCCTGCTACACTCATGGGGTAGGTGTCAGGGTGTATATCTTCCTGTCATACATCCACCAATTCCCCAATTCTCAGGTCATAGCAGTGGGCTGAATAACCATTGGCTGCCCTCAGATTTCCGCAGAAATGGAAGCTTCTTAAATATAGGCTGTTAAACCTGGTTTGAGTTTCTTTGTAAAAGGAATCTTGTATAGTTTCCATAAGACCTAAAGATTGTACAGCTAAGCCTGCTGAAGAATTTGTCCTTATTTTTTCCATTTCAGATATTCCCAAGGTTAGGTAGAGGGGGTGGTGTTGAAGAGCAGGCTCTCTAGAGCCAATGCTGTTTATTAATAAGCTGTACAGACACGCTTCTTCCAGGAATGTGCACTTTTGATTCTGCTGTGGTGATAAAGATACTCTGCCTTGCCCATTAAGCATTTGTTGGTGGAAAACATTACCTTTAAATAAATGTCTGGTTCTATGTGAGCAAAGCTAGGGCTCCCATAAAATTGGGCAATGATACTCTGAATTCAGCTGAACTGTTTGGGCAACTTTGTCACTTCTGGGGCCATCATTTTCAGGATAGTTCCCACAGTGTGAGAAAATGACTGCTTCCTATAGTACTGTCAAGAGTGTGAAAAGAGAGCTCTTTAGCAAACACATTATTTATCCATCCTTAAAAAGCTTGTCACCTCCAGGGTGCTTGTTCAGAAGTAATCTCATTACTTAAATCATATCCTAGCATGTGGAAAAGCTCCCTGAGTTCCCCGCCTGCCCCACCTGCTGATTTCTCAGGACCGCTGATAACAGCTTTCATGTGGAACTTGGGATTAATATCAAGCAAGCCATGGATTTTGTCTCCACTGAACTTGGGCATCATGGACAGTTTCCATTCCAGCAGTTAAGGGCTTCCTGACTTTCAACAGTGGTGCTGATCCCAGTTCTGAAGAGTGGAACATCAGAGAGCCTCCCCTCCTCAGCCACTTGTAAGCATAACAAACTGAAAATGTAATCTGCTTTCAAATATTCTGTTGAGTAAAGATTCCTTTTAATTACTTTAACTGGGTTTTTGTAGAGACAAGGGACCGTTCTCTGTTTCCCATGTCATAAATGACTTTAATGAGAAATGGTGAACACATCAATTAGGGCAAGCCCACCTGCACTGGGGCTACCCTCCCTTCAACTCCCCATACCCTGTTGGGTAGAAACCATGTGGGAATTTACTGATCAGCTGTTCCAGAGACCCTTAGAACAAATAGCGTTTGCCCCCAATTACTGAATAATGCCTACATAATTTGGAAAGAGGGAGATTTCCTACTTTGGGTAAGAACATTGCCTCCCTCACCATCAGGGCCTTTGAACACACTGTTCTCTCTCCCTGGAATAAGTCACTCCTTGGCCATTTCTTCTCCTGGCAAACACTCACTCACCCTTAAGACTCAGCTTAAGGGAGCCCATGACCCTGTTTGAGGTTCTGGAGGGTTTTCTGTTACATCCTCCCATAGGACCCCACAGCTCCCTTCGATCCATCTCATCTCATTTTTCCTGTTAGCCAACTAACAGGAAATTTCAGCCACAAATGAGCACATATTAAGTAATCACTGTGCATTTGAGGAATGCCAACACCTTGAAAGGAAACCGCAAGTTGTAAACAGAGTTTATACCTGAGGAGACTTACTGATCATTCAAAACATTCAATATATTCAAGTATATATTGAATTGTTAGCATCAGAGACACAAACAGATATTGCATCCATAAAAACATAAACAGATAGTGGACATTAATATTTTAGTTTTTGAAATAAAAATGTGAATGGACGACCCGAAAGGACAAACAGATGACAAACTGGATTGAGAGAGTCAATCAAGGAATTATCCCAGAATGTAGCACAAAGAGAAAAGAGATGAAAAATATGAGAAACCAGGCAAGAAATATGAAGGATGGATCCATGAGACTGAATGTTTGTCTAATTGGTATTCTAAGAAGCAAAAATGGCAAAAATGGAGGGGGGTGGGGCCACAGTCAAATATTAAGGAAGAACTGAAGACTGCTTGAAGTCTCAGAAGTAAAAAGTCACATACAGATATCTCACTGGGGCCAATCCTTCAATCAATCACTGAAGATAGACTTAATTTGGGAAGCAGTCAAAGGTCATTTGCAACCAAGTGTGGTAGAAAAGATGGATAATCAAACCTAGTTCTTGTCGACTATGAGACGTAAGTTAAATTAGATGAAAAATTTTAAAATTATTTGCAAGGCTGATAATAGACTTCTGAAGATGCCTGGCCTCTGCTATCAGCACCCACAGGCAGTTTAGCTAGTTGAGTTTGCTCTGTTTTTCTCAAAACCTCCTTTACTTTCCTCGTATCACTGAATGGGAGGTAATGAACAAATTAGAAACTGGGGTCGACTAAGAGAGCACTGCCTCTCCTGTATTGTCCCTCATCAACTGCCTTTCTACTTATATTTCCACAATAGATATTATTGCTTCCTAACACAAATCTAGCCTCTTCATTTTTGTTATCCCCCAACTGCTTTATGCACTCCTACCTCCAGCATTGCAAATACCTCTCCTCTACTTGCCATCAAAATCTCAACCACATTTCAAGGCCCAGAACAAGTCCCATCATTCACGTGAAGCCTCCTTTCGTCTGTATGCTAATATCTCTTTGTACTTGTCAACAGTACCAAGCTTCTTAGTTTTCTCTCCCAATAGTAGACTGCAGGCTTCCCTAGAGCTGAGAGTGTGCCAAACATTTGCTTAATGATAATTAGGAACTTCTCCAGGTACATGTTACAATGAAAATATCCCAGGAGGGAGAACAAGTTGAAGGATTAGCCCCTGGATATGAATTATTTTGATGAGGTAATATCCTCTGACTGGGCAGAGGATAGTAGGTGGATAGAAAATGTGGGGAAATGACACATAAAAGGAAGTGTGGGTGGGAAGGGGCACTGGAGGCAAATGTTGAGAATCCCAACAAGTGTGTTCAGTGACCTCGTGGCTCTCACATGATCCCCTAATATAGCTGTGACAAGAGGGATGTATTGGGAGCTACACGACTACCCCACTCCCCAACCTGCTCCATGTTCTCAAGACAGATATAGTAACCTTTTCAAAGGCATATAGCTCTTTAGGGACCCCTGAGGGCACAACTCCAGTCCAAACTGTTCCTTCCAGCTACCCCAGGGACTGTCCATTATTATTTCTGCTCTTGCTGGAGACTGAATCATAATAAGTTTATTGAGGTTTTGCTATATGCTAGACACCTGATAAGGCCCTAACAGGCTTTATCTCGTTTCTTCCTCCTAGTAACCACATCAAGAAATACCACTATTTCCCCCATTTTTTTCTAATGAGGAAACTAAGGTAGAGATCTAGCAGTGGACATAGTGATAGAGGGTCCCCCTGGACACAGGAATGTGAATGGTGTGGGGAGGAATGCAGAAGCAGCTTTGAGTTTCCCCAGCCAATTAGTTTCTCATTCTCTCTACCTGCAATGCCCTTCCTCAGCTTGGTATCTTGCAGAGTAATGCTTTTCTTTCAAGACCTACTCATAAAGCCATAGGTGACCTTCCTAGGGTAGTCACTTTCTCCTCTCTTTTCATAGCTGTTTATGCCTCTGAACACTTGTGCAATCTGTCTTCCCCAGATTAACTCCGTAAGAGCAACAACCTCATTTCCCCATATTCCTACAGCCTAGAGCCTAAAACAGTGGCTAGTGGCTAGGATATTGTAGATTTACTCAGTGTTGGAGGTGAAGACAGTGGCCTCCACAGGCGCACACTCCGTGTGCCCTCCATGCACTGGAACCCTCCTTGGCAGAAACCTGGAGATTCCATGAGCCTTGATGCCCTCTTCAGGGCCACAGTGTGAGTCTGTCAGTCTGAGGGCCCACAGATGGGATATCAGGGTACCAATTTTGCCCCTCACTTTCCCCTTAAACGTTTCTCACTGATTCTGTGGACCGAAAAATGTAACACCCCATTATCAACTGTAATTTGGGGTCTAGTTAAAATGAAAAATCTTCAAGAGAAATTGTATTCTCTTATAACCTGGAAACAACTTTCTATCAGTCAGTGAAGGTGGTTTTAATCAGGAAAGAGCCTCTGGGACATTGGACACCTGAGGCAGAAGGTTGAGAAAGGAACTGGGCCCAGGAGTTGTTCATTTGAGGTCTTTGGATTGGGCTTTAGGGGGTCTGGGATCCCAGAATTGTACTGAAACTTTGCATGTTGATTCCCGAGTGTGTTTCTCCAGAGCAAGATTCCACCACGTTCACTGGATCCTTAGAATGGGTCTGGGACTCTAAAAGAAATGAGAAGAGCTAGAGAAGTTGGCCAAAGTGGGCCACATGCACCCCAGCCTCCCTGACGTCTCAGTGTATCTCTGCATACCTGGGCCTACAGGCACCACTGGCTGGCCTAAGACAACGTGGAAGAAAAGAACCAAGGAAGGCGGCAGGGCAAAGGCACAGGGAAGGGCTGGGGAGGGGCAGCTAAGACAAAGGGTAAGAATGCTGGGCAGCAGACACAGAGATACAGAGATAAGAGGGGCCCTGTGGCTCAACCCCCTCATTTTATAGATAAGGAAATGGACGTCCAGAGAGGCTAGGTGGCCCCAGCACTCTGGGGTCAGCTAGGAGCTTCCTTGCCAGAGTGTCCCTGCTCTAGGACATCTCTATGGCCTCACAGTCTGTTCATTAAACAACAGATAAGCTCTCAAGGAAAGGCCAGCAGTGCTGCTGCTATCTGACTGTTTGGGTGGTAGCTATGGGCCACTGAGTTGCTGGGACTTGGCATTTGGAATCACTGCTAAGATGTGCAGAAGGCAAACATCCCTCTGAGGATATGTGAATGTATCATTCTTTGATGACCCCAGGCCTAAAAGGCTTAAGAGGCTAACCATTGGTTCACTTCACTTCACAAACATTTACTGAGCACTTACTGGGTGTGAAGCACTTGTGGTAGCCCCCGGGAGCTAGATAGAAAAGCGAGGTGTGAGTCCTTGCTCTGGAGGAACTTATGTTGTGGAAATATTGACAGACATTCCCTGTTTCTGCCGTTACAAGAACTTATCATATCCAGGTAGATGCGCAGAAGGAAGCAAGGCCACTTGGGACCGCAGTGTGACAAATCTTGGATGCCAAGACTCAGGCATGGCTCTGGATCTCACCACAGAAAGAGGTTCAGGGGGCCTCTCTGGCTGGCGGCACCTGGGCTGCCCTAAGGATTGTGTATCCACTTGGGGACCTTCCGTCTTTGCTACCAGAGGCAAGGAATCCCACAACTCCATGTGCCACAGAGACCTTAAAGCCGGAGGAACGACAAACACCACCACTGGCACTTGGCTCCGGAGGCTTCCCTTTCGCCCTCACCTCAGTGTCCCGAGGCAGTTTCAGTGCTCCCCCTCAGCCCGGGCGTGGCAGGCCTGGGAAGTGAACAGGTCTCTGAGACTCGTACTCAGCTCATCTGGCCCCAAAGCCTGTTCTTGTGATGTGGTCTCTGGGTCTTGTACTCAGCTCATCTGACCCTAAAGCCTGCTCCTGTGCTGTTGTCACTTCTGCCTTTTCCTTCCTCAGGTTAAAAGCCCAGTTTTGGCTGGAAAATTCCACTACCTTATCTACTCTGGGGCCAGGTAACCTGTTAGGTCTTACAAAATTGAATTGAAAAGTGAAGTCATGGGAAACCTCTTAGAAAAATGACTGCTGTTCCTGGAACAATCCCCAACTGGCCCTTTCTGCCTCCTCCATAAGGCGAGGTCAGACTCCTCGTGAGAAAAACTATGGTTTGGGTGTCAGGCAACCCCAATGCAATAGGATCTGGGGGATCAACCCCAATTCAATAGGCTCCCCAAATAGTGCCCCCACTTTGTCTCATGGCCTGAAATGCCTTAGATAATCAAGAAGTCTTTTAAAACAGTCATTTCTCACTGTGTTTCAGAAAAACTTCTCTGGGAGACTCTATCAGATGCAGCCCACTGGGAAGACAATAGATTAGGTATCTGAGGAACCAGAAGCACCATCAGACAGGCAAATAGGCTAGCTGAGATAAGGGCACTCTTGGACTACTATTGCTTTTGACTGCCAATGTTCCCAAGTCCCAGGCTTGCTGGTAGTCAGCCAATAAGTCATTGTGAAGAAAGGAGTGATTCTACAAACCCACATGGAGCACCTCCTGGGGAGGTGTTGTGCTAGAAGTCACGGAACCTCAGAGGTGAGTGAGAAAGCCACGGTCCTGCCTGATGGATGCCCAAGAGCCTTGGGTCTTCACACACATGTGAAATGTGGGTTTTAGCAGCAGGTACCTTTCATACACCATCAATAGTCTTCCCTATGTGGGTAAAACCCTAGGGGCTGAGGTCTCCCATTGGTGCCTTCAGGGCTTTTTGCTCATTCCACACAAATGGTCAGTCAGAGACCACAGCAGGGATGGGAACTATAGGGTGGACAAGGCATTTGCCCTGAAGGTAGTCCACACCATGTGTATCTAGCTGCATTTTTCCTGTTGGTTCCTATTGTCTTGCTCCTGCTCCAGAAGAAGAATGTCCCAGGGAATCACTGGAAGCTTGCTAGGAAGAATAACTGGAACCTCAAGTGTCATGACCCCAGTGCCAGGGGATGGAAATCATATCACAGAATGTGCACTTGGGTGAACCTTCCCTGCTTTTAAGTAACTATTGACAAGTGACCTTCCCTGGATCTCATGTAAGTGGTTCATTTTTAAAGGAAGAGAACTGTATTATTAGAAGATCACAGCATTTCTTTCCAGTCCTGATACTCTGTGTCTCCTTGATGTAGAAGTTCATGGGCAGCTCTACATGTCTTCCTAGAGAACTGTGATTCTCATAAGATGTCCTAGCTAGCAGCACCTTCAGTTTGCTTGTCTTACTGCCTCCCGCGTCTAGAAAGAAAACTGAATGTCTGAATGTAGTACCCTGCTCAGACAAGCTTCCTAATAAATGTTTATTTAATGAAACCCTCCAAGGCTCTGATTTATATAGTGCCTTGGCAGTCAAAAGCAGTAGTAGTCCAAGACCCATGTCGGAGAGAAAAAGAGGAGGAGTATTTATACCAGGTAAGAGATGGCTCAGGCAAGGAGAAGAAGAAGCAGGCTTGTCTTGGGAAACCAGTGGGGCAGAACTGGATGAGCAGGGAAACATGGAGGAGGAAGAACTCAGCAGGTAAGATGTTGTGGTAAAGCAGGAGTCAGACTTTGAGTGGAGAGAACCAAGAAATAAGGCTGGGTCAAGATGAATTTGGGGTCGGACATGGTGGCTCACACCTGTAATCCCAGCTCTTTGGGAGGCCATGGCAGGTGAATCACCTGAGGTCAGGAGTTCGAGACCAGCTTGGCCAACATGATGATAACTCTGTCTCTACTAAAAATACAAAAATTGGACGGGCGTGGTAGTGGGTGCCTGTAATCCCAGCTACTCGGGAGGCCGAGGCAGGAGAATCGTTTGAACCTGGGAGGCGGAGGTTGCAGTGAGTCAAGATCGCATCACTGCACTCCAGCACTCCAGCCTGGGTGACAGAGCAAGACTCTGTCTAAAAAAAAAAAAAAAAAGATGAATTTGAAAGTCTTGTAGACAACTGGAAGCAAAGAAAGGTTTTTAGCAGAGGATTGACGTGATGTAAGCTGAGTCAAAAAGCAAATCTGGCAGCAATGTGCAGAACAGAGTGAAAGAGAAGGTCTGAGAAGGAGGGTCTTGGAGAGTTTACAATGGGGAATAAAAGCCGGACAAAGCTGGAGACAGTGCAAACTCAGGCAACAGGTTTGTAACAAGCACGTATGAAGGCCTGGACACTGTTCTAGAAGCGGAATACAGTTCTGAAAGAGAGAGACACAGATCCCTGTCCTTTGGGAATTCACCTTCTAGAAGGAGAGGAAACAGAGGGAAGAATTTGACTTTTCATGAATTAATGCCTCATTTTACTCTGTAAGAGGTGTGAGGAAATTTACAAACATACATCCACTCAGAATAATAAAAATAAGTGATTTTACCTATTGTCTTTGACAACATCCTTTCATTAGATAAAATGGTGAGTTCCCTATGGCTGACATTACAAAGTCACTCAGAGGTAGCTTATGGCCTGGCACCAAAGCATGGCTAGACAAAGGTAGTTGCAAAAAGAACACAAGTGACTAGCTCCCAGTGTGTAGCTCCGTGAAGGTTGTGACAGTTGGTTCAGATACTAAGTAATGGCGGCAAATGGGCTGGAGTCTCCACTGGGCTCATGGAGAGATGGTTTGTTTGGCATCATGCCTGGTCCTTTGAGAGGAGGGCTGTGCTGCAGTCCATTCCCCACCCTCCACATTCATGTCACCTGTGTTGCCCTTGAAGACACTAGAGCTTGGGACTGCCAAGAGAGGATTGAGGGTCCACCAGGAATTCTCAGTAGATTTTTCACAACAGAGGCTTTTGAGAGCAATTAATCTTAGAGAGTTTGAGGTAGGGTAATTTTTGGCAAAGAAGGAAGCCAGGAATTTGCCTTCAACTGACCACTGAGATATGCTTTGATCTTGAATAGAGCAGAGGGTAGGGTTAAGGCCCATTATAAAAATTAACATATAAGCCAGAAGATTAAAAAAATACAGGGACGTATCTTGAGATACAGGGACACGACATTATTAGGGACTATGCCTAGAACTTTGTGACTGGATATGGTTAGGCTGGGATGGGAAGGGATATGGTAGGAAAGTAAAGGGAAAAGGGAAGTACAAAACACCAATATTTTGAAGCTGGATGATGGGGTAATGATGTATAAGAAGGTTAGGACTCGGATCACTTGAGGTCAGGAGTTCCAGACTAGCCTGACCAACATGGTGAAACCCTATCCTCCCTACTAAAAATACAAAAATTAACTGGGCATGGTGGTGCATACCTATAATCCTAGCTACTTGGGAACTGAGGCAAGAGAATCGCTGGAACCTGGGAGGAAGACGTTGCAGTGAGCTGAAATTGTGTCACCACTGCATGCCAGCCTGGGCAACAGAGCAAGACTCTGTCTCAATAAATAAATAAATAAATAAAAATAAAAATAAAAAAGTAAGGACAGGGGGAGAAGGTCAGGAGGAGGTTGACAGATTGGGTTTTAGACGTAACTATGGAGTAATGGTGAAATATCTGCATAGTGGAGTTCACTAGGCAGTCAGTGCTTCAGACATGGAGAAGACAGAGGCAAGAAGGGAATAGGGGGAGGTGCCTTCACAGAAGTAAGAGCTTAAGAGAGGAAAATAATGAGTTCTCAAAAGGAGAATAAAGCAGAGAGGGCAAACGCTTTAGGCTGGAGAGATGCTCATGATCTCTCATGGGCATGGGGGCTGACGGAGGAATAAGAACAGCTGTAGAGGAATAGAAACGATGAGAGAAGCCTGCCACAACCATCACTGGAGAACAGATACAAGAAGGAGGAATGGCCAAATGGGTCCAACGCCACAGAATGAGATCAAGAACAAACATAGACAGGGAAGAGGTACAGATCAGGCAGTAGTAAGGTCACGTGTCAGCTCTCAGAGACAGGTTTTGGTGCGATCAGGCAGAAGTCAGGAGATGAGGAAATGGATAGAGAAAAAAATGCATTTCTCCAGGAGCTGGGGTGTGAAAGAGGGATGGGCCAGGTTTGCTGGAGAGAATAAGAGGGAGTGCAAGCTTGGCACCCAGCCCTCACATCCAGGGTGGCTGGGTCTGTTTCCCTGCTGGGCCAGTAGCCCCCACGCTAAAAGGATTTAGCAGGGTCTGGTCATGCTAGGCAGAAGTTCCACAAGGCCAGGGCCTGCCTCCCCTCCCTGTGGCAGGCTAGGGTTAGGGCTATAGCTGTACTAGGGGATCTGGGAGTCCTTCGTGGCACTGTGGGACCCTGAATGTGTTCAGACCCCCAGGTCATCAGGACACCTGGGCTCTGCTGTGTCCCCAGAGGTTTTTGCCCTGACTCAGGCTGAGGACTTTGGGTGTAGGACTCGCGTTTTCTTACGCAGAGGTTGGTGGGGCGTTGAATGAAGTTGTTAGTAGGCTCCACGTAGCACAGGCACACAGGCCTAGTGCATCAAGTGGCCAGAGTCCCTGCTTGGTGCCAGGCCAACGTGGGATGCTGAGCAGGCAGAGACCACTCTGCAAATAACAATGGTGCGACCCAAGAAAATGACCCTGAGAGGGCAGTGGAGACCCAGGCATTTGAGACGGCCTGGCAAATGCATAGCACCTGAGGGCCATGTGCATGTACATGTGTGTTTGGGGGTGAGGGGAGGGTATTACTGGCCGAGGGGACATGTAAACAACCTCTGTGCAAGTTCTAGGACCTTCCTATATTCCTGTACCACTATTTGAAGGCTTCTGTTTAACCTACCCACGTGGCCCATTAGAATGTTCCACTGAACAGGAAAACCAATGTGCATTCAGGAGAGAATCTCAAAGGACCTTTCCAGCTGTGGCATTCAGAGGTCCATAAAGCTTAATCCTTTAAAAGGAATCATTCTAAATAGCCCAGGAGTGAACATAAATGAATGAAAAGTCCATGAATGTGGGGACTAAATCCCATAATAGGGAGCAAAATGGCATGATAAAGAGCATGGGCTCTGGAGACAGACCACCTAGGCCCCAATTCCAGCTCTGTCACATATGAGCTGGGTGCCCTAGGGCAAGCTGCTTAACTGCCCCAGGCCTCAGTTTCTCCATCTGTAAAATGGGGATAATTAGACTTAGCTCTCAGGCTTGTCGTGAAGATGAATGGCTTAATATTTCTAAAGTGCTTAGACCAATATCTGACACATAGCACATGTTTTCTAGGTGTTAAAAAATATTCTTTTTGATGGGGTTGTTTGTTTTTTTCTTGTAAATTTGAGTTCATTGTAGATTCTGGATATTAGCCCTTTGTCAGATGAGTAGGTTGCAAAAATTTTCTCCCATTTTGTAGGTTGCCTGTTCACTCTGATGGTAGTTTATTTTGCTGTGCAGAAGCTCTTTAGTTTAATTAGATCCCATTTGTCAATTTTGTCTTTTGTTGCCATTGCTTTTGGTGTTTTAGACATGAAGTCCTTGCCCATGCAGATGACGAGTTAGTGGGTGCAGCACACCAGCATGGCACATGTATACGTATGTAACTAACCTGCACAATGTGCACATGTACCCTAAAACTTAAAGTATAATAATAAAAATAAAATAAACTAAAATAAAATATATTCTTACCCTGCTGGATTTTTAAGTGATGCTCTTGTCGGGGATCTTTATGACATACTTTTGAGGAAGATGAGAAACGAGGCTTCTTAACTCTGTTAAACATTTTAGACACACAAACAGTCCTCACTTTTCATGGCAGTATGGGGCTGTAAAAATGACCATGCAAGCTAAAACCGTGCAAAGCAATCCTAAAAATCAAGAGAAAAATTAAAACTGTTCTGTGACCTTTAAAATTTGTTGTCAAAGCATTAGAAACTCTTACCATAGGTTATAAGTGTGTAGGGGAACAAACAAACAAAAATAGTAAAATATTTTAGGACACAGTAATTTGAAACATTAGAAACAATGCAACATTTTAAGTGTTTTCTTTCTTTGTGAAAATAAACTTACTAACAGGTTTTTTAAAAGTGCTTGCCTTCTTCTCTTTGCATAACTTACGATACTGAGGGAACATCTTTTCTATGCCAGTGAATTGCCATAGTCCTTTATAAATTTGCATCAGCTTGCAACATCTTATCTCTTTGCTTTCAGTGTTGTGAAATACCTCTGGAAGTTCCTATAATGTGAAGTTTTTTGCTGGGATCACTTCCTGTGGGACATCTTCATCCTTTTTGTTGCAACCACTTTCCTCATTTATGCTTTGAACAATGGTTTCAGGTTTCATCAATATAAATCGAAACTTCAAGGGTCCCAACTGTCAGAAAGTCACATAGAACTTACTCAGAATGATGTCAAATTCCACTCTAGAAATTTAAAACCTCACCCTGTTAAAAATAGCTTGTCATCAACAAAGGAACCAGATGATAACAGACACAAGGCTGACTTTTTAGTTTCGACTTATATATATTAAAAAAAAAACAACCACAAAACTGCTCAACATAAGCACAATGTGCTTTCAGGAGAGAATCTCAAAGGACCTTTCCAGTGCATTTTCAGTGCCCTGCACCCAAGCATTAATGATTATTTAAATGGTAGAATAACATAAAATGATGAAACAACTGGATAAATTCAACTATGTTGTAAAAATTTTGTAGTTGACAGAAATCAGTCTTTGGACTTTAAGATCTCATATAGATCAGAGGAGAAATATAATGACATACTCCTTAAGAATCTGATGAAAGTTATGGCCTTTCTCCACTAGAATGTGCCGATTACAATATTTTATGCAGTGTTTCAAGGAATACACAGAGCCCCCAATATCCAGTTAGAAGCCCTGGCTGTGAATCTAGAATTTTATTACAGGTGAAACCCAGCACAAGTCTGATTGAGAGCCATTGCAAGTCACAGAAACTCTAGGCCCTGTCTAAGTAAAGGCAAACCTTGGAGTATGTCATCTGCCACTGAAAATGCATTTAATGATGACTCACTCTTTCCTCACTATACAAGTTTGTTCAACCTACACCTCTTCAGCTACAGACTACCTACCATCCCTGAAACTCTGTTCTGAGAGTAAAGGGATTACAAAACCTGGCTGAAAAGACAGATTCAATGGCATGTTGAAAAACACAGCAGAACCAGCACATCAGACTGTAAATTGATTGTCTTGCACAGGATGTTAGCTGCTCTTCGAATGAGGTTCCTGAGTGGCACCTGAGCCTATTGCTGGTGGCATCCTATTCTGCCTGTTCTCTCTTTCTTCCTCCTTCCCCATTCCTTTCATTCTCTTCTCCCTTATTCTTCCTCTGCAATTCTTTTTTTCCACACTACCGTTGGCCGGTCCCTAGGGATACTGTTTAATCTGGCCCATGGTACAAGAGATTTTAGATCTTCATTGAAGTCACTAGAGATGGCCTGAGTGAGTCACTTTGAATTCAATAGACAAACTGATGGAAGGCTCTGAGAAGACCTCAACGATGCCCAAGAAATGTGTTCTTACTGTAGAAACTTACTATTTTGATCAAAAAAGTCATTTTGGTCAAAAAGGGGAGTTGGGAGATTGCCTTTTTGTTTTGAAATTGATTTGGCTTCAAGGGAAGAAGATTGCCTAAACAAAACCTGCTGATGAAGTCACAAAATGACTCCACCTCTGGAATGAGCTTTATTTTCTTATAATTTGGCAAGAAATTTGGCTTTCAATTGGGAATGCACGTCACTCTACCCACTCAAGGGCAAGATGATAAGGTTCTATCAGACCAAGCGTCTAAAGGAACCTGAGACTCTACCAAGGTCAGAAATGCTGCAATTCAAGCCAAAAGATCTTTCTTGGGCTTCCTTGTTTTGACTTGTAACCATAAATTAGTCTTGCCTAAATGTCTGATCACATTATAAAACAGTAAGTGAATCTGTACTGTACAGCACCCTCTGAAGCAACAGGAGCTATAGATGAACCTTTTAGGGGATTCTGTAATTTTTCTGTCCCTTTGATTTCCACAGGACTCTAAATTGCCCCCTCTGAGGTCAAGGAACACAAGATGGTTTTGGAAATGCTGAACCCGATACATTATAACATCACCAGCATCGTGCCTGAAGCCATGCCTGCTGCCACCATGCCAGTCCTGCTCCTCACTGGCCTTTTTCTCTTGGTGTGGAATTATGAGGGCACATCCTCAATACCAGGTAAGTCAGTCATTTATTTCTGTATCTAAGGAGATTATTTACTTGGGATTTTGGTCCATGATGGTAAAGAAAATTTTGCAAAAGGACAAAAAGCAAACCTGGAAAGATCTCTGAAGACTATGTCTGTGTTAGCAAATGAGGACTTGGGAGAAAATTTTCAGACCAATTATCTGCACATTTTAAATGAAAGCACTTAAAAAATATCTTAGATAAACCCTTCCACTCTGTGCTGTGCTTTCGTAAAGTAGACTTGGCACAAGTACCCTTTAAAACAAGCTCAAGATGGGGTGGAGTAAAGTAAAATTCCAGGGTTTTCTGGTTAACTTTTAAAAAATAGATTGCAATTTTGCTCTGAAGGTGAAAATGTCTCTGGAACATCTTCTTCACTGCTTTTCTTCTCCCTTTCACTTTGTTTCCGCCATGCCCCCTCTTTGTCTTGTATTTATCCCTTCTCTTTATTCCACTCATCATTTTCTCTTATTCTTGGGAATGTGGTGATAGTGGTCCCCATTTTTCTCCCACTGTCTGGATCCCATTCGACCCTTATGGGAGCCTGGTAGTGGGAGAAAAATGGGGACCACTCCAGTGCTCTTGGAACATCATACCCCGGGAGAATCTTCAACAAGATCTGTGGTTCAATCAAAAGCAGAGAATAATATAATTATTCAGATAATCCCAATAGAAAACCCCACCCTTCCACCCTTAAAGCCGCAATGATCAGATATCAGATTAATTCAGAATGACTTGAAATTTCAGACTGCTTCTTTAGGTTTCAGTGAAAATGCTTCATTGCAGACACATCTGTTCCCAATTCCATAAGATATCCAATGAGACTTTAAGAGCATAGTTACACACTGGTAAGTGTGGTGGGCCTAGTCTCAGTGGGATCAGAAGTGGGAGCATGGGGCTAGCACAAAATGCTCTGTGTCTGGATTCTTTTTAACATTCCAGATAATTGCCTGTCTCTCTGCCTGATTCAGCCTGATATTTTAGATTACTTTAATGCCCAGTTTAAAGGAACATTTAGTTAATTTTGTTCTCTGCTCCCTGACAGGGTCAACTCTAGAGAAGGGAGGCTCAGAGCTAAGGGACAACTGTTTCATGGTCTTTAACTTGAACTCTGTTCCCCAGTGTGGCCCTTCCTCACTGGATTTCTCCTCTCCCAAGGGGGCTTCTAGGTCAGGGTCAGTGAATGGTCGGGGTGGGGTGAGTAAGTGGTGGGGGTGGAGAGCCTTTTTTTCCTCTTCTTCCCTTCATAGGCTCAGGTGCTAAATTCCAATTTGTCTGTGTTAGCAGACAATCAGGCCAGGAGAGTCCAGCATTGCCCACGCAGCATTGCCCATCCAGTGAGCCACAGGTTCTCAAGCTTTTAAGTCTATGTAAGAACACCCAGCAGGTAGGAGCTTGTTAACATTTCTGTTCCTGGACCCTGCTCCTGACTTTTTGACTCAGACTCTTCAGGCCTAGAAACATGCATTTTTAAAAAGTCCCCGCAGATGCTTATGTTAATCAGCACTGGTGGAATTTCCTTGGACCCTTGACCAAGGAGGTCAGCCTGTTAGGACAAGCCTGAGAACCAGCAGCCCTGAAGCTCTGGATCAGTGGGAGAGTAGGCAGCACCTCACTCTGTCCACCATTTCTGGGCCAGGGCCATCATGCTGATCCACTGACAGTCAGATCAAGTAGCACAGTGATTCTCAGCACTGTCTGAGGTAGGAGCTCAGCTAGTTTGGGGTTGCTATTTTTAAAAAAATCTCCCTTCCTGATTTTTTATGAGCAGCCAAGGTTGAGAGCCACAAATATGAGCCTAACTCCTTCATTTGACAGAAGGGGAAACTGAGACCCAGGGAGTTGATCTGCCTTGCCCAGACAAAACACTATGACAAGCATGAGAAGCCATGGAGTTCAAACTTGTCGTTTTACAAGTGAATGGTTAAAGCCCAGTGAAGGGAAATGGCTTGTCATCTCCCCAGCTGGACAGAAAGTGGGAATGTAGGGGGACCACCAGGAAGTCCTAAAGCCCAGGTTGATGATCATTTTGCTAGACAGGTAGTTTCTAGTTTCACACTTTCCTTTTGAAAACAGAAGGTCTAGTTAGAATCCACTAGTAGCACAGACTGTGAGATCCTATGGTTTCTGGTTGGGGGAGGGAAGATAAGAAAATTGGCCTTGTTTGGGGTGGCTTTTGCTGATCAATACTCCTGAGCTCCTGCCAGCTCCCTTTAATCAGTGGCTCTCTAGGTTCTTGGTTTTAGAGGTTTAGGGGAAGCACAGAGTCAGGAAAGCTCAGGAACAGTGAAAGCTGGAGGGACTTATAATGATTTAAAGCCCTTAAGTGAGTTATAATTTACAAAGCAGTTTCGTGCCCATTTTCTCTGGTGAGGTTGGTGTGTTTGTGTCTGTTTTGTAGTTGGCAAAACTGAGACTCAAAGAGTCACACAACTAGTAATGATGAAACTGGGGCTCATATCTAAGCTTCTTCTAGCCGTATTTACTGCTAAGTAAACAGGCTGCCCTGTTTTCCTGCTTAGGGGCAGGAGGATGTGTGAAAAGATTAAAGAGATGTGGTTTCTGCCCCGAGGGGATTATATAAAAGTAGTAAAGACAGTCAAGGAAACACACATAGGTGGTTGACTTAGTGCCAGGTAGGGGCTATGAAAGTCCTGAGGAAAGGGTCATTCTGCGGAGAAGGGGGAGTGGCCGGGGGAGGGGGGCGGGGTTGGAAGCTTCAGTTCTGAAAAATTGCTCCCAGACCACTGATCTGGGTCAGGACTCACAGTCACCTGGCACTGGCTGCTCTCCCTTCCCCCAGGACGTATAGCCATCCCCAGCTCTAAACAAGGGTCCTCTCCCTCCAGATGCCATGCTCTGCCCGGGGTACCACATCCCAGAGCAGGGAACTAGGGGGGAGAAAAGCATGGCAACTGACATTCCTCTTTTTCTTAAGATAATATTTCACAGAAAACTGGACAGTGCGGTGACAAATTTGCCATCACAATGCAGCCTGACAAAGCGGATGTTACCCTTGTTCCAGAAGCTCCTCGTGTGCCTTTGTAATCACTCTCTCTCTCTCACTCCAGAGCAAAACACTGTCTTTGATTTTGTGACAGTCACTCCCTTGCTTTTTTTTTTTATCATTTTACCACATAATTTCACATCCCAGAGAATACAGGTTAATTTTGCCTTGTTTTAAAGGTTTTAGCAGTCAATTCATACATTATGTATTCTTCTATCTTGCTTCTTTTGCTCAATAGTATGTTTCTAAGATCCATCCACATCGTGGCATGCAGGTGTAGTTCATTTTCATTGCCATAGGGTATTGAGTTATATAAATATCTCATGGTTTAATTGCCAGTTCCACTGTTGAGGGACACTTGAGGTGTCTTTAGTTTGGGGCTATTGTGAACAGGGCTGTTCTGAATGTATATGTGCACACAGGTTTCTCTATGGTGTACATCTGTAAGGCGTGGAAAGCAACAGCTTGTTGATTAGGACAGCTGGGGAGAGGTCCCAGCTGTTGGCTCCAAGGAGGCTGTCTCTGTACAAAAATGCAGCAAAGTATTCACTGCTTCTTTTAGGGTGTGAAAGAGGCTCCCACCATCATTGCATGCCTAGATAAGCATTCCCAAATCTGAGAAGCAACGATCAGCTTAATGTGGCTACAACCAGAATATTTCCCTAATATTTTGCCAAAGTTTCTACCTTCCTCCAGCATTCTTCTCTCCAGCTGGAGGGTGGGTAGAAGGCCTAAGATATACACGTAAATGAAAAGGTCACACTGTGTTAACATTCTTTTATTTAGTAATTATTTTTCACATACTCTCCTCTCTTGCCCCTAGACTCTGATGGGGACCATTATACTTATAACATCTCCAGTCCCTAATTTTAGTGTCTATACCAGTAGTATCTATACCAGTAATTGTTTGTTGGATGAATTAAGCTGATATACAATTGATCGCTAGGGACTCAAAACTCTGGTTCTCTTCTGGTTAGAACACTCAGGTTCTTAATCTAAGCACAAGGTTCAATCTCCCTTTTTCAGTAGATATATCTCTCCTGCGTCACAGCTTACATTTGAATGGCAGGTCCCAAATATTAAGATTTTTACATGGCGGGCTGGGTGTGGTGGCACAAGCCTGTAATCCCAGCTACTCGGGAGGCTGAGGCAAAAGAATCGCTTGAACCCGGGAGGTGGAGGCTGCAGTGAGCCGAGATCATGTCCCTGCACTACAGCCTGGGCAACAGAGCGAGACTCTGTCTCAAAAAAAAGGATGGCATTTAAAACTTCATCCTTTATATTAGATACACATGCCTAATTAATTTTTAAAATTTATTCAGGAAACATTCGTTGAGCATCTACAATGTGCCAAGCTATAAATATCCAGTGAGATATTATATTATGCATATATTAATTGATTAAAAGTTAATATATCTAATGACAGTTTAAGGAAATACATATTCAATCAAATCTGCTGTGGAAATCTTTTAAAGAGCTTAATGAAATTATTTTAATACAAAGTCAGTCATCTACTGTATAATGTAGTGTTACTAAAATAATCACAAGATTAATAACCTTAGACCATATTTTGGTTCTGTAGGTATTAGCAAAGATCTTTTATTTAAAGGGAAAAAAGAGCTGACAGTCTTGCTCATATTAACTCAGCTATTACAAAGTAAAAGACTAAACACTGTTTGCTGTGTTTGGGATTAAACATCCAATTCAGATGATTCAAGCAAAAGCTTACACTATGTATATTATTACACAACTTTTGCCCGTAAGGTGAGAATGCTGTTTCACGTAGTTAGGCATGTTTTGGCTTCAGAATGATTTCACTGACAGAATGGAATTAAAGGAGAAAGATTTAGAAAAACTGCTACTTGTCAACTCCTGAAAACATTCTAAAACTTTTTAATCTAACGTTTTACCAACACCAGTAAAATCAAGCTACCAAGGTTGTTCTCTGATATAAGCAGCACCAAATTCCCCAGTTGTTCCCTGGACGCATGTTCTTTACAATTCTGCCATCCTCTGCATAAGCAAGATTGTAAGCAGCCACTACTCTCGGCTAAAACCAGATCATGGGACTCAAACTCCAATCTAGAGGTTCAAAGACCCATTGCCTGACTCCCCATCTCTTAGCTTTATTTTGCCTAATGAGATTTAGCTTAAGAGCCTTTTCTTAAACGGAGTCTTTTTTGAGGGTAACAAAAGAAATAGATGTTCTTGGATTGGACATTCTCCTTGTAGATCTTGTTTCTTTCAGTTGAAAGATTTCCTACAAAACTACAGACCAGTTTTAACCCACCCATTGTGTCAACCGGGGCACTCAAACCAAAAGTTTCCAGAAAAAACTAGGCGCCAAACAGATCTGCCAGATTGTCACTCATCAGTGTTTCCATGTTTGCTACCAAATGCACCAATTGACTTGTATTAGAAACTCACTGATACCAGTTAACCTGGGAAGAAATTAGCACACACACCCCAGTTCATTCAGACTGAAATGATTGAGACCAAATAAAACTAGTGTGGTATGGATACTGAACTCCTTTTTACTCATGGAGAAGTGAAGAGCCTCATGTTAAGCGTGAGGCTTTTGTTTTGTTTTGTTTTGTTTCAAATCACTTTATTCGTGATTCACAGATATACATCACATGTAAAGAACACTTAGCTATAAAAGAACAAAAACAGGAGTAACACAAAACAGTTGCAATTTTTGGTGTAACTAAGATGTTGCTTATGCTCTGACACCTGTCCTAGGTCCTGGCTACTGCATGGGAATTGGACCCCTCATCTCCCACGGCAGATTCCTGTGGATGGGGATCGGCAGTGCCTGCAACTACTACAACCGGGTATATGGAGAATTCATGCGAGTCTGGATCTCTGGAGAGGAAACACTCATTATCAGCAAGTGAGTCTGTTCATAATCGAAGACATACTTTTTAAATCGAGGCTGGAGTTTTTTCCACTTAAGACAACTTTATTTTGAATCTTGATGTCTTTGTTTCTAACGCTATATTTTTACCACTGAAATGAAGTGAGCAATCCCCAGAAATCTAACATTGCAAACAGAATAATTGGGTTTTGCTTGAATTGAAGCCAGCAGTACATAAATAACTAACTCTGGAAAGTTGGGAAATTATTTACAATCTCTGTGAGCAGTGAATGTGGAAACTTAGAAGCCAGATAATTTGATTTTGACAAAACATACTTTAGGGAGAGGTGTTATCTTTTCTGCTTTCCCAAGTTTTTTGGTCTTAACCACAAATAAACATTAAAAAGAACCAAGCCAAACAAACAAAGAAAAAACCCACAGAAAACAAAAATAAAACCCGAGACATCACTGCACTATAGTCTGGGTGACAGAGTAAGACCCTGTCTTTTAAAAAATAAAACAAACCTGAGGCAGAGGTATCTGATTAGCAATTTGCTAATTTATTCTCCTGCCAAGCAACTGAGCACCTCTAAAAGAGCAGATGGTAAGCCGACCTTGGCTGAATCCGATTAAAGTAAAGAAAAAGGAAAATAAAAGAACAAGACAGTAGAAAAAGAAGTAATTCACATGCTGCTTTCCCATTTATGACTTTATGCGAGTATCCCGGTGGAGTGATCTTACATAAATCAGGAACAATATTACCCATTTAAAAAAATAGTGTCCTCCCTCTCTGCATTATTATATTTTGTGGATAACTAGCAGATTGAATTAGCTCTATGGTTAACTAAATAGGAATTGACTATAAGGAACTAGTTTGGTGAAATACTTGTTTTCTTGTTTATTGATCTTAGAAAATGGAGAATTTCAAAGATGGCGTATTTCCCTAGACTTTCAGCCAGCTTTAGTAGACTTTTAGCAAAGCTATCTGCAAACATTGTCTCATTAACGCATGTTTATATTCGTAATCCCTGATAGCGCTTTACCCACAAACTAAAGCTGACCAGGGTGTTTTACCAATTTGTTAGAATTATTCATTCAGATACAAAGACTATAGCTCAAAAGTAAGTGAAGCTTTTCTAAACTACATAATTTTTTCAGGTCAAGATTACATACATCATCTCATAAAATACCACGGTATCCTCAAAGCCCAAATATTTGAAGCAGATATTGAAAGAAGGGAGCAGGGGAGAAATTGGTATTATTTTAATACTTCTAAATATTTCAAACTATCCAAAAAGAATTTTTTTGACCTGGGATTTTTGTTTGTTTGTTTCATTCAGTTTTGTGTTGTAGCACTTTTAAGAGTAGCTGAGGCAGACCTCACACAACTAAACAGAAATGGCTTCAGGTGGAAACATCATTTCATTGGGTTCATTGTGAAGTACTCTAATGCAGTAGTTTTCAAAGTGTGGTCCTTCAACAAGCAGCATCAACAAGCCTGGGAACTTGTTAGCAATGCACGTTCTTGGGCCCCACCCTGACCTACTAAATGAGACAGTCTGGGGTAGGACCCGCGATCCGTGTTTTAACAAAGCCTGCAGGTGATTCTGCTGCACACTTGAGTTTGAGAACCACTGCTCTAAGAACTAGATCATAATTACTTTTTTATTTTAATTCTCCTGGTCTATTAGGCTCTAGTCAGCCAAATTTAAGTGACTATGATACGTTCTTGATACGTTCTCATTTTAAAAATCAGTACTTGAGTCACTTTTACAACTGGCTATGGTCTCACAAATATCCTGGAAGCACTGGTGTTTGGGTTTGGGGGTAGGGACATTTGCCGCTGCTCTTTCATTTCCCCGCACAGCCACCTGCCTTTCAGCTCTCCCCAGCCCAGGGTCTGCCTTCCCCATCACCTCTTTCCCTCAGCAGACAGGTGAAGTGACCCCCAGGATATTTATCTAGAAGGATATCTACCTGCTGCCCAGGATCTAGCACAGTGCCGTGCCTCTCACCCTAGCTGTACCTTAGAGTCACCCAGGGAGCTTTTCAAAGCCCCACTGCCCAGGCCACACCCCCACTTTTAGATCAGAACCTCTGGGGGTAGGACTCAGGCATCAGTGGTGTTTAATACTCCCCTGGGAGTTTGAGAACATTCCATCTAGAGAGAGGGTGGAGGAGGAAGCTCATGGGGCAGGAGGGCCTCTCCCCGGGGTTACAGGAAGCAGCGATGCAGGACTGGTTTTGTCTTATGCTAAGGTGGTGGAGGTTTAAGACTAGAACTGGAGTAAAGAATGATAGACTTGAGAAAGGACCACAGTACCAGGACAGAAATCATTCTGAGATACTAGATATTTCGATGCTAGATTCTTAAATCTCCAGAAAAAGTCCGTGAATTTCCAAAGACAATTCCTGAAGTGCTTGCTCGTTACAGTGGGGGTGGCATCTGACCACTCCGCTAGTCTTAATTAGGAAACTGACTCCAACAACCCCGACCGACTCAGGCGCTGGTGCACGCTGAGACGCAGCCACAACCCACCCACACTACCATCAGCTCTCCCAGTTCTTTCCTTTTCCTGTCCTCTCAGGCTTTTCACTTGTTGGAGTCTTTGTGTTCTCTTTAATTGCCTCAGAGCAGTTCAATTTTGTTGTTAAAGGCTGAGCTCCCCGCGGGAATAGGACATGTTTGTCCCCATCTCCTTTCCTTGCCTGCTCTTCAAGTCCCTTCCAGCACTCCCCGTACCTCTTGAAAAGACCCCATTGGACCTCAGAAAGATTTTTATTTTTATTTGAATAGTTTGCCAGATTTTTTTTTTCTTTTGAAAAGTTTGAGGTCTGTAGTCATTACAACTGTGTAGAAATTATGGTCCAACTTTTCCAACCAGCTTCGTCCCAAAGTAGTAGGGGCTGCAGAACTTCAGGGGAGAAGTCAGGCATGTGCGCTGCTGAGATGCCGCGTGTGCCACTGGGGGCGTGGAGGCACGGTCCATCTGGTGAGCTGTAGATGATGTGTGCACCGTTCCCCAGGCAGCTACCCAGGCAGCTGTACTCTAAATTAATGAAGGTCTGTAGGTGCTGCGTATGACACTATATGTCCATTATATGTCCCTAGATTAGTTTTTGTCATGAATACAAAAAAAATTTATGTATCACTCATAAAGGGAAATTAGCAATTAGCATGCTAATTTGGGTTATATTTGCATATCTGTTAGCAATTAACATACTAATTAGGGTTATATTTTTACATCTGTCTTAATAATGTGCAAATTTACACATCATTTACAGGGGCTTCCTTCATTTATTCTGTGAATATACATTTACTGAGAATTTATTATATACTAAGCACTGAATGATTCTAAGTTGTAATAGTCATTATTGGCTCTTCATCCATTAAATATTTCTTGAAAACTTACTATGTATAGCAGCAGGTATTGTTCTAAACTCTGGGAATACAGCAGTGGACAAACCAGCCAAAATTCCTTTACCTCATGGAGCAATATGTCGTCACTAGGTCAACAATAAACAAGTAAAATATATAGTGTATCAGTAGAGTGACCAATTGTTTCAGTTTGCCTGGGACCAGGGCCTTTCCCAGGATGTGGGACTTTCAGTGCTGAAACTGGCATAGTCCCGGGCAAACCAGGATAGTTGGTCACACTTATCAGGCAGATAGGTGTTACATAGAAAAAGAATAGGGAAGGAGGATGGGGGAGGACCAGTTGTAGAGACGCAGGTGTGATTGTAAACAGGTGGTTCAGGCAGCCCTCACTGAGAAGACAGCATTTAAATAAAGACCTAAAGGAAATGAGCAAGTAGCCCATGCAGAGACCTGGCGGGAAAGCATTCTAGACAGAAGGAACAGCAAGTGCCAATATTCTAAGGCAAGAACCTGAGTGGAAGAATACAGGAGATGAGAGAAGCAATAGGGTACCAAATCACGTCAGGCCTTGCAGGCCATTGTAACAATTCCGGCTTTTACCCCCTGCAAGAAAGGAAGCCACTGAAGAATTTGAGAGAGGACTGACACATATGACTCATTTATGTTTCAGCAGAATCATTCTGGCTGCTCTGTTGAGAATAGGTGCAAGAGGACAAGGGATGGGGACAGACAGACCAGTTAGGCAAGAGGTGATGGTGGCTGGTCCAGGTGGTAGCAGTAGAGATGATAAGAGATGAGGGAAAATTCTGGACATATTTTGAAGGCAAAGCCAACAGACTTGCTGACAGATTGGATGTAGGGTGTGAGAGAAAAAAAAAGAGTCAAAGTGCTGTCCAGTTTTGCATTGAATGGGGACATCGTGTCCTGAGATAGGTGGAGCAAGTTTGGGAAGGGGAGAGATTAGGGTTCCATTCCAGACATGTTAGATTTGACATGCCCAGTTGACATCTGAGTGGGATGATTGAGTAGAGAGAACTGAACCTTGAGACCCTCTAGTGTAAATAGGTCAGAAACTAGCAACAGAGACTGAGAAGAGCAGCTAGACCGAGAAGAGAAAACCAGGAAAGTGTAATGTCTGAAAACCAGGTGAAAAATCCATATCAGGGAGTAGAAAATTGTGAACCATGTCAAATACCACTGATGGGGCAAGGGAATGCATGGAGATTTCAGTACTGCATTTAGCAACAGGGAGGTCACAGGTGACCTTGACAAGAGCAGTTTCAATGGACTAGTGGGGGCAAAAGTCTGACCAGAGAAGAGAATCGGGGGAGAAGAATCAGAGGCAGCAAGTGTAGACAAGTCTTCCAAGGAGTTTGCCATAAAGAAGGCAGGAAATGGGCCAGTAGATGAGTGAGATGTGTGGGCAAAGGAATTTTGATTTTTAAAATAGGAGAAATTACAGCATGTGAGTTGTAGGGGGACTGGTCAGTTATGGAGGAAAATCAAATGATTGTTGATGGAAGAGAAAGAGTGTGCTAGGTGAGATGTGAAGAGGTCCCTGGGGACAAGTGGATGGGTTGGCCTTGAATAGGGACATGGAATTTCCATAGTAATAGGAGGGAAGGTGGAATATATGGGCACAGGTCCGGGTCGTTGGGGATTGTGGAGATTCTCTTGTAGTTGCTTCCACTTTCTTGGGAAAATTGGAAATAAAGTCTTCAGCTGGGGCTGAGTAGGGAGAATATAATAGTCATCTAGAAGAGTGAGAGAGTGAATGGGCTGGGGACATGCAGTAGCATTGCCAGCGACACTAAGGGCCCACTTGAATTTAACCGAGACCTGACAGCAGGCACGTGTGCGCTAACGTACACACATGCGCACACATGTGTGCGCATGTGTGGTTTTTCTTTTTTTCCCAGCCCACTTCAACTGCCAGGTGCAAGCACAGAATAAGCTAAGAGTTGGATTTAGCTAGAGTGTGGTCTTATCAGACAACCATGACAAAGTAAGAAGAGGGTCAAGGGAGTTGAGGATTCAGGGAAGGGTATTTTAATTTTAATGATTGACAGTAATTTTTTCCCAACTTTCTGTTAAGAAAATTGTCAAATGAGTAGGAAAATTGAAAGAGCCGTCCCCCTGCCACACTTTTCCCCCTGTGACATTGACATTTTGAAGAGACCAGGTCAGCTATAACATATCCCACATTCTGAATTTCTCTCACTGTTTCATCAGGGTGTCATTTACTATATTCATCTATTCTCTGTATTTCTTATAAACTGAAAATTGGGTCTAAAGGCTCAATTAGATTAAGGTTGCACATTTTTGCAATAACACTTCAGTAGTACTAGGAACTTCATATCACATCACATCAGAAGATGAGTAACAGGTTGTCCCACTAGCACTGATGTTAAATTTGATCACTGGTTAGGTGGTTACAGTGAGATTCCTCTGTTATAAAGATTGTTTATCTCTTGTAGTCACCTAGAATTTAAGCTGGGTAAGTGAGGATATTAGAGAAGTGAAGGACAGTGAAAAGGTGATAGGATTGATGGAACAGATCTACATGAGGCAAGTGTTTTTAAATGTTTGTTACCAGCCGGGTGCAGTGGCTCACACCTGTAATGCCAGCACTTTGGGAGGTGAAAGTGGGTGTATTACTTGAAGTCAAGAGTTTGAGACCAGCCTGGCCAACATGGTGAAACCCTGTCTCTACTAAAAATGCACAAAAAATTAGCCGGGTGTGGTGGCGGGTGCCTGTAATCCCAGCTACTCAGGGGGCTGTGGCACGAGAATTGCTTGAACCTGGGAGGTGGAGTTTGCAATTAGCTGAGATTGCGCCACTGCACTCCAGCCTGGGCGATAGAGTGAGACTCTGTCTCAAAAAAAAAAAAAAAAAAAGAAGGCACCAATTAGTCCATTAATTGCCTCCTCATCACTGTTGAATCTGCCCACAAGTGTGTGAATTGTTTAATCCCAGAACTCAGGTGGCTTTCTTCTCATCACCTAAGAGCTTACTCCCTGACTACTTTTCATTTTGAACAGACAATAGGTTTGCCATCTTTGGAGATGTCTTTTATCTTCAATCATGCTTAATGAGGGATAATAACCCTAGTGATCAGACACCCAACGCTGTGCACTGTCCCTGCTGAGGCTGGGGACTCAGCTGGACTCTCCTCAGTGCTAAGAAATCCTCACTCTCCCAAATAATCAGTATAACACTTGCCTCTGGCAGTATTGCAGGCTGGCCCACAAGCCAGAGCCAGGCCTGTCTTGACTGCCAGGAGGAGCTCTGGGCTGGGGTCCTTAGTTCATCACTGACCTTCTCTTCACTTTTCTGATTTACTCTGGTTAGATAAATCCAGCCTACTTTTAGTAAGTGACCTTGTTTTAAATTGCTCATCTGTGGCCAGTCACACATCCCTTGCTTTATCACATCGGCCTGATTAGCTTTGTCCCTAACAAGCCTGAGCTTTGGATTCAAAATAGCTGAGAAGTTGGTGCCCCCTAAAGGACACAAGAATTTTAAAGGTTGGCTCTTTATTACTAATAACTAGCAAATATTTCGTTGGGTTTGTTTTATGTTTGGAGTTTCTTACTCTCTTTTTAAAACTGATTAGCAAGTTCTTAAATGAAATGGACAGGCCAATATGATTAATGCAGTATGCAAAAGCCCCAGGGTCAGAGCAGAAAAATAGTGTTTGTCCTTTAAGTGCTTAAAATTTTTAAATATTAGTTTGTGAATAAAGAATATATAAATTACTTAATTTCTGCTTTAATTATAGAATGATGGAGGGGAAGGTAAGTAAAGCTAGAGTTTTCAAATATTTTAATTAGTAAGAATTTCATTCCTTCCTATAGCATAATTTTTCTATATATGACAAAATTTGAAACGTCAGACAAATTCCCCAGAATACAAATGGAAGCATCTGGATTTTTATTTATTTATTTATTTATTTTTGCTAGGGAGAGGCAAACATGTCCAAAACTTAGGATTATTTGATGAATATTATCTGGAATCAGATCAAGAGAATATTTAATAGTGTTTTTATTTGAAAATAGGTGGTTTTTCCTGAAATAAATATTAATAAGTTATTTATACAATAACTCTGCTTTTTTTTTTTTTTTTGAGATAGGATCTTGCTCTGTCACCTAGGTTGGAGTGCAATGGCTTGATCATGGCTCACTGCAGCCTCAACCTCCAGGGCTCGAGCTATCCTACTGCCTCAGCCCACCAAGTAGTTGGGACTACAGGCACACACTACCACACCTTATATATTATATATTATTATACAATAATAATCCTGTTCTAATTTCTTGACACTACCATTATTTCAGGGGCTTACTTTTAAAGCTTAAATAGGACTATGGAACACATCGCAGATGTGAGAGCTGGATTAATACTTAGCCCACAACCTAATACATTGAACCAGAGCAGCGCTTTTTTGGTCTAGAGTCCTCTGGGAATGTATTTCAACAGGCATTAACTGAACAACCTCATTAAGGCAAAAGTATCCTTTTAGGAGCCAAGTGTCAACTAGGAGATGGAGGAGCAAGTCTCTCCAACCTGAGAACCAATTGCAGATATTATAGTAACCACTTGCAATCTTTGAGGGTTATTTGTTCTGAAAACCTCCATAGTGGGAGAATTTGCAGCTGTGAAACAAAATTTCAGGAGACCAGAGGAGAGGGAGGACCAAAGTTGCAATTAATACATGAAATTTTGTATAAATATTAAGTTCACCAAGAAAGTAACAACAACATCTAAAATCAAGATAATACCAATGACATCTAATGCATCTTGAATTTGCATAATTGAGCATCATGCAAATTGCCCTGTCTCATGACTCATCACATCCTGTGTCGTGGGAGAACTCTGTGACCCTGGAGACTTTGATGAGTCATGATGGAAGGCAGAGCCCCAAAATAGCTTCCTTTACTACCACAGTGAACTTTGCATGCCAGTCCAGCCAGGCGCTGGCCAAGCTCAGGGCTAGAAGAAGTGCCCAAGGAGATATTTTTCAAGCCCTGACTGATACTCCACTGGAGGGGGCAGGCCTGATTAGAGACTGGAGTTGGGTGGTACTAGGCAAAACTGCTGGTTCCAAAATAGGAAAACAAGACTTTAGTAATTCCACAAACTTCTGATTCTGTGGCTCACTCTTGTAGTGGGTGGCACTTTGTGGAGTGAGGCTGGATGATACCTGGGAGGCTGGAGGTTCTTCTGGCTCTGGTGGTATGGAGGGTTCAGCTTCTTAGCAGCCTTGCAGCTCTGACTCCAGTAGTGGGTAGTATTTTGGTGAGGTTAGAGAAGAAAGAGAAGTAAGGAATGGTATATGGGTGTGTGTGTGTGTTTTCTATCTTTGGTGATGTTGAAACAGGGAGTCAGTAGGTAGAAATGATTCAACTGGAGAAGGATGTCCTCATGCTAACAGAAGTGCTTATTCAACCCGAATACTAGAAATCATGCACATTGCATTTGGAGCAACATGCATTTGCTAAGAGAGCTACCTCCTAGTCAAAATGTACCACCAGGAGTTCTCCTGACCCTTAAAAATTGACACCAAAGTTTCCTGTCTTTTCAGGTCCTCAAGTATGTTCCACATAATGAAGCACAATCATTACAGCTCTCGATTCGGCAGCAAACTTGGGCTGCAGTGCATCGGTATGCATGAGAAAGGCATCATATTTAACAACAATCCAGAGCTCTGGAAAACAACTCGACCCTTCTTTATGAAAGGTAAGCAGGTACTTAGTTAGCTACAATCTTTTTTGTCTATGAATGTGCCTTTTTTGAAATCATATTTTTAAAATATTTTATTTATTTATTTATTTATTTATTTATTGAGACAGGCTCTGACTCTATCACCCAGGCAGGAGTGACCTTGGCTCACGACCTTGGCTCACTGTAACCTCCGCCTCCCAGGCTCAGGCGATTCTCCCACCTCAGCCTCGCGAGTAGCTGGGACTACAGATGTGCACCACCATGCCTGGCTAATTTTTGTATTTTTTGTAGCGATGGGGTTTCGCCATATTTGAGACCAGGCTGGGCTCAAACTCACGGAGTCAAACGATTGACCTGCCTCGGCCTCCCAAAGTGCTGGGATTACAGGCATGAGCTATCATTCCTAGTCTGAAATCATATTTTGAATTCTACTGCAATAAAGGAGGAAGAGCTAACATTCATTATGCCTTTACTCTGTTGTAGCCATTGTTCTAAACACTTGAATGGCAGCCCCATGTGGTAAATGTTGTTATCTCCTACAATTCACAGAAAATGAGGTTAAGTAACTTGCCCAAGGTCCAAACATTAGTAAATGATAGCCCGGAATATAGCCCTGAAGCCTATATTTCTTAATCACCACAAATTCTTTTCTTCTTATTGATGTGCAAAGCAATTTTATAGGCAAAAGAAGAGATGTAGCTATATATTTAGAGTAATTTCAGTTAAGAATTTAGCATGTCACCCATATGTTTGATTTAAACACGGCCAAACAATGTGTTTGCTGAGTGCTTGACTGACAGCCCAGATGATTTAGCAGGAAGCAATTTGTGAATGAAATTAGATAATTTTAGAACTGAGAGGGACCATATCTGTCATCTAGCCTCTGATTTTAACAGTTGAGGAAATAAAGTTCCAACGAAGTTATGATTTTCACCCAGGCAAAATAGGGAGTAATGAATGAGCTGAGACCCAGTTGCAAGCTTCCTTATCCAGTGGTTTTCCCCCTTAACCTCATCATGCTGGAAATGAAACTGTTGGGGAATACACACGACTAACCCTTGACATTACTATCAAGCATAAAGAAAGATAATCATACCCTGGAAACCTTGTCAGTGGTGGAATCTGGGGCTAGATGATTTTAGGTCTGGCCCTGTCTATTCACAGCCTTCCCTCCAGCAGCCCGTGCTGTGAACCTAGGTAGCCGCCTTCCATGTGCCTGCTGAGATGGGGGGAGCTATGCCAGTACCTCTGCCCACTGGGTGTTGAGCCCAGCCTTCAGAGCTGCCCTCCCTCACCAGGACTCAGCACAACTCTTGCTGTAGACCCCAGTGTATCACTTTCCTATTGCTGCTGTAACAAATTGCCACAAACTAAGTGGCTTAAAAGAACACATTTATCTCACAGTTCTGTAGGTCAGAAGTCTGACATGGATCTCAATGAGCTGAAAACCAAGGCATAGGCAAGGCTATGTGCCTTTCTGGGGGCTCTAGGAGAGACTCTCTTTCTTTGTCTTTTCCAGCTCTAGAGGCCAGCCACATTCCTTGGCTTGTGGCCCTTTCTTCCAACTTCAAAGCCATCAACAGTGGGTTGAGTCCTTTGCACATTACATCTCTCTGACCCACCTTCTGTCATCCCATCTCTCTCTGGCTTTGACCTCGGCTTGGAAAGGTTCTTTGCTTTTTTTTTTTTTTTTTTTTTTTTTTCTGAGACAGAGTCTTGCTCTGTCACCCAGGCTGGAGTGCAGTGGCCCCATCTTGGCTCACTGCAAGCTCCACCTCCCAGGTTCACACCATTCTCCTGTCTCAGCCTCCTGAGTAGCTGGGACTACAGGTGCCCACCACCACGCCCAGCTAATTTTTTGTATTTTCAGTAGAGACGGGGTTTCACCGTGTTAGCCAGGATGGTCTCGATCTCCTGACCTCATGATTTGCCCACCTCAGCCTCCCAAAGTGCTGGGATCACAGACGTCAGCCTATAATCTTTGCCTTTAAGAACTCATGATTAGGTTTGGCCCACCCCATCTCAAGGTCCTTAACCTTAGTCATATCTGCTAAGTCCCCCTTTTCATGTAAAGTAACATGTTAGTAGGTTCTGGGGATTATGACCCAGACAAATTTAGGATGCTATTATTCTGCCTATCACTCATGTTGGGGGAGATAAATCTCCTTATACCTTATAAAACTATGGAATGAATTAATGGAAAACGTATAGGACTTAGTATTACAGGTTGTGGGTTTGCGTCCCAGCACTGCCACTTGCTACCTATCTGACCTTAGGCAAGTCACTTCGCCTTTCTGAGCTTCAGTTCCCCTATCCACAAAAGGTGATAAATGTTATGAAACTTGCACTCTAGGGCTGTTGTGAAGAACAAATGAAATAATGCTATAAGATCCCGTAGAAATGTACATTTGACTTTTTCATTTGGCTCAGGTGTATTAGGAATATGTGAACTAGTATTTAGTAGTAGTTAACTTTCACATACCAATATCCTCTACCCTGACATGCAAGAGCTAATTAAAAGAATCTCTAAGTTCATCCATTTGTTTAACACCCCACCGTTCTCATCTTTGAACTAGGTACCAAGATACAATGACAAACAAGATGTGGTTCCTGCCCTCCAGGAACTTATAATGGGGGAGAGAGGTTTGAATTAGGAAGGGGCAGCCCAGCACATCACCAAATACTACCCTAGGTGATGGTAATGCTGGCGGTGTGCCCAGAGTGATGCCAAGTACAGATGAACAGGCCATCTAAAGCACATTGAGGGGCAGGGGAGACTTTTCAGAGGAATGGATGCTTATAATGAGTTTTAAATGAAGGTAGAAGCTAATTAAGAAAACAAAAGACAAATATTCTAGGAGTAAAGAATAGGATAACCAAAGGCACAGACAAATAGATAGACATGATGCATCCAGGGCCCTGTCGGTAAGTCCTTGTGCCTGGTGCAGATACATTCAGGGACGTGGCCAAGGGGAGGGCAGGGCCAGATCACCAAAGACCTCTCAGTTAAGGCAAGGAATTGAGCTTATCTCAAAAACTATGGAGAATCACTAAAGATTTTAAGCAGAATAACATAAACATATTTGTATTTTATAAAAATCCCTCTGGTAGCAGAGAGAATGACTAATTGGAAGGAAGCAGGATTGTGAGCAGTGAGAACATTTAGGAGCTACTGCAGTGATGCAGGAAGGGTGGAGGGGAGGCTGTGGTTTCAAGAAATGTCAAAAGGGTAGACCCTACAGTAGTAGAGCCTATAGTACTTGGAAATTAAGCAAAACATCTTTGTGATTTTTTTTTAGACAGCCTTCTATAGGCAAGATCAGGGTTTCTACAAAAAGTGCTACATAACTGGACCCAAATTCATAATCTCAGGAAATAGGGGGATAATTGCTTATTGGAAAGTTCACTGTGGTGTCTGACATTTCTATAATCAATGAGGGTCCTAAGCATTTTTCAGTGAATCTCCTTTTGGAGTTAGACTCCCTGTTGGTTTTCCTGATATAGTGGAAAGTTTGGCACAAGTTTTAGTATCTAAATCAGTAACATTAATGAAAGTATTGACTTACTGGGTGAGTCTGTAGAGAAATAGTTAAGTGCAACTTAGGCAATGACCCATCTTGGGAGGTAGGGAAGGGTGGTGGCGAGGGGTGAAGAAATAGCATGTGTTTCCCAAAACTGCCGAGAAATGTGTCCATATTGATGGTATTTGCTGATTGTTGCCCAATTTTCTTTTCACTAGATAGAGTCAATACTTTTTAGCATATTTTAAAAATTAAATCATATCTACATCATACCACTGCCTATAAGCCATGTTATTACATTTTTGCCCATAAATTTGGCATGTGGCTTCAAGCTCTTTAAACACAGAGGCAAATCATGCATCGGCCTGGGAGAAAACCACAAGTGACATTCTAAGCCAACCCTTCCACACAAAGGGTTGAGTCATTTGTCCTGCTTGCTGAAGTGGCAGTCACCCAGAGAACAACATCCTGGCCTTTCATATCTGCCAAGTCCTTCCTATGGTCAGAAAGCCTGCTCCTTCCTCAACCTTCCTTCCAAGATGTATGGAAATCTCAAAAGTCTAGGACCAGTCCTCAGGCCTCCTTTCTTATTTGCAAAGTATACCTTTAGGCATGGGGATTCCGCAGCTTAACCCAGTGTGTGTGTGTGTGTGTGTGTGTGTGTGTGTGTGTGTGTGTGAGAGAGAGAGAGAGAGAGAGAGCAAGAGAGAGAGAGAGAGGATAGTCTTCTTCTGGAGTTACGTCTACAAAGTTTCCCAATATTTTTCATCTCATTTCAAAGACTCTGATGTTAACAGCAAACCTGAATAATAAAAGACTTAAAAAGAGATTACTCCTAAAAGATGCTTAAAGAAACGTAACACAAAGAGAGAAAGGGGCACTTTAAGGGTTAAACCCTCCTGTGTAGGCCACCTACCATCAGGACCCACCAGCCACTGCTCAGATATGAACAGGGCAAGAGTAAGATCAAAGCCAGTTTACTCTATTTTCATTCATTCATTCATTCATTCATTCCTCTATTGAAAAAATATGTATGAAGGCCCCCATGGACCATCAGCTTGAAGTGCAATGCTAATGAGTGGCTGTCACTGTCCTTAAAGAGCTCTCAGTTCAGTGAGGGAAGACTGGTAAGCAAGCAAGGAATTGCTTAGCTGTCATGCCATTGGCTGAGTAAAATAAACCTGGAAGTAGTTTGAAGAGAAATCAAAATTAAGAGAAGGGCACTTTGGGGGATTTTTACAACTAGCCTTTTACACTTAAACAGGAAGCACCTTAGATCAAATAGGATCCAATTTGACCAGTTTTCCAATAATATCCTGCCACCTGTTGAAACGCAAAATAAATATGACCCTAGGCAAATCCAAATCATCTTTGGAGGGAAATGTATGCAATAAATATGAAAAAATCACTGATTTGTGATTTATGACCACAAGTACTAAATGTTTCATTTGCAATCTCATAAATGGCTGGCTAGAGCATGAAAAAAAGTTTAATTTTTAATAGTTTGTTTAAAATAATATTTGTCCCTATCTCCTTCCGTTCATTCATTCTTAACCATAGGATAGTACATGCTTATGTAAAATTAGGAGACCACAGAAAAGCATACGAAAATATTATGAAAACTTCCACCCAATTATTAAATTAAAAATTGTGGACAATTAAGCTCCAACATAAAAAGCCAAAATGGCATGATTGTGTGTGTGCCCTGGAGTTCGTGATGGCTGATTCTCTGATGTGTACTCTGCAGCTCTGTCAGGCCCCGGCCTTGTTCGTATGGTCACAGTCTGTGCTGAATCCCTCAAAACACATCTGGACAGGTTGGAGGAGGTGACCAATGAATCGGGCTATGTGGACGTGTTGACCCTTCTGCGTCGTGTCATGCTGGACACCTCTAACACGCTCTTCTTGAGGATCCCTTTGGACGGTACTGAAATTTTCACTCTCACATCTTGACCATCTGTCCTTTACTGAACAAGGAGCTAGGAGGGATAACAGACCAAAGGAATCACATGCCATTTTCTACATTGCTCTTGTTTAAACATTTCTAAGTACTCCTCGTTTTTTTCCCTAGTGTTTCTGCTTTGTTCACTTATAAAATATAAATTTCCATAAAGTAGGGGCCAGCATCTACTAGCCTTTTGTATCTTTCCTCATTACTCTAGGAAATAGAATTCTACCCACAGTTGAAACTTAACAAATGTGATTAGTTCGTTTGGTTATTAACATATCCTACCACCAATCAACTTTATATATTTAACCATTTCCAGTTGTTCTTTTGGGCATGATATATACATACATATATACATACATACCCACACATATATACACACACTCCTCCCTCAAAGCTACTAAACATGAAAACATTGTGCCTATATGATAAAAATGTCAATATTGCTGGTGATACTGATGCTGATGGAAATGACGATATTAGCTGCCATTAACGTAGTATCTAATGTGTGCCAAACAATATTAAAAATTGCTGTATATACATGTTTGCCATTTATTATTTATAACCTTAACAAGATGTCTCACTCATAAGACTACTTTCCGCACTATGATACAGAAATGAATATTAAAACATGTGCATGCTCATGTCAAACTCATAGAACTTGATTTTATTTTGGCAGGATTAAACCAATTTGCAACTTGAGTACAAATGCCAATATTTCAGCTAGTTCTTGAAAAGTTGTGCCATTGTGCAAAAGTCATTGAATTATTTGATAACTTTTTAACCTAATGACCAAACACCTGACAGGAATGGAATTCACTGGACTTGTATCTAATTGTTTTACACTGTTTTCTATGGGTTACATTTTTTATTGCCATTGTGACCTTTATCCACACACTAACCTGGAAAGTATAGGAATAAAAGAATTGGCATTCTTTCTGATACACCCTTTTTGTTTTCTTCTTAAAGTCATTTATATTATGTATTACTCTTAAAGAATGTTTTAGTCTCCATTTTAGTAGTCTGTGCATAAGGTAGTAATACATGTACACAAAGAAAAATTCACAAGCCCATTCAGGTGTCTTTTAGAACATTATTTACCACTAAATATTTATACAGTTGACATAATGCTTATTATGCCCTTGAATAATAGAATTTGTTTTGTTTTTACTTCTTATCCATAAGCATTGGCCTTACATTGCCTCAAGAGGAACAGAATTTATTATTAAACAGGATTCTTAAATCCATAACTCATATTGTGACTTCATACATTTTGTAACCCTAGTAGTGAATATACCCTAAAAACCTATAAATCCCCCCAAATCACTCTACTGATGAAAAAAAAAAAACATGTGCATGCAACTCTACCACCACCAAAAAACAAACATTAATCATTTGAGTAGTTTGGTGGTTACCAGAGGATGGGAAGGGTAGTGGGGAGAGAAGAGATGAAGAGAAGTTGATTAATGGGTACAAAAATACAGGCAGATAGAAGAAACAAGACCTAGTGTTCAAAAAATCAGTGTAGTGAAGAAAATAAATAATAATCTATGTACAACCAAGTAGCTAGTAGAGAAAATTTGAATGTTCTCAGCATAAAGAAAAGATAAATGTTTAAGGTGATGAATATCCTCATTACCCTGATTTGGTTATTACACATTATACAAATTTATCAAAATATTACAGTTACCCCTAAATATGTATATCCATTATGTATCAATAGAAAATTAATCATTTGGATTAATTCCATTCTACTGTTGGCATTAAGTATGTACAACTCAATGTGACTTTTCCTGAATTAACTTACACCAGTGTTCATTGATTCATACATTCATTCATCAAACATTTATTGATTGCTTATTTTATGCCAGGCACTGTTCTAGGTTCTGGGGACATAACAGTAAGCAAGACAGATAAAATTCTTGCCTTCAAGGGGCTTACATTCCAGTGAGTGATGTGGACAGGAAAAGACATAGATATCTAATAAAATATTAGGCAATAATAAGTGCCTTGAAGGCAAAATGAAGCAGGGCAAGAGGACAGGAAGTGAAGGAGGGCAACAGTGTGTGTGGGCACAGATGTCATGGAGAGGGTGGTTAGAAAAGGCCTCTGCAGAGAAGACATTTGACCATAGCTCGAATTTAGTGAGGCCACAAGCCACAGGCAGATATGAGGGAAGAACACTCCAGGCGGAGGAACAATGCGTACTTTTAACACTTGCCCCAACCAGCTGAACTGGAACACATGCTACCTGGTATACTACACTTGGGCACATAGACAAGCTATAAGCCCTCCCTATTGCCGCATCTCCCCTACTCCAGCTACTCCATACAAGAGCTGGAGACACTTCATCTGATGGCCATTTGGATGGGAGCCCACAATCACTTGAAGAAGTTTTAGTCACACTTTCTCACCTGATCTCTTTTCAGGCAGGGATGCCACTCCCAGGGTGCCTGTTCTACAGACATCACTTCTAAAGTGAAACAGGCGTGTATTTTAAAAGTCTAGATTTCCAGGTCCCCCTCTAGCCTTGCCTCATTAGGAAGGATCATATAAAAGGATTTGTAAATCTCTCCATTCATTTTTGGATGCAGACTATGATGCTGGCAAACCTGTGCAACCCACAGAGTTACATAATCCCTTTTCACAGGGATCCTTGTTAAACTCTCAATTTGCCTAAGGGACCCAGTGCAAGAAAAGAGAAAAGGACATGGTCCTGAGGTCAGACAGAAGCAGCTCCAGCCTCAGGGCCTGCCTGTCAGCCACACTGGCTGTATGGTTTTGGGCAAGCTTCCGAATTTCTATGAATTGCAATTTCTTCCACTGCAAAAGGATGACACCACAACGCCCATGGCAAGAATATGAAGATGAAATTAAAAATCTCTTTCACAAAGTGCCTAGCATGGTGACTGGTATTTAGCAGTTGGAAATATATGTCTGTTCTCTCTTTTGTATATTATCTGGTATAATTTGAAAAAATAAGGGTTTATTTCCTCTAGTATTCAATTTAATTAAAGAGCATTTATTAAGAGCTGATTGTATGTGAGGCTTAGGACAAGGCATTAAAGAACACAAGATGAATTCTACACTCTGGACTGAATATAAATAACTATGAAAGCTATGTGATGAGTGTTATGGGGGAAAAATGAATAAAGCACCATGAGAACATGATTAGAAGCTATTAAGTGTATAATCCAGATAAACTGTCCACTTCATGGCTCTGCTTACCCAGCACCAAATGAAGTTAAAATGTGGTTGTTAGCCACCTAACAGGCTCTGCTTTTTACACTCCCAGGTACCAGAGTGAAGGCCATAACAGCCATAATTACTAGTTCCATTTGTACAGAGAAACAGGAGCTAGTTGAAAGCTCAGCCCAAGGAGAATATGTGAAATTCTAGGCTGAAAACTTGAAAACACAAACTTGAAAACTGGCAACTCACTGGTTAAGTAGGCCAATTTGGATGGCAAGGAGAACAAATCAGTGCTTGATTTGTCTAGTGGTATTCACGTGGCTAAAACTCCTACTGAAGATGGAATCTTGCTGAGCTTAGAACCCCCAGACTGTTAGGAGAATCTGCAGGGAATGTTTTCTGCTCAGAGCAACCTTCTTAGGCTCACATTTTGCTCAACTGCTCTTTCTTGTGTATGTGTGTTTTTTTTTCCTACAGAAAGTGCTATCGTGGTTAAAATCCAAGGTTATTTTGATGCATGGCAAGCTCTCCTCATCAAACCAGACATCTTCTTTAAGATTTCTTGGCTATACAAAAAGTATGAGAAGTCTGTGTAAGTAATACAACTTTGGAAGATTTATGAGTACAATTGGATTGGTTTTTTTCCCTTGTGTCTTTGCTGTTTTTCTTGGCCTCTCAGGTAACTTTTCTGCTCTCTAGAGCCCACAAGGGAGCTGTTGATTAAGTTGCTGATGAAACACTTTTTACAGCAATTTGGCTGCATTTGGCCAGACCAGAGAGTAAATGAAGCCTTTGGCTGGGCAGCTTCTCGGCAAGGGGGCTGAGTGTGTGGTCTGGGAGCTTCAGCTTGGTAACTAGGACACTAGTGTATTTTGAGTTGAAGAGAAGGGTCGACTGATCCTGTCATTAATATCTGTCAAAATTATCTTTGCACAACTAAAAAACTGGAACTACAGAATCAATTTATAGTTGTGTTGTTTTTGAATGAATTTAACATAATTCAACTTGTAAGAACTGACAATAGTCTCAATAGAATTTTTTCTTAATGAGTACAATTAACTTCAATAAAATGTGTGTGGGTTTTTGAAATTATGTATCTTGTGTTTTGGGGGTCCTGAAATTGTCATTAAATGACTTTGTTTTGGTCTTAGAATCATCCAGCAGAAAACTGGACAAATGCCCAGTGGCCTACAGGCTAATCAATGGGCTTGTAGAGTACAGGTAGCCAGTCACTAAACACTGCTACCTCTAACCACCAGTGGAAAGCCTGTGGAATCTAGAAACAGGAACTCCTGTTTTGTGTCCTGTTTCTAATGGCCTTGGGAAGTTATTTAAAATAAGATATAACCTATCTTCTAGAGTAGGGGCATAGGTTAATGAGATCATATAAGTAAGGCAATTAGCATAGAGCATGGCACATAGAGGGTACTAAATATGTTAGTTTCTCCCTTTCCTGTGTTCATATCTTCCTCAGATGTTCCTAACCATCTCAAGTTCTCCATCTCTAAATGTCCCCAAGCTTGTCTGAAGACCTGACTTTATTCTACCTGTGGATTTTGAAATTCGATAATATTAGTTTCTAGAGAAGAAGCCGACTTGATGTTGTTTTGTTTATTCTCTCATGGTTGATAAGTACTAGGTGAATGTTTTAGACACTTGGTTCTTTATACATTTCATTTCCACCAGAGCTTATTGTGACTTGAAAACTAATAGATAAAAGATTCATCTCTTCCCTGTGATCAGAGTTGTTGGCAGTAGTGGTGGTCTGGAGAGTTCATTACATAGTTCTCAGTCATTAGTTTAGCCTTGGTCTTGGCCATTGGACCCACAGAAATTTATTGTATGAGTCTGTATAACGGATTCTCTTAGGTTTCTGCAGTTCCCTCAAGGAGCTCTCTATGAATTTAGAGGCTGGGGCATTCCAACACCTCCCAGACCATTTGGGGCTAGTGCCCAGATGGGAATGCTATGAGCATTCTCAGCCTACTAGGAAGAGGGCACCACAGCCCAGCTGAGTGAATATCTGTTCTTTGTATATAAGAGATGCTTAGCAAACATTTGATGAATGTGTGGATCAGTAGGGTATTTAAGTGTATAGGTGAACATGTCAATTAGAATTTGGAAGATGGATTTATTGTACATTTAACGTAATACAGAACATTGTTCCCTGAGATAAGGGAACAATACACTTACAAAGAACACATACACTTAAGGACAGAGATAAGAAAAATTGAATTTAGATTAAGGTGACTTTATTTTTCATCCAGTCTGATCCCTTCACTTTAAAAGGATGTAGGGCCCAGAGACTTAAAGTATCTTACATAGAAAGAGAACAACCTGAACTAGGACCTGACCCCACCCCGTCCAAGTGTTCTTTCAACCACACTGCCAAAATGCCTATACATATTTATGCAGCTGGTAATTCATTCAACACATATTAGTGTTTACAATGTGGCAGAAACTAACAAGGCATGAGAATAAATATCAAGAATGATACCTAGTCACTGGAGTTTACTGTTTAGAACAGGAATCTCAAACTCAACTGTCTTCAGGACTAGGCAAATAAAAGCAGACTATGGGGGCCAGGTGCAATGGCTCATGCCTGCAATCCCAGCACTTTGGGAGGCCGAGGTGGGTGGATCACCTGAGGTCAGGAGTTTGAGACCAACCTGACCAACATGGTGAAACTCTGTCTTTACTAAAAATACAAAAAATTAGCTGGGCGTGGTGGCAGGTGCCTGTAATCCCAACTACTCGGGAGGCTGAGGCAGGAGAATGGCTTGAACCCAGGAGGCAGAGGCTGCAGTGGGCTGAGATCATGCCACTGCACTCCAGCCTGGGTGACAGATTGAGACTTTGTCTCAGTTAAAAGAAAAAAAGAAAAAGCAGGCTATGGGAATGTAAGACAAGGGAATGGAGGTTCCTGTGGCAAACTGAAGAGCACCTGACAGCACTCACAGGTTTTTTTGTTTTTGTTTTTTTAATTTAAACATTGTGCCTGCCAAATCAGAAATTGGAAAACATTGTTAGATTTAGCCTTTTGATATCAATTTTTAACCCTTAACTAGAAGTCACAGGCTTGATTTCGCTACCAGTATCCAGAAATCTTAGCTAACTCTGGCACCTTAACATGAAGTGTAGGGTCTATGTAATTTAAGGGTATTTATGAAGAAATAAAATAGTAATTCACTTACTCATAAGCACCAATGTTTTCAATTAAAGCAGATCATTTTACCTAAATACATGGCAAATAAATCTGTTTCGCTAGATGTCTAAACTGAGTAAAAATAGACAATATTTTGACTTTTTTTCCAGCAAGGATTTGAAAGATGCCATAGAAGTTCTGATAGCAGAAAAAAGACGCAGGATTTCCACAGAAGAGAAACTGGAAGAATGTATGGACTTTGCCACTGAGTTGATTTTAGCAGAGGTACTGACCTGAACTAACTGTAATTCCCATGCCACATATGTTATGACTGTGTAGAGGTGTGTAAAGATCCCCTTTTGTAACTGTTGCATATTTCTGCTTTTAAATACTTTCTCTAGCAGTTCTGTAATCCCAATCCAAATAGCCCACACATTAGATATTTCAGTAAGGCTTTTAAGATTGGAACATTCTAGTAAGACTGACTGCTAAGATTGTGACTCTTCTGTGTAACAGTATAAAATATGAAAACAAGTTGGGGGAGGCCAAAGACACTACATATACATAGACAGTCGGCCTAATCGTTCATCTTTCAGCTAAAGATTGTCATGTAAAATGTCCACAGTCAATCACAGAGACATGTGGTTTCTATGATTTCATTTTGTTGAGGTTGTTGATCCTTGAGTGTCACCTCCCCTCATTTTTTGAAACTTTGATTCACTTTTCCAAATTTTTCCCATCTTCCAATTGTTCAGAAACGTGGTGACCTGACAAGAGAGAATGTGAACCAGTGCATATTGGAAATGCTGATCGCAGCTCCTGACACCATGTCTGTCTCTTTGTTCTTCATGCTATTTCTCATTGCAAAGCACCCTAATGTTGAAGAGGCAATAATAAAGGAAATCCAGACTGTTATTGGTAAGAATTTATCAAATAAATAATACATCTTAAAAACAATTTCTTCTGAATGTCCATTTCTTATGTCCTAAGAATCTGATATCAAACATGAAATTTTTTATAATTTGCTCCAAACAATAAAGCAAGACATTCTGTCACATTTGATTACACCAGATAGACGGAAAAGATAGCTCTTTCTGTGTTCTTAATCATAAAAATGATGCATGCTCATTGGGAGGAATTTAAATCACAGAATGATGTGTAAAGCAGTAAGTGACATCCCCCAATCCTTTCCGCTCTCCTCTCCAGCCTCATCTCCCCTCTCCAGTGGCAACCATTGTTAATAGTTTGCTGTGTATTTGCTAAAATCTTTTTCTATTTGCCCACAAACACATATTTATGGTTGGATTTGTCCATTTTACAAAAACATGGGATCATATACAATGTTCTGCCTACCTTGTCAGTTACAAAAGACTTTTGTGGACTCTCCCAGGGAAATTATCGTCCCAGGGAAGTGATAGTCTATCATTTATAGCACTGTTTCTGGGCTTCAAGCAGCCCCTTCACAAATGAACTTCCAGTTTGTGGCAGAAGGAAGAGGAGAGGATGACAGCAAAGACAGGGTAGTGATACATTTCCCTCTCCACTCCAATCCAGTGATGCTAGCCCCTTCCTCTCCCCTGCCCTCTGCAGGGGAGCTTCCAGGTCCACACTCAGGTCTTCTCCAACTCTACCGCCTCACTACTCTGTCTCTGCTTCAATTTCATCCTGCTCCACTCTTCTACAGAAACAAGGCCATCTTTGAAAGAAATCAAACTTGCTTTCTGGGAGAAAGCAGAATTCCTCATTTGACACTTCCTTCACATAAGTAATCTTTTAGGAACACATTTCTTACAGATGTGAAGAGAGATCACAGAATGTGGACTTCCCTCTCTTGACTTTACACAGACCCTGCAAAACAAGTTATTTGGTTGTAGAAGGGCATCATCTTTTTCAAACCATTGGAGTGCTCCTTGAAATAGTTAAACGTAAGGGAAAATTTCATCGAAGGGTTAAATATGGGAGAGAAGGGATCTGCAGATGCCTCACACAGGTGGGAAGTTTCCAGGCAAGGTAGATAGCAAGGATACAGAATAACATCTGGAATCCAAATTCCAGCATGTTTTCTTGAGTGCCTCCTAGCAGGTTCTCAGGTTCTGTGCCAGGTGCAGGGCTACAGCCTTGAACAAGCCAACACCACCCCTGCACTCACGGGGCTCATGGTCTGGTGGGAAAAAGAAAACAAGCTCAATACAGTAAAGAGAGACCGAAGGAGGGCATTCAGAGAAACCATAAGCCTTTAATACATATTGAATACCATTTATTTGAGAGGTGAAATGTACGTGTACATGTTAATGTTCCCCTGACACTTCAAAAGGCCTCTGCAAAGATGGAAAAGCAGCAGAGCCATTTGCAAGCGTCCATGCTCCCTCCTGTGTGCCACACACAGACTCGCTAACTACTTCCTAGTGAGCACCTTTGGTCACCTTCTCCATCATCTTCTTTTCTACCTCCCAACCCCAGCTATACAGGCCCCATTAGACCCTTGAGTGTGCCAAGGGCAGTATGTAAGAGGAAGGGCCATGAGAAGACTCTGACCAAACTAGACCTTTCCTCAGTGGCTTCGTTGTATATGAGACAGGGCTGCCTCAGGACCCTGGGCTATTTTTCATCCTGCAAAAGTGGCATCTCTGAAGCTTTACCATGTCTGGGAATAATCTAAGTCTCTTTGACCAGTGTCAGGCTAATCTGAGACAGTGAGGGTGTCCATCTATCCCCAGCTCACCCAGGGCTGATCTGAGGCACCTATTTTGTCGTGGTGGGGAGAACATCCTTGTCACTCTACTGCAGGTCTTTCTTGATGAGATGCAGAGGGACTATCAGTGACATGTATGGGCAGATGACTGCACAGGTAACCAGAAGAGAAAATTTCATTGAAATAGATCAAATCTGCCATCTCACTTTGACTCTGCAGCAGCCTGTGCATCATCTCTGGGATGGTTGTGGTGCCAGTTTGCTCGTAAGTGAAGAGAGGAAATGAATGTCCCCTACAATTTAGAGTAGGGAACAAAAACTCAAAGATTTCAGAAAGCAGGCACATGAGATGAATGTTTGAAGCAGATTGGGTGTGGTCTAGATGGAACTGTATGATGTATGCCCCCTCTAAACAGGTAATTGGCCACTCAGCGTCAGCCCATTATTGCTATGTGGGAATGTAAGTTCAGCATCACCAAATTTTCTGGACATTCAGACTTTTCTATAAACTCCACCAGTTTTTAAGGTAATTGGCTTCATATCTGAATTTTTATAAAACACTCTGTGGCCCAAGCATAACATATTTGGCCCTGGTTGCTGGTGTGCATTAGAATTAGAGCCACAATTTTTTTCAACCAAGAGCAAACGGTTCTGTGGAAAAAAATAGAAGCTTTAATACCAATCACAGATGGAAACTAACATTACCTTCTTTGTTCCTTTTATCTGTTTCCACAGGTGAGAGAGACATAAAGATTGATGATATACAAAAATTAAAAGTGATGGAAAACTTCATTTATGAGAGCATGCGGTACCAGCCTGTCGTGGACTTGGTCATGCGCAAAGCCTTAGAAGATGATGTAATCGATGGCTACCCAGTGAAAAAGGGGACAAACATTATCCTGAATATTGGAAGGATGCACAGACTCGAGTTTTTCCCCAAACCCAATGAATTTACTCTTGAAAATTTTGCAAAGAATGTAAGAGCCCTTCCTTAAAACTGAGTGTGCCACTCTTGAAAATGTCAACTGTTAAATCCTCTCTGGTTCTTTGTGTTTGCACCATAAATACTTCATTTTTCTTACTCATTCCCTCTGCCACCTCACCAGGAGCACACACGTCCCCTAGCTTGGAGCAGGGCTCCCGTATTCATCCTCAAGCCTTCAAGGATGTTGGGTCTCCAGCTCTAAGAAGTATCTACATGGTGGCCACAAAATAGGTCAAAATGTGAAAAAGCTGGGCCCTTCATTTGGCTAAAATGAAGTGATTTTTGTTTAACCCAACCAACCTACTTTTCCATTTAAACTTTGTCATCATGTCATCACATTCAGCTATAGCACCATCTGAGCAAAGGAAAGTCCACTACTGCTTCAGATGAAAATCAAATGAGACCAAAAGATTTGGTTTTTGCAAAGTGCCTTTGGCTCATCAAATGGCCCCATGAGCAGTAGGTCCCATTCTAAATAGGACTTAATAATTAGAAGAGAGACAGTTTTTCTTTTTTTATAATTGATGTGTACTACAGATTCCACCTTCATTATGTCAAATTTTAGGCAATATGTTTTTCAATCTGAATTACGTACGCAGTTCCCTAAGTGCCCTTTTTTCAATTTGCATATGGTGTAGAAACATGATGCTAAATAATTCAGTACTCTAATTCATTTTGTTTCTACACGGGCAATCCAGATAATGCTATGTAAATCAGTCAACTGATCAACAAAAATTTATTGAACATCTACTATATGCCAGGCACTAAGTCCAAATGTGGACAAGACAGCTGTGGTCCTCATTAATTTTCTGCATAACTACAAATAGTTAGATGCTTGGCACTGAATAGGCCAGGAATCTACATCCTTGCTTGCCTTTATCTCTTATATGGTGTCACACAAAAATAATCTTTGCCTTAGTGACTTATAAAACAATAGTAAATCTGTGGCTATTCCACAGAGCTACCTGATTATACTAACACTTGCTGTAATAAGATTTGGTTTGCATTGCTTTACCCCAGCACATGAAAGGCAAAACTGGGGACTCTCTGAGGTTGGGTCAGAACACAGGGGGTGAATGAAATAGGACATAGAAAGGGCTTGAGTTCCAGTTGTTCATCTGAGGGGATGGAGGGCATTGTAGCTGATAACCCCAAAACAGTGTTCTGACTGACCCATGTTTTCAGAATGAATCAAACAGAGACTGAGTGACTCTAGCCTTTAATATTCTGGCTAACTGTCTGATCATTTTCATAGGTTCCTTATAGGTACTTTCAGCCATTTGGCTTTGGGCCCCGTGGCTGTGCAGGAAAGTACATCGCCATGGTGATGATGAAAGCCATCCTCGTTACACTTCTGAGACGATTCCACGTGAAGACATTGCAAGGACAGTGTGTTGAGAGCATACAGAAGATACACGACTTGTCCTTGCACCCAGATGAGACTAAAAACATGCTGGAAATGATCTTTACCCCAAGAAACTCAGACAGGTGTCTGGAACACTAGAGAAGGCTGGTCAGTACCCACTCTGGAGCATTTCTCATCAGTAGTTCACATACAAATCATCCATCCTTGCCAATAGTGTCATCCTCACAGTGAACACTCAGTGGCCCATGGCATTTTATAGGCATACCTCCTATGGGTTGTCACCAAGCTAGGTGCTATTTGTCATCTGCTCCTGTTCACACCAGAGAACCAGGCTACAAGAGAAAAAGCAGAGGCCAAGAGTTTGAGGGAGAAATAGTCGGTGAAGAAACCGTATCCATAAAGACCCGATTCCACCAAATGTGCTTTGAGAAGGATAGGCCTTCATTAACAAAATGTATGTCTGGTTCCCCAGTAGAGCTCTACTGCCTCAACCCAAGGGGATTTTTATGTCTGGGGCAGAAACACTCAAGTTGATTAGAAAGACCAGGCCAATGTCAGGGTACCTGGGGCCAAACCCACCTGCTAGTGTGAATTAAAGTACTTTAATTTTGTTTTCTGTGGAGGTGGAAAAGCAACATTCATAGTCTTTGGAGAAATGCTTAGAAATTCAGCATTTGACCCTTGCTGTGAATTAAGCCCAATTAATTCCTGTTTGTCTACATATGATCTGTCTGTGGCAAAAGTTTAATCAGAGGAAATTCTTTCCCAGTCTGTCGATTTATGCCTCAGCCACTTGCCTGTGCTACAATTCATTGTGTTACCTGTAGATTCAGGTAATACAAACTATATATAATCATCAAGTAATACAAACTAATTTAGTAATAGCCTGGGTTAAGTATTATTAGGGCCCTGTGTCTGCTGTAGAAAAAAAAATTCACATGATGCACTTCAAATTCAAATAAAAATCCTTTTGGCATGTTCCCATTTTTGCTTAGCTCAATTAGTGTGGCTAACCAAGAGATAACTGTAAATGTGACATTGATTTGCTCTTACTACAGCTTCAGTGATTGGGGGAGGAAAAGTCCCAACCCAATGGGCTCAAACTTCTAAGGGGTACTCCTCTCATCCCCTTATCCTTCTCCCTCGACATTTTCTCCCTCTTTCTTCCCATGACCCCAAAGCCAAGGGCAACAGATCAGTAAAGAACGTGGTCAGAGTAGAACCCCTGAAGTATTTTTTAATCCTACCTCAAAATTTAACAGTTACCTGAGAGATTTAACATTATCTAGTTCATTGAATCATTGTATGTGGTCATGGATAAATTGCACACCTTGGAATTCGCTTTCTAAAGGAAATCAAATGAATGGAGGAACTTTCCAAACACCACTTTACTTGTGTTATATAGCCAATATAACTATCTCTACTGAATGTCATTGAAAAACTAAAAAATTAAACTTATTTACAAATAGGTAAATATTTGTCATTGAATCCATTGCCATCCCATTTGACTGTTCTTTTCATCCTACTGTCTAGTAATAAGCTGAGTATAAGATGACAGTGTAATCTCCCTGAAAGCAGGAGCTACTTTCTTTCTTTTGTAATCTATTTCCATCCCCATTTCCCTGTCCTGTCTCCCTGTATTCACTCCCAAGCTCAGTTCTGAATAGACATTCCTGCTCAGAGATACTCCCAACTGATGCAGAAACCAAATAAAGAGGTAGGTATTCCAAGAATTCAAGAATGGACATTAGTAAAGAATAAAACATTTATTTGAGCTTGGAATTATTTGGATCATCTATATGGCCTAAAAATATATGGACTATGCCTGTGTACCTGAATACGTATGTAGTCAGGTCAAGACAATCATCCAAATAACTTAGACCCCTAAAAGCAAGGCCAGGATTTGCAATTTAATGTGTCCCAATTAATTCACTTGAAAATTAGTAACACTCTGTTTACGTTGCCTCTGGCTGGAGCTGCATGGTGGAAGAAGCCCAACTTTGGATCCATGTACTTCACCCATCCAATACTCTTGGGACATTTATGTGTATTTTATCTGTATATATGAAGCCAATGTCTATGTCTACACAGTCAAAGTGAAATGCATGTTTGATATAGCTGTACATAGATATCTATTTTGCAGGTACAAAAATATCCTGGGGGAAAACTGGGAGTGGAAGGGTGGGGGGTGGGAGTGAGGGACATGGGGGAGGGACAGGAAGAGGAGAAGTGTTGGTTTGAACGATCCAAGCAAACTCTCCCAGAATCAAATTACCTGGGTAGTTGTTCAACTTTTCACTCTGCTTAGCCTGTATAGACAAACCCCATATATTTGTAGAGGCTTGGCCTTGGAATTCTGGAATACCATTGGCTTTTCAGTAGGCTGATGAACACATTTTGAAAATTCTATTATCTTCAGAATTTTGCCCCATTGTTAAGTGCTTAACCGTCACTCTTGAATGTGCAATGTGCTGTGGATTCCATTTTCATCAGTTCTGAAAGAACTGCAATGTGTAAATTATCAGTGAAATGCATGCATATAAGGGCTCTATCATTATCAAATTGTAAGGACAATTGTACCCTTCTATATCTTTGGGCATGCTAGACACCCCCATGCCTTCATTGAGATCCCATTTTCCCCCTCTCAAGTGGAAAATAATCACATCCAGCAAGCTCTCTCATTATTGAGAAATACCATTTGGAAATTGCCACTTTTTATTCCTAAGCAGCACCTTTCACTGTTCATGATGCTAATGTTCCACAAAAGCATGTGCCATTGGCCCACTGAAGGATAGAGGGACCCTTTTCAATCTATATCAGCTGGGCTCTGGGACTGAATCTCTCACCTATTCTTGCAGAAAGACATACTAATTAAACCTTGTCAAAGTAGTAAGTCAAATGGAGCGTATGATGCTTTCAGTTGCTCTTAGCTCAAAGAACAAAGTCAAGGGATTAACCCTTCAGGGATCAATCCTGTCAGGGCTTACCTGTTTCAACTTCCTCATTTCCTTTCTGCAGCTTTTAGCAGGTATTGGCCTATTCTAGGAAGTCAATGGCCATAACCCTGTTTCTACCAGGTCAACAAGACAATGGAATGTATTTAGACAGGGCAACCCCCATTCATCAAGTCCAGCCCATTAAGTATACCCTGCTCTCTCCCATCAAGAAAACATTTCGAAGTGCAAAACAAATGAGAGTCATAAGAAAATGATAATTATCATAAGAATAACTTTGAATCCACTGTGATTTATAACCAAAAGCAAATGTTTCACAAACCTCAGTATTTTAATTTGTTAGCAAAACATTTCTTGCAAAGAAGGTCTTAATTACAAGGCATGGCAGCTGAGTGCCTGTAGTCCAGGTAATTTTTAAAGTTCCTTTCAGCTCTGCGACTCCATGAATAGGGAGGCAGTGGAGCCCTGCCTTTTTGTAAGAATATGCTTTGGACAAGCTGTTTCATCTCTCCATATCACAGTTTTCTCATCAATCCAATGGGGATAATAATTATCTCATAAGCATTGCTGTGAAGATTGCAAGAAATAATTTCTGTGAAGCCCTTTAGCACAGTGCTGGTACACAGCAGCCTCTCACTGAGCATAGGGCATGATAATGACAAGTTCAGTAATTAGGCTGAATCGTGATCTCAAACCTCTTCTTGTGCAGTAGAGGGCGGCAGGAGATGATGTGCCAGATGCTTCTATTATCTCATATTAGGTTTCACGACAACTTTCCCATCAGTATGAATGCCTCAGTAATCCCTGCAGCCTATTGATAAGACAGAGTCCCAGGAGGTTTGGGGACTTGCACCCAAGCACTCAACTAGTAAAGGAGCAACCTGGATTTGAGTCCACCTCTCATTCCAAAGCCCTTGTCCCCTCTCTCACGCCATCTTTTTGCAGCAGGACTAACCTGCTGAGAGGCTGAGGAGTCTCATTCCACTTCCCCAGCTCTCTTGCCATTGTGATGCTGGGTAAACTCCTTTTAAGAGCTGCTCATTCCCCATCTCATTGCCCAAGGAATTTGAAGCAAGGAATATCTCAGTTTCTTCATCTATGAAATATGGATGATTTTACCTGCCTTCCCTACTTCCCAAATGTGTTTCAAGGTGCTTTCTCAAAAGAGATAGGGGAAAGTGCTGTAAAAGTTTAGTTAGTATAAAGTGGTAGTAGTACTAATGAGTGTATTCCAACAGTTGCCTCAATAGGAAATTATCAGATTCCATTTGGCCATTACCTCACCATTAGGAACATTTCTAGCTTCGCACAATTTCAGTTCATTTCAGATTTGTCACTGCATTAAAAAATAAGGAGTGGATTTAAAAAATAGTCATTTTCTATAAACACATAGTGTGCAAGGCAGACTGCATCATGGCCATATAATTGCCTACATTTTGGCCAAATTGGCAAATGCTAATAAGTCTATTATGATTGACAGTTATTATGCAATTTCTTCTTCGGGCAAGGTTTCCATATATGATTGAAATATTCAGTCCCTCACATAGTTATTTCCAGTGGAGATAAGCTAGGGGTTTGGTGTGGAGGAGGCAAAGCCAGACCCATGTGCACAAAGTCTTCCTCTTCTAGCCTAGTTAAGCCTGGATAGATGAAGAACTAAGGGTTGTGAAAGTGCATTCATTCTTTCAGGCCAGGAAAACAGTAACTGTAGGTACTTTCTTACTACATTAAGCCCTTTTAACAGTCATGTCATTTACTTCTCTCAACAATACTGTGAGGTGGTTATTATTCCCCCCAATCCATCCATTTTTATTCCTTTGCTACCTGCTTGGTAGAGTTTCCCTTCCCTATCCACATATACCCTAACACATATGGCCAGTGTCTCAGGTTCTATGATCAAAAACTACTCCCAAAACATTTTTTAAAAACTCCTTGAGAGGCTGAGGTGGGAGGATTGGTTGAGCTCAGAAGTTCGAGATCAAAGTGAGCTGTGATAGTACCACTGCACTCCAGCCTGGGTGACAAAGCGAGACCCTATCTCAAAAAATAAAAATAAAAATAAATAAATAAATAAATAAATAAATAAATTGCTAAATGTGTCTACCTAAGTTATAAAGCATAGCTAAGTTTCAAAATGTCATCCTCCCTTACAGTAGAAGCTTTTGGTTTTCTAGGGAATTGCACAAAAGCTTGATAGGCATCTGCAAGCTGGGCTTGTGGGAGGAGAGGAGGAGGGAAAGGAGATGGTACTTTCCAGATAGCCCTAAAATGATACTACCTACTTCACCCACACATGAAGCTGGTCCACTATAATGTGGTGTTTAGGTTGCAAGGGTTCCCAAATCAGAATGCCTATAGGAGCCAGGCAGGCAACATAAATTGGACAATCAGACCAGCTATAAGTAGAGCCTGTGGGAGACAAGGAACATGCCTCACCTAAAGGCATTCAGGTTCCGTGTTCCTGAATGCCAGTCCCAGCCAAACCAAACACAGTGCCAGCCAAACCAAACTCATCTGTGAGCTGGATTGGGCCCATGGTTTAAGGTCTTTAACATCATTCCTGTTCATATCCAACATTTTGCTTGCACCCTGTCTTCACCTAGTGAGAAAGGCAGAGAAGTCCCATTTCACTGAAGTGAAAACTAAAGCCCAGAGAGCCCAGGTGGTTTGTCCAAAGCCACTCACTAAGCGACAGATCCAGGACTCCTCTGGGGATCCCAGCTCCAAGTCCAGGGCTGTTTGATTTCACCTGGCTGACTTCCCTTCATAGCTGTGCACATTCTCATGATGATTTCAATGCCCTTTCACCAATTTGAATATCACTAGCTATCTCTGTAAATATGGATTACACCAGAGGAGCTCTACAGTCATTTCCAATGCCTTCATTATGTTAAGTTACTATTTTGCTTCATAAACATAATAGCATCTTTTCCACTTTGTATCTAAGCCCTAATAGCAAATTGAGTGTATACGGCACTCTCAGGTCAAGCATGCAATTTGGCCATTGAAAGGATGATTTGGGCATCCAGTGTGCACCAACTGGCTGACTGCAAGCCCCCAAACACTAGTATGCCTGCATGTATCCCTAACTTGCTGCTGCAGGGGGATGGAGATGTTGATGGAACACATTTCATTCACAAATAATTACTTTATTCCTATTGCAACTTTTGAGCAAGCCAACGGGTTTGCTGAAGCAAATAATTTTTTTCTAAGTGGCATTGGTTTTATACTCAAACCAACTGAAGCACTAAGAGCTCAATAATACCTCCCTTCCCTGCTGAAATGACCACTTTCTCTGGGCACCAATGCCTCTGGCATGCTTACACCTTCTCATAATGCAGCAGCTGCTTTTACTACTCATGTGGCTCCAAAAACAACCAAAAAACAGGCAAGGAGAAATGAACTCTTGCTTCAGAGAAATACCTGCCCATGATGATGCAGGAATGGTTGACACATCTTTGCGTGTGATCCTGGGGCAAGTGTGAAGGGGAAAGAATTATTATAAATCAGTCAGACCATAGACCATGTTATCTTATTTAAACCTCACAACAATTATGCAAAGTATGGATTATTTCCCATTTTGCAGCTGATAAAACTGATTCCCAGAGTAACTTGCCTACACTCACTCAGCTAGGAATTTTAACTTCTTGGCTTATTCCAAAGTCTATGATAATCTTTCCTGTATGCTACACTAAAAGTGTGCTTTGGTCCTTTTGGAAATCAAATATAGTATAACAATAAATGTGTGTAGGGTTTAATTGGTCAACAATTTAGGTATTAATATTGGAGGAATTGAGGTATTGAGGAAACTAGGGAATTCTGGCTCCTATCATAACTCACACCAGCCACTCCACCATGGGAATAAGTCCAAGAACAGTGACTTGAGACTTTGCCCTGTCTTTCCAACCAACAGCTAGGGGTGAGTCAAACCAATTCTATTGATTCAGCTATATTAAGCAACCAAAGTAAAATGATCCATATGTGTTCTCTAGTCATCCACGTTTTACTCATCTCCATGTCTGGCACACAGCATGCTCTCAGTACATTTCTGTTGAATGAGAGAGTGAATCTTTAAACCAGTAAGAGAAGTTAGTACTATTAAATTCCTAAGAATAGGCACCACATGTACACATTCTAAAATGCGGCCTTTGCAGTCTACTAAGTGCCACTGAAAGACAGTGAATGATCAATCTACACGCTTAAGCAAGAAAAACATGGCCAGGTGGGGGAAGCCAGATATATCTTGGTCAGGGGTACTAGCAGTTGGGGGTAGATATTCCTGCTCATTGCGAAATTGGAGGAGATGAACTTTAGGACTCCTGCAACTGAAGATTCCACAAGTCCATGGGTTTGTGCCCTTCTCTACAACCAACTGGTGAGGATTTACACATTTTCTAAGTTAAGCCAAAAAGCTGGCTTTCGGGAACACATAGTCTCAAAGGAGACATCTTTCAGAAGAATCTCTCTTAGCTTAATAATCAGCTGATACTCATAAGGATCACAAATATATGGTATTTTGTGTTTAATAATCACATTTGATGCCCATTGGTTGCCAGGATAAGTAACACTATGCCTATTTACAAGACTAACTCATTTCCAAATGAATCAAAAAAGCACATTTCATCCTATTTTAATGCAATTGTTCCTGGTTCTCCTTCTTGAGTCTCATTCTAACCTCTCTCAACAGCCTGTATTTCTACTTCTCGCAGGTCTTTTGCGGCTCCTTGCATAATGAATCCTCTTAGTAGTTCTTTCCTTCTGCAGTTCCCCTCAGCCTGTCTCAGGACCAGCTCTGAGGACTGTGCTCTGGGGAAACCCCAGCCTGTCTCCCAGCCCCAAGCTTGCCATCTTGCCCCTGTTGTTGAATGCCACCCCAGCAAACCTGGGGTGTGTTTGCTTTTTGTCCTTCTCTTTCTTCTACCTCTGCGGATCCATCTTGCATATTTCCCTCATTCCCTCCTGAGCCTCCTGTTATCCACTTCCCCTTTCTCTTACCATCTGCACTCACCATCCTGAATTGCTCAGGCTGAGGTCACCCTTTTATTCTGAGCTGGTGAAGCGGAGGCAGCCACCCTCCTTTTATCACGACAAAGTCTTGTGTGGATGAGATATAGTCCTTCCTCCTTATATTTGTTTCCTAAAACTGCTGCAACAAATTACCACAAACTGGGTGGCTTCAAACAGCAGAAATGTATTCTCTTATAATTCTGAAAGCCAGAAGCCTGAAATCAAGGTGTCGGCATGGCCACGCTCCCTTGGAGAGGAATTTGGTGGGAGAATCCTTCCTTGCCTCTTTGAGCTTCTGGTGGCTGTAGGCCATCTTTGGCTTCCTTGGCTTGTGGCTGCATCACTCTAATCTCTGCCTCTGTGGTCACATTGCCTCCTCCTCTTCTGTCTGTATCTTTCCCTCTTCTGTCTCAAATTTCCCTCCACCTTCTCTTCTAAGGACACAGCATTTGATATAGGGCTCACCCAAGTATTCTAGGTTGATTTTATCTCAAGGCTTTTAATCTACATCTGCAAAGATCCTTTTGTCCAAATCAGGTCAGATTCATGGGTTCAAGGATTTGGATGTAAACTTATCTTTTGGGGGCCCCCATTTGACCCACTGCACCCCCAGAATAGACTGGCACTTCTCAATTTTTAGAGCAGTAATGTCTAAGCATTAATGTGTGAATCACCTAGTGATTTTGATACAATTCAAGTTCTGACTCTGGGTGTGAGTAGCGCCTGAGGTTCTGCATTTCTAACAAGCTCCCAGGTCACACTGATGCTGAGGTAGGTGGCCCACATTTTGAGTAGCAAGGTGAGCCAAAATGTGTAGCTGTGTGATCCCCAGAGCAGTCGCAGCAGCACCGCCTGGGAGTTTGTTGTAATAGGAATGCCCAGGCCCCACCTGGACCTGCTGAGTCCAAATCTGCACTGCAACAAGATCCTCATGCGCTCTGGTTGCATGTTAAAGGCTGAGAAGCGCTGATCTAGTCTAGAAGGTTTTTTTATCTTCATGCTTTATACCCAAGACCCCTCTTGATCACATTCTGCACCCTATCTTCGTGGAGTCTTCAGCCTTATTGGGGCAGGTCTTCTGCAGCCCTGCACAGATTATAACTCCTCTATGCCCCTAAGTGGAAGCACTTGGAAGACAATTAACGTCTTCCCTTGCACACTGTTCTATTGCATAAATGTCCCCAACCTACACCCCAACCCAAGTAGCCATGTGTCCCAAGACTGTTAAGTCCATCAAGCCACAACAGCTGTGACAAATATGGAAGCTACCAAACAGGATTTTATCCTGCTCAAATAAATCACTAGAAAATTATCACTGTAATCCTGGTTTTTTTTTTTTTTTTTTTTTTGATACAGTGATCAACTAAAAGTGCTTTTTCCAGCCGGGCATGGTGGCTCGCGCCTATAATCCCAGCACTTTGGGAGGCCGAAGCGGGCAGATCACCTGAGGTCAGCAGTTCAAGACCAGCCTGGCCAACACGGTGAAACCCCATCTCTACTAAAAATACAAAAATTAGCCGGATGTGGTGGCAGGTGCCTGTAATCCCAGCTACACGGGAGGCTGAGGCAGGAGAATTGCTTGAACCTGGGAGGCAGAGGTTGCAGTGAGCTGCGATTGCACCACCGCACTCCAGCCTGGGTGAGACTCTGTCTCAAAAAAAAAAAAGTGCTTTTTCCACTCTTCTGAAGTTCCCATCAAACTCTTTACTCATAAGGATTCAAACTATGAAAATGTGTCTCTTCTTTCATCCCAGTGAATTAAGAATGGATATTACCATAATTAAAATCTTCTGTTAGGTATCTGACATCATTACTCATGTGGTTTCTTTGTTCATAGAATTTCCTCTGGAGGAGACCCTCCTGCCACCCTACCTCCTATTATATAGGAGATACATAATCAGGAAAAGTTTGAACTTGGTCTACTTAGAATTAAATTCTACTGTTTACCAGCTGTGTGTCCTGGGGCAAGTTGCTTAACCTCCTACAGCCTAGTTTTACTCATCTGTGAAACACATGCCCCACAGGATTCTTCCATTAGGCAGATCTTGAGTATTAGAACCCAGCATGTAAGGGGCAGCAACGATGTTCAGAGAATGTCTGTTTCCTTTCTTTGCTCTTCCTTTGGTCCTCTTCTCTTCACGTGGCTCTTAGGAAAATGAATACGCCAATTACATATTTTTGTTTTCTTCCTCCTCCTCCTTCTCCCTGGCCTAGAGGTCTTTCAAATCATTCATTTTGAAGAGAAGACTGTTCCTGATCTGGTCTTTAAAAGTGCATGTATACTTTTCTCCACATCAAAAGAAAACTATGTCAACTGAAAAAAAAAAAAAACTTTGAAACCAGTTTTATAAGTTGTCAGAATGAATTTGGGAATTTTCTACTGCTTAAATAACTCCATCTTATAGCAGAAATAATTTATTTTTGACCTATTAATCATTTATTTCTTCAACAAACATTTATTGCCACATACTATGTGCTGGACCTTGTTCTTAGTGCCTATAACTTTGCACTCTATATGTCAAAACAGAACTAACAAATAAGGTAACAAATAATGAAACACATCATTTCAGATAGTGGCAAGGGCTATGAAGCAAATAAACTGGGTAATGAGATAGTAATGGGGGACGGGGCTCTATTTTGGAATTAGATGCTCAGGTAAGGCCTCCCTGACATATTGAAGTTAAGATCAAACTGACAAAGAATAACCAGTCAAGATCTAGAGAAGAAAGTTCCAGGTGGAGGGAACAGCAAGTGAGAAGGCTCTCATGTGAGATCAAGCTTGGAATATTTAAGGGTGTATATTTGAGACGGAATATTTGACACAGGCAGAGTGGCTGCAGTGTCATGATCAGAGGGAACATGAAACAAGGTGAAGCTGGCAAGATGGACAACCACACTGGGCCGTGAGGGTCTCAGAAGGAAGCTGGATTTTAAATAGAAAGAGTTGCTGGATCTGGCTCATTCTAGCTCATGAGAGCCACTTGTTAAGTTTTCAGGGTTTTAAGAGCTGATTAATGTCAAATTGATAGCTTGAAATTGGCCATAGTGGGAGTATTTACACCATGATAATTGGCAAATACAACAAACCCAGGTTCTTCTCCCAGATCTCTCCTCCAAGAGAGCCAGTTGTTAAACACTTACCAGAACACCGCTGGTGTATGTGCCATTTAAGTGCAGTCGGAACTCACTAGAGGGTTTAAGCCGGAGGATGTTATGACCTAATATGTTTTAAAATAATCCCTCTGGCTGCTGCACGGAGAATGGCTCCTGGAGGATGAGAGGACAGCTGGGGCGGGTGTGGGAGGGGCAATAAGAGAGACTTGAACAAAGCTTTTCTGACTTGAAGTCCTGTGTTCATTTTACTATCACACAAGACAGACATAACTGATGCCCGCACTTAGTATTCTTTTCCTCTTTAAACTTTTGCTCTATAACCAGCTTTCTTCCTCACTTAAAATTACCATCAGACCAGACTTCACATCTGAATGTCTCAAATGAGTCAGAGCTTCAAAGACCCTCATACAGATTCTGGAAATAAAAATGACTAAGTTTCTTTAGGATGAAAGAACGGCACCTTTTCTTCTTGGAAATTAATCATATCTCAGGGTCTCGGGGAAATTCTTTATATGATTTTACTACGTTCATAGCTTAATGGAAATTTCTGGCTAGAGTGGGCACAATCCACCATCTACAAACCCTGAGGTATTAGAAGTTAAGAACGTTTTGTGTATGGCCACACAGCTATTTAGGGCAATATGAGGACTGGAAGCTCGGCCTCCCTATTCTCAGTCCAGGCTGTGCTCAGTAAAGTCTAGCTTTCCCTGCCAGGAAGCTCAGGCTACTGGCTGCCAGCTGTAGGGCTGTTTGCTGCCTCTGCAGTGGTGCCACCACCCCAGGGATGGGGTTTAAATCTCAGTTCAGCCCTGGAGGCCGCCTCCCAGCAGAGGGCCCTGCCAGCCTGGTTCTGGCCCTCTCTCCTGAACCATAAAGCAAGACCGTATCTCAGCCTGCCTGTGCAAGGCAAGGCAGAAATGGCAAAAGATGCCTTGCCCATTGATGAATGAAGCTGATTTTTTCAGCACTTCCCTCCTCTGAGGTCTGGACGTGGGCCAGCCTTGGTCTAGTTGGCCTATATTAAAGTTACTTTTTTTTTTCCTGATGAACTATGGTTCTATTCATTAGGGGGGAAATTGGAGGAAATGAATTGGTACATAAGTTTTCAAGTCATCCTTGTGTTTCTAAGGGACTGGCATCGAGCTCTCAGTAATAACACAGTCGTGAGATGCACAGATGGGAAGACGTAACCCTCTTTTTTTTTCCCTTTCTAAAAACTTTTTAATTGTGACAAAATATACATAACATAAAATGTACCATCTTAACCATTTTTTATACAGCTCAGTGGTACTTGTACATTCACCTTGTTGTATACCACTCACAGCAGAACTTTTTCATCTTGCAAAACTAAAATTCTGTACCCAGCAAACATTTTCATTTTTCCTTCCTCCCAAACCCCTGACAACCACCATTCTATTTTCTGTCTCTATGAATTTCATGACTCCAGATACCTCACGTAAGTATAATCACATAGGATTTGTCCTTATTGGCTTATTTCACTTAGCACAATGTCCTCAAGTTTCATCCATGTTGTGACATGTGTCCAAATAGCCTTTCTTTTTAAGGCTGAATAATGTTTCATTGTATACATATACTACATTTTATTATCCATTGATCTGTCTATATGCACTTGGGCTATTGTGAATAATGCTGCTACAAACTTTCATGTACAAACATCTCTTCAAGTCCCTGCTTTCAGTTATTTTAGATATATAGCCAGAAGTGGAATTGCCAGATCATACACTAATTCTCTTTTTCATTTTTTTTTGAGGAACTACCATACTGTTTTCCATAATGGCTATACCAATTTATATTCCCACCAACAGTGCAATTTTCTGTTTGTTTTTGTTTTCTTAAATAGTAGCCAGCCTGATGGGTGTGAGGTGGTTGAAAATTGACTTTTTTCTTTTTTTAAGAGACGAGGGCTCGCTCTGACACCCAGTCTGGACTGCAGTGGTGCAGTCATAGTTCACTGCAGCCACAAACTCCTGGGCTCAAGCTATTCTCCCACCTCAGCCTCCCAAGTAGCTAGAAATACAGGTACGAGTCACCATGTCCAGCTAATTTAAAAAAAAATTGTACAGACAGTGTCTCCTGTTGCCCAGGCTGATCTAGATAGTGGTAGCTATGCCCAGCAGCCAGACTAGGCAAGAAGCTGGTGAGATGTCCCTGTTATAGCCAAACCCTTGCCTTCCTTAGCTGGACTCCTCAGACCTGGCTACACAGCCTGGCTTCTGTCTCTCTTGTCCAAACAACTGATCCTGTAGCCTCAACTTGGGCTTGAAAAGCTACTTCCCACAGCCACTGTCAGGACTCCATCTTTTACCCCACATCCTTTAAATGCTGGGGATTAACCACAGCTCTAAATAGTTTGTTGTCCCAGAAGCCAAGTTCATTTACATTTATTTTAAGTAAGAAATTCTTTATGAGTGGTGTACATATATTGTGTGGTTTCTTGGAAAATGCAATATGTCTGCAAAGTAATTTTGTTATCATCTGGCTAAAACCCTTTATTTGTTAACCCATGGTCTTAAATAACTTGTTTCAGTTCATATTACTGAGGTACCATTTATAGAGACAAAGTGGAGCCAACAGTTGAGGGTGTTTTGCTGTGATTGAGGGATGGATTAGGAAAGGTGCCCTGAACCTGGCCACAAATGCAGGTGCAGGTGCAAATGCATAGACCCTGGGAAGCACAGGGAAGATTATAAAGTGAGAGGAAGCCCTGTTTCAAGTGCCCAGCTCACACTCTTGCCCGTTCCTGTCTCTGGCCCCTCTGCCACTGGCTCTCCCCTCTCTACCCCCAGTTCCTAGATCTGTGATCTGTGCCTCCATCATCCCTTACCTCTCCTCCAGATTTGTCTCTTCCCATGGTTTAGACAGGGCAGCAGATGCGGAATGACCATGGTGGGGAAAATGGCTGGATGAAGCTGGAGGATGTGGGCTGAAGAAACTGGAGGGCATGTCACATAGGGAAAGCAGGTGAGAGGAAGAAAGTGGGTTACATGATGGGACAGAGGAGGGACAAGAAACTAAAGTAGATTCACACCAGGACCCTCTGAAGCATGTGTGCCAGAGACTTGGCATGTTGGCCAGAACTTCTAGACCACTGGATCGTCTGCACGACACAGACAAACCCATGGAAGCCAGATCCTAAACCACAGGGCTGCCCCAACATCAAAGGCAAAATGGCATTATTTAGGAGCCCAGTTATCCTTGGAGGTCTCAGCTAGATTTTGAAACATATATATAAAGTTTTCCAATTATTTGCTTCACATAATTTTTCACTGGCTGTCTTACCTACACCTGAATTGACATAGTATAATCCTAAAATTATGTTGTTAGTTTACACATATCTAAAAGATTCCACTACAATTCTTTCCGTAAGTCTCAAATGATTAAATGTAATCATTAATGTAATATGATCATTACATATCACTGTAATGATAAAGTTTATTAATGTGTATCAAAGGTTCCCACCAGCTACCCGGCCTCACATTCTTTCAGGAGGGTTGATTATTGTCTTCCCAGGGTGCTGGACATGGTACCTGGATGATATCTCTGTTGTAGTTAATCCTCTAATGCTTGGCTGGTATCTATAATTTTGGTGCTTTACAATAAAGAAACGTGTGTCCCTGTTCGCTATGCTGAGGAAGACTCCTATCTAAGGCTGTGTCTCCAGCTACCTGGGACTAGTGCTGCTCAGTTCCTATGCTGCAGCTACTGGTACCGCAAATCCCTCGCCGTGGTGCAATCACACTTGATCCACATGTGACCCACGTGTGAAATGAATTTTATTACATATGATTTCGGAGTTGAGCTAAGTGCGAGGTGTGATGTGGTATAGTGTTTAGGGGTTGTGACTCCTAAGAGGAAGGGGCAGGAACACAGGGCAGCTATGCCAAGGACACCCAGGGGACATGCAGGAACTTCGTCTTTGATTAAAAAAAAAAAAAGCGAGCCTGATCAGGACAGCAAGGACTCTTTTCAAATTGTGACCCAGGTGACTAAATGAATAGAGTCACAACTATGTGTGCCTTTGGAAACCCTCTGAGACAACCTCATCATGTAGTTGTAACTACACTGTGACTACACTTTAATTTCATCATAACTTTCACTGTCTTTAGCCGTGTTTGGGGTCCTTGATTACTTTAATAAAGGCAGTAGTAGCATGAAGCACACTGTGAACACAGGAAGTTAGGAAATCATTGGCTCACATGGAGCCTTTTAGGCCAGTGGCCTCTGCCGTGCACAGCCCAACACTATTTCTTATTCATCTCTCTTCAAAATTGTCCACTGAAGGCAATTCCAAAAAAAAAAAAAAAAAAAAAGCCATTCCAAAATTCTTCCAAGCAGTGGCAGCATCATTAGAATAACAGTATGATCCCTAAATTTAACGTAGAAGTTCTGGTATGTCTACTGAAAACCAATATTATTCCATTAAAATCACACTTCATTCAGGGGGTTAGGACTGTCTTTTCCTTCATATTTTCAGGGTGTTTCCAAACAAGAGGATCATTTTGAAGCCAGATTGCTAATGTACCTAAAACATTAAATATAATGTGAAATCCTTATTTTCTAATTTAAAAAATGTAATTCACTTTGTAGCTGAAATCAAAACAGAAACGGATGAAATGCAGTTATTAAAATTCAAAGCTGAAAATAAGTGGAAAATAGGAAAGATAGGTGATGAGTTGACTACTGTCCCATAAGAGACAGCCCCTGTTTGTGGCCATTTCTGGACATGTTTTTCTCAATAAAGTAACATGGATGTGGGCTTTTAGGGTGAGTAAAGTACAGTTTTATAAAAATTTTGTAATGTGCTAGTGTTCCCGTACTTTTTACTGTCTGGTATCCTAAGCATGAAGCATGTCCAAGTTTAAAGTAGGAAAACAATAGTCCTAGTGATGCCGAGAAACTCAATTATTCCTCAGAATGCCATGGTCATCTGCACACAAAATGTACCTTTAATGTGACTGTGTAATTTGTAAAGTTGACAAATAAAGTGCTATGAATACTCCTCTCCTCTTTGTGGAAACTGTCTATTTGTTAAAAATTGTTATCCCCACTGATGTCCTTCATCTCCAGAGAATACAGAAGTAAGAGTGGCTTAGACCAGGTCTTCTCAAAGTGTACCCATAGGCTGGGGCTAGTCTGCAAACTGTTTGAGGGTTCCTGGTGAGATAAACATAGATACAAAATCGGTGTCTAGAAAATTTACAGCAATTTGACAACAGCCACATCATTAAGCACATCACCAGAGGATTTGCCTCATGAAAAAGAGTAGAGGCTGGGCATGGTGGCTCACACCTCTAATCCCAGCACTTTGGGAGGCCAAGCCAGGGGTGGATCACTTGAGGTCAGGAGTTTGAGACCATCCTAGCCAACATGGTGAAGCCCCAACCCTACTAAAAGTACCAAAATTAGCTGGACTGGTGGCATATGCCTGTAATCCCAGTTACTTGGGAGGCTGAGGCAGGAGAATCGCTTGCACCTGGGAGGTGAAGGTTGTAGTGAGCTGAGATCACACCACTGCACTCTAGCCTGGGTGACAGAACAAGACTCTGTCGAAAAGAAAGAAAAAAGAAAAGAAAAGAGAGAGAGAGAGAGAGAGAGAAAGAAAGAAAGAAAGAAAGAGAAAGAAAGAAAGAGAGAGAGAAAGGGAAAGAAAGAGAAAAACAGAGAGAAAAGAAAGAAGGAAAGAAAGAGAAAGAAAGAAAGAAAGAAGGAGAAAGAAAGAAAGAAAAAGGGAAGGGAAGGAAGAGTAGAGACTAGTTTTGGTGGTCTTCATTTCATTTTCTAATAATTTATTTTTATCGCATTTTTTAAAGTGTCAGTCCCTATGGGTTGAAAACTAAGAAAAATAATTTGTCCTTCACCCCAGGAACCCTGCCTTAGGCTCTGCTGAGGCTGAATATATGTGTATATATGGGTGCCCCAAAATAAATACAAAAATTCTCTGGAAAGTCTTGTTTCTTTAGAAAACACCAGGGTTGAACATGAGGTCACATTAATAGCAATAGTCACGTACGGCTGGCTGTACCTCCCACCCCTGCTGGCACAGGAACTCCGACCCCTACAACATTTCCCTTGGGAATTTCTGGGCTCCTCAGGCATCCATTCCTGGACCACAACAACTTTATGTGCCTCCCCAGAGTTCCTCCGCTCCAGCTTTTCTGGGAACTTCAGCCATTTGCTCAACAGAAAGTGCCGGCAGCTCCCTTCCCCTCATTTCTTGATAGCTCTCGCTGTCTCAGCTGTCCTGGGTTTGGACTTGTCAGGAAGTGAGAGGCAAACTGGCCTCAAGACCAAGAAGCACAGGCTAGTTTCTTTCTGAACCATAAGATTCCCATTCTTAGTGAACAGGGCCTGGGGACCTCATACAAAGCTGGCTCAGGTTGGGGGTCAGGGTGGGCAGCTGGAGTTAGCAAGTTGTCTGGCCACAGGGGGATGCAGGTGAGCAGGGCTGGAGATGTGGTATGGGCACTGGGGAAGACCTTTGGGGAGAGAATGTGAGATCCAGCGAGGAGACCTGCTTAGAGGAATCTTTAAAGAGCTTACAGGTAGAGATTTCAGATCGAAGGACCATTAGACGTCATGTAGTCTAATGCCTCCTTTTACAAATTAGGACACAGCTTCAGACAGGATACCTGCCGCTGGAGTAGGTGACCCTTGGACAAGAACCCAGAGCCCCCTGAATGGTGTTCCAATGCTTTTAAAGATGATCTCTAATTCCCCACCGTCCTCCCCCAAGCCCCACTGTTTCCACCCCACATCCAGTGACTACACAAACTAGCTTTGCCAGGAGAGCAACCAATTTTAACCAGCCCATCCTAAGACATTCCTATATGTCAGAGCCCAGGTCCCAGTTTGGGGTTATGGCAATTCACCACTCCCCTACAATTACGGAAGCCCAAGCAGCAGCCGGGGTTTCACTCAGCCTCGCTCTCTTTTCCAGGGTGCTCTTGCAAGGAGTCGGGAGAGAGCCCTGCTATGCTCACATCCGCCAGCAGGGGGCAGATAGGGAAAAGGTTTACCGGCTTTGAAGCCGGGCAGCTCCCGGTAGAGGGGAGCCTGCCTGCCTTGGTTTCTAGCAGGGCTGCTCACTGAACTGGGCTGCCTGCCAGGGGCCAGCAGTAAAAAGCCAGTCAGGTTGGTATTACTGTCTGGTAAAATGAAAATACCCCTAAATGCTCATTTGCTCCATCATTTCAGATTCCCTAGTGGCTGGCTCCAATCCGGGCACTTGAGTTTACATCATAACCTGGTCGCTGAAGAGCTGTGACCTTGGGGAAGTTACTCTGTGGTTTCCACATTTGAAAAAGCGGAGAACCATAGTGCCCACCTACTGGGGTTGTTGGGTGAAACAAATTAGAAATTTCCTGCTATGTAGTAAGTACTCAATACATATTAGCCAGCAATAATACGTGATTTTACTTTTAACTCATCCTTTAAACAAGTATTTATTGAGCATCTACTATGCTTAAGGCCCTGACCCAAACAAGCGTTTAGAAGACAGAAAAATTAATAAGACGCTCCTTCAAAAATGTTACAATTATTTTCTATCATTTATCTATTATCAACACTGTAATCTCTTATTTCTTTGATTGCCCCTGTTATGAGGAAGCTCAGCACCAAAGCTGAAGGCCTATCTTTGCTGCTCTTTTGATCCTCAGGACCAGCGGCTCTACATGCTTCTTTTCTGTTGGTTCTCGTATTCCATTCTATTTTATTTATTAAGTCACTGCATACATCTCTTGCCTGACCTGCTCCATGCCGGGGTCTGGGCTTGCTGCCTTACTGATGGGAGTCAGAGCGGAGCACTTTGGGGAAAGGAAGGCCACTAACGGGTCTGGGCTTGCTGCCTTACTGATGGGAGTCAGAGCGGAGCACTTTGGGGAAAGGAAGTCCACTAACCCCCCTCCCCCACCTCCCCCCCAACCACCGGCAAAAAAAAAAAAAAAAAAAAAAAAAAAATATTTACAGGTAAGGAAGTGACTAACGAGGCCTGAGGGGATGAGAGACGGAGGAGAAACAGCAACAATGAAAACACCTCTGAGAAAGACAGGATCGGAGACTCTGGGGAAAGAAAGAAAACACAGTGAAAGTAAAGACCTTGCCAAGGGCCAGCCCATCATGCGGGCAGAGAAGAAAAGAAAGGGACAAAAGAAAGGGACGATGTGGAAGTGTGAGCTGAAAAGCACAGGTTCAGAAATAAGTTGCTTTTAGTATCCATTTCAGGAGCAGAGCAAGGGACAGCGAGGCCAACTAGCGATAGATTTCCCATCAAGAGACAGAGAAGGGCAGGGGGTAGAAATCACTGTTTCCGGAGTGGAAAAACACAACTGAGTGTCTGAAGGGAGAAAGTCACAGCGTCAGCTGGCTGGACAGCTGAGTGTCCAGGTTCACCGGCCAGCTCGGGCAGCTGCTTTCGTCCCCTCACCCCTGAGCCAGTCTGTAGCCAGGATGTAAATAAGTCACCTGCATATGTTAAAAATATAACAGGACAGCCACTGGCCTTGCTCAGCAATGTTGAAGAATCCTGCAGATGGAATGGTGCACTTCAAGGAAGAGAAAGTACAAAAGAAAAATTGCTGATTATGGCAAAGGAGATAACAGGCTGATTCATCTGTTAAGCCTGGGTCAAGAAAATGTCTTGGCCAAACAACTGACCACTTTTCTTTTAAAGACTAAGAAGACCCCATAAAAATGTGCACCTCTGTTGGCCAAAAGGTATGTGCTGGAACCATACATTGGAAACTGCCCCCAATGTCTGCCAATTGCAGAATGGGTGAATACATTGTATTTTGAGACAGCAATGAGAATGACAAACTTCAACTACATACAACAATGTGGCTGAATCTCACAGCAGAACGTTTTGGTTTCTGTGCCCCCTCCCAATAATAAAGCAAGTTTCAAATATATACATAAAATTGTTTCAACATTTCTTTACGCCATATAAACTTGCAGTTGTTTTGACTTCTTTGAACCAGTTGTAACATCTTACCAGTTCCCTCGTTCAACTAGGGAGTTAAATAAAATCTTTGATATGTGTTCATTGTACATTTCCATGAGAACCATGATTTTACTTATTTAAAAAGACTATCCTCTATCACATGGGAAGAGGTCAGGTTCAGATGCGTGGCCCCTGGGTTTCCTGAGGAAGGCCCCCTCTTCACTGTACCATGATCTGCTGGCAGGAGGCCCAGTGGACCTCATAGGGCAGGCGTGAGGCCAGGGCCCAGGTTGGCCTTGTCCTCCGCTTCCTGGCCAGGGTTGGCATGGACAGCGGAAGGCAGAGTGGATTTTGGAAGGAACTCTGCCTGGCCCAAAGGCAATAAACAGTGAGCAGGGAAGGATTGTGGCAAGGCCAGAGCTGCGGGCCCCATCATGGGCTGCCCAGGGGCTGAGGGACCAAACTGGATTGCTGGAATTTGGTGGTGCAAAAAAAGAAAACAATGTGGCTAACTGGGGAGGCGCAAACACAGGATCCTGAAGGACTGAGGTTTAGGTTCTTCTTTCCCTGTCCCATCACGCCTGTACAGGAATTTCTTTTAAGAGAAGAAGTAGCTAGTGATGGCAGTCGTAATGGCTGGCATTTATTAAGCATTTGTTCTTTGCCAGGCAGGATGCCCAGGGAGCAGCATGTCCTGTCATTTCATTCCTCATTTATCACATGCTAAAGGCAACCGTATGAGGGGGTGCATGTTACTGCCTCTTTCTAGCTGGGAAGTGACAAGGAGCTGGGATTTAAACCCAGGCTAAGCCAATCAGCCCCACTGTGTGTGGAGCAGGCTGAGAGGCCTGATCCTAGATGCTAGGATGTGAGGGTGGATCTGACGTGCTGGCAGGACCTCCAGGCAGCACTGTCCAGCCAGAAGTTGAAATGTAGGGCTGATGCTAAGGAGAGGTCAAATATGTTATTCATTTAGCATATATTAATAGAGGTTCTCCTAGGAAAGGGAACTAGGTCCCTTTTCTAGTTCTGTGGTCTGGGCAAATTAACAAATTCCCCAAGTTTCATTTCTTCCTCTTTAAAATGTCAGTGATACCACAGTACCTATTTCCTGGGTTGGGAAAGGGCAGTGTGAAAATTAAGTAAGGTGATATACGTGAGGCTCTTGGTACCACCTCTGCCCTGAACATGTGATAAATGGCAGCTATTTTCATTGTTATTGTCCACGAGAGACTGCAGCTTCTGGTGGAGGATGCATTGAGTAAGTGCTTGTGGCTCTTGGGTTTTTTGATCAACAGAGCACTATTCATCATTATTATTTTCCCATGACCTAAAAAACACATTGTAACCCTCCCAAGGTGAAGTATAGAACGAAACTAAAAATAAGTCAAGTTATCATTAATTTACCAAAGCAAAAAGTAAGTATTTTACAATTCTTAACCACAGGAACAAAGATGCATAAGGAATCTCTTTCTTTCTTTCTTTCTTTCTTTCTTTCTTTCTTTCTTTTTTTTTTTTTTTTTTTTTTTGAGACAGGGTCTCTCTCTGTCACCCAGGCTGGAATACAGTGGCATGATGTTGGCTCACTGCAACCTCCACCTCCTGGGCTCAAGCAATTCTCCCACCTCAGCCTCCTCAGTAGCTGGGACCAGCAGGCCCAGCTAATTTTGTATTTTTTGTAGAGGCAGGGTTTCTCTATGTTGACCAGGCTGGTTGTGAACTCCTGGGCTAAAGCAATCCGCCCACCTTGGCCTCCCAAAGTGCTGAGATTACAGGTGTGAGCCACCATGCCTGCACAGGAATTTCTTTTAAGAGAAGAAGTAGCTAGTGATGGCAGTCGTAATGGCTGGCATTTATTAAGCATTTGTTCTCTGCCAGGCAGGATGCCCAGGGAGCAGCGTGTCCTGTCGTTTCATTCCTCATTTATCACATGCTAAAGGCAACCACATGAGGGGGTGCATGTTACTGCGTCTTTCTAGTTGGGAAGTGACAAGGAGCTGGATTTAAACCCAGGCTAAGCCAATCAGCCCCACTGTGTGTGGAGGAGGCTGAGAGGCCTGATCCTAGATGCTAGGATGTGAGGGTGGATCTGACATGCTGGCAGGACCTCGGGCAGCACTGTCCAGCCAGAAGTTGAAATGTAGGACTGATGATAAGGAGAGGTCAGACATGTTATTCATTTAGCATATATTAATGGAGGGCCTATTATGTGTCAGGCACTGTTCTAGGCTGAATAAAACAGGCAAAAATCCCTGCTTCCATAGGGCTATAATTTCAGTGGAGCATTTAGATACTAAACATCATAAATAAGTAAAACATATAGTATGTTAGCTAGGGATAAGATTGGTAGAGAAAATTAGAGAGAGAAAGGATACAGAGAGCCAGGGGTGGGGGTAGAGTGTGCAAGTGTACTTAGGGTGGTCAGGGAAGGCCTCATTTAGGGGCATTTGTGTAAAACCTGAAGGAGGTGAGGGAATAAGCCATGCAGCTCTTTGGGAGAAGAACATTCTGGATGGCGGGAACAGCGGTGCAAAGGCCCTAAGGTGAGAGGACACTTGTCATGTTTGAGGAGCAACAGGAAGCCATTGTGGCTGGACCAAAGTGGATGAGGGCACGCATGTTAGAGACGTGTTGGAGAGAGGCAGGAGGTGCAGACCCAGAGGGGCCTTCTATGCTGAGTGACTCGAAGGTGGTCCTGAGCAGACCAAATACACGGGCTGGCTTAGGTAAAAGAACTATTCTGGTCACTTCATGGACAATGAAGTCTAGTGGGGCAGGGGTGACGCAGGAAATCACTCAGCAGCCACTTACAGTAGCTCAGACAGGAGACGGTGGTAGTTGGAACAGAATGGCAAGGGCTTCGGGAGAAGTAATGAGATTCTGGGATTTGGGAGTCTTCAGAAACCTTTGAGACTATCCTTTGAGGGGTATTCCAACATGTGGCCTGATCCCAATAACCTTTCTTGGAAAGCCCTCTCCTGGTGTCTCCAGGATAATGGAACACATTACCCATGAAAAAGAAGCCTTTCTGGCCCCTACCACGTGTCCGGGCACCGGGCCAGCTTTTTCTCTATCCACCAGTGATTCTGGGCCCCTCTCTAAGACATGAACAGTGGCAGGTAATGAACATCGAAAGCCCCTTAACTTCCCCTCAGATTTTCCTCAGAAACAAAGCAAATGCCACCAGGAGCAATGTTCCAGTTTCTATTGTTGCTTTAAAAACACCCTAAAACTTTACGACATAAAGCACTATGTTCTTAAGCTCTCGGATTCTGTGGGTCAGTAACTCTGAGAGGGTACCATGGGGGTGGCTTGTCTCTGCCCCATTATGTCTGGACCCTCCACTGGGAAAGCTCAATGGCTGAGGGTGACTGACGGATGACAGGGGCTGGCATCACCTGGAGCTGTCCTTGCTCACGTTCTGGCTGTCGGCTGGGATCTCAGCTAGCTACTGGGCAGAACATCTACACTTGGCCTCTCCCTATGGTCTCCTTGTATAGGGTGGTGTGGGCTTCCTCCACGCCACAGTAGCTGGGTCTGGAAGGCCTGTGTTATGTGCATGAGACCTGACCCTGCAGCAGCCACCTGGCAAACAATGGAGATACCAGAAAACAAAGTTGCCATGCTGCAGATAGCAAGATGAGGAGGTGGAAAGTACTAGGGGCCCTGAATTAACCTGGGGCACTCTACCTCAAATTTCCTGTTTGGTGAAATCAAATACATTTTCTGTATTGCTTAAACCAGTTCAAGTTGGGGTTTTCTGTTATTGCCGCTAAAGGCAGCATAACTGATACAGCACTCTTGATCTGCCACGTCTCTGTGGCTGCATACTCCGGAGAAGGAAGCCAGGGTTGGAGCATCACCACCCACAACAACTGATGTCCTGCTGCCAGCAGACAGCTGCTGCTTCCTGGGGCAGCTGGGATCAGGGGTCCCTATGGTGGTTCATGCATGAGCTGTCAAGACATGATTCTCGGCATCTTCCCCCATAAAGGCAAGGAATCAATTCTTTGCAGTTCTCAAGAACTCACACCCAGGGAATGGAGGTGGGGGTGTGTGGGGAGTAGTTCTGATGTGTGGTAACTTGATGGTGGTGAAACAAAAAAATGGAAAATACTAGGAGGAGAAAACCGTTCAGACATGGCCCCATCACTCTAACTCCCAGGGAGTTGCTCACCTGAAGCCGTGCGTATGGTGAAAAAAGAGGCTGTTAGTGTCCCAGACACATCCCTCAGACCTTTCAGTGGACTTCAGCCAACTTCAAACTGTGTGTCTCTATGCCTGTGCCTGGGACTTTTTCCAAAACTGTGGAAAACCCCTCAACTCACATGCAACGAAAGCCAGAAGTGGGGGAGAATTAACACCCCTAGGGAGCAGACTTCTACCAATGCACCTGGAAGCTGCTGTATAAACACCCCCGTCCTCTCCCTCGGGTGGTAATATTCTGAGGTGTGTGTTTGATATTGGTTTCCAGAGCTTCCCCACAGGACTAAGCTCCATCTGCCTGCTATGAGAGCTGGTGGAACTGCATCCTTTGTTGGCTGCCTTCCTTCCTGAATCACTTCCCCATTTCCCCCTCCCCTACTGACATTCTCTGCCCCTCCCAGATAAATTGCCTATGCTCAAATCTGTCTCAGCATCTACTTCCGGGGGGGCCCAAACTAAGGCAGTGATCAAAAGGAGGTGGTTGGTTGAAGAAGATGGGAAAAGATTGACGATAATCTCTGCAGGATGAAGTGACAATCGAGCCACAGGGTTCTTTTACTAGGAAGCTCCAGAAGTCATGAAACCAGGGCTTTTTTTGACTTGCCAACTGGGAGATGAGCTTCCTAAATTTTCAAGGCCCGCTGGTAGCTCACGGGTATCTAGTTGTTGAGCCTTCTGTATGTACAGGGGCCAGGGCACCATTAATGCCATTCCGATTGGATCCAATCCCAACAGCACCCGTGAGCAGCATTTCACACTGATGATCTGCTCATCCGCTCATCTCCTATCTCCCTGCAGCTGAGGAAACCTCTCAGCAGTGATCAGCATCGAGAATGGATCTTCTTTTGTTCTTGTTCACTCAATGTGTTTATTTTCAAGATTGCATTTGTGGAAAGCATTTAAACAGCACCGTTTATAAGAAAACAAAAGTCACCAGATGGAAAAATAGAATAAGAAACACACACACCCACAAACTCCCCAAGCAATATAGCCAGGGCAGCGGGAGTTATTGTTGTCTTGCTGTCGTGGATAATGCAGCTGTGTTGGAAAAGCTGTCTGCTTTTGACAGCCTAGAATTTTCAAGAGGGAACTGAACACAGGTCAACAGAATTCTGTGCTGCAATTCACTTCTTGAGAAAGTTTGACAAACCTTCCTCTTCCTCCTAGGACAGAACAACAGCTACTAGAATTACCATATATGTTGAATTATAAAGCACAGGCAAGTTTCTCTTGCAATAATGCCTTACAGTTGGCCCATATCTTATTTGGACAGATAACGTTCTTTCTTATGTTCTCAAGAGCCTTAGCAACACCCTTAGCCACTGACTGGCTGCACAGCCAGGCTGATATGAAAACAAGAAAGATAGCGGCTGTTTCTGAGGCTGAGACAAACATCACCTCCTCCCCTTGAGGAAATCAAGAAAACCAAACTGCTTTCCCCTCTCCCCGACTCCACCATCAAACACACCATGATTTTGCCTATACCAAGGGTTGAAAACCTTCAGCAATATGCCAACTTTCAGTCACAAGTAACTCCTGGCCATGACTTCCTCCCTGCCATTCCTTCTCCCAATAGCCAACATGGGAGAAAAAAGATGGCAGTGTGAAAAGATGCTCAAGTCAGGACTGGTGTTCTGGGTCCTGTGAGGAGGAGTCTTAACATTAATTTTACCTGGACTGATCTTAGCTGGACCCCCACCCTCCACCCACAGCCATTCTGGGTGTGGCGTGCTCAGAAGACGGCAACAGGTCGCAGCTGCTGCAGCAGGGGGATATTATGCAGCATGGCTGCCCTGGCAGCAGTCAGGGAGTATTGAGCCCCACACTCAGACAGACACTTAACTGTGTGACACTCAGGAGTGTACTTAACCTCCCTGACCTTCAGTCTCTCCAACTGTAAATAGTAGCTCCTACTTCACAGGGTTATCTTGAAGTTTAAAAGCATATAAAATGCTAGTGCCGGACACATCATCAGCTCTCTATAAACGGCAACTCTTATTACCACTGTGGGCATTCGACTGTGGTTTATAACACTGTAAGCAAGTATGGACTAATAAAAGCTGTTTCCACAGTTGTAAGTTTTAGGAGCTGTTAACATGATTCCAACTGCGGGTCTGAGAACCCGGGATGACTGTTAGAGAACCCAATTGAGATTTCACATTAGAGAACTGATGATATTAAGGAAAAGAGTCGTGTGCAGGCCATGGAGTGGATGGTGAGGACAGCCAGAGAGCATGGGGAAAGTTACCAGAAGGCCCGGCTGCCATCAGGAGGACTTTCCAGGGGAGTAGCCCACTCAGCATGACACGGATGCAGGAGCCAGAGGAAAAACTCTGCGAGCCTTGGAGCAGACCTGGCACGTGCAGGTTTATTGACCACAAAGTCATGAGAAAGAGATTTTACATAAGTCGAGGCTATCCGAGGAGAAAGGAGGTTAAGACCACAGCAAAGCCATCTCTGTTTCATACCGAGTGTCCTCACCAGGCTGGGCCTTCCCGACTTAGCTGGGAGGAGGTGCAGGAGCTGGGCAGCGAGGTATGCACACAGCTGGATGTGCCAACGTCGGGGCCGAAACTCAGAGGCTAAGGAAGCTTCTGAAAGAGCAATGTAAGTGCCCCCGGGGACGGGTCCTAGAGCGTCCTCCATTGGAATTCATGTTTCTAAAGCATCGATCTGAATGTTATTCAATAATACCATGCCCTTTCCCCTCCACACTTTTCAGACAACAGGATGACCATGCACAGCTGGGAAGCAACACTTTGTAAGCAAACTCCAGAGTGGGTGGCTTCTTTGAGGAAAGAGTGAAAATAGATAAAGATGTTGCGGGGGGACAGTATGGAAGAGCTCCCCTCCAAGGATATGCTGATATACACCTCCCTGGAGCTGAGAAGCACCGAGAGGAGCCTGGACCACCAGTGAGCACCCAGAGGGTGGAAGATATGCCACCATGAGCTCCTTGAGGCCAGGAACCATTTCCAATCCACATATCAACTAATTTATATTGGTTAAATTATAAAAAACCATTAATTTTTCATGTATTTATTCCAGAAGTACAACTTCTCTTCTTTTGCTCCGTCCTCCATGCACACAACACACAGAGCAAATCCCACATTTTGATGGATGACTGAATGATAAATAATATAGTACTGCCTTCTGCCCTGAAGCCCCGACAACAACAAGGCTACCTCTGGAATCCACTCGCCACACTGATCATGACTGTGCCATCAGGGTTTGATCTCAGTCTATCACGTGAATCTACCTTGTTTTATGGGCCTGCAACATAATCAGAGCAAACCAATGGATTTCCCTTAAAGAAGGAGCAAGGGGAATCTGTGCAAAAGCCTAGTATAAATATATTACATCCTGGAAAAATAGACTATCGTAAAAGTCTACTTAACTGATGAACTCCACTCTGAACAAGCAAACCACACCCTTTATCAACAGCTTGTTAAGGTCCTTTTATTACTGCCATTACCTCGCCTGAAATAGCCCTCCCAGTCCATGGGAAGTAATGTCGTGGAAACAGCACTTATTCTGGAGCCAGACAGGACCGGGTTCAAGCCCTGGTTCACACTTACCAGTTGTGGATCTCTTTCCTAATTTGGAGAATGAGGATAATACTACCTACATTATGGAGATGTCATGAGGATTAAATGATGTAACTTCTAACCCCCAGGTTTTACAGCTTAGAAGCCTAACCATAGATGATTCTAGAAGACAACCTCCTTGCCAGGTCACAACCAAACCATAGCCAGCTGAATGAACGTAGGGAGCTGAGTGAGCATTTTTGGGCTCCAAGTCTGTAGCAGGGACCGTAAGGGTGGGAGGGATGTCAGTGGGAGGGGACTCATGATGTCTTAAGACCTAGATAAGGGGTGGGAGCAGAATGGGAGCCTTCCCCAAATCCATTTTCCCTTTCTTCCTCACCAACAAAAGCCTGGTACTCAGGGTTTCAATGTGACCAGAAGAAAAACTATATTCTGCAGCCTACCCTATAGATAAGGATGGCCACAGAACTAAATTCTGGCCAATAATATATAGGCATAAGCTACTGAATGAGGCATTTGGGAAAGCTCCTTAAAGAAACAGCAGATTCATCTGGGAAGCCCTTTTGCATTTCCTCCTTCCTTTGCTAATTGGAACTCAGACATGAGGACAGGAGCTGCTGAGGCCATCTTGGAAGCATGAGGCAACCCTAAGGATGAGAGCACAGAGAGATAAAAGGTGCCTGTGGTAGCGATCTCCACCTCCAGACTTATTTTATGTAGGAGAAAAATAAAGCCCTATCACTTGTTTCAGGCCTGTTATTAGGGGAGTTTGGTAGCCAGCCTCCAAGGTGGCTCCCAGTGGTCCTCACTGGGACCACTGGGAGGATTTGTGCTCTTGTATAGCCCTTCCACATGTTGAATAGAACTGACCTGTGTAACCAATAGGATATTAAGAAAATGACAATTTGTGATTTCTAGGTCATAAAAGACATGGTGGGTTCTGCCTTGCTTTCTCCTGGATCACTCACTCTAGGGGAAGGCAACTGCCAGGTCATGAGGACACGCAAGCAGCCCTACAGAAAAGTCCACATGGCCAAGAATCAAGGCCTCCTGCCAATAGTCAGCATCAACTTGCCAGCCCTGTGAATGAACACTTGGAAGCAGAGCCCCTGGCTCATGAAGCTCTCAGACAACTGAAACCCCAGTAACATCTTGAGCACAATCCCACTGGAGACCTTGAGTCAGAACCACCAAGTAAGCTGCTCCCAAACTTTTGATTCATAATAACTGTGTGAGATAATAAATGTTTATTGTTGTTTTAAGGCACTAAATTTATTATACAGTCATAAATAACTAATACATAGACATACTCAATTCCCAACTGATACGGAACCTAAAGAGGCAACTTGGAATGACCACACATGACACCCAAAAGACCTGCACTCTCCAACCTGCTGAAATCCCATCCAGAGAGGCACAGCTTCCCTCCTCCTCTCACTGCCTCCGTCTGGACATGTGGGAGACATGCAGCACCCTTCCTGTAGACTGCAGACACTGGTGCTAGCTGTAATCAAAGAAGTCAATCCATCCTATTCCACTTGAGGAGTGATCTCAGCCGGCTCTTTCTCCTCCCAACTTGCCCAGGTGCAGGAGTTCTCAGCCTCACACCACCTCACCCCTCACCACCCCAGCCCCACCATCTGTTATATAGTGGGCCTCCAGAGTTCTGGGCCATTGAAAGTGGGTTGTCCATGGGTGTCAGCTGGATGCTGAGCCAAGTTTGGGGGAACGGAGTCCCTGCAGCCAACTGCCTCTTGGCGGCAGTCCTCATTGGCCTCCTCAGTAGACAACTAGACATGTTAATTGAAACTGGTTCCCTTGTGATTTCTGGAACTAGAGAATTGAGCTGGAAACTCAAGTTATTTTCCCCAAAGTCATGAAAATTATTTCCAATATGAGGGGCTGGGAAATATGCTCATGTAATTCTTGAAAACTCTTCTTCTGTGTAAGAGACCTTTGAAGGTGAAACCAGAAATGTGCTGCTGCTTGTTTTCTGATTCTTTCCCCTCAAAGAAGATGCTAACTCTTCCCTAATTGCCATTAGAAAAGAGAAGAATTGTTCTCATTCCCTCCCTTCCATTGGCAGAGAGGAATGTCCACAAGATAGAAGGAAAAAAAAAAAAAGAGCACATGGTAGAGGTAGAGGAGAACATCAATTAAGAATACAAGTTGTATTAGTTGGAGTTCTCCAAAGAAACAGAATCAATAGGAGGGAGGATAGATAGATAGATTCTCAAATGAGATTTATTATAAGGAATTGGTTCACATGATGATAAAGACTAAGAAGTTCCATGGTCTGCCATCTGCAAGTTTTCCTCCTTACCCAGGAAAGCCAAGGGTGTAAACTTTAGTCAAAAGACCTGAGAACCAGCCACTCTGGTGGTGCAAGTCCCAGCCTAAGGGTAGGAGAAGACAAATGTGTCAGCTCAGCAGTTAGGCAAAGAGAAAGAATGCGACCTTCCTCTGCCATTCTGTTCTACTTAGGCCTTCAAGGGGTTGGATAAGGCCCACCCACCTTGGGAAGTATGATCTGCTTTATTCAGCCCACCAATTCAGATGTTACTCTCATCTGAAAACACTCTCAAAACACACCCAGAAATAATGTTTAACTGGCTATATGGGCATTCCAAGCCCTGTCAAGTTGACACCTAAAATTAACCATAAATAAAAGCTTATTTATGGAGCACATGCCACTCCTTGATCACACCTGATGCTCTGGGGACAAGGACCTCCGTACACATCCACACATCCAAAGATGTTTTCTCTTCCATCCTTTCTTCAATGCTTTTCTGCCCAGAATGGTCTTTTCTCAGTTTCATATGTGGCTAAGTCCTACTCCTACATTAAGACTCAGTTGGAGCCACCTCTCAGGATGTGTCAGGAGCCAGTGCTGCAGGCTCCCATGATCCCCATGCTCTCACCCACACCATGTTGTTCTCATAACCCTCTATGCACTGACCACCATGCTTACATCACTGACCTCTTAGGCCTCTACCCACCACATTACTCTGGGGATTTCTGGAGAACAGAACTTTCACTTCTGTCTTCCCAAAACCATCGTTTAGATTCTAGAACGGTGCCTAGCAAATAGTAGATGCTCAATAAACGTGTGGTGGGTGAGTAAATTGATTGGATAAATGAATAAATATGTAATATGCACTGCACAGTGGAACACCATCCCACCCACTCCATTTTATTTTTTTAAGCTTTAAACATTGCCCTCGAGAGAGATTTAGGGGCGGCTCCCTGGCCCGATAATTTCCCACTCTTAAAACTGGTCCTTAAACCACCACACTCAGGAGCAAGAATTCCAGACTACTTCATTTTTCTAACTCAGAATAATCCAGCTTTGACGACTCTCCGGAGTGGTGAGAAACTCAATCTCAGTCACATTTGGGGGTGTCAAAGTATAATTTCAAAATGCTAAAAATGTAACTTTCATATAAATATATAAGGAGCATGTGTCAAAAGATTTACATAATTCATTAATGAGAGAAGGCAGGATGAAAAAAACTGGCTCAAAGGATGACACAAGGAAATGATATATATAGAGAGTCAGTGATAAAAAGAGAACAGGGGAATGAGATTGCTAAATTAGATATGAAACTAGTTAATGCCCTACATAGCAATAAAACCATCACTCTTGGGGTTCCCTCCTCTACCAGACAGAAGCATTTTCACTTCAACCAGGCAAAAATCATTCACCTCCCTTCCATTTTTCTGCAAGCTAGCATCTAATGCTATAAATTTTGAACCTTAATGACTATAAATAGGAAGCTCAAAAAAGTTACCTTCCCCTAGAGAAGAAAAGTGAACTCTATACGGGAAACAATTCTACCTATAAAAAGGTTAAATGAGAAAGAGTTAAGTTGGGGATTTAGACATTTAAGACAGATGTGAAAACAAGACTAAATGATATTTAGTCACAATGTGTATATGCAGCAGGGGAGCACATGCAGGGCAGTGTGACCTAGTGAAGAAAGGACAATAAAGAGAGATTGTAACAGTGACGCTAGAGCCAACGTGTACATAAACAAGAGAAGGCGCAAGAGAGCTGGTGTTTTCAGACAGTGATCTGATGAAAAGACCAACAACTTATATTGGGCAAATATCCAACATGTGCCTTGATAAAATATTTATTATTATTATTATTTTTTTTTTAATTATACTTTAAGTTTTAGGGTACATGTGCACGTTGTGCAGGTTAGTTACATATGTATACATGTGCCATGCTGGTGCGCTGCACCCACTAACTCGTCATCTAGCATTAGGTATATCTCCCAATGCTATCCCTCCCCCCTCCCCCCTCCCCACCACAGTCCCCAGAGTGTGATATTCCCCTTCCTGTGTCCATGTGATCTCATTGTTCAATTCCCACCTATGAGTGAGAATATGCGGTATTTGGTTTTTTGTTCTTGCGATAGTTTACTGAGAATGATGGTTTCCAATTTCATCCATGTCCCTACAAAGGACATGAACTCATCATTTTTTATGGCTGCATAGTATTCCATGGTGTATATGTGCCACATTTTCTTGATCCAGTCTATCATTGTTGGACATTTGGGTTGGTTCCAAGTCTTTGCTATTGTGAATAATGCCGCAATAAACATACGTGTGCATGTGTCTTTATAGCAGCATGATTTATAGTCCTTTGGGTATATACCCAGTAATGGGATGGCTGGGTCAAATGGTATTTCTAGTTCTAGATCCCTGAGGAATCGCCACACTGACTTCCACAATGGTTGAACTAGTTTACAGTCCCACCAACAGTGTAAAAGTGTTCCTATTTCTCCACATCCTCTCCAGCACCTGTTGTTTCCTGACTTTTCAATGATTGCCATTCTAACTGGTGTGAGATGGTATCTCATAGTGGTTTTGATTTGCATTTCTCTGATGGCCAGTGATGATGAGCATTTTTTCATGTGTTTTTTGGCTGCATAAATGTCTTCTTTTGAGAAGTGTCTGTTCATGTCCCTCGCCCACTTTTTGATGGGGTTGTTTGTTTTTTTCTTGTAAATTTGTTTGAGTTCATTGTAGATTCTGGATATTAGCCCTTTGTCAGATGAGTAGGTTGCGAAAATTTTCTCCCATGTTGTAGGTTGCCTGTTCACTCTGATGGTAGTTTCCCCCGCTGTGCAGAAGCTCTTTAGTTTAATTAGATCCCATTTGTCAATTTTGGCTTTGGTTGCCATTGCTTTTGGAGTTTTGGACATGAAGTCCTTGCCCACGCCTATGTCCTGAATGGTAATGCCTAGGTTTTCTTCTAGGGTTTTTATGGTTTTAGGTCTAACGTTTAAATCTTTAATCCATCTTGAATTGATTTTTGTATAAGGTGTAAGGAAGGGATCCAGTTTCAGCTTTCTACATATGGCTAGCCAGTTTTCCCAGCACCATTTATTAAATAGGGAATCCTTTCCCCATTGCTTGTTTTTCTCAGGTTTGTCAAAGATCAGATAGTTGTAGGTATGCAGCATTATTTCTGAGGGCTCTGTTCTGTTCCATTGATCTATATCTCTGTTTTGGTACCAGTACCATGCTGTTTTGGTTACTGTAGCCTTGTAGTATAGCTTGAAGTCAGGTAGTGTGATGCCTCCAGCTTTGTTCTTTTGGCTTAGGATTGACTTGGCGATGCGGGCTCTTTTTTGGTTCCATATGAACTTTAAAGTAGTTTTTTCCAATTCTGTGAAGAAAGTCATTGGTAGGTTGATGGGGATGGCATTGAATCTATAAATTACCTTGGGCAGTATGGCCATTTTCACGATATTGATTCTTCCTACCCATGAGCATGGAATGTTCTTCCATTTGTTTGTATCCTCTTTTATTTCCTTGAGCAGTGGTTTGTAGTTCTCCTTGAAGAGGTCCTTCACATCCCTTGTAAGTTGGATTCCTAGGTATTTTATTCTCTTTGAAGCAATTGTGAATGGGAGTTCACTCATGATTTGGCTCTCTGTTTGTCTGTTGTTGGTGTATAGGAATGCTTGTGATTTTTGTACATTGATTTTGTATCCTGAGACTTTGCTGAAGTTGCTTATTAGCTTAAGGAGATTTTGGGCTGAGACGATGGGGTTTTCTAGATAAACAATCACGTCATCTGCAAACAGGGACAATTTGACTTCCTCTCTTCCTATTTGAATACCCTTTATTGCTTTCTCTTGCCTGATTGCCCTGGCCAGAACATTCAGTACCATGTTGAATAGGAGTGGTGAGAGAGGGCATCCTTGTCTTGTGCTGCTTTTCAAAGGGAATACTTCCAGCTTTTGCCCATTCAGCATGATATTGGCTGTGGGTTTGTCATAGATAGCTCTTATTATTTTGAAATACATCCCATCAATACCTAATTTATTGAGAGTTTTTAGCATGAAGGGTTGTTGAATTTTGTCAAAGGCTTTTTCTGCATCTATTGAGATAATCATGTGGTTTTTGTCTTTGGCTCTGTTTATATGCTGGATTACATTTATTGATTTGTGTATATTGAACCAGCCTTGCATCCCAGGGATGAAGCCCACTTCATCATGGTGGATAAGCTTTTTGATGTGCTGCTGGATTCGTTTTGCCAGTATTTTATTGAGGATTTTTGCATCAATGTTCATCAAGGATATTGGTCTAAAATTCTCTTTTTTGGTTGTGTCTCTGCCCGGCTTTGGTATCAGAATGATGCTGGCCTCATAAAATGAGTTAGGGAGGATTCCCTCTTTTTCTATTGATTGGAATAGTTTCAGAAGGAATGGTACCAGTTCCTCCTTGTACCTCTGGTAGAATTCGGCTGTGAATCCATCTGGTCCTGGAATCTTTTTGGTTGGTAAACTATTGATTATTGCCACAATTTCAGCTCCTGTTATTGGTCTATTCAGAGATTCAACTTCTTCCTGGTTTAGTCTTGGGAGAGTGTATGTGTCGAGGAATTTATCCATTTCTTCTAGATTTTCTAGTTTATTTGAATAGAGGTGTTTGTAGTATTCTCTGATGGTAGTTTGTATTTCTGTGGGATCGGTGGTGATATCCCCTTTATCATTTTTTATTGTGTCTATTTGATTCTTCTCTCTTTTTTTCTTTATTAGTCTTGCTAGTGGTCTATCAATTTTGTTGATCCTTTCAAAAAACCAGCTCCTGGATTCATTGATTTTTTGAAGGGTTTTTTGTGTCTCTATTTCCTTCAGTTCTGCTCTGATTTTAGTTATTTCTTGCCTTCTGCTAGCTTTGGAATGTGTTTGCTCTTGCTTTTCTAGTTCTTTTAACTGTGATGTTAGGGTGTCAATTTTGGATCTTTCCTGCTTTCTCTTGTGGGCATTTAGTGCTATAAATTTCCCTCTACACACTGCTTTGAATGCATCCCAGAGATTCTGGTATGTTGTGTCTTTGTTCTCGTTGGTTTCAAAGAACATCTTTATTTCTGCCTTCATTTCGTTATGTACCCAGTAGTCATTCAGGAGCAGGTTGTTCAGTTTCCATGTAGTTGAGCGGCTTTGAGTGAGATTCTTAATCCTGAGTTCTAGTTTGATTGCGCTGTGGTCTGAGAGATAGTTTGTTATAATTTCTGTTCTTTTCCATTTGCTGAGGAGAGCTTTACTTCCAACTATGTGGTCAATTTTGGAATAGGTGTGGTGTGGTGCTGAAAAAAATGTATATTCTGTTGATTTGGGGTGGAGAGTTCTGTAGATGTCTATTAGGTCCCCTTGGTGCAGAGCTGAGTTCAATTCCTGGGTATCCTTGTTGACTTTCTGTCTCGTTGATCTGTCTAATGTTGACAGTGGGGTGTTAAAGTCTCCCATTATTAATGTGTGGGAGTCTAGGTCTCTTTGTAGGTCACTCAGGACTTTCTTTATGAATCTGGGTGCTCCTGTATTGGGTGCATATATATTTAGGATAGTTAGCTCCTCTTGTTGAATTGATCCCTTTACCATTATGTAATGGCCTTCTTTGTCTCTTTTGATCTTTGTTGGCTTAAAGTCTGTTTTATCAGAGACTAGGATTGCAACCCCTGCCTTTTTTTGTTTTCCATTTGCTTGGTAGATCTTCCTCCATCCTTTTATTTTGAGCCTATGTGTGTCTCTGCACGTGAGATGGGTTTCCTGAATACAGCACACTGATGGGTCTTGACTCTTTATCCAACTTGCCAGTCTGTGTCTTTTAATTGGAGAATTTAGTCCATTTACATTTAAAGTTAATATTGTTATGTGTGAATTTGATCCTGTCATTATGATGTTAGCTGGTGATTTTGCTCGTTAGTTGATGCAGTTTCTTCCTAGTCTCGATGGTCTTTACATTTTGGCATGATTTTGCAGCGGCTGGTACTGGTTGTTCCTTTCCATGTTTAGCGCTTCCTTCAGGAGCTCTTTTAGGGCAGGCCTGGTGGTGACAAAATCTCTCAGCATTTGCTTGTCTGTAAAGTATTTTATTTCTCCTTCACTTATGAAGCTTAGTTTGGCTGGATATGAAATTCTGGGCTGAAAATTCTTTCCTTTAAGAATGTTGAATATTGGCCCCCACTCTCTTCTGGCTTGTAGGGTTTCTGCCGAGAGATCCACTGTTAGTCTGATGGGCTTCCCTTTGAGGGTAACTCGACCTTTCTCTCTGGCTGCCCTTAACATTTTTTCCTTCATTTCAACTTTGGTGAATCTGACAATTATGTGTCTTGGAGTTGCTCTTCTCGAGGAGTATCTTTGTGGCGTTCTCTGTATTTCCTGAATCTGAACGTTGTTGGCCTGCCTTGCTAGATTGGGGAAGTTCTCCTGGATAATATCCTGCAGAGTGTTTCCCAACTTGGTTGCATTCTCCCCATCACTTTCAGGTACACCAATCAGACGTAGATTTGGTCTTTTCACATAGTCCCATATTTCTTGGAGGCTTTGCTCATTTCTTTTTATTCTTTTTTCTCTAAACTTCCCTTCTTGCTTCATTTCATTCATTTCATCTTCCATTGCTGATACCCTTTCTTCCAGTTGATCGCATCAGCTCCTGAGGCTTCTGCATTCTTCACGTAGTTCTCGAGCCTTGGTTTTCAGCTCCATCAGCTCCTTTAAGCACTTCTCTGTATTGGTTATTCTAGTTATACATTCTTCTAAATTTTTTTCAAAGTTTTCAACTTCTTTGCCTTTGGTTTGAATGTCCTCCCGTAGCTCAGAATAATTTGATCGTCTGAAGCCTTCCTCTCTCAGCTCGTCAAAATCATTCTCCATCCAGCTTTGTTCCGTTGCTGGTAAGGAACTGCGTTCCTTTGGAGGAGGAGAGGCGCTCTGCGTTTTAGAGTTTCCAGTTTTTCTGTTCTGTTTTTTCCCCATCTTTGTGGTTTTATCTACTTTTGGTCTTTGATGATGGTGATGTACAGATGGGTTCTCGGTGTGGATGTCCTTTCTGTTTGTTAGTTTTCCTTCTAACAGACAGGACCCTCAGCTGCAGGTCTGTTGGAATACCCTGCCGTGTGAGGTGTCAGTGTGCCCCTGCTGGGGGGTGCCTCCCAGTTAGGCTGCTCGGGGGTCAGGGGTCAGGGACCCACTTGAGGAGGCAGTCTGCCCGTTCTCAGATCTCCAGCTGCGTGCTGGGAGAACCACTGCTCTCTTCAAAGCTCAGATGGAAATGCAGAAATCACCCGTCTTCTGCGTCGCTCACGCTGGGAGCTGTAGACCGGAGCTGTTCCTATTCGGCCATCTTGGCTCCTCCCCCAAATATTAACTCAAAGGTCTGTTGAGAGTTTAGGATGAATGCCCAGATTCTACCCTCTGGAGTTTGCTGCTAAGAGAGCTGTTTGCACAGAGAAAATGCTAAATGTGAAATAAAATGGTTTTCTACTTCCCCGTCACATGGCTCCCTTAAACCTGAAAGGCAGGTCTGCAGAACAGAGCCACAGTCCCTGGTTCACCTGCTCACTAGCAGAGGAGCCTCTGGGGTGCTCAGTGGCCACCAGCCCCTTGAAGGTAGCCTTGCCTTGGGGCACTCTCTATGCAGAAGTGGGAAATGTGAGAACTCTGAAGATGGAAAATTTGGTGAGGAAACTTGAGCTGAACTGATGGAAAATGTTCATAGCTTTCATTTATTCCACTTAGTGTGAATATCCTATATTTTAAGGCAGAACTATTAATGAGTTTGATAACAGGGCACTTCTCCTAGCCCCAGTGGTCTATGTTAACCTTTCTGAACTCCAAAAGATTCTGGATTCTAACACCATCTGACCCAAAAAGTCTTTTATTTTTATTTATTTATTTATTTTGGATGGAGTCTCATTCTGCCGCCCAGGCTCCAGGCTGGAGTGCAGTGGCACGATCTCTGCTCACTGCAAGCTCCGCCTCCCGGGTTCACTCCATTCTCCTGCCTCAGCCTCCCGAATAGCTGGGACTACAGGCGCCCACCAACATGCCCGGCTAATTTTTTTGTATTTTTGGTAGAGACAGGGTTTCACCATGTTAGCCAGGATGCCCAAAAAGTCTTAAGTTAGAGGTTGTGGTCCTGTACCACATGCAAAGATGACCAACATTCACATTTTGGTATCTGATCTGATTTTTCATTTCCCTATTGTTGGGTATTTCCAAAGTGGTTTTCAATTTTTCCATTTAGAAAAATCCTGCAAGGATGATTTCCTTATGATAAATTCCTAAAAGTAAAACCAGAGTAAAGGGATATGTATGTTTTATGGCTTTTGAAACATGTTGCCAAATTACTTTCTAGCATTGTTTGCCAATATTTAAGAAAGGCTATCTCAGCCCAACTCAGTCATACTGAATGTTACTGTTACAGCGTTACTTTTTATTTATAGAAAACCAGCGCTCTGGCATGATAAAGAATTCAAGTAGTACAAAAATATATACACCCTGCTGCCAACTTTCATTTCCTTTCCCCGAAGAGAGGGAGGGAGAGAGGAACTCAACCACATTCCACATATTCTCCTTAACTCTCTCTTAGACTTTGCCAGTGCCTCCACTAACACTCTCTGATCTTGTGTCTTCAGAGGCCAGGTGAGGAGAATAACTCACTGTATTCCACTTCCCCAAACTTGGCCTTCTCTCAGCTGTTTAATTTCTGGACTTGATTAAATTTTACGATTCTAACGGCAGTTAAAATTTCCCTTTCTACTATCCACATTCTTATTCTTGCAGGATTTGACATCCTGTAGCTATTAGTAGTCCTTTAGCCCTGGCTGAGGGAAGATCAAAATGTGTAAACACCATTAGCTCTCTGACTACTGATGTGACCTACTAGATCTTACCCAAACCAATAGCACAGGGGCATATTTGAGAAGACCCTGTTGCAAATAGTCTCCTCTGGCTCTAAGAAAGTCTTTCCCTTTAAAGTCCTGGCCCCAGGAAAGATTCTCTATCTCAGTTCTAGACCAGATCTCTTGGAGCTGGGGAACGGCAGGGAGATAGGCTCTATGTGGTACCCCGTGAGTACTGCATGCTTGGGGCAAGGATGAGCAAATCCCCAGTGGAAGCCATGGGTGGGGTGAGGGTGCTCTGAATAGGCCAGGACGACAGTGGTCCACCATGACAGCCACTGGCTCTGCCCACCTGGGTCCTCACCCCTGGCAAATGCCTCCTCCTGATGCTCTGAGGCTTGTCTCAGACGAGAAAGGAGAGCAAACAGCCCTGTGTGTATTGATTGTAATCCCGCTAAGTAGCTCACCGCTATTCATTTTGAATGGCATGTTTCCCAACACCCACGCTGGGGTCACAGAGACGACACTGCCCAGGACAGAACAAACCCTCTTACAGGGTTCCTTTTAAAGCTCTTTCCCTTTTAATCGTAGTCACCAGTGTACTAAGTCCCATTCTGTGACAAGCAACAGGCTCAACATCATGGAGCTGTTTCTGTCTGTACTAAGTCTGTAAGCTGGAAACTTTGTAGGGAGAACCCACCAGGCTGTGCAAATTTCCCTGTGATGTTTAAACAACCAGCTCCAGAGGAGGAAGGAAAGGAGGAGCGGGAGAGAGGTGAGACAGGCCTCCCTGTCCCAGCTCCTGCTTCCAGGCTTCCTTCACTAGCCCCCAAGCTCCAGAGCTCCCATACTGTGCTAGGGTCCCCACACTGGTATTTGTACCCAGGCCTGTCTGCCCAGAATGCTGACTTCCACAATAGCTCTGCTCCCTCTCTCTCCCTATCGAAGCCCCAGGCCTGAGACTGCCCCACCCTGTCCCTCCGGACTTCTTAGGTCCAAACCTCATCCTGGCCCTTATTTCTATCTGGTCTCTAAGACCAGTAACTCCCACTGCCTGAGACGCCCTTTTGCATCTACCAACGAAGGTGTTAGTATCACTGTTGGCTTCACTACACTACTCAGACTTCCAACACATGAAAGACAAGCATCAAATCACACTTCCATTTCCCAACTTCCCATAGACTTTATGTGTCTAAGAAAATGCTTTCAAGTATTATGTTTTTCAGGGTTATATTTGTCACATAACTGAGATTTTACTGTACAAAGTAGGATTTCATTTCTAACACAATAATTTTTAAGTGTTTTCATTTTTATTCTCAATTTGTAGCCAAATTCTCTTTAACAATTTCTTATGTACTTCAGCATAATTGCTCTTATACTTCATGCCTATAAGTGCAGACTAATTTACATCATCAAATGATACTGTATTTTAATGATATCCATGCAGCTATCCTTAGATTTATATTTTACAAAAGTCTGTACTAACAAATGATATAGTCACATCTCTTTGCAATACTTTCTAGAGTTTTTCCTCACAAATTATTTTGTCTCTCTGTGCTATAATTCCAGTCAAAGTTGTTCCATGGTCTGAGAAACACCTATACTGGACAAGTATATTATTAGACATACCAATATCAACTTCCTTTGGGCAAATAATTTGCAAATTGTAGCTGGAGGGTGTTCCCTGAGCTGTCCCTTTTAATTGGAAACAAGGAATGAAAAAGCTGAATAAGAGTGTTACTACCAGGATGTGGACCCAGGTGAAGGGCCTAGAACTATGGACTGAAATTGCCTTGAAATGAGCTGAAATTATCTGACCAGAGAACCACGTAAGAGACCGTCAATACATTGTTAATGCTGCATCCAGAAGCAGAGGATAGATTCAGCCCATTGGGACATTGCAACCCAGACCTTAGCCATGCTGACAGAGTTTCCTGAGAACTGGGAATAAAAGAGGACCTCCTCCAGCCCCCAGTCCTGCAATTGTTTCTCCAAGGAGAGTCAAGGAGGCCCAGTTCTCATTGCTGATCTCCTCTGATGCTCTGTAGAAGAGTCCCTCTCCATGAAAAGCCAACAGAGACATCTGCCCCTTCCTGAAAGTTCTGGGTCCTCCACTCCTCCGTGTAACCAAATGTAGACCTTCCCTATCCCTGGCTGGATCTGGCCCCCTAGGCTGTTTCATGGTGCTACTTAAAGGAAGCCAACAAACAAGCTGCTTTCATAAGGTCAAAGAACACACTGGGCTCATGAGGAGACCCAGACAACTCCTAATAAAATCAGCATGGACCCAGACCTGTTCGTTTTAATTCCTGATCTGCTACCAACTGTGAGACCTTAGGCAAAAATTGCTTCACCTCTCTGAGACTCCCATTTCTCCATCTGTAAAATGCAGATAATACCAAATAGGGATATGGTGGGCATAATAAATGAATGCACAAAAGAAAAGTATGAAAACACCAAGTACAATTAGTCTGGAAATATGTTGATGCTAGCCTTGAACAGTTTGTATTACTTTCTAAAAATAAAAAAGGCTGCTAAGAAAATTTTATGAAAATTCATCTTTCTACTTGTATAATTTTCATAAAAACTCTGGAAGTGTTAGCATGTAAACAATGCCAGATATTCATTTTCTTTATAAATATCTATAATTGAAATCAGCTTTACAAAACAGAACAAACCCAAGTAAATTATATGCACGTGATTAATTACAAAATTTTTGTCTTATTAACAAAAACTTATGTAAATCTGAATTAAGAATGTAAAGAACATTCTTGAACTTTTTGATCCATTTCTTCAAGCTTCATTCTAAAAATCTTAAGAACCATAGCACTACCCCCACTCCCTGAAGCAAATCCAACTGAAGAGAGAGAACAGAGTAGAACCAAACCCACGCCTTGGAGATGCCCATGCTTAAAAAACTTCACTTGGACCAATGCTCAAAGTCACTGGTCATCAAAGAAATAAAAATTAAATCTACTAGAATGGCTAAAAATAAAAGGACTGAAAACACCAAATGTTGGTAAGGATGTGAAACAACCAGAATGTTCATCCATTGCTGGTGGGAGTGTAAAATGGTAAAACAATTTTGGAAAGATTTGTTTCTTCTACAGTTAAACATGGACCTACCCAATGACTCAGCACTTAAATTCTAAGTTTTTACCCAAGAGAAATGAGAATGTATATCCACAAAAAGACTTGTACAGGAATATTTATAGCAGCTTTATTTATAACAGTCAAACTGGAGACAACTCAAATCCAGGGAAAAGGATAAACAAACTGTGGTACATTTATAATATGGAATACTACTTAGCAACAAACGGGAAAAATCTGCTTCTATGTAATAGATGAGTCTCATAGACATTATGCTGAGCAAAAGAAGCCAATTATGAAAAAGTGCATATTATATGAGTCTATTTATATGAAGTTCTACACAAGACAAAACTATCTATAGTGAAACAAAACCAGAAAAGTGGTTGGCTCTGGGGGGGATAGACTGAGAAAGAAACTTTCTGGATGGTAGAAATGTTTTATGCCTTAACAGGAGTGAGCATATGTTCCTTAGAAGTTCTAGTGTTCTATGCCACTGTAGGATGACTCTAACAATAACATATTATTAGTTTCAAAGAGCTAGAAGGAGGATATTGAATAGTCCCAACACAAAGAAATGTAAATGTTTGAGATGATGGATACACTGATACCCTGATTTGGTCACTATACATTACATGTATCAAAACATTCCTATGTACCCTAGAAATAAATGAAATTATTATTTGTCAACTTAAAAATTTTTTAACATACCAGATTATATATTTAAGATTTGTGTATTTTACTATATATAAATTTTGTACTCTACTAGTAGGCTTGCTTTTCTCAGCAGTGTGGGTTAGCAATTCTGAAATTAATTTCTGTGTATCTTATGCTTGAGCAAATGAATAAATACATTGAGGAAAATAGGAGCCATGTTTCTTACTGTCAGAAAAAAGAGTTACAAATATGTAAAAAGGGGAAAATTAGAGTGTTCTCTGAGTTTATGGATTGGAATTAGAGGTACCAGTATGAACTTGTGTTTTTTGATACATAGATGAATAGATAAATATATTTCCTAGCTCTGTCCACCAAAAGTGTCTGGGAGCAATAACACACCTGCAGCAGTGAGTACATCTAGCACTTAGATCTTGGTTTCTAAATACCATTCTCCACTAAAACGAACGAAGAGTCCTTGAAGAAAAGTCTTGGATTCCAGGACTGGGGTGTGGAAACACAAGATGAGTTTAGGATATCTTATTTCACAAGAACCTAAGAAGATGCTCAGTGAGAAATGGGGAACATTCAATAGGACCCAGGATTAGCTTGAAGGAACTTCCATGGGCCACTGAAGGGACTCTTCTACATCTGGGACAATTTGAGCATCAATTATAATAATGTATTCTATTTCACTGAATAAAATAGGAATCCCTGAGAGCACACTGATAGAAAAATGCCAACTAGGCGGGGTGCCATGGCTCACACCTGTAATCCCAGCAGTTTGGGAGGCTGAGGCACACGGATCCCTTGAGGTCAGGAGTTCAAGACCACCCTGGCCAACATGGTGAAACCCTGTCCCCATTAAAAATACAAAAAAATTAGCCATGCGTGGTGGCGCATGTCTGTAATCCCAGCTAACCGGGTAGCTGAGGCAGGAGAGTCGCTTGAATCTGGGAGGCAGAGGTTACAGTGAGCTGAGATTGCACCACTGCACTCCAGCCTGGGCGACAGTGAGAATGAGACTCTGTCTAAAAAAAAAAAAAAAAACAAAAAAAGCCAACTAATAAATATAGAAGGGATGATAGAATTAGAAAATCATCAGTGGTTGCCAAAACTAGTTTGATAAGGGTGAAAGGTTGATGAGAAACAGAATATTTACAGTCTCAATGCATCTCCCCTCAAATTACTTATTACTTACAAAAGAGAAAATGGTAACATGGTGGAGAAATTTGGCAGACACTCCCTGTTCCATTTGCTTTGTCTACATAACAAATTACCCCCAAACTCAGCACCGTTAAACAGCCATTTATTATGCTTGTGGATTCTAGAGATCAGGAATTTGTATAGAGAACATCAAGGATGGCTTGTCTCCGCTCCATGATGTCAGGGGCCTTAGTTGAAAAACTCAAAGGCTAAACGCTGGAATCATCTGAAGACTCCTTTACCCACATGACAGCACTGGGTGTTGTGTGTGGCCGAGAACCCCAGTCCTTCCCCAGGTGGCTGGTTTGGGCTTCCTGACAGGATGGTGGCTACCTGGATTCACCACTGTGCAGTTAGTATTTTTCACTTTGTAATTGATAAATAGCTTGTAGGGAGATGGTTTGAGATTAGATGAATATCCTATCTCTTGATCATGCTTTTGGCCACTACTTTCAGCATTGCTGCAAACTCTTTTTTAAAAGGCCAATTTATTTCATAGACATGTACATTTTTTTCAAAAAGTCCAAACTCTAAACAGTGTAATTCTTGAAAGCACAGAATCCTTTAGTTTGGCTCACAAGCTTGATCTTTGAAAAAGCCCTCTGTTTTTCCAACTTGCTGGTCTTTGCTAATCAGATAGGGGTTTAAAAAAAGATATTTCATTATACTTTTAAGGGTCTATTATTATAGACTGAGCTCGAGCATCTTTTCATGTTTGAATCATTTGTATTTCATTTTCTGATAACTGTTCTTATCATTTGTCTATTTCATACTTACTTACAGAAGTTTTTAAAATATATTAAAGAAAGTAATTATAGAATAGAGAAATATATTCAGGAAAATAGCCCTTTATCAGTTACACAAGTTGCAAGCATCCTTGTCAATTTTGTGTTTGCCTTTTATCTTTTCATTTTGATTTAGTGTTACTTTTAACACAAAATTTTTTGTTGTTTCTGTTTTGTCGAATTTACTAATTTGTGTGTGGGCGTGGTTTCTTAGAAGAGCCTTCCCCATTCTGATATTATTAGTTAAATCTCCCATTTTTATATACTACTTGTATGATTTCCTTTTCATGTTTATATATTTAATCTACCTAAAATTTATTTTGGTGTAAGACCTGAGATCCAGCTTTTTTTTAATAAGATGATCCACTTGTCTCAATATCATTAAATGAATAGTCCGCATTTTCCCTAAGGGTGTAGTTTATATCGTATACTAAATTCCCATATGTATTTGGTTTGACTTTCTAGTCTGTATTATTGATTTAATCATGCATTTGTACCACATTGTTCTAATTACTATAGATTTATAATATGTTTCAATATCTGGTAGGATGTTTCCCTCCTCGTTACTCTTTTTTTTCTCACAATTTTTCTGTCCAAGAATATGCTTGCTTGTTTGTCCATGTGAACTTTAGATTCAGTTGACATGCCTAAAAACTTCTGGACTAATTTAAGGAGACTTGACATCTTCATGATATTGAATCTTCCCAAGTATGAACGTTCAAACAGTAGACCTTTCCATTGCTTAAGGCTTCTTTTGTGTCTCCTTTCTTTGCGTAGCTTAAAAGAGCATTTTAATATGTTTTTCACAAGAGCTGACCACTGTGTCTTCTTGCCCTGTCCTGTAAGAGCCAGCCCCCATTTGTTGCCATTTCTGGACATTTTTTTTTTACAATAAAGCAACATGGATGTGGAGTTTTAGGATGAGTATACTAAAGTTTCATTAAAATATAGTAATGTGGGCTAGACACAGTGGCTCACGCCTGTAATCCCAGCACTTTGGGAGGCTGAGCCAGGCGGATTACCTGAGGTCAGCAGTTCGCAACCAGCCTGGCCAACGTGGTGAAACTCCATCTATACTAAAAATACAAAAAATCAGCCAGGCATGGTATCAGGTGCCTGTAATTCCAGCTACATGGGAGGCTGAGGCAGGAGAATCGCTTTAACTCAGCAGGCGGAGATTGCAGTGAGCCGAGATTGTGCCATTGCACTCCAACCTAAGCAACAAGAGCAAAACTTCGTCTCAAAAAAAAAAAAAAGTAGCAATGTGCTATTGCACCTACACTTTCAAATTTCAAGTAGAAAACAATACTTCTGGTGATGCTGAGAAACTCAATACCATTCCTCAGAGAGCCGTGGCCATCAGCAGACAAATTTATTTGGGGGGTATTTTATCTGTTTCATCGCTATTACAAATGGATTCTTTTCTCCAATCTTGTCTTCTGCCTGATTGCTATTTATATATAGTTAAATGGGTTTATAGGTTCTCTAAGCATATTACTTAATGGGAGGAAGAGAATTTAATTTCTTTCTTATAACAATCACCAACCATAATGGTAGAAAATGAATCTCAGGCTACATACCAAAAAGAACTTCAGGCAGTTCTTTTTTCTTTTCTTGATAGAATGAAATATTAATAGAACATTCAGCAAATTGGCTTTTAGACTGTACATATAACTATTCAATAAGTAAATCTTAGAAAAAATAAAAACAGCTTCCACTTGTATTAACTGTATCAGCCCCAGTTAATACTAGTGATGAGATAGAGAGATAGAGGGGTGAGATATGGAAGAAGATTTTGCAGTACTTGTCAAAAGTTATAACCATACATCCACTTGGGGTGTGGCCTTTGCAATCGTTGCACTGCCTTAAAAAAACTCTTTTTTTGGCCAGGCACAGTGCCTCACACCTGTAATCTCAGCACTTTGGACGGCCATGCTGTGTGGCAGACCCCAGCAGCCCACAGCAGTGAAAAGTGCTCTCCATGCTAAGGTAGTGCCCAGCACAAGCCATGTAGACTCCAGCCTCAGCCAGCTCTGGACTCTAGGCTGACCATCACCACCCCGGTTTAACGGGACAATTAATAGCCTGCTTTCCGCCAGAGACAGAAGTGGAAAATCAACTACGGAGTTTTAACATTCTTTAATTATGGACACGACCAGCTTCAGGAAACCACTGATTTCATAATGGCCTCCTCCCAGTGAAGCAGCTGTTGGGCACATAATCCTGGGCACAAGGCACTCAGGGCACCGCGTTGGCTTCTTCACAGAATGGCCACTGGGGGTGCTTCCTGACTCCATAGGAGGGGCTAGAGCATGCCCCTCCACACTCAGTAAGCAAAGATGGATCCTCCTCAAATGTCGCATTTGCCACAAGAACCCTCCAAAGCTAGCATGCTTTTAAAAATTAATCAACTTTTTCTTCAAGAGCGGCCCCTTTTTAAAAGAGATCTATTGATGTACAACATTTGTAAAGTGATTTGCAATTTTCGGTCTCCCTTGCCCTCTCCTTATCCAGTCTTAAAATAACTTCAAGAGGGAGGTGTTATGCTAATCCTTAGTTTACAGGTGAGAAAGCTGAGATCAAGGAGGTTCAAAGGCTTGCCTGAGGTTCCACAGCTGGGAGACAGAAACGTCTATAATTGGCTGTGGCCCCTGGGGGTGGCCAACTACAGGGTGGCTGCTGCTATCTGGGTAGCACAGGGGAAAATAACAAAGTAAAATTGTCTGCTTCTGTTCACACAGCTTAAAAAAACCTCTGTCCATCTTCCAATGGTTGATAAAGCAACCTGCAGAGCAAGGCTTTGCTTCTGTTTTGTGTGGAAATCTAGGTAGGAGGAAAGAGACAAACGGTGTAGTGTCCCAAACCTCAGGAAAAGGCAGAAATAAACTCCATGAAACCACAGGAGAGAAGCTGAGACAGATTGACAGAACTCCGAAAGAGAAACTGCCAGAACCCAATGAGTCATGAGCTCTTAAACGGAAAATCAGGCTGCATAGTGCCTGCTTAGATAAAAGAGATAATTAGATCTTTTGTTTGTATATTTATCCTAAATGGCTTCTCCACTCTTTGACGATATCTTTGCTAAGATTTCCACTGTTTTATATAATGAAGTTTTATGGGATTTTTTTTTTTTCAAAGAGGAATCTATTTTTATAGAGCTGGAATATTGTGAGGCTAATTTTGTATCTCAAAAAAGCAGGCTCTCTGCAGGGGAGGCAAGTGAGTCTCTGTCGCCACCTAGTGGACATTGCTAAATGGGAGCCAGCGGAGAAGGCTCCCCATAGGCACTTGGAGCCCCCAGTCACATTGCACCAAGGACAGACATGTGACAGCCACTGAGGGGCCAAAGCAGTCTTAGCAGGCCAACCCACAATTGCGTGTCATTTCTGATTAGAAGCACATCTCATTTAAAAGATCTTCAAACATTGCTTTTAGCATTTGTACCTAGAGTGAAGCATCACAGATTAAGACCAGGTGTGGTCTCAGCTGGTCCATGTGTCCTGATCCCTGTCTGTTCTCCAACATTATTTTCATATATTCCCCTTAACCACAGTCCTGCTTTGTTGACTTCAACATTCAATCCAGTATATGGACCATTTGAGCTGACCATATTCTAGGTCCCAACCTGAAACTGGTTCTTTCTTCTGGCTTTCCAACCCTGCCTTCACCTATGACATGCCACCATGCTACTTCTCCAGCTACTAAGGCCTGTCATCTAGGCCTGTCTAGAAAGCCAAAAAAATATTTTTCACCCCTTTTCCTCCTGGAGCCACGCCCTGACCTTTATGGCCTGAATTCTGGATTCGTTCATTTATTCGACACGTTTTGACTGGACACCGACTGCTGTTATTTGCAGCTGCAGCATTGTAGAGAGAAGAGGCCAGTATGGCCAGTGGAATCAGGAGAGGACATCTTTACAGATGGCTTTAAATAGGCAGCCCAGGTGGAGAAGAAGAAATAGTTTCGTTGCTGGGCTTGAGCAGCATGATCTCTTTCCAGTTCAATCCACCATGCCTCCTCAACCTGACTTCTCTCCTTTATTCCTTGACTCAAAATCCTTCAAAGTTCCCTCCTGCATCCATGCAGCTCATCCAAGGAGTCTGCATTATCCTGTGCTCAGAGATACAAACAGGGGTGGGATTCAGTTCCTGACCTTAAATTGCTCAGCATGAGGAAGACAGACCAGCAGACCCAGGGTGTGGAGACAGCTGCCTAAGGCTGGGCTAATGAGTGTCTGGGGAGCCAGAGAGGGTGAGACCAATTCTGCTGGGCAGCAGGGAGAGGCTGGCCAGGGGAGGTTCCCAAGAGAAGGTGACATTCATACTGGATGCTGAAAGATGGATAGAAGTTTATCAGCAAGAGGAGGGGGAAGGAAATGTGAAGCAGAGAGCATTCTGGGCAGAGGGAATGGCAAATGAAAAAGCACAGAGTTATGGAAGAGTTAGGGGTCAGGGACATTGGTCCTTCTGCACACCCAGGAAAGGAGGTGCACAGCTAGGGCAATAATGACCCAGATTCCAACCACAACACTGGATGTGATGGCCATATGTTCATCCCCACCATGTGGGTTTAACATTCCTGAGGTTCCCTGAGGCAACAAGAACTAATAATGAGGTTTCAAATGAATACAATCCCATGCAGTCACTTTGAGTCTCATTTCCCCTGCCGCTGCACTGATCTGGCTGGGGTTGTCTGGGCCCAGCCATTGTCATCATCTCCGACTCTGGAAGCAAGGCTCATATCTACAAGTCACTGTGTGGACCGAACAGTGTGAGTTGTGGGACTGAGGCATTGATTTCCCAGCTGTGGCATTGGCAGATGATGGCTTAGATGAGTTTTCATCTTGCTCACTTTCAACTTGCTCTCAGTTACAGAGAGCTGCCTCACCGAAAGATATGTCCCCTTCCAATAGATAACCCCTTCCCATAGACAATCCACATCTAATAGATGGGTAGATGCAGGGGGCAAGGCCTGGACCCCTGGTTTTCGTACAGCAAAACTCTGAGGGACCATCCTAGATCCAGACCCCCAGTGGGATTGGCTGAAACCTTTGTCACATTTGCATCACGGCCCAACTCTGTCTTCCCAATGTTGATCCCAAGGGCATACTCCAGTCAAACTTCCACACACAAATCTGTCTCAGAGTCTGCTTTTCAGGGAATGATTCACAACAGATAGCTTAAGAAGCCTGGTTCCCATTCAAACAAGATCCTACAGGATGGACATAGACCCAGAGACCTCACTCAGAGGAAACTGAAAAACAATTCTGCTTCCCCCAGTTTAGCCCTCGCTCAGTTAAAATCTACTAGGAAATAGATTTCTTTTCCCCTAGAGGTTTGGGAAATTTGTTTGGGAAATTAAAATTGCTTTTTCACAAGCAAGACAACTAAGGGAATTGAGAGCTCCCCCGGGGGTGAGCCGAGATGAAGGCCCTCCTGTGAGGAGATATTGCCAATATACTTAAGAGCAAGAATTTCTATAAATAGCCCCTCGGAATAAAGGAGATGGTATTGCCAGTAACTGCTCTATGACTTCACTTGAAAGCCTCAACAGCAAAGTGATACATATTATAGACAAAAGAGCCAGTCAAACTCGTGTCCGCCCAGCCGGCTCAGTGCCATGGGAGGGCATCCACTCAGCTGCCAGTCCCCGAGGGCAGGGGCCAGGAGCCCAGCTGGTTCCTTTGGGCTCCACTGTAAATGTGGAATTCTAGATAGACTTTTAGTGTCTCTCACAGTCTAGGTGTTTCTCTGGGTGGGGAGTGCTCCTCAAGTCTCTGCTTTTGCAAATTGACTTCAAATGGAATTTAGAAACTTGCTCCCATCCCTACACCACTTTTATCTCCTCCCTAATCCATCTTCTCAGCCCCCACACCATATCCCTGCCCCCCTCTGAAGGGTGGGTCCTCAGAGGTCTATCAGGGAGAACACATGTGCCCTCTGGTCCACTTGATCAGCTGAGACATCTTACCCAGGGCTTACCTGTCAGCTGAGATGAACCTGGCAATGTCACTTCAGAGGCACCAGCAAGGTGTGTCTGAGAGCGAGTGCTGGGGGAGACCTCCAGCCATCTCACCAAGCACCTCTTTTACTCCATGGGAAAAGGAGGTCCAGGGAAGTGAGGTGATCAGAGCCCAGACTGGATTCCTAGGCCAGTGCCCTTGGCACCGGACACTCTGTCGAGCTGCTTTCATCGCATATTATTTGATCACATATTTAGTCAATCACCTTAGTGAATAAATGTTAAGCCCCTAGCATGGACAAGCACAGAGGTAGGTTCACTACAAAGAATTGGGAAAGTCTTGGTGGTGCATGGTGTGACGCCAGAGGCAGGCACACCTAGGAGGATATGGTGGCACACTCTGGAGAAGCACCCAGTGTCTGCAGGAGGCCTTAGCTCCAAGAAATGATGGGTGAAGACTCAGAAAGGCCAGACGAAGGGCCAGGGACAAGTGTCTCTACCTTACAACTTGGCCAGGGGCAGGCCTGACATTCACTCAGCCTCCAGTGTCTAAGAGCAGAGAGTGGGCACTGCTTCCCAGGACCGGCTACATAATTTGCAGGGTCTGGTGCAAAATTAAAATGTGAGGCCCTTTGCTAAAAAAATATTATGCATTTCAAAGTGGTGCAGCAAAGCATTAGACCAAGCACGGGACTCTTCTAAGTATGAGACCCTGTGTGACTGCCGGGGTTGCACGCCCAGGAAGTCAGCCCTGCTCCTACTCAACTTCACCATTTCATTCATGAAGCCAAGGAATGCCAGGCCTCCCATCACCCAATCCAGACACATCCTGAACAAAGGAGGAAGCTGAGACCTACGGAGGTAAAATGACATGTCTATGGTCTCTCAGCTGGTCAGTGGCTGCCTAGTGTCCTTAAAATTTAGCTTCGTCCTGCTTTGGCTAATCAGAACCATACCATATCTATTTGTCTAATTGTTGTGTGCTTGTTTACTTTCTACTAGGAAGCCGGCTATATACAGGATAAAAAGAAGAAAATATGTCCCCTTTATCAAAGAACAAGGTGAAAACACCTGAGGGCAGATCCCTTTACCAGCCCCAGACTCTCCAGCCACCCTTGCTGATTCCTCTTTCTAGGGAAGCAGCCTAGGCCCACCCGAGAAGACCCCCCAGTATCGCCCTCCCTCCCGGGCTCAGGCATAGTACGTGGCACTCCAGGGTGTGAAGGGCACCTGCCTATGGTATAGGCTCACCCATCTGGAGATGGCATCATCCTTGGCAAGGATAGGGGGTGCAGAGCCACAAATCAGGCCTCATAGTCCCAAGGAGGAATGGGTCAAGCAAGCTGCTTTGTCCTTGCACCTTCCATAGGCCTTGGATGTCATGTTGTCACTCCTGGAAGGACCTTGGAGATGAGTAGAGCAACCCTCCCATTTGACAGATGACAGACCTGAGGCCCAGAGGGATGTGTAGAGTCGCAACAAGAACTAAGGTCTCCTGTTAGACAACCCAACTCCCCAGATGCCAATCTCAGCCTATAAATCATGTGACCATATTCCTGGCGGTACTTCCTTCTTTACAGCATAGGAAGGTGGGGGGGAAAAGAGGGACAAGAGGGCGTGATAGAAGGGACTTCCAAACCAGGAAGTCAGTGCCCCTGGCCAGGTCTGCTGTCTTCCAGTTGTGCAAACTTTGCCTTAGTTTCCTTATCTACAAAATGAGGCTACTAATATCTACCTCAAGAGTTGGACTACATCGGCAAGATGCCTAAGCTGCCCAGAAGAGACTTGCCATTATGGCAGGTGCCACACCCTTCTTTCTCCATTTCTTACTCCATGTCAGTGGTCCCAGTGGGGACAACATTCAGATCTATACACTTCTCATGGATGGTGTTAGGTGACACATCCAAACATCGTTGTATTGCCTGTTATACATGGAGCTTAAGAACCTTAGGAGAAAACATTTTAATCATGCATTTAATTAGGATTCCAACTCCTAGGGGCAAACTGGGAGTCAGTGGGAGGTGGGGAGAGATCCTTATTTTGAAGCAACAGAGGCCTAGGACCACATCAGACACTACTAAAATGTCCAGAAATCCATGAGGGAAGCAGGAACTCTAACAGGATTGCTAAGACTGTGCTCAAGCAGGAGGAGGCTAACAAGGTAGTAAGATTCAGGAGTTCCCATTAATGGGTTTCATGGATTCCCTCAGGCCGCTGAGGCTGCAGTTGCCCCCATACACTCTGCCATGAGGAAGCCCAAAGAGGTCCCTAAGAGTGGGGGCTCCAAGATGTTCTGGTCAAATGACAGGCAGTCGGCCATCACCGTCATGAAGCCCTTTCTCTGCTGGCTTCTGGCCTTGGAGGCTCTCCTGAGTGTGGACTGATACCTCCTTTCCTGCCCCCTCTCACTGATCACAGTGCCTTTCAAAATGAGGTGCACCTGTCTGTGGTTCCCAACGCCCAGGCACCTCCCTTCCGAGTCAGCCAGGAGCCCTCACCGAGCTGCTTTCCCCAGAGCGCCCACCCTGCCACCCCTCCCCCAGCCAGCCCCAGCCCTGCCTCCCACTTTGTCCTGGACACACAGGTCATATTTTCCTGCAATGATGACAAAGGGTGCTGTGATTTGAGGGAACATACTTCATGCAGATCCCTAGTGGTAGACATTTGTGATTTTGTTGACCCTTTAGGAGACTGGGGAATGTTCCTTCCTCAAGGAGAGGTGGAATCTTGGGAGGTCTGAATTCAGCACAGATTAGAATGGCAGAGTAGTTAAAGCAGGATGTGGAGCCTGATCTGCCTTCCAATCCTGGTTTGGCCACTTACCCATCTGGTCCCTCACACAGGTTACTACACCTCTCTAAGCCTGCATTTCCTCATCTGTAAAATGGCCAGAACGACAATCCCTTCTATGGAGGAGTGAATAAGAAGGCTCGAGTAAAGAACTCTGCACTGCGCCTGGCATGCAAGGAGCCCTTGGTAAACATGCAAAGCAGTGGCTGCTCTGGATAATCCCCAACGTTCTCCCTATCTAGTCCCTCATGCAACCCACTTGCAAGATTACAACAGCTTCTTCACTTGACTCCCCCCAAACACAACTGGGTGGCTTAAGCAACAGAAATTTATTTTCTCACAGTTCTTGGAAATCCAAGATCAGGGTGTCAGCATGGTCAAGTCCTGGTGAGGACTCTCTTCCTGGCTTGCAGACAGCTGCCTTCTCACTGTGGCCTCATGTGGTGGGGAGAGAGACCAAGCTCTCTGCTGTTTTTTCTTATTAAGCCACTGATCTCATCATGCAGGCTCCATCCTTGAGACCATATCTAAACCTAACTACCTCCCAAAGGCTCCATCTCCAAATATCATCACATGGGGAGTTAGGGCTTCAACATATGAATTTGGGGGGGACAATTGATTGAATCACATCACTTCAGAAATACCCACAGGTAACATTCACACTTCTTGGCACGATAGCCAAGCCCCAAGTGTGCAATAAGGCCTCACTCCCCTTCTGGTTCATCCCTCCCTGCCCCCTCCTCCAGGTGTATTTCATCCCCTCCTGCCCTCGCTCCTACTGACTGTCAGCTTCAAAGCTCTTTGGACCCAGAGACATCCTCCCCTCTCACGGTCCCTCTCCTTTAGGAAGTTCTTCCCATCCCATCCATGGGAGCCTATCACACTTCTGTGGTCCCTCCATGCTAGCCTGGACCTCTCTCCCACAGCAGGCCTCTTGCTGGGGTTTGTAACACAGGCCTGTCTCCCCAAAGGAGAAGAGGGAAGAACATCATCCTGGTCATCTCTGTGCACTCCCCAGTGCCTGATACAGCATTGGATGAGTGTTGTTGGATCAATGAATGGAATCATTAAGTAATTATCAAATTATTCCAGATAAGTACGAGTCTCTACCCTCTACATTTCAGACCCAGCATTGTAGACAAGGAGAACAGGGAGAGAGCCCCAGGTGCACACATTCCTGTGCTAAGAGCAGCATTTTAAGGGTAACAAGCAGCCAGCTGTGCCCCTGCACCCCCTGTGCCCCCCACAGCCGCCAGCATAGGCACACTACAGAGTCTTCACTGGCTTCCCTGAGAAATCCATCCATCACACCAGACACTTCACTTTCTTTGGTTCATGGGGTCACCAGGAGGGACCACACCACAGGGCTCACGCATTTCCTTGGGAACGTCCGTCCTTGCACAGCCGTCACCCGCAGCTGTTCTGCAGCCCTCATGACCTGTCTGCTTCCTCCTTGTTTCCCCAGGCACTTGATGCCTCCAACAGCTGCCTGGTCCTGAGCAACCCCTCCTTCCCAGAAGCTCCTGTTTCTGCCTGTGTGCCCAAACCATCACTCCTGCAGCACAAAGGACTCTCTGGTTATGGAAACACCCACCGGAGATGCCAGTGGAGGATGCAGAAAACATTTAAAAACATATCCTGCAAGGCTGAGCATAGAGTTCTGGAGATCAGCCACCTCACAGAGAGAGGAAGGGAGTGGCGGGGCCTTGACTTGTCCATCTGTTTGATTTCTTTAAAGTGGAAGGCAGGCAAGGGGTTCCAAAGCCAAGTGACAAATGAGAGAGGTACAGGCTTGGCTGTAAGGCATGTATATTGGGGGCAGTGTAAACTTCATAATTTTTTTTAAATTGTTTTTTAAACAAAACCACTTGGGGACAGAAATACAACATCCTTCAGGCCAGCCAACCTGGCAGGGGGCCCTCCACCCTGCTCTTCCCGGCCCTACCCTAGGACCCACACTCCTGTTCCCCTCCCGGCCTCAGCTCTTTCACTCCTTGCCTCTTGGGACCCAAACATCTCTCCCTCCAAAACCAGCCTGGCCCAACCGGCCCCCAATTCCTTCCCCAGTCCGCACACCCTTGCCTTCTTTGTGGGAGCCCTCAGGCTTCTCAGCGCTGCCAGACCACAGAGACAACAGCAAAAATAACTAACAAAGCAGATGCCTAGAGCAGCCACGAATATTCTTTCAAATCTCATAGGAAGAATTAACCCAGAGGCTCCCTGGAAATCCAATGTGGGCCAATTTCCACTCTGCCACAGCAATTTCACTTGAGCTTCTGGTGTTTGGACTCTGACTCACTGACCTTTAAATTCCTGGCTGGTGCACCTGGATCTCAATCCTCCTTGAGAAAGTGGGACCGCAGGAATGAGGAGGAAGGTGAGGAGGAACCATGGCAGGCACCAGTTCCATGAAAAACAGTCACACTTCCGTTTCACGGGGACCCCTAGACCTTGCTGTCTGCCAGAGCCATGAGGGAAACCCCTCCTAAGAGCAAGTCCCAAACCAGGCGGGCCCCTCAGCTGTCTCCTCTGTGCCCTGCTCTTCACCATCCCCCACTTTTTCCCAATCCATTTTCCTCTCCCTTTTATGACTTGAGAGGATAATCCTTCCCCATTTTGCTGTCACCAAAAGGAGCTGTGCCCACATATAGTGAAAAGGGCTTATTTTTTATAATAATAACATTCTTTAAAACTTTTTAATGAAGAATAACTGACATCCAGAAAAGTATATATATCACATGTGTTCAGCTCAGTGAACTTTCACAAAGTGAACGCCCTTGTGAAACAAGCTCCCAGGTCAAGAAATAGAGTGTGAGTAACTTCCAGAAGTCCACCATGGCCTTTTCCAGGCACTATCTTCCCACCAACGGGGAGTGCTATCCTGACTTCTAACAGCACCGATTCATTAGCCTGTTTTATGCTGTACTTCAGAGGAGTCATACAGTGAGAATTCATTTGTTCCTGGCTTGCACTCAACATTATGCTTGTGAATTTCACCCATCCTGTTTCTTGCAGTTGTAGTTCTTCACCCTCATTGTTATATAGTATTCCATTGCTAAACTAGGGTACTGATATGGCTTGACTCTATGTCCGTGCCAAATGTCATGAATTGTAATCCCCAATGTTGGAGGTGGGGCCTGGTGGGAGGTGTTTGGGTCACATGGGTGGACCCCTCATGGCTTGGTGCTGTCCTCCCCTTAGTGAGTGAGTTCTCGCAAGATCTGGTTGTCATAAAGTGTGGTACCTCCTCCTCCACTCTCTCTTGCTCCTGTTTTTGCCATGTGACCTGTCTGCTCCTGTTTCACCTTCTACCATGAATAAAAGCTCCCTGAGGTCTCCCCAGAAGTAGAGCAGATGCCCACACCATGTTTGCTGTACAGCCTGCAGAACCAAGAGCCAGTGAAATCTTTTTTCTTTATAAATTACTCAGTCTTGAGTACTTCTTTACCATGATGCAAGAACAGCCTCATACAGGTACCTCTTATTTATCCACCCTCCCACTGATGGACATGTGAGTTGTTTCAGTTTGGGCTATTAAAAATAATGCTATTATGCAGGGAAGACTTTCTAAGGGCTCTGCCTGTGTCCTCACAAAGCTGTCTTCCTCCCTGCAGGTTAGAAGGACAATGAAAGTTGGGACCATGGAGTCTTCTGAAAGATTCTAGGAAGAGCTGTCCCATTTGGTATCATTCGTGGGGTGGCATTGGATCATCCTGCCACAATCCATCTCTCTTCTAATAGAGAGCCCCAATTTCCTGGAATGCTAACCTTCCTCTTTTGGGTTCATCGTCTTGCCCAAGGTCACAGCTAATATTTGGTCAAAGCAGGAGGTAGACTGTGATCTCTCTGAGCACTGAACTCATATGCTCTTACCACTATCTCTCTCATATTAAGAAACCCTCTCCCCAAGGTCATTATTAAAATGAGCCTATCATGACTAGGAACAGGTAGCACCCATTAACACCCAAGCATAAAATTTTTTAGGAAAGGAACTCCAGGAGGTCGAGGCTGCAGTGAGCCATGTCTACAACATTGCACTCCAGCCTGGGCAACAGAGTGAGACTCCATCTCAAAAAAAAAAGAAAGAAAGAAAAAAAGAAAAAAAGAAAAAAAAAGGTGGGGAGCTCCAAGACTAGGTCAGTATAGATATGACTGGGGGCGGGAGGGTGGAGGCCAGGAGAGAATGAGGCATCCAGGGAGCAAAGAGAAGGCAGTGGAGGCCTGTAGGTAAGGGGGGCAGTAAGGGAGACTAGAGCTGTTGGGAGGCCGAGTAGACTTGGATTTAGGTTTCCCAAGCCCCAACTCGAGGAGAATCGCCAGCATGACTTTTGTTATATTCAAGTGCCATCTGCACCACTACTGACTGTTTTTCTAAAACTAAATATATTTCAAAAGGAAACTTTATATATCCATTCTAAATCCCTACCAGAATCATTTGCCAAAAATAGAATATAACTGTAGAAAATAAATACAATGAGAACAATAGCATGTTGTTAAATTCTAACTAAATAGTTGTCTGCCAAAAAAATGTGAGCCTGAGGCCTATTTTCTGTCTGTTAAAAAGAGACTCTAGCTTGAGTTAGGGAGGTGTGGAGAACATTACCACCATGATAAATACTCCTTGATACAATCAGAAAGATTAGGAAACAAATTAGAAAGGGCGTAACTTTCTCACCCTGCAATTCAAAGTTATTATATAGTGGGTTGATGAACCACTTAAAATGACCTCCACACCAGCAGCGTAACATGTCCTTCAGTAAAGAAATTCTCTGGTAGAGAATCAGGGCTTGTCTTGTTTTTGTAAAAAGAGCCCAAACCTCCACCCCAGAGGAGCCCTGAGAAATGGGGGTTGTGGTTGAGAAGCAAATCTGGAGCATTTCTAGGGAGGTTGCAACAAACAGGGCCCCCCAGGGTGGCAGGGAATGGAGTCTGATCAAGTGCAACTTCTCCCATCCTTCCCATTAGCTTTCCTGAGATCTGCCAGGAAAGCAAAAGCCATTCAAAGGTTAGCGCCAGGAAAGGGAGATCTAGCAAGTTCTGCTGAGAGTCTTTGGCTTGGGTTCCCTCTTCCTTCTTCTTCCTTCTTCCTCTTTCCCCTCCCTCACCCCACTTCATTTCTCCCATCTCTGGCTGTAGCCCATCTCTTAATGTGCATGAAGTAGAAAAATAGGAGGCACTGGTGCAGCTACAGCCAAGAAAGATGGTTAACCTTGGGAAAAACAGAAGCCAGAAGCCAGAAACAGACTTAACTTTTGACTCCTTAAAATGAAAAGGTTTTTTTGTTTATAGCAAAATGCACAATTAAACAACACTTGAAAACAAAAGCAGTTGGAAAATGTTTACAATATAGAAGTTAGTGTCCCTACCATACAAAAAGAGCTTCTACAAATCTATATGAAAATAAACAAACAGCTCAACAGAAAAATGTGCAAAAGATATAGACAAGAAAATTTCAGAGGAAGAAATGCAAATAGCTAATACACATGTGAAAAGATGATATCAGAGTCGTTATCAGAGAAATTTAAATTAAAACACAGTGCTATGTTAGACCCCTCATATTGGGAATATGAAAGGCCTGATAATATCCAATGGTGGAAGCATTGAAAGAAAAGAGCACTTTTTTTTCTTTTTCAACTTTTATTTTAGATGCAGGGGGTACATGTGCAGATTTGTTACATGAGTATATTGCATGATGCTGAAGTTTGGGGTATGAATGAGCCCATGATCCAGGTAACAAGCATAGTACCCAATAGTTAGTTTTTCAAACCTATCCCCCTCCCTCCTCCCTCTAGTAGTTCTTAGTGTCTATTGTTGCCATCTTTAATGTCCATGAGTACCTGATGTTTAGCTCTCACCTGTAAGTGAGAACACATGATATCTGGTTTTCTGTTCTTGTGTCAGTTCACTTAGGATAATGGTCTCCAGCTGTATCCATGTTGTTGCAAAGGACATGATTTCACACTTTTTTATGGCTGTGTAGCACTCCATGGTGTATATGTACCACATTTTCTTTATCTAATCCACCATTAATGGGCACCTAGGTTGATTCCATGACTTTGCTATTGTGAATACTGCTCCAATGAACATATCTGTTCATGTGTCCTTTTGGTCAAGTGATTCATTTTCTTTTGGGTCAAATGGTAGCTCTATCTTAAGTTCTGTGAGAGATTTTCACCTGCTTTCCACAGTGGCTGAACTAATTTACATTATCACCAAAAGTGTATAAGCATTTCCTTTTTCTCTGCAGCCTTGCCAACATCTGTTGTTGCTTTTTGACTTTTTAATAATAGCCATTCTAACTGGTGTGAGATGGTTTCTCACTGTGGGTTTAATTTGCACTTCTCTGATGATTAGTGATGATAAATGCTTTTTTAATATGTTTGTTGGCCACTTTTATGTCTTCTTTTGAGAAGTATCTGTTCATGACTTTTGCCCATTTTTAATGGGGTTATTTTTTGTTTGTTTGTTCAATTGTTTAAGTTCCTTATAGATTCTGGACATTAGACCTTTGTCAGATACATAGTTTGCAAATATTTTCTTCCATTCTGTAGGTTGTCTGTGTACTCTTGATAGTTTATTTTGCTGTGCAGAAGCTCTATAGCTTAATTCAGTCCCACTTGTCAATTTTTGTTTTTGTTGCAATTGCTTTTGAGGACTTAGTCATAAATTCTTTCCCAAGGCCCATGTCCAGAGTGGTGTTTCCTAGGTTTTCTTCTAGGATTCTTGTATTTTGAGGTCTTACATTTAAATCTTTAATCCACCTTGAGTTAATTTTTATATATGGTGAAAGGTAGGGGCCCAGTTTCATTCTTCTGCATATGGCTAGCCAGCTATCCCAGCACCATTTATTGAATAGGGAGTCCTTTCCCCATTACTTATTTTTGTCAGCTTTGTTGAAGATTAGATGGCTGTAGGTGTACGGCTTTATTTCTGGGCTCTCTATTCTGTTCCATTGGTCTATGTGTTTGTTTTTGTACCAGTACCATGCTGTTTTGGTTACTGTAGCCTTCTAGTATAATTTGAAGTCAGGCAATGTGATGCCTCCAGCTTGGTTCTTTTTGCTTAAGATTGCTTTGACTTTTCTAGCTGAAAAGAACATTCCCATATGTTGTGCTTTGTCTGAATGTCTTCAGAATACAATCTGATCAAGTCTATTAACATTTCATCTACGCTTTGACCCAGAAACTCACTTTTAGGAATCTACCCTTTGGGAATACACACACATTCAAGGATATTTGTACATAGATATTTCTTGCAGCATTATTGATAATAGTGCACAGTTAGAGGCATCTTTAATGTCTACCAATAGAGGAATGGTTATATACAGTACAGAATATTCATATTATGTGATACTATGCTTTCTATCAATAAATGAGATAGGACTGTTTTGAATATGGATATTCTTGAGTGAAAACAGAAAGTTGCAGAACATTATGTATAAATCCACATATACCCAAAATGAGATCAAAGCATTTAGGGAGTAGTGAATTAAATACATTTTATTTAATAATCGGTAATTACATTGTTAATATTCTTCAATGTATTTACCTTTGCATGTTCATATTATTCTAGCACTTTTAGTGCCTGCTGAAATATTATTTGAACATCTCTTTTAAAATTGCCTTGCAATGATGGCCTGTTTTGTCAGACTTGATGACTTGGTGTCAGATCCTCTCCTTTCATGGTTTATTTCAATCTGGATAATAGCCAGAAGTCCTACAGTAACAAAATGGTCATAAACACACTTCATTATATTTTTATCTCCCCAAATTGCCAAGGATTAAGCTTGTACTAAGTTGTATTCAGCTCAAAAGGCAAACTTCCCAAAGAACATTAACAGTGTAGGCCAACACCAATGAAGCTCACAGTGCCCTGGAGTGTGATAACCATGAAGACTCTGGATACTCAGCACAGAAGGTTCTCAAAATAAGTCTAGCATCCAGACACCCTCCATCCAGACATATCTGTTGGTGGTGGCCCTGTTGGACAATCTATTCTAGCTGACCTCATACACATAGGAGAAGATGGAAAAGGCACACTGAAATGCCATTAAGGGTTTCACTTGGGGATGAGGAGTGGAAGAAGGGGGGCTTGATAGGGACTTTATTTCATGTATAAACCTTTATATTGTTTGCATTTTTCAATGACTATGTACCAACTCAATTAAAAATATTTTCACAAATTGAACAACCATCACCAAAAGGAATGACTCAATAAGCATTGTGGTAACCATGTTTTGCCTCATGGGAGATCTGCATTCTGCTTGGACTCAATATGGAAGTTACTCTTTTAACCAAAGAAATCAAGGATGAAGGCCCCACCACTGCCATGTTGGAGTTATAATATTGAGTGTTCAAATTAAAGAGCTGTAGAAGCAAAACTGCAGTGACACAAATAAAGAAAGGGAAGCCATTGGGGAGTAATAAGTAGTTAGTAGCAAGCAGTTAGCAAAAAGCATATTGAAAGATGCAATATCTTTTAAATACCAATGATGGAGCCTGCTTTTAAAAAGAACTTCCAGCAAGTAAAAGCAGATCATTTTGAAATGCCTTTGAAAGTTGTTTCCACCATTATTTTTCTACATTCACTCCTGGTTTGCTTTCATATGGTATTTATCACAATTTGAAGTTATTCTAATTATTGTCCACTTATTTTTTGTCTCACCCATAAAATGTAAGTCCACAGGAATAGGGACCCTATCTGTCAATTACACTCTCTGGCAAATAATAGATGCTCAATTGATTTGTTGGATGACTGTGTGGATTAATGAAAATAATAATAAAGACCCTGATATAAGGAAATAACAACCTCAGAACAATCTACTGTGGGACAAAAATAGAATAGAAACTCATTTGCGATAAAAAATAAAAAGAGTCCTGCAGGTCATAAGAAGAGATTTGCACCAGAGATTAGAGAGACTATACTAATGGTTTTTACTAGTTCCTTAGTGAAGAAAAATTACAAATTAATACCTTGGTTTTACTTCCTAAGTCAATACCTAAAACTTATAAATGGTTGCATACACATATATGTTAACAAGTCAATTGTTATATAAAGCATACAGATTCTTCCATCCATAATGTGAGCTGGGTGTTTGGAAAGAGCATGGGTTTGGGGCAAGACCAATGTGGGTATGAATTACAGCCCCAACTCCATAAAAGAGCATGTGTGGTCCTGATTCAAACAAACTGTGGGGAAACATTGATGAGACAATTGGGGAGATTTGAACACTGGTAGAAAGATGACTTTAGGGAATTTTTCATTTGGACAGGTGGTGATAATAGCATTGTGGTTACATTTAAAAACAGGCCTCATCTATGTAGGCACATGTGTTGTAGATGAAGTGGTATAATGTCTGGGATTTGCTTTAGAATAATTGGGATGAGGGCTAGTTAGGAGAATGGATAAAAAAAGATCAACCATAAGTTGATGCTTGTTGAAGCTGGGTTGTTGGCTGCACAAAACTTCACCATTTTTTCTTTTCTTTCTATTTTTGTATAAATTTGAAAAATTTTCATAATCAAAAGTTAAAAAACAAATCACTATGTATGTAAAAGTTAGAGTAACACCATGTGAGTGATGCTAGGTAAGTTTCCAGCCTTCTCTGAGCTTCAGTTTCCTTGTCTGAAAATTGGGATAATAGTAGCAACTACCTTGTAGATTGCTACGAGGTTTCAATAATGAAATACAGATATAAAACTTGGAACAGTGTCTGGCACATAGCAAGAGCTCATAAATAGCAATTGTTGATATTAATTTTTTCAGAGAGAGAAAGAGCATAAAGTATGGACACACCAGTATTAAAATGTTAACAATCTTGGGAGAGAGATTATAAGTGATTTTAATGTTATTTATTTTGTTTGACCATATTTTCTGATATTTTAAAAAATGAATATGTATTATGTTTATAATAAAAATTAAGTGAGAAGGCAGGTGCAGTGGCTCACGTCTGTAATCCCAACACTTTTGGAGGCCAAGGTGAGAGAATTGCTTGAGCCCAGGAGTTTGAGACTAGCCTGGACAACATGGGGGGACCCATATCTATAAAAAGTTTTAAAATTGGCTGGGCATGGTAGTGCATACCTGTGGTCCCAGCTACTCAGGAGGCTAAGGCAGGAGGATCGCCTGAGCCCCGGAGGTCAAGGCTGCAGGGAGCCTTGATAGCACCACTGCACTCCAGCCCAGGAGACTGAGTGAGACCCTGTCTCAAAAAAAAATTAAAATAAAATAAAAATCAAACCACAATATTGCTTCAAATCCTTTTATGAATGAAGTTAAATTACCTAACCAATCAAAGTTTAATGAGCATGATATTAAATTACTTATTAATAGAAGGCTAGCAAGGATCCAGGGAAGATCAAGACACAAGAAGGGAGGTGTGGCCAGGTGTAGGGGAGAGGATAAAGTTGGGAAGTGTTGGGGAGCCCTTCAGAGAGGAAAGAGGCCTCAGAAAGCCCTCTGGGGACAGCTTGCCCCATGTGGCAGTCCTTTCTGCTTTCTTTTCTTCCTTTGAGAAGGTTCAATCCTCTTTACTGTCAATATATGTTCTCTTAGAAGAAAGCACCCTCTCTAACAGCCTCAATGGTCACGCTTCATAGGCAGCTCCCACCCAAGCCCACATTTCCAATCCCCACTTCTGCTCAGGCTGTCTCCCCACTGCCCGTACAGCAATTTCAACTTGGCCTGCCCATTTTCACCTTAAATTTCATTGCGTCTACAATGGCATGAATCCTCTCCCCAGCCCCACAAGTGACACTTATTAACTGCCTTTCAGATTCCTCTAGACGTCCAACCCCCAGAGTAAAACCCTCCCTTTCCTTCTGCCCTCAAAAATGATTCTATTTGACAACATCTATATAGTAGCATAGTAGCATAGTATGTGCCAGGAACTGGGGTTAAATAGATGACAGTATGGTAGCTTTGCACTCAGGAGTCAACTGCTCATGCCAGTCTTCCTGTTTGGAATGGCCTTTGATGATTTTTCCCTCAATAAACTGCTATTCACCCTTCAATGCCCAGTCAAATGTGACTTATTTTGTGACACTTTTTCCAGCTTCTTCCTCTGAGGCCTCAGCTTAACAACTGTTGCCTTGTATTGTGTTTATTTGCTGTGGAAGAGGCTCCTAATTGTCCCCCAATATTTATTATATTTTTTCTCCCATAACAGTAGACTCCCTAAATTTTAGCCCAACAAGTGATCTCCCAGAATAAAGACTACATTTCGGCCAGGTGCGGTGGTTCACGCCTGTAATCCCAGCACTTTGGGAGGCTGAGGTGGGTGGATCACGAGGTCAGGAGATCGAGACCATCCAGGCTAACATGGTGAAACCCCGTCTCTACTAAAAATACAAAAAAATTAGCTGGGTGTGGTGGTGGGTGCCTGTAGTCCCAGCTACTCGGGAGGCTGAGGCAGGAGAATGGCGTGAACCCGGGAGGCGGAGCTTGCAGTGATCCCGCCACTGCACTCCAGCCTGGGAGACAGAGACTCCGTCTCAAAAAAAAAAAAAAAAAAAGACTACATTTCCCCAGCCTGGGCAAAATAGTGAGACCCCATCTCTACAAAATTTTTTAAAAATGAGTTAGGTATTGTGGCTTGTGCCTGTAGACCCAGCTCCTCTGGAGGCTGAGGTGAGAAAATCACTTGAGCCCAAAAGTTCAAGGCTGTGATAAGCTGTGATTGCACCACTGTACTGCAGCCTGGGCAACAGAGTGAGGCCATCTCTAAAAAAAAAAGAAAGATTCAATTTTCCAGTCTCCCTTCTAGTTCACTGTGGCCATGTGATCAACTTTCATTCAATCGGATGTGAATAGAAAGAAGGTGAGGTATACAACTTCTAGGGAGAAACTTTGAAGGGGAAGCTTATTATCTTTTCACTCTCTCCATCCTTGTGAGGAGACCAGAGAGGTGGTGGTGAACCATGTTGGTTCAAGCAGCTGAGGGCAACATCCAATGGAGAAGAGCTTCCATACTATTCCCTGGAAGCCTAGCTGTAGTCGTTAAGTAAAAGAGAAAGAAACCACTTTATTTAAGCAACTGTTATTCTGTGTCTCTGTAACATGCAGCTAAGCCTATTTCTTAAATAATATACTTGCCTACCTCTGATCCCCACCTGGAGGTTGTATAATTCTTGAAGGTATTACATGCGTGTAATTGAAATGCCCAAATAACAGAATGAAGAGTGTGAGGCAGAAGGAATAATTAAAAACACAATCACTGAGAATTTTTCAAAACTGACCAAAAAAAATTATCAAGCCATAGATTCAAGAAGCTGTAGGAACTAAAGCAGGATAAATACAAAGAAAACCATAATACACACATCATAATAAAACTGCTGAAAACCAAGACAAAGAGAAAAATCTTGAAAGCGGTCAGAAAAAAATAAAAAAAGACAAATTTATATGCCCAGTGCTTGGCATAGAACAGGTCCTTGAGAAATATTTTTTGAGTAAATAAGTGATGGTTTGGATGAGTATTTGATAGACTAAGATTGCATCGTTGTGAAGCATGCTATGGTAGACAGCACTGGAATGGGCATCAGGAGACCTAAGTGCTAAGTCCAGCTATGCCTTAATTAGCAGGCTAAAATTAGATGGGCCCCTTCTCCCCTCCAGACCTTTGTTTCCTTGCTATAAAATGAGGAAGCCAGATTTCTGCCCTTGATAATGGCAGAGCAGTTGGGCACGGTGGCTCACTCCTGTAATCCCAGCACTTTGGGAGGCCAAGTTGGGCAGATAATTTGAGGTCAGGAGTTCAAGACTAGCTTGGCCAACATGATGAGACCCCATCTCTACTAAAAATACAAAAATTATCCAGGCCTGGTGGCATGCACCTGTAATCCCAGCTACTCGGGAGGCTGACGTAGGAGAATCGCTTGAATCCAGGAGGCGGAGGTTGCAGTGAGCCGAAATCGTGACACTGCACTCCAGCCTGGGCGACAGAGTGAGTCTCCGTCTCAAAAAATAAAACGTACAAAATAAAAAAATAACAGCAGAGCAGCTTGTTGAAGACCAACCTCCCACTGAGAATATCTTAAAAAACTAGACGATACAAAAGGCCACGCACACACACAAAAAGTATTGGAGAGATGCCTTGTCAGCCAGGACTTGAGGAGATAGGACCTTGGGGGAAGGGAACCAGACTGACGTGAGTTCAACAATCTGCCAGCACTTTCCCCAACAAAGTGCTTGCTGACTCATAAGCAGTTGGCTGTAAGTGGATGGATGGTATTTCAGAGTTTAGGAAGCTCACCTTAGCTGTCAGCAGCTGCACAGAATTGAGGAGACAAAAATTGGAGTGTGTGCTAAATGCTTTCTTTGCCCTAGAAGCAATAAAAGTACTAACTTACAGTGAAATCATGAATGTGTGTTGTAATTTCTGAGGTAATCACTAAAAGAACAGTAAAATAATGTATGACTAACAAGTGGTTAGAGGAGGAAATGGAATTATTAAAATACTTGATTTGTCCATAATCCAAAAAGACAAAATGCAGATTTGTGGTTACCAGGGACAGGGGAAAGGGAAAATTGTGGAGCAACTGCTTAACGGATATGGGATTTCCTTCTGGAATGACGAAAATGTCTTGAAATTAGATAGACGTGTTGGTTATACAACATTGTGAAGTGCCATGGGTTGTTCACTTTAAAATGGTTAATTTTATGTTAGATGAATTTCACTTCAACAAAAATAAAAAATATAATAATGTTAAAAATACTTGATTTCTCCAAAAGAAGGCAACAAAAAAAGAGGAAAAGAAATACACAACAGATGGGACCAAAAAAAAAAAAAAATAGTAAAAGCAAGATGGTAGAATTAAATCCAGTGCATCAATAATTTACATTAAATGTAAATGGCCCTAATATATCAAACAAAAGACAGAAATTTTCATAAAACCCAATTATATGCTGCTTATAAAAGACACATCTAAATATCACAATGCAGGAAGGTCAAGTAAAGGAAGGAAAAAGATGTATTATATAAACACAAACCTAAGGAAAACTCTAGAACTGAACTAATATCAGACAAAGTAGACTTAGAGGAAGAAGCATTACTAGAGATAAAAAGGAACAATTCATAATGATAAAATCCAATCCACCAGGAAGCCATGATAATTCTAAATTTGATTGCAACTAATAACAATTTCAAACATATGAAGCAAAACTAGACAGAATTAGAGAGAAATAAACAATCTATAGTCATATTGGAAGATTTAACATGCTTCTCTCAATAATTGATAGAAAAAAATCACAAAAATATCTAAGATTTAAACACTGCAATATATAAACTTGACCCAATTAACTTATAAAGAATTTGCATTCAACAACTATATGATATACACTTTTTCCTGTTTTTCCGAACTTTTATATTTACTAAAATTGATTGTACATGGGGCCATAAAGCAAGTCTCAACACAATTCATAGGACTGAAATCATATAGTGTACATGCTCTGACCATGTACAGTAGGATTAAGCTAGCATCAGAAACAAAAAGATAACAAGATAAGTTTAAGAGATCCATTGTACAACAGAGTGACTATAGTTAATAACAATGTACTGTAATTTTTTTTTTTTTTTGAGACAAAGTTTCACTCAGTTGCCCAGGCTGGTGTGCAGTGGTGTGAACATGGCTCACTGCAGCCTCGATCTTCTAGGCTCAAGCAATCCTCCTGCCTCAGCCTCACCTGTATTCTTGAAAATTGCTGAGAGTAAGATTGTAAGTATTCTCATCACAAAAAAAAGTATGTGAAGTAATGCATATGTTAATTAGCTCAATTTAGCCATTCCACAATGTGTACATATTTCAAAACATTACATTGCATATGATAAATATATACAATTTGTATTTGCCAATTTAAAAACTAAATTTTAAAAACAGGCAAAAGGTCTTGAACAGATGTCTCTTCAAAGAAGATATACAAAAGGCCAATAAGCACATGAAAAGATGCTGAATACCAGCCACTGCAAAAACACACTGAAGTACACAGACCAATGACACTATGAAGAAACTGCATCAACTAGTCTGCAAAATAACCAGCTGGCATCACGATGACAGGATCAAACTCACTAGTAATAATATTAACCTTAAATGTAAATGGGCTAAATGCCCCAATTAAAAGACACGGACTGGCAAACTGGATAAAGAATCAAGACCTATAGGTGTGCTATATTCAGGAGACCCATCTCACGTGCAAAGACATACATAGGCTCAAAATAAAGGGATGGAGAAAAATTTACCAAGCAAATGGAAAGCAGAAAAAAGCAGCAGTTGCAATCCTAGTTTCTCACAAAACAGACATTAAACCAACAAAGATAAAAAAGGACAAAGAAGAGCATTACATAATGGTAAAGGGATTAATTCGACAAGAAGAGTTAACAATCCTAAATATATATGCACCCAATACAGGAGCACCCAGACTAATCACACAAGTTCTTAGAGACCTACAAAAAGACTTAGACTCCCATGCAATAGTAGTGGAAGACTTTAACACTTCATTGTCAATATTAGACAGATCATCGAGACAGAAAATTAACAAAGATATTCAGGACTTGAACTCAGCTCTGAATCAAGTGGACCTGATAGATATCTACAGAACTCTCCACCCCAAAACAACAGAATATACAAGCTTTTCAGTGCCACATGGCACTTACTCTAAAATCTATCACATAATTTGAAGTAAAACACTCCTCAGCAAATGTAAAAGAACTGAAATCGTAACAGTCTCTCAGACCACAGTGCAATCAAATTAGAACTAAGATTAAGAAATTCACTCAAAACCAAACAACTACACAGAAATTGAACAACCTGCTCCTAAATGACTCCTGGGTAAATAATAAAATTAAGGCAGAAATCAAGAAGTTCTTTGAAACCAATGAGAACAAAGAGACAATGTACCAAAATCTCTGGGACGCAGCTTAAGCAGGGTTACAAGGAAAATTTATAGCACTAAATGCCCACATCATAAAGCTAGAAAGATCTCAAATCGACACCCTAACATCACACCTAAAAGAACTAGAGAAGCAAGAATAAACAAATCCAAAAGCTAGCAGAAGACAAGAAATAACTAAGATGAAAGTGGAACCGAAGGAGACACGAAAAATCCTTCAAAAAATCAATGAATCCAGGAGCTAGTTTTTTGAAAAAATTAATAAAATAGATATACCACTAGCTAGACTAATGAAGAAAAGAGAGAAGAATCAGAGATCAAATAGACACAATAAAAAATGATAAAGGGGATATCACCACTAACCCCACAGAAATACAAACAACCACCAGAGAATACTATAAACACCTCTACACAAATAAACCAGAAAATCTAGAAGAAATGGATAAATTCCTGAACACATACACCCTCCCAAGACTAGGCCAGGAAGAAGTTGAATCCCTGAATTGCCCGAAAACAAGTTCTGAGATTGAGGCAGTAATAAATAGCCTGTAGTAACCAAAAAAAAGCCCAGGACCAGATGGATTTACAGCTGAATTCTACCAGAGGTACAAATAACCAGCTGGCATTCCTTCTGAAGGATCTGGTACCATTCCTTCTGAAACTATTCCAAACACTATCATCACTCTAATGATAGTTTATTTTGCTGTGCAGAAGCTCTTTAGTTTAATTAGGTCCCATTTGTAAATTTTTGCTTTTGTTGCAATTGCTTTTGATGTTTTTGTCATGAAATCTTTGCCCATGCCTATGTCCTGAATGGTATTGCCTAGATTTTCTTCTAGGGCTTTTATAGTTTTGGGTTTTACATTTAAGTCTTTAATCCATCTTGAGTTAATTTTTGTATAAGGTGTAAGGAAGGGATCCAGTTTCAATTTTCTGCATATGGCTAGCCAATTTTCCCAGCACCATTTATTAAACAGGGAATTCTTTCCCCATTGCTTGTCTTTGTCAGGTTTGTTGAAGAGCAGATGGACATAGATGCGTGGTCTCATTTCTGAGATCTCTATTCTGTTCCATTGGTCTATCTGTTGGTACCATGCTGTTTTGGTTACTGTAGCTTTGTAACATAGTTTGAAGTCTGGTAGGGTGATGCTTCCAGCTTTGTTCTTTTTGCTTAAGATTGCTTTGACTTTGTCTTGGCTATACGGGCTCTTTTTTGGTTCCATATGAATTTTAAAGTAGTTTTTTCTAACTCTGTGAAGAATATCAATGGTAATTTAATGGGAATATCATTTAATCTATAAATTACTTTGAGCAGTATGGCCATTTTCACAATATTGATTCTTCCTATCCACAAGCATGGAACTTTTTTCCATTTGTTTGTGTCCATTGTTTGCAGCCAACAAACATATGAAAAAAAGTTCAACATCACTGATCATTAGAGAAATGCAAATCAAAACCACAATGAGATACCATCTCACACCAGTGAGAATGGCAATTATTAAAAAATCAAGAAACAACAGATGCTGGTGAGGCTGTGTAGAAATAGGAATGCTTTTACACTGTTGGTGGAAATGTAAATTAGTTCAACCATTGTGGAAGACAGTGTGGCAATTCCTCAAGGAGCTAGAACCAGAAATACCATTTGATCCAGCAATCCCATTACTGGGTATATACCCAGAGGAATATAACTCATTCTGTTATAAAGATATAAAGATACATGCACATGTATGTTCATTGCAGCCCTATTCACCATAGCAAAGTCATGGAATCAACCGAAATGCCCATCAATGATGGACTGGATAAAGAAAATGTGGTACATATACACCATGGAATACTATGCAGCCATAGAAAGGAACGAGATCATGTCCTTTGCAAGAATATGGATGGAGCTGGAAGCCATTATCCTCAGCAAACTAACACAGGAATGGAAAACCAAACACTGTATGTTCTCACTTATAAGTGAGAGCTGAACAATGAGAACACATGGACACAGGGAGGGGAAAAACACACACTGGAGCCTGTTAGGGGGTGGAAGGAGGGAGAGCATCAGGATAAATAGCTAATGCATGCAGGGCTTAAATACCTAGGTGATGGGTTAATAGGTGCAATAAACCACCATGGTACATGTTTACCTATGTAACAAACTTGCATGTCCTGCACATGTATCCTGGAACTTAAAATAAAATTTAAAAAAAAATAAAAAAAATAAAAACATTGAATTCAGTGAAAAAAAAAAAGAAAAGATGTTCAACATCATTCATCATTAGGAAAATGAAAACCAAAACCACAATGAAATACCACTTTCCACCTACTAAGATGGCCATAGCCAAAAACATGGCTATTTTCCATGTTTCCAACAAGTGTTGTCGAGGATGTGGAAAACTGAAATTCTTGTGCATTACTGTGGGAATGTAAAATGGTGCAGCTGCTGTGGAAAACAGTTTGATAGTTCCTCAAAAAACTAAACAGAATTAGCACTTGACCTGCAATTTTACTCCTAGGTATATATGTACTCAAAGGAATTGAAAGCAGGGACTCAAATAGATACTTGTATGAGAATATTCATTGCAGCATTATTCACAATAGGCAAAAGATGGAACAACTCAGGTGTTCATCAGCAGGTGAGTGGATAAACAAAATCTGGCATATATATAGAATGGGATATTACTCAGCCATAAAAAGGAATGAAGTTCTGATTCATGTTACAACATGGATGAACTTTGAAACAATACGGTAAGTGAAAGAAGGCAGACACAAAAGGACAAATAATTGTATGATTCCACTTATATGAGATTCTTAGAATAAAAAATTTCATAGAGACAGAAAGTAGAATAGATGTTACCAGGAGTTGGAGAGAAGGGGACGTGGGGTATTATTGTTTAATGGTCAAAGAGTTTCTGCTTGGGATGATGAAAAGTTTTTGGAAATAGTGGTAATTGTTGTACAACAATGGGAATATAATTAATGCTACTGAATTGTACACTTAAAATAGTTAAAATGGAAAATTTTGCTATACATATTCTACCACAGTTTTTAAAAATTAATGTAATACATCAAAACCATTGAATTGTACATTTTAGATGGGTAAATGGTATGCTATGTGAATTATATCTTAATAAATGGTTTTTTAAAAAAAAGATAAGAAAATCCCCAACTGTTTGGAAATTGAGCAACACACATCTGAAATGAGGAGGCCAGTACAGATGCTCTCTAGGGTCCCTTCAAGGTCTGATGGTCTCCGTGTCTGACAGCCTCATCTGCCAAATTCCCACTTCATGCTGAGCAGTGTGGTCTTTACGGCAATCTTTTCCCTGCAGCTTCTGAAGCTAATGGGATTGTCGGCCTTTGCCTCATTCTTTCTAAGACAGAGAGAAAGAAATTCCTTAGGCAGAGTGAAACAAGCTCCTACTTGCTCTCCTTCCTCTCTTTGCCACCCAAGATTCTGCAGGGGACATTCATGTTCCCCAATAACCATTTTTCCCGTCTTAGAGATTGTGTCACATCACCAGGGAAACATCCACAGACCTTCCAGTTTCCTGGGAGGCCCTGTGAGACCAGTGACAGCAGCCATCCCATTTCTGAGGCTGCTTACAGGAGGGGAAGCAGCAGCGACCTGGAAAGTGATGCCTGGACTATGTACAGACTCCTCAGAAGATCCCAGAGTGACTGAGAGACCAGCAGGGTGGGGACCTCCTTCTCCCCTGAACTTCTGAGCTGGGCCACTTATGGCTGTCTTGTATGGGCTCCTGACACTAGCTAAAAGCTAAGTCATGTGCAGCTGGCATCCCTGATTGGAGGGGTAAGTAGAGTCTGACACAGACCAACTCCCAAACTGACAGGGGTTCTCTTCGGTCACCCTGTCCAGCCTTGCCACCTGCATATTTTCTGGAATAAATTGAATACTCCTTTACATTATGGTAAACATGACTGAAACATTTAACAGTCATCCAAACCTCATTTGTTCCACATACACTTATTAAGCTCCTACTACATGCCAAATACTCTGCTTGACACTGGTTACGAAGAGGGATCATAAGGATTCAAAGCTAAGAGAAATAAGCTTTAAGGTGTTAAGGAACATGTTTTCAGGGGTATCCACTGGGGCTATCCTACAGATGGGTCTGAAGCCCAGTATCTTCTTGAAATTAGAGCCTGGGCTATGGCCAATCCTGGAGTCTAGAGGGGCTCACATCTTATAGCTCCACAGGGAAAACCAAGGAGTGGCCTTCCCCCAACACTGCCCCCACACACAGGTTCCCTGCATCCTAAAATATAGGATGCAAACATTTTTGGAGACCTCATCAAAGCAGATATGTGGGTATGAAGGAATATGCATTTGGCAACAACAGGCAAAGACACTATTACCCACACACTCATGTTATTGGCATGTGACAGAGCCCCCTGGTCCTAGGGCTGTGCTGAAACCTGGAGAGGGCTCACGTGTCACTCTCAGGTGACACTGTACTTTCATTTTCATAAATGGGCAAAGTGAGCAGGAGATGTGGGTCCTGTGGGAGAATGAAGAAGGCTGGTCCTTAGAGGAATGGCTATAGGGACAGTGTGAGAAGAGGGTACAGGCAAGTCCAGGTGGCCTGGTTGGGATAAGCAGGAGGGACTTCTAGCCTCTGGAGGGCCTGCTGGGTGAGCCCCAGGCTTCCCTAAAGCAGCTTCAACGTCTGATGGCACTCGGGCTACCGACCCCATGCAGCACCCTTTCATGGTTCTCCACCTGAGCCCCTACTCCTCTAAGCCTCAGTGCACCTGTGTTCTGACCTCTGAGAAGGGGGCCTGCACAGATGAGAGTAAGGCTGACCTCCTAAGCTCTGCAGCCAGGCTGCCCTTCTGACCACACCAAGCTGACATGCAGCCCCGCCGCCTGGGTAAGTTGGCTGGCAGCCAGCTGAGAGCAAGCCCCAAGACATCACAGAATACAAGCAGGAGAGGTCACTCAGGCTGGGCACAGGGGCTCCTGACAGTAATCCCAGCACTTTGGGAGGCCGAGGCAGGAGGATCATTTGAATCCAGGAGTTCAGAGGGGAAGGGAACAGGCTCCAGGCCCCAACCCCAGCTTCAGCACAGACGAGCCAGTTGGCCATGGACAGTCATTTAACCATCTGACTCCAGTCCTTCATTCGTGAAATTGGGAACTAACGCCTGCCCACAGGCTCTGTGTGAAAATTAAATGCAAGTGAAGGTGGAGACCCGAACACTGCCTGGGTTCAACAAAATAAATTCCCTTTCTTGCCTCAGCTCTCCACAGCTCAACACTCTTTTTAGGAAGCAAAGATCACCTTTCCACTCTCATGCTGGATTTCTTACCTCAACACAATTCTCAAAGATTCCCTTGCGTGTCCAGTCAAGTAAAGTCCTCAGTAACTTTTCCTTGACTCAAACACCCTCAGGTCCCAAATCCCCCAGCTTAGCCCCTTCCAAGTTCAGGAAATCTGTGCTCATTAATGCAAGAGCCATTAACCCCTTGAAAGAGAACCTCAGAACCTCAGGACAATGGGAGAAAGTGCTGACAGGCAAGCTTGACGCAGCAGGTAGAAGATGGAACACATCGTTGACGGCTGCACAGCCCATGCCTTGGAGACAGCACATGGATATCTGCTGAGTCTCCTTCAAGGAGACCGTCATTACCCTCTTACATGAAGCTGGTATGATGTCATACCAAAGGAAGTGTAGGCCCACCGCAGACGTTGCACCACGACTTGGAACACCTATAGGATCATCACCCTTTGTGTTAGACTGAAGCAGTCCTTGAGGCAAGGATTCAAGTGCAAGTACTTTATTTGGGAGATGACCTCAGACAACATAGATAGGGGCATGGGGAAATAGGGAGGAGAAAGGGACAGGGAGGGGAAAGAAGTCAATAAGGGGCTTGTTATCAAGCAAGTTACAGTGGACAACTGAAGCTCAGAGTTATGCTAACCTAGGGGGTTAATTGGTTAGTTGGCTGGGGGCCGCCTCTAAGGGCAATAACTCTAAGGTGCTTCCAGATTGTTCCTTGTGTGGGCAGAGGGTGTTCCCATGGCCAGAAAGAAGCTCCAGGGCAGAGTCGCAGGTATTTGCAGTAGGCAGCCCTCAGGCATGTACAGTGAGCGTGGGGTGTGGGCAAGATGCCCACACTGTGGTCACCTTGCTGCATGTGCTCCCAGCTCAGTGTGCAGCCTTGGATTGGTGATCCAGCATCCCAAGATATGTGATGAGAAAAGCAAAAGCCTGGGTGGAATGCAGTCACAAGGTCTCTGGTACCTGGACAGTGTTTCACTTCCTGTGAATTAACTAATTCACATCATAGTTTAGCTTGTGAGTTTAATGATTAGATGAGGTTATCCAGAGCCCAATGAATAATGACTATTTATTAGCTGCTTAGCTATTTGAGGCTTTCAACCCATGTTGTGGTAAATCATCAGAACGCCTGAAAGGAAGATTTTGTTATTTCTAATTTAGAGATAGAAAAATTGAGAGTTAGAAATTAAATGAACTGGCCAAGCTCCCATAGCTACTAAGAAGAATACTCAGAATTCAAGTGTATGTGAAACAGGGATTTTTGTGAGATTCATACACTGCACTCTAACACCTCCTTGACTCCTGAGTACTCTGATGAATCAAACCTCTGAATGTGTGAAAATGGGGTGAGACTCTGGGCCCACAGTGACCCCAATCAGGTTGCAGATATCCTGTGAGGGACAGCCAGCAGTCAGCCCCAATTGCTCACACCTGTTTTCTGCTCACTCTCATCATACTAAAAACAAAATTCCCACCAGGTCCTCAGTAACTCCCCCAAACTCACCTGGGTCCTCAGTCTCAACAAGACCCTCTTCTCTGTGTTAAAGAAAATCATATTCTAACACTTGCTAAAACAATAAGGAAGACTTTATTCAGGACTATTGCAATGGAGTATTGCAATAGGTGTGAGAGATCAGGTTCAACTTCAAATTCAAGGACAAGTGGGATTGTCAGCCAAGAACAGAGTGAGAGGGTTAGTGGATATGGAAAGTTGCTAAGAGAAGACATCAAGGATAGGAGATTCTTGTGAAATCAACTTAACAGGATTCTTGCTAAACACAAACTAATGTGATCAGATATCAAGCATGGGGGATTCTCCCTAAACTGACTTGGCAGGATTCTTACTAAAACTTGACTGGGCAAGGACAGACACAGACAAAGAAGTCCAAGGTCAAGGCCCAGTTGAGAAGAGGCTCATAGGAGCCTCACTAAAGTCTGGTCAAAGGGAGAGTTTTTGTCACTTGCCACAAAGGTCCAGATAACAGTTATGAAGCCAGACACTGGGACTTGGTGTTCTGAGTCCTCAAAATACTCTGGAAGGCAAGGACCAGGATCATCATCTTTACCTCACCAATGAGGAACCAACAAGTTAAGTACCTTGCCCAAAGTCAGACTTCCAGCCAATAACAGAGCTGGGATTTGAACCCAGAAAGTCTGGCGTCAAACCCATAGTTTTACCCACCACATGACACAGCTTCTCATCTTGTTGATTCCTTAGTGGATTTCATGCTTAATTAATCTTCCCACCACAAATTTGGGGATGAAGCGACCCAAAGAGATGGGGCTATCATAATCCTGCTTTACAACAGACCATCTTTCACATCCTCACTAGTTACTTTGGGGCCTCTAAAGATAAGCCATTGTAATGGACGCTTCATAATGTGATTTGACCAACAAAAACATTGGTACACAAAAGAGGAAACCGGAGCAGATTTCTGCATTCATTTCTATTTTTATTGTGTTCTGCTTTTGTTTAATAATAAGGGGGAGGAGACTGGGCTCGATCACTCATCTGCAGCAAGAATTTTTTATTACCAGGGGCTGGAAAACAAAATGGGTTTTAATTTATTCCAATTTCATTTCAATTTTGCCAGTGGACATCTGTGCTTGCGAGCTTGGAAACCATAATACACGACTAATACTTTCCAATAATTTTCTTTTGATAATTCCTCTGACAGTGTGAAGAAAAGTGCCTGAACATGGATTAAATATCACATGACAACATTTTCCCAAATCTACGTGGCAAACTGCTACTTTTCTTTTTCTACAAAGATAATAGGAGGAAAAAAGCAATTTTTCAGAGCAGAAAGCAGCAGACAAGGTTCAGAGAACTAGAGTTCTTCTCCTGGCTCTGCTACCCACTATCCAGATGTGTGGCCTGGGGCGGGGGAATTCACCTCTCTGGGTTTCTGTTTCCACATTGGGAAATGAGATGCTTAGACTGTGTGATTCCCAAAGTCCCTCCCAGCTCTGAAATTTCCAGAGTCTCTGGTACAACATGGTGCCAAATGACCTTCATAGTGTCGGCATCATAGCTTTGGACGTACTTTGAGTTAACCTGGTTCACTGACTAACATAGAGAAGGAAATCTACAATTAATTGGGCACATATGCGAGCTCTTAAAAAAAAAGCAACAGTTTACATCAGGAATCTCAAATGGCAGGTGGCATAAGTGAGGGCATCAGGCTGAGCAAGGAAACATTAGGGAGCAGTGGGAACACTGCTGAACTGAGAGCTCACAGTGTCTCTGAAGGTGGCAGCTGCTCCTTTGCGCCATCCAGTGGCTTCCATGTGGCAATGCAGGCCCAGTGCAACCAGAAACTGATTTTTCAAGCAAAAATAGAAACCTAGATTTTTATGTTCTGTTTCCCAATTATTTAAACACTGTTGGGGCCAAAGAAAACATACTTAGGAGCCCTAGTTAGCAAATCTTGAGTCACATGCACTGGGTGTCTAACCCATTCTCTTTTCTCCGGGACCATCCTGTACTTCCTCTGTCCGGCAGAGCATTCATTTCTGTTTACTCATCTGTCTCCCTGCTGGACGCAGAGCATTTTGAGGGTCATGGGTTCTATGCCTGTCTTGAGCAGCAGATTGTTGGTAGTCAATGAAATAAAGGAATTTTACTATTTACAATGAACGCGTCACTGTATTAGTCTGCTCAGGCTGCCATAAAAAAATGGCATGGCTTAAACAACAGAAATTTACTTCTCACAGTTCTGGAGGCTGGAAAGTCCCAGATCAAGGTCCAACAGGGCTTAGTTTCTGGTGAGGGCTCTCTTCCTGGTTTACAGAGGGCTTCCTTCTCACTACATCTTCACATGGCCTTTCCTTGGTGTGTGCACACAGAGAGAGAGAGCTCTCTGTTGTCTCTTCTTACAAGGACAGTAATCCTATTGGATCAGGGTCCAACCCTTATGACCTCATTTAACATTAATTACCTCCTCAGAGACTCCATCTCCAAATGCAACTACACTGTGACCCAGGGCTTCAATATATGAATTTGAGGAAGACATAAACATTCAGTTGATAACACTCACCTAATGCCAACTCACAAGAATTTACCAAAAGCATGGGGGAGGAAAAGGACAAGAAGCTGGGTCTAGAGGTCAAGAGAGATGGGAGACTAGGGCCTCTCAAGCCCAGGCTTGCCCCAGCCCCTCTCCTCAAGAGACAGCCCCCACTTCTCACCTTGATGATGCTTCTTGCTCCTCCAATTGCCCACTGAGCTGAGCAACGGCTTTCACCAGGACTATGACCCTGATATTTCCAACAAGCTGATAAACACACAAAGCTGACCGGGCCACCCCTAGCATCCACAGGCATCATCTCCCTTCCTTGCAACAGGCCCAGGCAGGTGAAGTAACGGGTCCAAGGTCACATGGGTAGTGAGTGGCAGAGCCCAGATTCAACTCCTGCCCCACCCCTCAAGCATCACTGCTTTCCTCCCACCAACTTCTCCACCAGATGCCATCCCCAACCTAGAACTTTCAGATGCTAAGAGTTGGCACCTGAAGCCCAAACTAACTGATACCTCTTAGGAATCATTCCTCACGTTTCCCAGTCCCCTGCAGGAAGTGATTCATGAAGAGTGGCTTCTGGGCTCCCAGCAAGAACCCTCACTCAGAAATGGTTTTCTACCACTCTGCTATCCAATGCTTGAAATTCCATTTTTTGAACTTCCTAAGTCAAACCCCAGTGATGAAGCCTGGTTGCTATCAGAATCATTCAGGAAGCTTTTAATTTTTTTTATATCATGAAAAACTCACTGTTTTTCCATCTGTTTATATTTATTCTAAAATTTTAAACAATATATAAAGAGAAAAGGAAGAAAAAAATCACCTGAAATCCTACCCTGAGATTACCATTATTGATACATTGATGACCTAAATCCATGCATTTCATTATGAATATATATTTTATATATTCATATATAATATATATTTATATATGTATGTATTTTATATATATATATATATAATCCACAGGAATCATCTCCCTTCCTTGCAACAGGCCCAGCCAGGTGAAGTAACGGGTCCAAGGTCACATGGGTATATATATATATGTATATATATATATATATATACATATATATATATGTATATATATATATATATATATATATAGCTTTTATGATGTCTTATCACACAAGCTGTTTTTTTCATTGCTACCTCTTTAAAAACAGTATTGGTGGGAAGGCGACCTTGGTTACTGTCTTGTTCCTCCTCTGTTTCCTTTCATCCACACAACTTGGTCCAGGTCACCAGTGTTAACAACCTTCTCTACGCTTATCAACATACATAGATATATAGACAGATATAGACGAATGATGATGATGAAGATGATGATGACAAAAGTTTAAAAAGACAATAGAGATTACCCCTTGATGTATCATTTTCAAAAAAGGAATAATATACATTTCTCTGGCTCCTGATTTCCTCATTTAATAATATCTCATGGGAATACTTCTTAGTCACCTTTTTAAAAACTAAAATATTCCATAATGGTGATAATTACAATTCACTACATTATTCCCCTTTTGAAGGGAACTTTAGGTTCTATTTTTGTCACTATGCATAATGTTGCAATAACTATCTGAGGACCTATTTATCCATACATACTGCTTTTATTCCATCAGAGAGATTCCCTGGAATGGAATTGCCAGGTTGAAAGAACATGCATTTTTAATTTCAATTGCTAATGCCAGATGGCTTTCCACAATGTGGTAGCAATCTCCATTTCTACCAATAGTGCATAAGTAAACTCTCTCCTGCCTCCCACCAGTAGTAGGTGTTATCATCCTTTAACTTCTGTCAACCTGACAGGTGGAAATTGATAGCCCATTGTTACTTTTCTTGCATTTCCCTACCAATGAACTTGAGCATCTTTTAATGTTCATTCGTCATTTGAATTTGTGCTTCTGTTGAGAGGCCTGCCCTTATCCTTTGCCCATTTTCAATTGAATTTTTTTGCCTTTTTCTTATCAGTTTGTAAGATGTTAACTTTTGAGGGGTAGAGACTGGCTAGTGGTTGACCTAAACTGTTTCTTTGTCCTCATAGGAGCAGCCAGACCACATGTCCCAGCCTCTCTTGCGCTTGTGCATATCCATAGTCTCAGTTCTAGTCAGTGAAGCATGGGTGGAAGTGGAGTATTACCCTTCCAGGCCTGGCCCACAAAACTACCCACTTGTGAGCCTACCTACTAATTTCCCTTCCACAAGGATCTTGGAAGCCACATATTAAAGATGGCGGTGCACACAATAGAAAGAGCCCAGGTTCCTGAATCTCTGCCTGGAGGAGGGCTGCCTGCCAAACAGGATCACCCATCATGGACTTGATATGAGTGAGAAATTCAATTCTATTGTGCTAAACCATAGGGTGTAATGGGTTTATATGTACAACAGAGCCAATCTAACTAACACACCCACCACCTGCCATATGTGTTACAACTGTTTCCGCCAACTGTCATTTGTGTAATGACTGTGCTTGCAGTAAAATTTAAATTGTAAAATGTTTATATTTTCTTGTATGCCTGCATTTTATAGCCTCTATATTTTCCGTGTAAAATGGTTTCTGGGGAGCTGTTTACAAGTACAGATTCTAAGATCCACCCTAGAAAATTCTGCTGCAAGCAGTCTGGAGTGGAGCCAGGAAATCTCGATCTTATTAAAGCTCCCTGGGGTTATTCTGCTGCATCCCAGGATTGGAGAGTATTGCTTAGGATATTAAAGTGGCAGCCCCTGCCACAATGGAAGCAACTCTGGGAGTAACCTAACCTGCCTCCTAAAAGTAGATTCCTAGCGACACCTGGAAATAGCCTAAACTGAAGCTGGGTTAGCCCAGTATTGTGTGGGAGGTTCTGAGCCCATACCCAGTCTTCTCCACTTCCTCAGGTGTGCCCTGGGGTAAGTAACTTAATTTCTCTAGGCCTCCTTTCCCCTCTCCTACAAAATGGAAGTGATAATAATTCCTGCATTGTGATAGGAATACCTACCTAGCTTTCAGGGTCAAGGCAAAGATAAAGATACATGTAAAATATTTCATCCTAAACCTGGTGCATGGGACTGGCCCAAGAAATTATTAACTCAAGGATAATAACATAACCTTGAACTATTTAACTAAATATTACCTAAATATATATTAACCTAAAATACAACCTTGCCTAATTTACAATTTTGCCTGTGATAGCTCTGCTGGACGCCATCAGACACTAAGCCCTTTCACTTCAAAATGCAAATTATAGACATTCATTACATGAGATATATAGATACAGATACAGATAGATATATTTAAAGAGCAGTTAGCTTTACAAGCATAGGATAATTCCAGAACTTCTCTCAAAGCTTGCTTAGTTATCTGTCTTGTATTAACATTTTTGTGCATGCATGTGGGAGGTGTGGTGTGTTAGCGTGTGTGTCTGTGTGTGTGTGTAAATGCATAAGGACTATGAGCTCTCCAGATGAGGTTTGGATGCAGTGACATTGACTCATGAATAACTGCTCAGGGGGATTCCTGACTAATCCACAGAAAAGCAACTGCCAACATTAATTCAGGAAAATGAAGTGTATTGAGGGCCTACCCCGTGCCAGGCACTGTGTTAAAAGTATTATTTGCTCTCTCATTCAATCTTTAAATAAGCCCATAAAATTGTATGATACTGTTCCCAGTAACATGTTGTTCCTACAAGACGAGGAAACTGAGGCTCAGAAAGGCTAAGCTGCCCATAGTTACAAAGTTGTGGAAGGGTGGAGGCAGAATGTGCCTCCAGGTATGGGGTTTCATTGAAGATGATGAAAATGTTCTAAAATTAGTTTACGGTTATGCTTGTGCAATGTGGGCATACAAAAAAACCACTGAATTACACACTTTAAACAGGTGAACTTTATGGTATGGAAATGATATCAATAAAGCTGCTTTAAAAAACAAAAGTGCACCCAGGTCTAGCTGACTCTACAACCAGATTTGAATGAAAGGCTTCTGGTTTAAAGAGTGCTTTCATGCGAATCACCTTGTTCATGTCTGGCCCCTCTTCCACTTCCACCACCACCCCATGACTGTGGAAAACCCTCTTCCTCCTAAGGGGAGGGGTGAGATGGATAAACAAAGCCAAAACTCTTGTATGGCCTCCAGGCCAAATGGTCAGCAAGCCTGAGGTGGGCATGAGTGTCAGGAATCAGAGTCAGGAACGTGTGGGATAAGGTGCCCTTCCATACACACCAAACCTCTGCCAAAACCTCATCAGCCATTTGCAACACGAGCTGGCTAGCCTTTGTTTAAAATCCAGATCTGTTCTCCTTTGTTTAAAATCCAGATCTGTTCTCATGGATCCCACTGGAACCACTCAGCAGCTCACCTTTGCCTTTAGGGTTACATGTGGAGCCTTTAGCACAAACCCCAAATCCCTCAAGACCCAGGGCCCCTCCACTGCCACTCCACACCCTACAGTCTGGCCACACTGGAGACTGTACTGTCCCCTGCCTACCCATGATGCTCAAGTCTTCATGCTCAGGCCTGCATTGCTCCTTGTCTTCCTGGGAGGATCCTACTCAGCAGGGGATTTGATGTGAACATCTTATGTGTGGCTCCCCTCTATCCTCTCCCCCACAGCCCCGCATCCTAGTCCTCCACTTACATTTTCTTTATATACCTATCTCAGCATCTTCCACACTGCATTGTCACCATTTGTTTCTTGCTGTCTTCCCTTCTCTCCACAGCCCTGTCTCTACTGTTCCATACAGACTACTGATCACTTGCCACTCCACTTAGATAGTGCAAAGGCACTGTTGTGGCTTGAATTATGCCTCCCAAAAAGATATGTTGAAGTACTAACCTCAGGTCCCTGTGAATGTGACCTTAATTGGAAATAGGGTCTTTGTAGTTCTAACGAGTGAATATGAAATCATACTTATTAGGGTGGGACCTAAATCTAACAGGGCCAATGTCCTTATAAAAAGAAAAGAAGACACCAACACACAGGGAGAACACCGTGTGGTGAAAGAGGCTGAGAGTGGAGTGACACAGCTGCAAGCCAAGGAACGCCAAGGATTCCCACCAGCCGCCAAAAGCCAGGAAGAGGCAAAGAAGAGTCCTCCTCTAGAGTCTTCAGAGGGAGCACGGCCCTGCAGACATTTGATTTCAAACTTCTAGCCTCCAGAACTGTGAAAGAATAAACTTCTGTTGTTTGAAGTCACTCTGTTTGTAGTACTTTGTCACAGCAGGCTGAGCAAATGAATACTAATACCTCATGCCCATTAAGACCAAATCTGATTTCATGATCTCATCATCCAAACCAGCCTCTCCCCTGATTTTAGCACAACCTTCATCCTGTTACACCAGACAGAAACCCACAAGCAGTGCAGGCAACTTCCTCTCCCTCCTATCCCCATTTCCAGTTCATTATTTTAGAAGACGTTACTGTGTCTTCTAAATATTTCCGCAACCTGCTCGCTTCTCTCCAGCTCCATCCTGCCAACCTAGTTTATCATCTCTCACCTGGACTACTGGCCTCCCCACACACATTCTTGCCCCACCAATTTTTCTCCACACAGCAGCCACAATGACATTGTCAAAAATGAAGTCTTTTTTTAACAAGGGATGATGGGTTCTCATCCCTCCTCAACATACTTCATGGCTTTCCATTGCTCTTAGGAAAAAGATAAAACTCATTTCTCCAGCCACCGTGAGTACCACCCTCTCTCTCAGTCGAGATCCAGCTACTCTTTGACCTTTTTGGAGTTCTTTCAATTTGCCACACTCCCTCCCTCCCACCACAAAACCCTGTACAAATCATTCCTTTGTCAAAAGGTTTTTTACACCATCCCAGGCTCCCACTCAAACAGTTACCTCCTGATCTTCCTTAAGATGCAGCTTGGCCATCACTTCTTCAGAAAAACTTTCTCTGACCTGGTCAGGTAATTCTCCCTAACTGCTGCTCCCCTGGCACCTCTTCAATGGTATCAGTGAAGGGTACTCAGTCAAGATTAGGTTTGGCTGCATTTAATAGAAACCCACCTACAGTGGTTTAAACAGAAAGAAGTATATGTTCCTCTCACATAACCAGAAGTCCAGAAGTAGGAAACCCAGGCCAGGCTCCTTCTTACTCCCCACTCCACCATCCTAACAGGAGGCTTCCAGAATCACTTATGGCTCAATGCCTGTGGAAATCCCAACCAACATATTATTAGCATTCTAAGCCCCAGGAAGGAAGATCAGACAAAACTCCTCTCCTTTAAAGAGACACTCCGATTGTTCCATTCCTCTGGCTCATGGACCAGAACGTAGTCACATGCCCGTAACTAGCTGCAAGAGATGCTGAGAATGTGTCTTTCACTCAAATGACAACTAAAAAGTAGGATTGTGCTACCAAGAAAACGAAAGTGAATAGATGAGGCAATTATCATTATTGTGATTACATATTATTTGAGTGATTTGAGGATTTATGTCTATTTCCCCAACTAAATGATAAGAAATATATGGGAAAAACCTTTGTATATTTTTGCTCAGAACTATATGCATATGCCTTAATGAACATGTGTTGAGTATATTTGACAGAGCAGTCAAATTACTCCTCTGTTTCCCCATCTGATAAATGGACATAATAATAGTACCTATCTTAGAGAGTTGTTGTGAGGATTAAATTAAATAATATATGCAGACCAGGTGCAATGGCTCATGCCTGTAATCCCAGCACTTTGGGAGGCTGAGGCAGGAGGATCACTTGAGGCCAGGAGTTCAAGACCAGCCTGGCCAACACAGTGAAACCTCGTCTCTACCAAAAAATACAAAAGTTAACCAGGCATGGTGGTGCACACCTGTAATCCCAGCTACTCGGGAGGCTGAGGCAGAATTGCTTGAACCCAGGAGGTGGAGGTTGCAGTGAGCCGAGATCATGCCACTGCACTCCAGCCTGGGCAACAGAGTAAGACCCTGTTTCCAAAATAAATAAATAAATAAATAATATATGCAAGATGCTTCACATAAAACCCAGAATCTGGTAAACACTCTATAAATATTAAATATTATTATTAATCCCCACTGAGTGAACTCCTTTGAGGCACATTCTATCTCATTCACCAGCATCTAGATGCTCACTAAAGGTCACTGACTGAACAAGTGAATTAATGGATGAAGTAAATTGGGAAGGATTATAAACACATGTATTTTACAAGTGAGAAAACTGAAACTGAGTCTATTAATAAGTGATATTAGTGCTAATTCTGGTTCCACCACATATTTAAATATGAGAAATTTCAGAACCAAGAAAACAAACTTCAAAACCAGTTAACAGATTCTGGAAAGTTGGCAACAGCAGTGGCAGGCTGGCAGGCTGGGGATCTTCCTGAACCCTTGCATAAAATAGAGCAAATAGATAACAAAACTGAAACCCATAAACAACATTTCCAACAAAACTAAGTGGCAAGGGGTCCCAAGGAAGCCCAAAACATAAGCAGATGAAACAAGCCACCAACAACCACAGATCTGTGAGTTATGGATATGTGCAGAGAAGAAGCAGAGGGCAGCATCAGGGCTTCTGATGGACCTGAGAGAACCCCCAGAGAGCCAACAGATATTCACTGGGAAGCCTGGTGGGTCAACTGAGGCAAAAACTGGGAGAGGCTGTGCCCAGTCATATATTGGGGTAAGGACTAAAGAGGCTGGAGCAGCCAGAGGCCCTGGGAATGCTCTAAATTGACAGCCAGGGTTTCCTTCCAGGACAAAATAACTCAGTTCCACACTGAAAAGAAACTGCTTGTAGTAGAGTAAAAATAAAGCAGGACAGGGTCAAAAGAGTTGAAGAGCAGCTCAGATAGATGCAAGGAAGGGAACACAGCTAGTAAATCTCAGAAAGCAGGCTGCCATATGTTTTAAAACCACCTGAAAACAAAGAAGTTAGAAAAGCGAATTAGACAAGCTATCTGAACCAAGTCTCCTTCTCAAAGTTCAGACAAACTAAATTCATATAAAAATGGGCAAAAGATAAGTATCAATGTCAAATCCCATCCACGGTTACTATATTAAAAAGATGAGCAAAATGGCTTCTTTCTAGAAAATAAAAGCATACCAGAAAAATGTACTTTAAATATCTGAGCTGTTATATACAATTTCAAAACAAGACTAGGAACATTAAGAAAATGATACAAGATATGAAAGAATAACATGAATAAGAATTTTAAGGCCAAGTGCAGGCTCACACCTGTAATCCCAGCACTTTAGGAGGCCAAGGCAGGATGATTGCTTGAGCCCAGGAGTTTGAGCTGTAGTGAGCTATGATTGTGCCACTGAACTCCAGCTTGGGGAGAGAGTGAGACCCTGGCTCTAAAAAAAGAAAGAAGTGACAGATGTAAAAGAATTTTTAAAATAAGAAAAACATTTCATATTTATACAGTATATATTTATGGTTAAATATTTGTATATATAATATATTTTATATGTAAAATATGTAATTGTATTTATTTATATAATTATATTGCATAAGTTATGTAATATAAAATATATTTTATATGTAAAATGCCCATCAATGATAGACTGGATGAAGAAAATGTGGTACATATGCACCATGGAATACTATGCAGTCATAAAAAGAAATGAGTTCATGTGCTTCGGAGGGACGTGGATGGGGCTGGAAGCCATTATCTTCAGCAAACTAACACAGGAACAGAAAACCACATACCACATGTTCTCACTTATAAGTGGGAGCTGAACAATGAGAACACATGGACACGGGGAGGGGAACAACACACACTGGGGCCTGTCAGGGGGGCAGGAGGAGGAAGAACATCAGGATAAATAGCTAATGCATGCTAGGCTTAATACCTAGGTGACAGATTGATAAGTGAAGCAAACCACCATGGCACACATTTACCTATGTAACAACCTGCACGTCCTGCACATGTATCCCAGAACTTAAAATAAAATGAAATAAAATTTAAAATAAATAAATAAAAGTGAAAGGTTTCATATCTATATAAATATATTTTTATATATTCAAGTACCACCAGAGCAAACAGACACAATAAATAATTCCTCAAGAAAAATAGATGGAGAAAAGAAAAAAATAATTATTAAATTTAAAAAAACAGACAAAAAGAATTTGACAGGAAAAAAACAAATATTGAAGATATCAAAGAAGATCCAACAAATTGATAATAGAAGTGCCTAAAGATAAAAACTAAAGCAAAGGAACAGAATACCATAGTAAAATGACTGGACTCTAATTTTTAAAAAAGGAAAACAATGCTTTGGCATCTAGGCAAAAGAGCAAATGACTTATAAGGAAAAGAAAACCTGATTATTATCAAACATTTCAACATTTTATTCCATAAGCATACAGAGTACATTTGCAACTTTTTTATAAATCTAAAATTATCCTAAAACAAAAATGTGTTTAAATTTTTCTTTAATTTGTTTTGAATTTGGAACATCAAATGAAATCACAAGCTGTTTTATCTTTAAATAAGTGTGTGTGTGTGTGGGTGTGTGTGTGTGTGTGCATTTTTCTACCTCTGCCTACTGTAAAGACATAAATAATGACCCAATGGCCAATATAGCCCCCAGAATTGAGGACTTGAAGTATCACCTCCAATTTCTTGGAGAAATGGTCTGTTTTTGTTCTGGGGCAGAAAATACACGCAATAAGCCTTACAAGGCCTTGTCATGCCAGACACCTTGTCATGCCAGACAGCAAGGAAGCTATCAAAGTCTATGAGGTTCATGTCAAAGGACTGAGGAATCATCTTTGGCCAAATATGGGCATTTTGAGTTTCAATAAGGATAAACATTACAATGGACTGAAACCAATCAAATATGGTTCATAATTAATTACATTAAGAAAAAATAATACTCATCTTCAGAGGATGACAGAGAGCCTGCTGGTCATTTTGAAAACTGGGTACATAAAAGACTAAAGAATTTGTTTTGCCTTTCTTATATAAACTATACTGCTAGGTATCTTAATAGTAGATGGAGGAGGGGGTCTTTTTGTATAAAATTATTCCAGTAAATAAGTGAAAAAGACATAAAAGTATATCACCATCTTACAACCCTCCAGTGAATTACTGGATCTAGACATCAAACACCAATGGCTGCTAATATAAGATAAAAAAGTGAAAAACAGACATTATGAGCCTCCTAATGAAAAAACACACACCACTAACAATCCAGTTAAAGGGATCAAATATAGGTTCAATCAAACCTCTGGATACAGCTGCCAATTTGTAGGAAATATACAGGATGGAGAAACATTGAATTTCACCGCAAGAATGCAATTTGCAAAACCATGACTATCAAAATCTCCATATGTCAAATGGAACAGGTTTTTCAAAAGATAAACTGTCAGAAGAAGAAAGAGATGGAGGGGAATCTGCAGTTTGAAAGAGATTTAAAAGACATATCAGATTTCTTTAAGGAGCAAAATTAAACTTGAGTGTCTAGGGATGCACAATTGGAGTGATAAAACTGTAAAGATATGCAAGGAAGTGGTTACCATAAAAGTCAAGATCATGGTTACTTTTGGAGGGATGGAGGAGGTCATCATTGGAACAGGGCCCATGAAAGGGCTTCTAGGGTAGCTGGCAGAATTCTGTTTTTTCACTTGGGAGGAGGTTAGAATGATGTTTGCCTTATAACAATCCTCTAAGCTATCATTTCTTTTGTTTTACATTTTCCATATTTGTGTTTTATAATAAAACAATCAAAATTGAACAAAGAAATGTTTTGCCAGTAAAAATTATTTCAATCTTCAATTAATAAGGATGCTGGAAGAAAATATTAAAGAGCAGAAAAGTATCCACTATAATCAAAGAAATAATTGAAGAAATTTTTTCCTAATCTGAAGACACACTCAACAAGGCTATGGAAAGGATGTGTAGGCTGCTATACAGGAGTAATCCTTACAGAAAACAGTTTCTAGAAGGACTTTTGACTAAGAAGGCTGAGAGCTTAAGCCACTGCCAAGGAGTTGCTCAGGGCAACCTCAGCTTGAGCCAGGAGAGGCATTGTTTCCTGATAAAGAAGAGGTGATCGCCTGGTGTAGTCCAAGTCACCCTGTGAGTCAGGGAACATGAGTTCCTGTTTTAGCCCTGCACTGCCTCCCTCTGTGACCTTGGGTGAGTCACCTAACCTCAGTCTGTCTCCAGCAGAATGGGGAGTAGGTGTAGGATGAAATATTTTAGAGTCTCTTCCAGCTCTATCTTTGTATACTTTTATGATTCTAAAGCAGGGTCTCTCACAGCGTGATCTACTAACCACCTGTATTAGAATCATGGCCTGACGAACAAGCCAGATTCCTTGGCCTCATTCAGATCCACTAAGTCAGACTCTCTAGGTATGGGACCCTGGAATCTGATTTTGTTCAAGGACCCCATTTGTTTCTTGTAACCCTAGTTTGAGGGCCACTGTTCTAAGGTATTGTTTAGGTAGAACGAGGGGGATGATGGGGGTCAGGACATACTACCCCAAGATATGGCACCTTGGCATTTGAGAAAACAGCAGTGGCAGGAAGGTCTCCCTGGCCTTCTCCCACCCTCCTCTCCTGATGCAGGCCATGAAAGAATTCTCTAATCTTCTAAAAGTAGGTCATAAAAGCCTCATTCCAGAGACATCCTCCTTATACCTGGAGGAAAGAAATGTCACACAGAGACACAGAGAAGCATCTGAACAAACAGGCCATGGTAAGTTCCCCCCAGTTTATTACCAGTAAATCACACCCTTCTGTCCTCCAATCATACTTCTGCATGACTGTCCATAAAAATATAGTTTCCTCTGTTTCTTTGAGTCTTTATTTCTGAAGGCTCCAGTGTCACATGAAACTCATATTAAATAAATGTGTATGCTTTTCTTTTGTTAATCTGCCTTTTGTTATAAAGGTCTCAGGCATGAACCTATTGATGGATGAGGAAAGAAATTTCTTCTTCCCTACAGAGAAAAGACCTCACATCTCTTCAACTCCTTCCTTATGTCAAGCACCATACTAGGCATTTGATTATATAGTTTAGATTATTAGATTATGTCATATCTCATTTAATCTTTAGAGCTACCCAGGGAAGAAGGTCGTGTCCCTGTCTTACCAATGAGGAGAGGGCAGCTCAGAGGGTTTTGGTCACAAAGCCGATAGAGGTGATGGATCCATGTTAACTGAAGGGCTGCTTCTCGAAAAGTTAGGAAGGGAGGGAGGGAACTAAATTCACTGAGAAAATATCCCAGGATTGGAAAGATCCTAGCTGGATGAGTCTGTTCTGCTCTCAGCACAGATATATTCTGGAAAAAAAAACAAACAAACTTTGTCTTCTTTCCTATTATAAAGAGAAGGGCAGGCAGGAGTAACAGGGAGGGATGATATGGAGAGAGATAAGCAAAGTTAAGACTTTTCCTTTGTTGACTTGGAAACCATTTGAAGCTTCTGGTGCAGGAAAATAAGTAGTCCAGAAAAATCTTAAAGCTAAGTAGCCCAAAGATGGAGAATAAGACATCGAGGAATAGCTGTGACTCCAGGAGGTAAAGGAGGAATTTATAACACAGCAACATATTGACACATTGATTTTTTTAAAAGTTGCTATAAAATATTATCTTTAAATATAGGGAGTACTTAATAGACCTCAAATGCCTTAATAAAGAAGAATATTTATAAATAAGGACCGAAGATGTCATGAATAGAAGCAGATCTCAAGCACACAATGCCTTAGAGTACAGATCATGTGTTTGAAGCCCTGTGGTCTGGGTCCAGCATATCTAATACATGGGAAGAGATGATATTAACCTTCTTAAAGGTGGAATCTGCAAATAAAATGAGTGAAATTCTCGGCCAATGGCACAACTATGTGGGAGAGGAGCAGAATTTGCTTACAAATATCTGCTAGAATTTCCTAAACTAAATCAAAGGTCTGGAAGGGGCTGCCGTGTAGGTAGTGCTTGGCTCACTCAACAGGGAGAATAGAGCTAAGAAAGCCTCTGGCTACCAGACTCAGGGTGTGGGAAGTGGTTTAGTCAGACGGCATAGCCACTAAGATCACAGAAGGGTTTGCAGCCTACCAGCCACAGCCACTGAGCTAGACACTACAGGGGAGGCATTTCTGCCCTCAGGGAGCTTATCAAGCCAGTGGGAGGCCAGTCACACACAAAGAAAAGGTGACTAATGAGAAGAGATGGTGGAATGAGAACTACAGGGCGAGATGTACAAGAAGTGCTATAGAAGTACAAAGGAATGAGACACTGGAAAGGCCTAGGCTTCCAGGGAAGGGAGTTTTTTTTTTGTTTTGTTTTTTGTTTTTTTAATTGTACTTTAAGTTTTAGGGTACATGTGCACATTGTGCAGGTTAGTTACATATGTATACATGTGCCGTGCTGGTGCGCTGCACCCACTAACTCGTCATCTAGCATTAGGTATATCTCCCAATGCTATCCCTCCCCCCTCCCCCCACCCCACCACAGTCCCCAGAGTGTGATATTCCCCTTCCTGTGTCCATGTGATCTCATTGTTCAATTCCCACCTATGAGTGAGAATATGCGGTGTTTGGTTTTTTGTTCTTGCGATAGTTTACTGAGAATGATGATTTCCAATTTCATCCATGTCCCTACAAAGGACGTGAACTCATCATTTTTTATGGCTGCATAGTATTCCATGGTGTATATGTGCCACATTTTCTTAATCCAGTCTATCATTGTTGGACATTTGGGTTGGTTCCAAGTCTTTGCTATTGTGAATAATGCCACAATAAACATACGTGTGCATGTGTCTTTATAGCAGCATGATTTATAGTCATTTGGGTATATACCCAGTAATGGGATGGCTGGGTCAAATGGTATTTCTAGTTCTAGGAAGGGAGTTTTTAAGGAGAAGAAAGACTTCTAAGCCAGACTGCAAATGGGGGGAAGGTGAGCAGAGGCACAGAGTGAGCACACCACATGGCATATTGGGAGCATGGGAAGTCAGCCAATTTCGTTGGAGGAAAGGGTTCCTACAAGAAATGGAAGGTTGCAAAGAGCCAGATTGGACATGGAGTACAGGGTTTGAATGACAAGATTAAAGAGCTTGCAAGTTATTTTATAGGCAATAGGAAGCTACTGAAAGATTGGGAATAACATAACCATTATAAATCCCAGATCCATGTGTCCAGGCTTTATATGGAGTAACAATAAAAAACACAATCCAAACAGTGAAAATCAACCAAAAAGAAGAAAAATTCCTGTCTTTTACTTCCATCTCTCCAATGCATAGCTCCCAGCAATTCTTCTTCAATCCCTGTTTTTCCCCCTCCTCCTCCAAACACACTACTCCATAATCTTTTATTTGCTATATGCCTAATCGCCTCCTTCACTTCTTTCGTTTTCTCCTCTCTTCCTGCACTTTATTATAAAAATCAACTTCAATTTTTGGGCTAAGCTGTTCCCCTTCCACTCTAACCTCTCTGTTCCAACCTTTCTGTGTCGCAAAAGTCCTGGAACCCTTCAGACAAATGAAAGCACTCCTAACTGGGGTTGGGGAGTCGGGGAAGGGATGAGATATAGGGAGCAAGAGTTGAGGTATAAAGACAACATTCTCCTAATCAAAAGGAGAGAAGGGAATATTCAAGTCTAAATATATTTTATCTCATCACTGTAAGATGGGGTATGAGGAAAAAATAGCGTCTTAAGAAAATGTCTACAATTATTGATCTGACCCAGAGATGTTGAGTATTCTCCAAAATCCTGACTGTTATGATCAACACAGAGAGAATCCTAGACAGGTACATGCAAAACCATAGTCAGGTAGATATGGGCATGATGCAGTGTTTTTATGATTGGGAGCCAATGGCTGGATGGACAGGTTCAGTGAGAGGAGGGCAAGCATGAGAGAATGGTGAGCTGAAAGATTGTGTGTCATCAGGGCTGACACCAAAGATGGTGAATTATTGGCAATACTGACAAGGAAAGCTAAATTTCTGTGATTTTTCTCAAGGTTAATGAGTCACCAGTCAACCACATCCAAACACTTCAAGCTGCATGTCTAGGTCTTCTGAGAGGAATAAAAATGAAAGAGTTTATGTTTGTATTCTCGTTAAAATTTATTTTATCTTAGGCATAATTTCAGACTTATAGAAAAGTTGCAAGAATAACTAGTTATTTTGTAGAATATCCCAGATTTGGCTTTCTCTGATGTTTCATCATCATTAGATTCCGATTATGCCCTTTTAGCATCACATAGTAATGCCATTGGGTTCTTCTGAATGTCTCATATCAGGAGGAAGCGTATTTTTATTTGAAAGTAAATTACACAGGGTGTTTTTTCAGAGAATGATTCTGCAGAAAGTATGTTTAGATATAAAAAGGAGAACAAACAGCTCCTAAAGGAACCATAGTAGAAACAACTGAACAATGGAGTTATTTTCCAAGATGACACCAGAACATGGAGCTGCTTTCTTTTCTTTTTTTTTTTTCTGTCTACAAAATGTGTTTATGTGTCTTGTCCTGAGGGCATGTAACCCCAGTTAGCTTTTAAAACTTTAAAAATCATGTATTGTAAGGAACATAATTCTGTATTAGTCTCTTTATAATATACCCATAAAATGGAATGCCATGAAGCCATTAAAATGATGATGTCTAATCATATGAATAGATATGAAAAAGTGTGCAGAATAAGATTTAAAAAGCAGGGTGCAAAGGGTACTGAACCAGCCAGGCCATCACTTGCTTAGATTGTGACAGAGGCCACCTTCTGGGTCCAATTACTTGTCTTTACAAGCTACTTTATATTTGTCTCTGAAATTCCCTTCCTGAAACACAGGTCTGACCATGTCATTCCTCTGCTCAAAACCAACATGCAGATTTCCCACAGGGTGCTTGTCCCATGGAGATGTTAATAGCCGATAGGACAGCATTTTTAAATAGCAGGGGAAGTCAATACCCACAGAAGTTTAACTTTTTTTTTTTTGAGATGGTGTCTCACTCTGTTGCCCAGGCTGGAGGGAGCGGTGGCGCGATCTCGGTTTACCGCAACCTCCACCTCCCAGGTTCAAGCGATTGTCCTATCTCAACCTCCCGAGTAGCTGGGATTACAGGTGCACGCCACCATGTCCAGCTAATTTTTGTATTCTTAGTAGAGACAGGGTCTCACAATGTTGGGCAAATTAGTCTTGAACTCCTGACCTCAAATTATCCACCCGCCTCGACCTCCCAAAGTGCTGAGATTACAGGTGTGAGCCACTGCATTTGGCCCAGAAGTTTAACTTTTTAATAAACACTGGGTTAAACAAAGCCCAACAGGTTTCTTTACTGCAGAACTTATCAGAGTCCTTCATATGCTAATGGCACTTTGAATTTCCAAGAAAGAGTTCATTAGCGTATTATTTCTCAAATTTATTTGACTTCAGAATTCTTTCAATTTGCACAGAACATTCATGCTTTAGGAAAGATCCTAAAGGAGACAGGGCCACAAGATGGAAAGAGCCTGGACTCCTGACTCACTTTTTGGGACTGAGCCTCCCAGAGAGCAGCCCTATGAGAAACACCTGTGATGGACTAGTGGGTGGGTGAAAAATAAACTTTTATTGTGTTCAGCCGCTTAAACATCAGGGTTGTTTGTTATAGCAGTTAGCCTATGCTGTCCAATATGGAATGCATGCAGGTATTTAAGTTATTTGTCAAAGAATAGATTATCTTTTTTGGCCTACAGAGTTTTTGTCACAAACAATAATAGGTCACAAGACTTGTAGCCTTACTAAGGTGGTATGATAAGTCTTTGCAAACAGTATCTCATTTAATTCTCTTGACCACCCAGTAGGATAAGTACAATTATCGGCCCATCTCACAGATGAAGAAGCTAAAGCTCACAAAGATTGAGAATTTGAGATAGTAAGCCCAGGATATGCATGCAGGTCATTTGACTTTGGGTCCTTGATCTTAATCACATCAAGGTCCTACCTCCTAGGCCCAAGTTATGAGGTCAGAAAAGCTGGGTTCCAGGTGCGATTTGGTTAGTTACCTAGACTAACTGAACATCTACACAACTTACTTCCATTCTTTTTATTTAGATCAGTGGCTCCCAATCAGGGTTGATTTTGCTTCCCCAGGAGACATTTGGCAATATATGGAGACATTTTGGGTTGTCACAAGTGGGGAGGTACTACTGGTATCTAGTTGGTAGAGGCCAAACATGCTGCCACAGCATCATACAATGCAAAGGGCAGCTCCCAACAACAAAGAACCACCTGCCCCAAAATGCCATAGTGCCAATGTGGAGAAATTTTATATGTTTTATTGACAGAGCCCAAATGTCCAGAATAAATCCACACTCTTGCTTGGAATAAGAAGCTTACTTTAAAACCCTGCCTTAGGCTTTAATTCCTAAAAGGGCAAGAAAGGCCATAACCAACAAGTAGCTTTTGGCGCTCAGAGATGTGAGCCTTGGCCATTTTTGGAGGGAATCCAGCCCAAAGAAGACTTTGCCGCATATAAAGAATTCGGTTTGGCAGGACCTCAGGAACAATACATGGTGACAGAATAGAAATTCCTCTTGAAAGAATGCCAAACCTTTTTGGTTTCCTAGTAACATAATTTTCCTGAGATTTCTCTCACATTTAAATTTGCAGCATCCCTACACCTATTTTAAATCAAGGCAACAAAAGAAGATTTTTATGAAAAGATGACATAATTGAATCATCTTCTTGGAGAGAGAAGGAAACCTAAGGGCCATCTGGTCTTTTCCCTTGCCCACCTCTTCTGGCACATGGCACCCCTGTTTCAACATCATATGATGCAGGGCAGGGATGTCACCATCACAAGGATCCAGTTTCATTTCCAGAACGGTCTGTTCAAAACTTCTTTCAGGGCCAGAAACCTGCTTCTCTGACCTCTGTGTTTCCTGCCCCTCATTCAATGCACTCAGGGAGGGTAGTGGGAGAAGGAATGAGGAGATGGGTACGGGGGTGGGGAAGTGTTCTTCCATGAAAGCTTACTGGGTCCCAGGCTTTGTGCACCTCATTTCTAATCCTCCAGCATCTCTCATAGCAACCTCAGGTAGTGATCATGCACAGCCTCCCTGCCCCTGCATGTTGTCTCTTTTCCAGATGAAACATCGTGAGATCTGTTTTCACATGGAAACATCCCTTTGGCACCCTGTTCATTCATTCATTCACTCATTTATTCAGCACATAATTACTGGGCACCTATGATCTGCCAGGCTTGTGTCAGAGACTTGGGATAGAACTTTGGGCAAAATGGCTTGTCTGGAAAGCAGGGCTGGCAATACAGTCAGCGAGGGAAGCCCTCGACTTAGGGACTATTATTATTATTAACTTCAGCAAAAATTTTCCATGCCAGCACCCTATGCGGTAGCCTAGGGCATCAGGAATATATCCCAGAGGGAGTGATGTCTAGCTGGGCGGGTAAGCAGAGATCCAAAGGGTTTCACCAGGTAGCAGGGCATGTAGAGTGTTACAGGCAGAGGTAACAGTTTGTGCAAACACCACAGGGGCACCCATGGCACTGAAAACAGGTTGGCGTGGCTGATCTGAGGGAGGCTGGACTGATGCTGGAGAGGTGGGCCCAGACTGGTGGGCCCTGCAGGTCGTGTAATGGATTTGGGTTTTTAGCTGAAGGGCCACAAGGACCACTGAAGCTGAGAAACAGCAGGATTGGATTCAACTTGCAGAAAGCCAGTCCTGGGGGCTGTGTGGAGAATGGGTCAGAAGAAGCAGGAAGGCAGGGACTCTGTGTGGGAGGCTGTGTAGTTGCCCTGCCTCCCTCAGGGGTATGGTGGTGGCAGGGACTGAGAGAAGGAACAGTGATGGCAGAGAGGTTAGGGGTCTTTAACCACTTCCCATAATCTCGATCAAAGCACCTCCGAAAGTCACCTCAATAAACAGAAAGTTAAATTCAAAGCAGTGTTTAGCTATGCTCCTACGGCTAGGAAATGAGCCCCCAGCCCTGTAACCCTCCCAGCAGCAGATATTCTTTGAGCACTCCCATGTTGAAATTCGGTATCCAGCTTGAAGAAATAGAGGTATTTAGGGTAGATATGACTTGGTATTTGGACATGAGACACAGAGAGAGAGAGAAGGAAAGAAGGATGACCGGTCCCAGGCTTAGGCAGTGAGTGGATGTTGGCGAGGGAGTGTGTTTCTTGGCGGGGAAGAGGGATTCACTCGGGCCAGGTGAAGTTAGGTAGTCCAAGTGCAGAGAGAGAAATGTGGAGCCCCAAGAGAATCTGGGTGTGAGAAGTCAAAGGACAAAAGGATGAGCCTGGCAACAGAATGAACTCTCTTGAGATATCCCTGAAATCTTCAGGGATCTCCACAAAACTCACAAAACACTCACCACAATGTGTGCCCATGGTAACTGTAGTGTGCCTGAGCTCTGCATCAGGGGGATGTATAAGAAAATGGGGGCCGGGCGCAGTGGCTCACGCCTGTAATCCCAGCACTTTGGGAGGCCGAGGCGGGTGGATCACAAGATCAGGATTTCGAGACCAGCCTGGCCAACATGGTGAAATCCCATCTCTACTAAAGTTACAAAATATTAGCCAGGTGTGGTGGTGCATGCCTGTAATCCCAGGAGACTGAGGTGGGAGAATCTCTTGAACATGGGAGAATCTCTTGAACCGAGGAGGCGAAGGTTGCAGTGAGCTGAGATCATGCCATTGCACTCCAGCCGGGGCGACAGGGTGAGTCTCCATCTCGAAAAAAAAAAAAAGAAAGAAAAGAAAAGAAAGAAAGAAAAGAAAATGGGACGCAGAAGCCAGAAGCTGAGGGGACCACAAGATTGTCACACCCCGGGGCTTCATCAGCCTGTGGAAGTAGGTAGAGTTGGGGAGAGAGAGATGTCTAGAGAATCTCACCTAGAATGCAAGGAGAGGGAGATCCCTAATTCGCATCTGAATTACGTATGCCAGGGCCTTTGGTACAAGAGTTCATTTGCAGAAAGCTCATTGCATTACCATCATCCCCCTGCAAAAAAAGTTTTGCTGCTTGGAGATGATGCCTCCAGAGGTAGTGTGATGAAAACATTGTCAAATAAATCAGCAAACCTCTCATGGTAGAATTTTAGGCACTGTAGCAGATTATGAGGAACACGCCTGGTGGCAGAGAGGACATTTGGCACTTCAGAGTGCCAAGTGATCTCCCAACAGTGCCCAGTAGCTCACAGCTCTGGGGACACTGGGCCTTCTCCTGGCTCTCCCTGAGGAATGAGGAGACCCAAATGAAACCACAACAGAAAACAAATGATACTTTCTGAGCCAAAGAAAGTTGCCTTCAAATCTATGTTTTTGTAATTCCTCCTGGAAACAGGGTTGATTTTCCCTATGAGTTCTACATCTGGAGGCTGAGTGAAAACAGAACTAACCAGTTGCACAGGAGCTTCCTAATCTACTAGAAAGCTCTCAAAAAGCCACGTGAGATAAATGTGGAACTTTTTCAAAACACCAGTTTAATTCAAAATAATTTTCAGTTTGAATGTCATGAAAATTTTAAAATATTTTTCCATTCTCATTTCAGGTTCCTCTTGTTGAAATGGCATTGTCTTTATTTACTTTTTGTTTTGTTTTTAAACACATAGCTCAGCAACAAGACGCCTTATAGTCTGCCTGCCGGCAGAGGGTTTGGGGTACTTGTCTTGCACCTGCTCTGCATTGCCTCCTGTCCCCCAAAATCCAGCTATTAACTCCTTAAGACTGGAAGGGTCTCATTTTTCACTGTGTCCTCAGCAGGCCCAAGACCATACCTGACAGGTAATAGTTGCTCAGTGAGAACCTGCAGATCTGAGGGGAATTGTGGGGGAAGACAGCAGTGTGGTTTTTCCATCAGGAAAACAGGGTCATGGGGCAGCTGCCTCGAGAGGTCACTTGGTCCTCTGCTCTGGGTGCCCCATGATGGCAGGGGCCAGGCTGTAACTGGCTTTGTGTTCCCAGCCCTTGCTACCCACCAGGCATTCAATGAAAGTTGGATGTAGGAGGCTAGGCATTAGGGCCAGGAAAAAGAATATTTATACATCAGGGAAAATACTACAAATGCAGAATTTTTTCTTTTTGGAATCAGGGAACTCCAGGCCAGATAAGCAGAGCCGTTTTTGTTGCTGGAATAGTAGAGCTGTCACTGGTGGAGGATGATGGGAGAGTTTCCAGGATCTTCATTCCTGGTGGGCGAACAATGTGAGCAGGATGCATAGATCAGCTCCTTGATGCCTAGAGCAATAGAACTGTCCCTGTTATCATTCTCCATTCAGAACCTCTTCCTGCACACATTCAATAAGAAGGACTCTGGGGAAGACAGGTTTAGGTTTCAACCAAAACTTCACCACTTACCAGCTGTGTGACCTTGGCCAAATTACTTAGCCATTTCCTCATCTGTAAAATTGGGCTAAAACTTAGTAGTATTACCTCATTGAGAAGTGGGGTAGATTAAATGAAATCTTGACATATGAAAGGCACAGTTCCTGGCACATAGCAAGCACTCAGTACATTTCCCCAGGGCGGGAGAGGCTTAGCCAGGGCGGGCTAGGTGGAAGGTGTTTGCCCACAACTGCTCTCACAGCTCTTGATAATTTCACGCAAACAGGTCCAAGCTCAGTAAAGGGATGGGAGGATGGTTGTGGGGGACGGTTATGGGGTAGCACAGAAGCTGGGACAGAATAGGGCTGGGGCAAAGGGGAGCCACCTGCGAGATGCCTGCCCCCACTGCTTGTGCAGGGCAGGTGGGAAGTGGCCAATCAAAGGCTATAGAGGTCATCCCAGGGAGGGCCCTGGAAAGCACCCTGTAGCCAGGATGATATTTGCTGATACAGAAGAGAAGGATGGGGTTATAGCCCTAAGAGAGTCGACAGGCAGTTTCCACGGCCTCATCCAGGTCACCAGGGCTCAGGATGGAGCCCCCGAGTGAGTGCTCTACCAGGGCTTACTCCACGCCTTCTAGGCACTCAAACTGGGGAATCAGGAGTAACTGCTCCTGTCACTCCACCTCTCTGACTTCCTCACTACCACCCTTTCCATGCCTCCACCCAACCACCTGGGCCTCCTGCTGTTCCTCAGCCCCACCAAGCAGGCTCCCACTCAGGGGCTCTGCCCCAGCCACTCCCTGTCCTGGCATGCTGGTTGGTCCCAATAGCTCACTCATTGCTTATAGCTCTCTGCCCAGTTGTCACCTCAGCCAAGAGAACCTCTCTGTCTGCCATATACAATATCATTCACATCTTTCCCCATCCTTTTCACTCTCCAGCCCCACCTCATTGTCTCCCCAGTACTTGCCACCATATCACCAATGTATATTACCGGTGAACTTGTTGTTCTCTACTTCCTACACTATAATGTGTGCTCCATGAAGGCAGGGACTTTGTTCACTCCAGTATGCCCAGAGTCTGGCCAAAATGCCTGATCCCTGAGATGGACCTGCCCAATAACTATTTGCTGACTTAATAATGAGTGAGTGAACTGCCAAACCCTATCTGCTGGCATGTGAAGGACACTAACATCCTGAACTGGTACAGACAAAACCAGGACCTTACGAAGGTCACAGGTACTAGTTGCTAGTAGGTTGGGAACTGGGGAGGAGAGGGCTGAGTTTACAGAGGGCAGTAGCCTACCTTGACTCCCATCTACCTGCTTCAAGTATCAATCCAGGAAAATTTTTATTAGGGAACTCTTGGACACTGAAAAATTCCTTTTGATTCAGTGATGTGAAGCACTGATGACAGAACTTCAGGCGCCATGGCCAGCAGGGAGAAGGTGTCCAGCTGTTTGGCTCACCCAAATCACCCCTTGAGTCACTTCATACCTACTTATAACTCCAGTAGTAACCAAAAGATCATTTACACAGACAAGCCATTAGAGAAATTTGAGAATTTAAGTCATAGTTTCAGCAGTATTACCCAGATAAACAGCAGCTTGTGGTTAGGTCTTGGATGGAGTTCTTGCCCACAGGTCAGGGTTTCTCCTTTCTGGTGCTTAAAATCACTGCCTCACCAAGAAGGCAGCAAGTAGGGTATCATTACAGTGAACAATTCATGACACAAAATGCAAGAATGTCCAAGCCCCACCCAGAAGCCCATGGTCATGATGCTTGCCTGATCTGCTCATGACTGAATCCATTGAGAGGAATTATTTTGGTACCAAGAACACATTTCCCAGTTCCCGTCCATATATGGGGAGAAATGGCATGCCTCTGTGTGTCAGTGCCCAGAAACAAGCAGGCTCTCAGAGTTGGGAATGACAGAAGCCTCACCCACAGTCTAGCCGACATCTGAGATGTTTCCAGGGAGCCTCGCTGAAGAAGCAGTGTTATTTTCCAGAGGAGGTCAGGGCACAGTGGTGATAATGTGGAAGAGGAGAAAGAAAATGAAACATCCTGTTCTGAAAGCATGAGCTCAGAAAGTAATGGTTGTGTAAGAGACTGTCCCTTGCAGGAATGTCACTATTCCTTCTTGTGACTACACCTTCCCTACCAGGGCACTGAATTTCTTCTGGGCCATGACTAATTACAACGAAACCCCCTCTCCACGAAAATCACATCTGCATGGTGTTCACATGAACAGGATCTGATCTGTGCCTTCAGCAAAATAAGATAGCTGCAAGCCCATGGAGCTGTTTTATCAGGATTAAATAAAATTGTGTACCTAAAGGACCTAGAAAATCTGTACCTGGGAGTCAGTGTGTGCTCAAGAAATATTATTTTTCCTGTCTAAGGATCTCATTATTTTGCTTACTACATGATATTGTGTTGCCTTGCAGTGATGATTATTTCTTTTAACATCTGGCTTAGACTACCCCTTTTAGCTTCTTGCATTTTTGTTTTAGAGAGTATAGATTATGTTTGGTTTTTAGTTGCAATAAAGTTATATGTTGGAACTAGCTCAGTCTAATAATAATCTCAAACATTATAGTGATTTGAGGGACATTTGTTCCCTTCATTAATCCATTTACCTCATGTTGTTCCAGAAGTATTTTGAGGGGGCTACAAAAATAAATATAGCAGGATACAACGAGATAAGATTAATTATTACAAGTTGGTTCCAAAATTGGTCCCAAGCATCAGAGAAGCCAAAGCAAAGAGGGAAAACTGAGCAATGATAAGATTCACAGTATTTGCAAGATGCCAGTTGCTTCAAGAAAGCAGTTTTTCTTGCAGTAAGCCCTAAATGAACTCTGTTCTGTCCTCAACAGTATCTCTACAGAATAGCTGCCTCTGATCCTGCCTTTTGGTACAAACCAGGGCACCACACCCAAGAGCAGCTGAAGACAAGATCTAAGCAAGGTAGGTTTCTGCTGGACTAGTGTGATTCAGGGGTGGGATCTTCCTGGCAAGAGGAATCAGTGAGATGTACATTTGTTCCAGTTACTATAGGTGCATAACAAATTACCCCAAAACCTAGTAGCTTAAAATTATTATTTTAGTTTGCTTACAATTTTGAGCAAGAGTAATGTGGACAGGGAACAACAAGGAAAGCTTGCTCTGTTCCACGATATTTGGTGTTCACATAGGGGCAATGTGAAAGGCGGAATCTGGAAGCATCTTTACTTACACAGCTGATGGCTGGTGCTGGCTGTTGGCTGGGACAGGGGCACTCACACATGGCTTGTCCACATGACCCAGGCTGCCTCACTGCATGGAGGTTGACAGTAATCAGAATTCTTCTGCAGCAGCTAAGCGCTCCAAATGTGAATGTCCCAGAGAGCCAGACAAAAGCTGGATAGTCTTTTCTGGCCTAGCCTCAGAAGTTATCCAAAGTCCCTTTCACTGAATTTGGTTGGTTGCAAAGCAAGTCACAAGCCCAACCAGATTCAAAGAAAGGGGACGTAGACCCCACTTCTTGGTAGAAGGCATGTCATCACATTATAAAAAAGCATGTGGATGGGAGATATGGTTGCCACCATCTTTGGAAAACAGAATTTTCTACAACATCCTCTATGCAATCACTTATACATACTGTATCTTGCAATAAAGCCTTTGATAAGAATTGACAGACCTTGATCCTTAAAGGGTATCTTTTTGGTGTCAAACACTAGATGAATAGTCTAAATAGGTATACAGCACACTTGAGAGCCACTGTGACTGTAAACTAAATGGCTCAACAGAATCTGGGTCCTCAAATATATTAGCATGCTCAGGCTGCCATCACAAAATACCACAGGCTAGGTGGCTTAAACAACAAAAACTAATTTTCTCACCATTCTGGAGCCGGAAAGTCTAAGATTAGGGTGCCAGTATGATTGGTTTCTGGTGAGGCTTTACCTTTGGGTAGCAGATGGGCACCTTCTGGCTGTGTACTCAGCTGACCTTTCTTGTGAGCAAAGAGAGTGAGAGAGTTCTTGTGTCTCTTCTTATAAGGGCATTAATCCCATTATAAGGGTCCCACCCTCGTGACTTCATCTAACCCTAATTACCTCCCAAAGGCCTGCTCTTCAAATACTATCACATAGAAGCTAGGCCTCTACATGTGAGTTTGGAATGGACACGAATATCCAGGCATAACATCATGGTTACAGACATGTCAGCATTCAGTGGAAAATGGCATCAATCCCTGAATATTTCCAAATATCTGGAGTCTTTAATCAAGTGGACAACTTACCCATACACATGAATTTTTCACTTTCTGTCAACTTAGTCTTATAGCTAAAATTCAAGCCAGAGACTATGACATGGATATAAATAGACCCAGAGAATCATTATATATAATTTGGAAAGGGTGTCACTGGCATACATCTGTAAGCAGTTCAGGAACACTTTCAAGCTGTGTTTACATGATATCAAACATCTGGATGAAAACTGAAAAAAAAATAATCAATTTGGATTGGAAACAAAGCAGAAGTATAAATTTCAGTGCACTGCACTAGCCTTTGGAATACTGAATGCAGAGCTGATCCCCTTACCCCAGGAATGAGATAATGGTGCTCAAGAAAGGACACTGAAATGACCAAGAAGGAAAGGGGGCTTCTGTGGGAAGGCAGATTAAAAAAAAAAAAAAAAAAAAAAAAAAAAAAAACTAACTCCATTATGCAACAGGAGATGAAAAGGGACAACATCAAAGACTGAAAAACGTAAAGAAAATGAATCTTAAAGCACCAAACTGCTAGAACTGGGAGCTTTGAGGCTTAACGGCAAAGAATTTTTTTCAACTAAAAATCCAATAAATCCTGGTCGTCAGGGAAAGGGGCATTCGGAAACTCAAGATTCTAGATAGCCAACAAATCATTCCTTTAAGTATCACAACCTATGTTCACTTTTCATATAGAACCTTTTCTCAAATATCGTACTTATTCCTGGGGCCTCTTAAAAAGAATACACTCCACCCAGATCACAATACTCCAGCCCTCAGTGTGTAGAGAAACTATGCCACATATCCTTGTGTCCCAATGGTCCTTGTTAAAGGGCTCCAGGACCCCAAAATACTTTAGTTGTTTGTATTTTTTCAGAGTTCTGCTATTTTCTCTTTCCATCATTTCTTGGCTTTTCGTTCTTGCAGCATGCCTTAGGATAAGTTTCTTCAGAAGCTGACCCTGAGTTAAGGACTTGAGAGCTAGTTGTTTGGGAGGCGATCCCAGGAAGTACCAGGAAGCCCATCCAGGTGCATTCCTGAGAGGTTATTTATTTAACCCCTGTGGACAGCTGGGCTTCAATCCTGCCGGAACTTCTATAAGACTATGCAGAAGTGTCCCACACAAGGGGCAGGAACCTAGATTTCATCTCCAAATCTTGCCCATCGTTCTCTAAGAACCACTCCCCTTAACACCCAGGAACTGTCAAAAGCCTTCAGCTGTTTGCAGTAGGAAGTCATCAGGTGAGTAAGAGGTAAAGTGGGTGTGGACAGGAGCACCTCTCTACCCTGCCCTCCTATTCCCATACCTGATAGAATTTTGGGGTAAAGAAAGAAAACTAGACTATGAGTGAGAGCCTGCAGGACTCTCTCCTGAGTAAAAGATACCTTTTCTGATAGCTTAGGGGTCTTTACTTTCTGATTTCTCCCTGGTTCTTGATCATATTTTTTAAAGGTGCTATTATTCAACTGGCAGTTAAAAAAATTTTTTTGGTCATTCAGAAAGTCCAATCTAATTAATTTTTGAAGCAAAGTAAGAGTCCACTAAATGGCAGGTAGTGTTAGGTAAACTCCCTAGAGATGAAAACTGACTTGCTAGTCTTACCTCAAGTAATGGGAAACGACCAGACCTCCTAAAGAGTCAGTGTGCAAGTTAGGGCTACTGTCCCAAGAAGGACACCTGAGTCCAAATGGGGAAACCACGGCAAAACCCAAGCACACTGGTTTCCACACTCTGTGAGGCAGAGCCAAAGGGGAAACTGTGGGTCAACGGATATGCAGGGACCCAAGGCACAAGGGATGCCACGTTACAAACAAGACTCATCCCCTTATCTTTTCATCTTCAGAGGGGAAAGGGACTTGGTCAGCACTGGCTCAGGAACTGGCAGAGAAGGAAGTATAGGGGCGGGGAGGCTTGTGCAAAGCATGCAAGGTGGCGAGCTGAGGATGCACAGAGCTGGCATCTGAAGAGGGCCAGCACAGGCAGCCCATCTCTTATTTAGTGCCCCACATCAAATTCATGAACAGCCAGAATAAAAATCCAGGTGTCTTCACTCCAACACAGCAGAAATTACTCAACATTGATTCACTTAGAGGCAAAGCTAAGAGGATGTGGGTTCCAGGAACACAAGGGCACGCTGGCCAGAAGGTCCCATGAGGATAATTCAGAGAGAAGGGCCCAAGGCCAGGTCAGAGAGCCAAAACCTCCAGCCATCACAGCAAAGCATCCACTGGCAGGGAGGAGACAGCCTTAAGCTGGGGGAAGGAGGGGCCAGGAGTGCACTCATCAGGGACGAGGCTGCAGCAGACAGAGAGCCAGGGGAAAGACACGCAGGAGCAGGGCAGAGAGCAGAAACAGACTGACATGGCGCAGATGCAGGACATGGCTGGGTATGACAAACTCCTTGCTGCGTGGACTCTGGGTAGTTCTTTGTTTTGGTGTATATTCAGGACTCTCCTGTGAGTGGGGAGCATAGCAGGATAGTAAAGAGGCCGGCTTTAGGATGGCTGAGAAAGCTCGAACTCTGGCTTGGGTGTAGCTGGATTTGGGCAAGGCTGGATAAGGGGAGACAGCCAAGAGAGTCCTGTTGCAGCAATCAAGACACAGGAAAGAGCTGGGAGGAGGGAGCCCGTGGAGATGGAAAGGAAAGGGTAAAATCAAGAGACTCATGGTAGAAATAGCATCAGATGTTGATAGGACTTTGGATGGCAGCATGGAAGCAAGGAAGACAGAAATAAGGGCACTAATTTGGAGACTATGAGCCTGGGGAACTGGGAGGCTGCTGGCACCTTCAGTACAATGGAGATGTGATTGTTGGAAAGACGTGATTGAGGTGAGAATGGTTGCACTGACCTCACCCTCCACTCTGCACTAGCGGAGGAGAGCACGTTGGGAAGTGATTCCTGGTTTCAGAGGCTCTCCTCTTTCCTGCCAGTAACTCTCATTCCTCTTAACTCTTGCAGCAATATCACCTATACTAAGGAAGTAGGCACATGTCCCACATGCTTGTTTCCTAGGACAGAACCCAAATATTTGATCCTTGGACTTACGAATTTCATCAAGAGAAGTTAAAGTATGAGTTACAGGAATGTGGAGGATGAACCGAGTTCCTGGGTTTTCGACAACTATGTGACTGAGACAAAATATACATTAGAAGAAAGTAACACGGAGTTTGGAAGGATAGAAGACCACAGTTCACAGTACAACTAACTGGAAATATGGTGTCAATGTGTCTGTTTCAGAGGAGAACCAGTCCACTTGAATGAGGTCACTGTGACTCAAACATTATGCTGTAATGTTATCCTGAAAGAGCTTCAATAAATCTAACCACTCATGAATGTCTAGATAACACAAATTTGGCAAGATCTAAAAACTAGCTAAGATTGATAGTGACAGTCAAAGGAGAAAGTTGTTAAAACACTGGAAACTCTCATGGGATGATGTCTGTTAATGATTTGAAATGAAATAAAGTTGATATCCTTGGCCATGGAAGGAATTCCCTTCTCTGCAATAATGTTTGAGGTGTTAAGATGCCCACAGGCACAGTCAAGAGGCCAGAGAAGTAATGGAGAGAGGCCCAGGTGTCTTACTAAGGGATAACATTAACTTATGCCTCCTCAGAGAATGAGCAAAGGCTTATGGCAACCAGGCATGGAAGATTCCTCTTTTAGAAGGGTTGATAGCTTCAACCAGGCAGATTGCTTTGAACACCGAAGGGAGGGATCCGTTTAAGGACAATGCCAAGAGAAGACTTGGCGGGAAAGAAAATGTTGGATAGATAGAAGAGAGGAATGGAAAGTTTGAAGACCCAGAAAAGAAGAAAAGGGAAGGGAAAGGGGAGGAGATGGAGGGAAGCTGAGGGAAGAGAAGGGGAGGAGAGGGGAGAGAGTCTTTGATAAGATAAAGAAATTGAAAAGAGGCATTGGTCAAGTCCTGCTTTTGTTAATTCCACTCCAGATGTATATGGTCTAGTAGAACACTGGTGTACAGGAGGTAAAAGGAGAGGAAAGATCAGTAATGGGGAGAGAGATTTGGGAAGTGAGGGTGGAAACCAAATGAAAACTGGATGTAGTAAAGGAAGTAGCAGGAAGTCACTGCTGTCCTGGGCTGGAGTAGAAGGGCTATAAAGGAGCATGGTAATATGATGGGAAATCCTGAAATAGGGCCAGAGACATGGGTTCTGGTCCCATTTGTTCTTAACTCTGGGCAAACCACTTCACCTTTCTAGATTTATTTCTTCATATCTAAAGTGATGGGGTTAGACCAGGTGACCTTGAACATTTCTTCCCCCTTCTACAGCCCTCGACTGGGTGTAGATGTTATGAAATCAGAGACTTACATAAATGGAACCTTCCAGATTGGAACATGTATTTAGCTTTTCTAAGTAGAAAATGCTTTGAAGGGAGGAACAAAAGGTTCCACTCAACACTTGGCGAGCGATATTTGTTCTGTAAAATAATTAGTGAGTAAGCATTATTGAACTGGGTTGTCACATAAACATGAGAGAATTAAAAGAAAAAAACAAATTTAGGAGACTCAATTTTCCCTTCCATAGATCAGAAGGATGATTAACATAAACCACGAGAGGATACTTTTAAAGACATGCGCAGGAGGAGAGTCAGCATCAGATGAAAGCATGCCTGTCTGGGGAATAGGAGCCTTGAGTTCTAGTCTCAGCTCTGCCACTCCCAGGACTTGGACACATCATTTCCTTTCCATGTCTCAGTTTCCAAAGGAATCCAAAAAGTCGTGGACTCCAGCCTCCCACAATACCCCTACCCATGGTCATCTAGTTGTAATCATTAAAAAACACTTTCTTATTCCTGTACCACTGGTACATGTCTGTATCAATGAGGTCTAACTAGGAAAATATTTTACTTATTTTCTTTTCTTTTTCTTTTCTTTTTTTTTTTTTTTTTTTGAGACAGAGTCTTGCTCTGTCGCCCAGGCTGGAGTGCAGTGGCGCAATCTCAGCTCACTGCAAGCTCCACCTCCCAGGTTCACGCCATTCTCTTGCCTCAGCCTCCCGAGTAGCTGGGACTACAGGCGCCCGCCATCACGCCTCGCTAATTTTTTGTATCTTCAGTAGAGATGGGGTTTCACTGTGTTAGCCAGGATGGTCTCGATCTCCTGACCTCATGATCCGCCCACCTTGGCCTCCCAAAGTGCTGGGATTACAGGCTTCAGCCACGGCGCCCAGCCTACATATTTTCTGTCTTTCTTTCTTTCTTTTTTTTTTTTGTTTGAGACAGAGTTTTGCTCTTGTTGCCCAGGCTGGAGGGCAATGGCGGGATCTCAGCTAACTGCAACCTCAACCTCCCGGGTTCAAATGATTCTCCTGCCTCAGCCTCCCGAGTAGCTGGGATTATAGGCATGCACCACCACGCTGGGCTAATTTTGTATTTTTAGTAGAGACAGGGTTTCTTCATGTTGATCAGGCTGGTCTCGAACTCTTGACCTCAGGTGATCCGCCTGTCTTGGCCTCCGAAACTGCTGGGATTACAGGCGTGAGCCACCACGCCCCGCACTATTTTACATATTTTCAAAGGAGATCATGCAATGCAGGTAACTGGCTACACAGGTCTGAGAAGCCAAACAGAGGATAGTGAGGTAATCTAGGCATTAGCAGCAGCAGGAAGTCACTGCCACCCTGGGCTGAAGGACGAAAGGGAGGAGGTGCTGTTACTGGAGCCAAGGGGTTGGGGTCACCTCATGAAAGCTGGAACCACAGCAGGTCCATTTGGTAGGAGCTGGAGTCACAGAGGAGATATAGCAATTGTCAAAGGTGCCAAGATTAAGGGATAGAGGATAGGGGAGAATATTCCTTCCCTGACCTGCCCATCTTCTGCCAGTGCCTCCCACTGGCTGTATCCAGCTAGAAAACAGCTAGTACAGGGGCCCGGCAAATGCAGCCTGTAGGGGTCAGCCCCTTTTCCATACAGAGGATGGAAAGGGCAAGGACAGGCAGGCCAGGACTGGCACAAGATCCAAATTCTCCCTTCTTATAACTTTTATCCATTAGTCCCACATCAGCCTAGAATCTAAGTCTCTACACATTTAAGGACATCCATCCAGTCATGCCTTGTTTGTTTGTTTTTTTTCCTTCTCCAGCCTGACATTCAAACTTTCTCATACAGAATGGTTTCCAAACCTCTTTCATCATCTTGATTCCCCCACCTTGGGGAGATCCCTGATATGTCTTCTTAAAATGTGGCACCAGATGTTCATAAGACCCCAGGTGTCTGTAAGACTAGCTCCAATACAGAAGAACTATTCCTGCCCTTATTGTAGCAATACAGCTATTATCCCACTGTTGACTCATGTTGCTCTTATGGACAACTAAGACCCACATGTCTTTCCCATATGATTTTGTCTTCTCTTACCTGTGTTAGTATGGTAATCTATACCATTGATAAGCACAAGCATCAAATTCTTTCTCTAAATCACTACTCTTGTTGTTGTCTTTAAAAAAAAAAAATAAGTAGAATAAACTAGAGCCAAGGGCAGAGCTCTGTGTCACTCCACTGGATACCTCCTTCCTAGGTAACTCAAAGCCATGAATCAAAGCTCACTGGGTAGGATTGTTCAACCTACTCCAGATCCACCTAGCAGCAAGGAAACTGTGTAAGACCTCCTCAAAACTTAAATCACAACATATGGTATCTGTGACAGTCACTTCCCTTCATTTTGCACCTGAAACACAGAGGATACTCAACAAATACTTGATACATCCCAAGTCAAATAAAATTATCTTGATTTATATACTTCATGACTCTGTTTAAAGAAAGTTAACATGGTTATTTTAGCAGGACATGGTAAGGAACCCATGTTGGCTGCTGGTGATCACCATTCTCTTCTTTAACCATTTATAAACCTGTTTGTTTCAGATTTTTGCTAGACAGCAACAAAAAACTCATCAATTGGTTATTTCCGGAATCAACTCCTTTCTTCCCTTTGAGAACTGGGGTAACATTGCCCCACCCAGTCTTTGGGTACTTTCCTATCATCCTGAAAACCACAAAGACTCTAGTTGCCGCTGAAACCTCATGGGTCTTGATTCCGTCTTCTCTCCTGTGGGAATAATACTGACCTTTTCTATGCCACAAAGCTGTGTAAGGATCCAGGAATATGGGAAGGCACTGGGCAGAGCTCAACAGTCACTTAGGGTACCCACATACAAGCTGTGTAGATGCTTGTAAGAACAGCTCTCATGCAGCAGTGGAGTCACATCCCATAGCCAAAATGAATGCCACAAGTGAGATCACACACCATGTGTGATCAGGGAGGCTCTCAGTGAACCTAAGATCCTGGTGCTGCTATTTAAAGGGCTTATAAATAACCCCATAGGGTTGGGCTAGGGCACAACAGAGGTTGGGCCCATAGAGTTTTCTTCTCTCTCTCTCTTTCTCTTCTCCCTTTCTCCTTCTCAATTTCCCTCTCCCTTTGTATCAGTGCTTTTGAGTCACTATAATTGCATTAACCACCAAGAAAGCTATCCTGCTGGCAGCTCAGGAAGCAGAAGCTAAGAACCCAGGAGAACAGCTGGATGCCAAAGTTGCCAGCCTCATCCACCCTCTGCCTCCTACAAGGGGTCTGGACTTGGATGGGGCTGTGCAGAGGACACACTGCCCACAAAGAAAGTGTGGAAGGAAACTTTGCATTCTTCTCCTAAACCTCCTCTGGGCTCAACTGATGCTGGACAAATGCAAGAATGAACTCAAATAACCCACCTGCTGCCTAGTGGAGATTATACCCATGAAAATTCTTGATAACCTTAAAGTCTTGGGATATATACAGCAATTATTTTGTTAGTTGCAATTTTCTTTCTTGTTTCTCTCTCCCAAGGAAAACGAAGGAGGCTGAAAGTTCACAGGCATTGATTAATGATGTGTGCAAAGATTTAGACACGAGGATATTGATTGATGCTATTATAGCAGAAAATTGGAAACAACCTAACTGCTCAACAATAGAGGATTGTTTAAATACATATGGTATACTCATCCAGTAGAATATTGTACAGCTATTAAAAATCATGTTATCAAAGAGTAGATGAAATGATGTTCACAACATATTGTTAAAAGGAAAAAGCAATTTACAAAAGCAGAATACTGTACACACACAGAAGGAAACTTCTCAAAAGATATGTTAACCGTGACTGCAATTAGTAAAATTACGAATTAATTTATATTCTTTTTTGTTTATATGTATTTTCCAATTTTTCTAGTAATCTGCATTACTTTTTAAATAAGAGGGGAGACAAATAAAAGCTTATTTTTACTGGCAAGAAAGAAATAGGAAAGCTCCCTTTCTCAAGGCTGTCTTCTAGCACCATGTTCTGTTAGATGGATATCAAGCTAGCTTGGACCCTGCTCTCCAGCTTACCTACAGTCCCATGGAGGCCCCCTCAGCTCTGGGTAGAAGCTTCCTTGGGACCAAAGTCTACCTTGAGACAAATGATTAAAAATAGGGCCAACCTTTCACCTCTAAGGACCAAAGGCCACTTCAGCCTACAGAAAACAGCGGTTCTAGAGCTGGTGGGTTTTCAAAGCAGAGCAGCAGTCCTAGCGTGTGAAAAGTATCTCCTTCCCTCCTCCCACTGCTGAAGGTTTGCAGACAGCTCCCTTTCCATCCCACAAGAGGAGACAGGCAGATGAGTCATAGCACTGGCTCAGATTAAAGGAGTATTATTGTGTTAGCAGAAATGGATCTATTTTATTATCTGTTTCTTGACACCTTACAAATAGATACGCTTTACCCACCAGACAGGCAATTTCCTTAAAAAGCCAACAATTTTGTTCACTCTAGTTAAGAAATGACCAATGAGTGGTAGAAACTCGTATATCTGAAGAGCTGCCAGGCTGAAAAGATGTAGTGGAAACACTGAGGAAGGTGGCTTATAACCCTCAGACTCTAGATTCAAGTCTGCAAAGTGATGCCATTTTTCTAAAAATATACAGAGGAACTACAGAAACCCTTTCCCTTTTTCTCTTTCTTAAGAGTTTTTCCCCCCCCACAAGAAATATATCAGAACTGGTTTGTAAAAGGAGATTCACCACCTCAGATTTCACTGTTTTAGTGGGGTTGATGGTCATAGGATACTATTTTAAGGACTTCCTTCTCTTACACAGATTTTTCCATACTGGGAGGAGAGATAAGGTATGTTCCACTAATGTTCCTCATTAAACTCACACGCATGCCAGTAGTCATTTCCCTTTGTCTTGCTGTCCCATGACAACAGATTGTACATCATAGGAAATTGGAATCGAGACCTTGTTTAGTTTGGATCTCTCTTCCCCATTGTCTAATTCCACATTCAATTCAATTTTTCATTCTATGTCTGCCTCGTTTAGCAGAAATATACTATGAATGAATATAGGAGCAGGTAAATGAATAGGCATTATCTAAGAACTTCACTCAAAGACTTTTCAGGATACCTTGACCAGTTCTTTCTCTCCCCCCCATGCCCAAAGCATTTATCTCTGGGTCAAAATGTGCTAGATACTTAATGAAGACCTGACGACTGATGAGCATACATGTGTTGTAAATGTGTGTTCTCAGTACATTGTTTACTGTTGATCAAATTCCAGTAGCTTCTCTGTTTCCTTTTTGCTGTTATTCATACATGTCTCTGTGGTCTGTCTCCCTCACACTGCAACCCAGGCTACCTGTCCATTAAAACAAAAGCAAAACCAAAAAAGCTTCCATGAAGTGCAAGGAAAGGAGGTCTAAGGAAACAGGGAAAGTTTCACATTTCCTGTTATTGAATCTAGGCACAACCTTTAGAGGAAGCTGAATGCCTTTTGAATCCCATATGCTCTGTTCTGTGAAGCTATCATTGTTGTTTTACCTTATAACTGAAAAGCTATTATGGCAAACTTTTTAAATGATCCCAGCTATTTGTTTTTCGAGTATCATCTTGTATCCAAATTTTGCCATTACTTTTTTCTTTCTTTCTTTTTTTTTTTTTTTTTTTTTGAGACAGCGTGTTGCTCTTGTTGCCCAGGCTGGAGTGCAATGGCACGATCTCGGCTCACTGCAACTTCCGCCTCCTGGGTTCAAGCGATTCTCCTGCCTCAGCCTCCCGAGTAGCAGTGATTACAGGCATGCACCACCACACCTGGCTAATTTTGTGTTTTTAGTCGAGACAGAGTTTCTCCATGTTGGTCAGGCTGGTCTCAAACTCCCGACCTCAGGTGATCCACCCGCCTCAGTTTCCCAAAGTGCTGGGATTACAGGCGTGAGCCACCGTGCCCGGCCCCCACTTTTTTCTTTTCATTAAAAAATGCAACTCTAAAATATTTTGTTTTTCTAAATGGGATCCATTCAATCTAAAAATTAGTGTTCTTTCCAGTTATCAAACATTCACTGTGTGCCAGGCATTGGGTAATAGCTTTCATACTCATTATTTCATTTATTTACAAACACCCTATGAAGGAGACACCAACACTTGAGGAAACCGAGAGAGGTTTAGCCATTTGCCCAAGATAACACATCCACTGTGGGGCTCTTTTGACCATTTCATCAATATCCATCCAACTTGTATCACTAGAGTCCATGAGCTTGGCCATCCTTTGTTTTCTGAAAACACAAAGTAGAGTGGTATTTGCACTCTGTTAAGCCCACACTTCACTAAAGACGGCAGCCTTCAGGTAGACCAGAAGCCAAAACTCACTTATGACACTGTACCATAGCAGTCAGGAGCAGATCTGGACATCAGACCTGATTTCAAGTCCCAGTTCACCCACCTACTGGACGACCTGAGACCACAGGGACATCATCTGCTGTCTCTGAGACTTTTCCCATCTGTAAAATGGGAATGAAAATAAGTTGAATTCTATGAACTTGCCAACTTTCAACCATATTCTACTTCCAAAAAGTATTTTCAAATGGTGCAACCTAAATTCTTCACTGGGTCATTGTACAGATTAGATGAGGACACAAAGGGAAATGTTCAGTAAGTGGCGCTTTTTAGCAGACTTTTTCTTCTTGATTTTCTTTTGCTCTGGCCAATAATTTGCATTCTCTGGGCAGACTTTACAAGCAGAGAACCCAGCTTGAGGCTTTGTGAGTGTAGGAGCCTATAATAGGGAGGCAATAAGAGCATATAGATAACCAAGAATTAACAACAACAAAAAAGGCCTCGGTGCTCCGTGCATTTCCCCCCTCGTTTGGGCTCTTAATTAGTAAATAGGTTTACAAATGCTTTTTTTTTTCCTTTCATAAAGGATGGTGTTACGGAAGTTTAGCACTCTGTGTTTAATCCCATCAACAAAGAAAAGCTTTTAAAATTAATTCTGGCCCCTCTAGTCGAGGGCGCGAAATAGCACGGCTGCTTGATTGGCAGGGTGGCTCCAACCTTCCAGGCGAGCCAGTGTTCAGACTCACCGAGCCCCCGGAACCCGCTTCACCACCGCTTGCCCCACCTGCCCTGCCCTCGCTGGCAGAAGACTCAAACAGCCGGAGTTAGCATTACCTGCCTGTGTGTTTACTTCGTCACTAGGTGCCAGGCCCAGCGCTCGGTCCCGCACACGCCTTGTCTTACTACTTTCCACAACAGTCCAACTGTCATCTCCCCCCACCCCGCCCCCTTCCCTTATTCCCCGCTCCCTTCCCTTATTCCCCGCTCCCCTTCCCTTATTCCCCGCCCCCCTTCCCTCATCTTCCTAGTGAGAAAACAAACACAGGTCTCGTCCAAGGTCTCTGAGCGGAGGAGTTGGACTCGAACCCTGGCAACCCCATAAGTCGGAACACTCGGAACCTCTCCTTTCCTGCGCGAGTTGAAGCTCTTTTTCACCTAGTAATTTTACAAACTTGGCCTCACCCTAGGGAAGGGGCTCGGCCTTGCAGACCAGCACAACCTCGCCGCGCGAGGCAAGTCCAAGGGCTCCGACGCAGGGCGCGGGTAGGGAGGCGCGGCGCCGCCCCCGGGATATTTAACCCCAGCCTGGAGCCCGCCGGGCGCCGGACGCTCGGGCTCCTCGGCGCTCGCGCCTCCCCTCCCTCCTCCCGGCTGTCTCCCGGAGCGCCCCACCCTCCGCCCTGCGCTCGCCTCGCGCGCAGGCACCGGCCGGCGGGCGCGGGGAGCGGGGCGCGGCGGCGCTCGCCTCTGCGGAGCCGCCCCCTGGCCGCTGCCGCCGCGCACCGCCCAGCCCGCGCCGCCCGCGCCGCCCGGGCTCCAGCCGCCCCGCTGTCCGCCCTGAGTGCGCCGCGGCTGCCCGAGCGCCCCGCAGACGGGCGGGTGGCCGTGGACGCCCAGCCAGCAGCCCGCAGCATGGATTCGGATTCCGGGGAGCAGAGCGAGGGCGAGCCCGTGACCGCCGCAGGTACCTAGGGGCCGCGACGGCCCAGGCGGGTGGGCTGGGGCTGGGGAGGACGGGAGGCTGGGGCATGAAATCGGGAAGCCGATCCTCAGCAGCCCGACCCCTTCCAGGCCAAGACTGGGGATTGCTCCGCGTCGTGAGTTTGCTTTGGGGCTTCCCCCAACCCCATTGCACTTGGGCGCGCGGGAGGGAGGGAAGGTGCATTTAGGGGTGGCTCTCCTTGCTGCCAGTCTCCCGCGGCGGGCTCTGGTCGCCCGGGCTGGGTGGGGGCGGGGAAGGGTTCGGGAATCCGCGTACTGTAGTTTGCTGCAGAGAGGGTTGCAACACATCTGCCTTTTGAAATAACTTTCCGAGCGCGGGCCGGGTCCTCGAACCTGGGGCGCCGGGACTGCGCTGCGGCGCAGGTGACTGGGTCCAAGAACGTGACTGGGGGCTCTGAACAGAAAAGGCCTCGCGAGTGGTTGGGGCAGGGGTCAAACCACAGCTTGCGGCCGCGGTTCCCGAGGCTGCTAGGAGAGCCCATGCACAGGGTCCATCGCTGCCGCGCAGCCGGCGGAGAAGGTCCAGAAGGTCCCCGCGGACTGGTCCCCGAACACAGACGCAGGGGCGCGCGCCTCCCGACTTCGCCTTTAAGAGGCCCCGCCGGCTTTTCACAATCGATAGTTATTAAAGCAATAGGTGGATGCTTACTTAGGGAAGAAAAAAAATGAATGTCCTCCCCCGCCTCTCCCTGATACTGAGCAACAGGAGGAAGCCACCCACAGCCGTGGGTCGACTTGCCGCCGGTCTCTGCCCACCTCCACCGGTCCGCTCCGCCCCCCACCCACGGGTCTACGCACCTAGGACCCGCTCGCCCTCCTCACGTGCCCACAGCTCCCGGCGCTTGTGCAGCTCTGAAGGTTAGCTGTGGGCCTGCAGACCCGTGACCTGCGGGCTGGGACCCTCCTGTACAGACCGCGGCCCTGGCTAAGCCCCCACTCTTCCCAGTGTCACACTAGAGTACTGACGGTGGGGACCAAGTAACAGAAGGCACCATCAGTCCAGCCGTGGGTGTAGGAAAGAGAGGTTCGGGAACCAAGCAGGACAGTGCCCTGCGTATATTATTAATACCCTTTCATCCTCACAGCCCCTGGCCAGGCAGTTATTTTCATTTTACAGAGATTCCCATAGAGTAAAGGGCTTGCCCACTTCTCACAGCCAGGGAGTAGCCAGGACCCAGTGACGCCCTTCACCCTGCATCAGACCCCACAGAGGGTGGCTGTGGCCCGCACCTTTGGGTGGGTGGGAAGGGCCAAGGCTGGCGGAAAGGAAATGCCAAGATGCGTGTATTTAAGGATTCCTGTGTGTGTGCAAGTGCCACCTGCTTTGCCTAGGTATGATATAATTCATAAACATGAGCCCTTTGCATGCCTGTATGTTTCTGTGACTATAAAGTGCTGAGATTTTGCTTCACAGGTGACTTGTGGATCTCCTCTCATCATTTAAAAGTTCCAGTAGATGTTTTGTGTGTATCTATTTCGAGAGCGCAAGCGGGAAGGGGACATTGACCCTGACGCTTAACTCTCTCAAAATCCTAAGAACAACATTCTCTGTGCTCCCCTGCCCAACCCTCTATCTCTTCTTCTGGTTGAAGTTAAGGGGTTGAGGGAGAAGCGGGAGGAGGATAAGGAGGCTTAGAGAAAGAGGAAGGAAGAGAAGCCGGGGGCAGGGAGGAGAATCTTCAGAATCCCTGGTACTTGGGTGAAAGGGAAGGAAAAGAATTCTGCTGCACCCTGTTGTTTTCTCTCTCCAGCCTGACCCAGTGTTTAATATCCCTGTTGTATTCACGGTCAGTTTGTGTCAGAAGGCCTCTGCGTAGCTGACAGCAAACATCACTAAGGTCAGATGGGCCCCATGAAGAACAGGGCAGACAGCTCTCGTGAGCTGTCACTATTTGTTTGCACCTTACTGTTTTCTGCAGTTGTTTCTTCTTTCTGCGTGTGCTTGAATCTCACACGTTGAACATGTATTTTAATGTCACAAGCCATTCTGCTAAATGGCAGTCAGTCTCACGCATTATATTCCATCTTAAAGTATTCTCCTGTATGACAGTGCTTCAAAGCTGGATGTTAATTCACCACCTTGCTAGGGCTGCATCCTGTCAAATGGAAACCGTTGTTGCAGATTCAGATACAGGTTAGATAACAGGTGTGTTCTCCTTAGAGATTGACCTTTGTCTCTACAAGAAACTTGACATTCATCCATGGACCTGTATCTATGAAAGCTGAATGGGTGTAACTGAGAAGTACAGCAGAGTGAGTGGGACCTCTTGGAGTACTTATATGTGTGTGTGTACCTGCCTCACAGGGAGTTGAGACATAAGGGCTGCTTCCTCATCCATGCCTTTCCATTTCCTGAATTTATGAAAAAGCCCTGCCATAAGATGGACATTGTAAGTGTAAAAGGCTGGACTCTGGAATTGAACAGACCTGAGTTTCAGTCTGCACCTCATGGGCAAGTTATTTAACATCTCCAACCTCAGTTTCCCACTCTGTAAAATGAGGATAACAGTAGTACCACAGGGGTTTATGAAGATTCAGTATAATAACACGAGAGGTGTTCCTGGTAATCATTTAGTAAATGGTAGCTGTTATTTTGATTATTACCTGATTGGATTATTTGTTGTAAGAATACTGCTAAATAATGAACTCTAGTGTTTTAAAATATAAATGCATGTTTAAAACAATTAATGTTGCTGCTGTTATTATCACATTAATATAACTGCCTAAAGAGATTTGTTTTGAATTTTCTCCTTTTCAGTCTCTTGTTCATTATCTCTGGTGTGTGCACGTGTGTGTGTGTGTGTGTGTGTGTGTGTGTGTGTGTGTGTGCTTGAGGAGGTCTTTTTAGTTTACCTCTTCTCATCTTCATCCATCTTCCAGCACAAGGCATGAAGATGGGGATATTCCAACCTGCTGCTTTCACCAGCTTCTCCTATGCCTCTAGGGAAAGTTATAAAAAAAACAGAACCCCTTACTCAGTCCACCTGCTAATGTGGAGATGAAAGCGTTTCTTCTTTCATGGTGCTTCAAGTGGAAGAAGAGGAGGCAATCCCCTGCCCTCCACCTCCCACATTCCATTGGTAAACCTTTTCCCTTCAAGGTGGCAGGAACCATCATGGTCACCTTTCTAGTCACCTATTGGCAGAGGACAAAGACAACTCACTTTTTACTGTACTACTTTCAAGAGACTCTTCCAAAGTTCCCCCCACTTTGTGCGTGCAGAGCAGATCTCTCATAGAGCAACACGCTGCAGTGGAGGGTGGGGCGGAGGATGAAATTTGTCTCCATCTGCATTTTCTGTTTTTCAGGAAGCACAGAATGATGCTTCTATGTCATTGTGCTGCCTGCATTCTCCTCTGCCTTTCTGTCATTTTATGGATCTTTCTATGATTAGGGAAGAGGCAAGGTTTATGGAACACTGGATTCTTTCCAGAGACCCAACTTGGCACTCTTTCCTTTGGCAAACCCACCATCCATCTCTCAGAAATCCTAGAGCTTGGTGTATTCACTTGGGAGTGGTTAAGTCTTTCCTAAGAAGCAACAGGAGAGTAAACAGCGACGTCAGTTTTTTCCCCTTTCTGGCTTGGAAGATCAAGACAGCCTACCCAGCTGAGGGCAGATAAGCTCCTTCCTCCCACAAATAGATGGTCCAGGGCAATCAAGCTGATGGTGCCCTTGTGCCTGGGTCGGTGCTGCAGAAAAGCATTTCCATGTGATGGAGTCAGAATGTGGTAGGGGAACCACAAGAGAAAAACAGGACTGGGAAAACACCAGGCCCCTAACTCTGCCCTTCCTCTCCCTCTCCTCCCCTACATGCTTAGCTTGGTCCACATGAACCAACTGAAGGAATGGATAGGATTCAATAGGATCCTGTTGAGGAGGTGGCAGGTGAAAGGGAAAGACATTCCAGAAGTCATACAGCTTGAGAAAAGACACAAATAAACAGGAAGGCAGCTAGAGTAGAGGGCGCATACTGGGGAGTTCTGGGAGATAAAGCTAAGCGAGTACAGGGAGTAAGTTGGTCTTGGCAGGGCTTCTGGAGCCCCCATGATTCTTGAGCAGAGATGTGACCAAATGAAAGCTGAGTTTTCAGAATGTACATCTGGCAGAGATGGAGAGATGCAAGATTTGCCTGGACTTGGCACCTCAACTCCCAGGGTATGGCCACAACATCAGAGAAGGTAGTGGCACTAAGGCAAGATGGAAGAGGGAGGGTGCAAATGGCATTTCAGAGAAATCAACAACAGAAGTTGGTGACAGATTGTACAAAAGCAGTGAAAGGAGAGGGAGAGTTGAAGGAGACAGTGACATGTTGTGTTGGGTAACGTTCTCTGGAGGCAGGGAAATGCAGGAGACAGGCTCCCCCACCCCACAGACGCTGCCTCTTCCTTCAGGCACTTAGCAGTGGTGTTTGGGGTAAAGATTCTTTTCCCCTTTGACATTAAGTTTCTCAGGTGCATTAGTTTTGAGGCACTGTGAGGTTTGAGGGTTTGTTGATTCTCATTGCTAGGTTCCTTGCAGAGGCTGTTTAGTAATCTTTGTCTACTGACAGATTGAAGATAAATGGGCTGGCCTGCTAAGGGCAAGGACAGCCTGGGAATGATGTGCCATTTGGTTATTAGTCATATTCCCATTTCTTGTTCCTGTTTGTTGAAATTTGCACGGATCTCTGCCTCATCCACAGAGTAAGCTGTAGCTGCTTTCGGAGTCAGGACCTTGTCTTGTGCTTCTTCATGTTCCTGGGATTTTATGGACATAGTAAGTGAATGAGCATCTTGAGGAACCTCCTAAGAACTTTGCCCTAAAAGGCCAGACCAGCAGCCAGAAACCTGTCCTATAAAGTAGACAGGATGCCAAGGCTTTCCCTCAGTGTTTTGTTTTGTTTTAGTGTTTTAAGATTTCTGTACTGTCTGGGACTCTGTGTTAGGAATTATGGGAAATGCAAAGAGAGATAAGGACACAGTTCACCCTGTCCTCCAGGACTTGACATTGGATGAGGAGACAGGGTATGTCTACTGATGACCACAGCCTAAGCCAGTGCATGAAGACTCCTCACCTCCCTTACCTGGCATCATATCCACAACCACATATCCCTTGACACCAGCCCTTCCTATTGCATACTTTATGGTTATTCCTGTGCTGGACTGTTAGTTAGCTTCCTAAGGACAAGGACTGGGTCTTTTTCATCTGTATCAGCCCATGCCACCCATGTCCCCTAAGCATAGTGGCAGGTTGCTGGCTGAATAGGTAGGTGGGTGGGTGGGCGGATGGATGGATGGATGAATGGATGGTGTTGTGGGTTGGTTTGCTAGGAAGCAGACTGTGAGATGGAGGTCAGCAGCATGTACAAGGTTTATTTGGGACTTCTCTTGGAATTAATAACTGTAGAAGGCAAGGGAAAAAAGGGGGAAGGGAAGGGAGCAGGACTGGGCAGAGAAGCTGAGCTACCATGTAGACCCAACAGCCTCAGTTGAGCCCATGGGAACTCTGGAGCTAGAATGGCTCATCAGAACTATTCTGAGTTGGGGTGAGAGGCCAGGTCTTTATACCTTTACACCCCCAAAATAAGCAGTCATTAAAGGCAAGTCATTTCAAGGAACTAGGAATAACCTTGAGTGAGGCTGTTCCCTCCAGCTGAGGGCTTCTGCAGGTAGCACTACCAGCCACTTGTGGAGGAAGTCCTTTGTTCCTGAAGGGGAGTCCGTGCAGCACATGGCAGTGGTCACCACAGGTGGCCTCCACAGATCTTTAGGACTGTTTACTAGGGATGGCAGGCCTGTCTACCAGCAGAATTCAGGGGATAGTTGTTGAACTGCAAACTTTGTCTAGACCTCTTTGGGGCAGTTTCGGTTGCCAGATTAAAGTGGCCATTCTAGACCTCATAGCTCTGAATCCAACTGTTCAATCCACACAGTCCAGTAGATGCTGGCTGATCAGCTGTTTTGTGTTCAGAGTGGTGCCAGGTGCTGTGATAGTATACAGAAATGCATTTAGATGTGCTCCTGCCTTCCAGAGGTTTGTAGCCATATTGGGGAGAGAAAACCCACCTCAAACTGGATCTGTAAAACTGGGCAGCACCAGCAGTAATTGGTGCAGGATTTGGAGCATAGGGCAATGTGATTTGGAATTCTAGTGGGAAGGCTTCTTAAGGTGAAGACTGAGTGTATATGAATATATACATGGAAAGCTCTATTTCCTATGTTATTTTTCTCATAAAAAATACAGCACTTGCCTTTTTATTTGTCAACAAAGCTAAATTTTAGTCACACTTTCTATTAGCATAGTTCCCTAACTGGTTCATTTCCCTTCAGCATTACCCTTGGCTCCCATTCGAATTCACATGTAAATCTCTATAAAGACACTACATAAATAACTTTGTTTTGTTTTTCAGTCACTTGGCTTCCAACTCTTTATGTAAAATGCCTATGTAGGTGGATGTTTGGGCTGTATTCTATACAAATATAGAAATAAAAGGATAGAGAAGAAGAATTTAAAAGACAAGTTTCCTCTAAAAATCCAATCCAAAAAATCATATCAGGAGAGCAAATATCCTCCCCCTTCCCATATATATATATATATATATATAAAGGTATGCTAGAAAAATTTTATTTTATTACATATCAGAAATGTTCTTTTTAGGCAATGGCATGGGACAAATTCTGAGTCTGCTTTAGAACAATCTTCACGTTCATATTGGGTTTCCTAAGCATCATTGCCTGGGAATAAATTTGAGCCTGTTCATGGAAAATCTACCAGTGTGCATACTGTAAAAATGGAAGGCTTGGCAGCACAGAAAGTGCTAGACACACCCTAATAGAAACCAGTATTTTGTAACTCAGTTCTCTGGGAAAAAAAGGAGACACTTGGTGGTGTCCAATATTGCTTTAAACTATTGAAAAACCACAGGGGCAGCCACTGGCTTCTAGGTTGTGTTTCAGAAGTAAAATGTGCTTTCTGGGAAAATATTCTGGCCATGAAAGGAAGCATGTTAGCCATACGTAGCTTCATGGAGACTCCTGGTTTATATTTTTGTAGTAGAAGCATCCAGTTTCACATGAGGGAGGAGATTCTGGAAGGAGCTGTTGCTAGTGAGCACACACATCCCACACTCCTGATTTGGAGCCTGTGGGTTATGCTGGGAAGGTGGGCAAATACGAAGTCAAATACGGGAGGTAGGTGAGGGGAGCCATCTGCCCAGCAGGCCTCTGTGGCAGCTCTTTCCTGCCACAATTGAGTCATGGCTCCTTGGTTTCCTTTGGATAAGACTGAGAAAGTGAGGGTGGGAAGGCTGGGATTGGGGGTTACAGGATAAGAGAAACCAGGGTTTAAGAAATTGTGAGCTGGGTGCAGTGGCTCACGCCTGTAATCCCAGCACTTTGGGAGGCTGAGGCGGGTGGATCACCTGAGGTCAGAAGTTCAAGACCAGCCATCTCTACTAAAAATACAAAAATTAGCTGGGCATGGTGGTGCATGCCTGCAATCCTAGCTACTCGGGAGGCTGAGGCAGGAGAATTGCTTGAACTCGGGAGGCAGAAGTTGCAGTGAGCCTAGATCGTGCCACTGCACTCCAGCCTGGGCAAAAGAGAGACTCTGACTCCAAAAAAAAAAAAAGAAGTTGTAGCAAAACAAGATGAGAAATAAGATGGCATGATCCTTGCCAGCCCAAGGTCAGCCCCAGAGGGCTGTTACTGAACATAAAAGTATAATGATGTTTTACTTTTTATTTATCCTATATTAATTAAGCACTTACAATGTATTCGGGACTGGGTTAATTGTTTATATGGTAGTTGATCCTTATACCAGCCTTCTGGGCTATGTACTATAAATAGCCCCAATTTATAGAACAGAAAACCAAACACAGAGAGGTTAAGTAACCTGCTCAGGGTTGCACAGCTTGTCAGTAGAAATGAAGCCAGTCTAACTCCAGAGACTCTTCTCTTGCACCAGGTAGACTACGTAATTAGATTCACGGATGCCACCAGGCTGTCTTGCATCCCCCACACAGCTCCCACGGTTCCCAGAACCCTAACCCTTAGGCTCCCTCTGTTAGGTGAGGGCATTCTGCCTCCACAAAGGCCTGCTTTAAGCTGCAGACATTCCCTGCATTAGCCTATAAACAAAATGGGGAAGGACTGGCTGACTCCAGATCCAGATCAGGGGATGGTAAAGGGCGATCTGTGAGGGAAGATGGGAGAGTTAGCACAAAGCCACTGCTAGGCAGAAGGCCCTAGAAGGACGCTCCAGCCGTGGGCTTCTTCTGGATCACATGGGCCTGGTGAGAGAGGAGAGAAGAAGGTTTGAAAAGCAGAGTTAAGAGAGATACCAAAGTCAAATACACCCTTTTTCAAAGTGTGCTTAAGCTGGGTCCTAAGCCCTTTTTTTCACCCCAGCATTTAGAATCATTTCAGATATACAATCCCCAGGACATGGTGACCAGCAGGACTTGAGGAGAGAAAATTCAAAAGGTGAGAGTGCAACATAGTGAAAAGAACTTGACATTCAGAGCTGGATGACTCAGGTCTGTGTTTCAAGCATTGTCGCTTAGTTATTGCTTGTCAGTAACATTATTTTCTGACCAAAAAAGTGCAAGCTCATGGTAGAATATGTGAAAACAGTACAAGGAAGAAAATTAGATTGAGCCCTAAGAGAAGACTGCACTATTCCAAGAAGGTGGTCCAAAAGCAATTTGAAAAAGATGTGAGAGCTTTATTTAGGGAGAGAGGAGGGTTTAAAAAGAATGAGAGTCCTGTTTCTGAAATGTTGACCTGGGATGCTAAAAACATTTTGTTCCACTGTCAGGCAGTGTTAGAACCAGAACTGGAGGCCAGATCCCATGGCTTCTTTGTGTTTACCCCAAAACATGTAATTAAAAAAAAAAAAAAAAGAATCGGAGCTATTCCAGGTATTGAGATATCAAAAGGACTTTTGCTGTTTTTCCTTCTGACACCTTCTACTGTGTTCTTGCCACTCCCTCCCATCACCTGCATTTCCTTTCTTAGGTTTCTCCATCCTGGGCCCATTTGCCACAGGTCAGACCAGCACAGGCCCACGCTAGCACGTTGCCCAGGGGCCTCCTTCCCTTGGGTCAGGCCCACTTCTCTTTCTTAGTCAGAAGAGCCCTCCACAAAGCCCTCAGAAGATTAATGCATTTTTTTTTAATACTTGAGAGGCATTTGGTAGGTTTTACAGATGCCCAGTGACAATTGCAAAGGTTAATTTACTTTGAGCTTAAATAGCTACCAGCTTCAAGAAAAGTTTATTGGCCACTAGTTCTCCAATTACATTTTATCTTTCTTTAGATTGATTTTTTTTTTTATTGTAAAGAAACTGGCATGTTTGTTCATCCATGTTTGGTCTCTCTACCTTTAGGATTTAACTTCATAATTCGCTGAGTCAAACAACGCAGGCAGAGCTAAATTTATACAGGGTCAACTTTTAGAGAGCCCACAGCAGTATCTGGTAGGTATCAAACCTGAATTTTTGTGACTCTATTTTTCTTTGTTTCTAACTTCTCTGTGTATAATCCTGGTTTCTCTGTACCTTCTCAGTTGCTCCTCCTGCATCCCTCATTAATACCTTTTTCCTAACTATGTCCCTTAAGATGGAGCTCTTGCCTTGCTTTTTTCTGACAAAATACTTTATTAGAAAAGACCATCCATTCTTATAACAATAGCTGTAAGCTTTTGGGAAGCTAAAGGCTCCCAAAGTTGTACTCTAGCCCAGTCTTCTTTCCTGAGCAAGAATCCTGTCTTCTAAAGGCCCCGGACCCCTCCTCCTCACTGTTTAGGAGACACCCCAACACACCCACTCCAGGCCATCACCTTTCCCTCACTTTTTCCCAACTCTGCTGGTGGCCTTGACAGCCACCGAGTCACTCGAAGTTAAAAGACTGTGAAATCATAGAACAGTGAAAACTCCTCCACACATGTTCTCATAGCAAAACCATGACATGGATAAAGCAGGTATTATCATTCCTAGTTTACAGATGAAGAAACAGATGCAGAGAGATTAAATTATCCCAATCACAAAGTAAATGGCAGATTTTTGCTATTTAAAACTGGCCAGGGCGGGGGCAGAAACAAACCTAAATAAACAACTTGAATATTCAGTCAAATATTTATGGAATGATTAAATACATAATGACATTTCCACACAGTGGGATATTATTCAGATGTTAAGGAAAGTTAATTTGAAGAACATTTGATGATATAGGGAAATGTTCACATTATAACATTGTCAAAGAAGGCTCAATAATCTGTGATCCCTGTTTTTCTGTATGTACGTATATACATAAATGTGCATACACACACACACACACACACCCCTATACATCTACCCCTTTGTATATGGAGAGGGGGAGAAATCTCCCCTCACAGTCACACACGTAAACACTTGAGATTTTTTGTTAATGCTCGAGCAAAATAAACCACTCTGTGATGAGTGCATAGGTAATTTTAATTGTCTTCTTTGTAGTCTTCCAGATTTGTCTTCAGTGAGTACATGCAGCTTTCAGCTGGTAATTTGCTTTTATAAACAATAGCCAAGTGAGCTGCAGTGCCTGTTCCCCAGCTCATCCTCCTGCAGGCTTGTCCCAGGCCCCTCCGTCCTCTCCCTTGAAATTTGCTCTTCCATCAATTCCCTGTGTTCCAGTCCTCTGTGGCCCCCCTCACTGGCTCCGCCCAGCCCCCTGCCTGGGGTGATCCAGCCTTCTGCCCTGTTCACCCCCTGCCCTAGCCTCAGCCCTTGCTTTCTCTGGTGCCTCCACCCCCATCACCACCTCCTGCTCTGAGCCCACCTGGCCTAGCCTTTGTGGGCCTCCATGCCATGAACAGGGTCAGAGCTTGTAAATATGAGGCCTACAGACTGGCCAAGGACACTGCAGCATCCCAGTCTAAACGCACCCGTGGGTGAGCCTGTGGACTCAGCCATCTTGGCTTTCTTGAAACTCAGCGTCGCTGCTGCTCGCTGGCTGGCAGGGGGTCCACTTGGCAGCTCTGACCCACATGCCCTCTGCAACCCTTCCTCTGTCCTTGACCTCTATTCCAGATATGAGTGACATTCACTTCCCACATTTTCATTTACCTATACTAATTTTGTGTTTTTATTACTTTTTAAATTAGAGGGGGATACAACGACATTTAAAAGCCTGTTGTAACGGGATTGTTAGCTTTTAGGAGGTATTGGTCTGCCACCACCACCGTCAGTCCATCGTTCCAAAAAAATTTATTATTGAGGAGTGGTGTGATATTAAATATAATGTGAATCTATTTCTGAAGGAATTAGACTGAAATTTAATTGAAGATTCCTTGTGCATCTTGAAGCTAAAAATAAGAGATCATACGGTGGCCCCAGAATCCCTTACTCCCCTCTAGCCTCCCAAGCAGAGGTAGCCCAGTCAGGAGGCTTCTAGAAAAGGAAGTGCCCACCATTTAGATTCACATTTAACAGAATTTTTAACCCAGTTTTAAATTAGCCCCAATCACCCTTAATAGTTGGTATTCCCCATCAGCCAGGATTTTGTCTATCTTTATTTACTTTCTTGGTTTATATTATGAAAAATGATTTATCCTTACTCCTTTTCAGGTATAAAATTATACAGTCAGGTGCTGCATAATGATATTTTGGACGTGATAGTAGTCCCTAGGCTTACAATGGAGCTAAAAATTCCTTGCACCTGATGATGTTTTGACGATCTTGACCCTTTGTCGGCAGAGACTAATGTATGTGTTTTTCTTAGTTTTTAACAAAAAAGTTTAAAAAGTAAAAGAAAAAAATTAATAGAAAAAAGCTTATAGAATAAAGATATAAAGGAAAAAATAATTTTTGTACAGCTATACAATGTGCTTGTGTTTTAAGCTAAGTGTTACAACAAAAGTCAAAAAGTTTTTAAAAATTTAAAGTTTATAAAGTAAAAAAGTTTCAGTAAGCTAAGGGTAATTTATCACTGAAGAAAGAAAAATGTTTTTTATAAGATTAATGTAGCCTAGGTGTACAGTGTTGATAAAGTCTATAGTAGTGTACAGTTATGTCCTGGGCCTCCACATTCACTCTCCACTCATTCACTGACTCACCTGGAACAACTTCCAGTCCTGCAAGCTCTATTCATGCTAAGTGCCTTAGAGAAGTAGACCATTTTTTATCTTTTATACTGCATTTTTACTGTACCTTATACATGTTTAGATATACAAATACCATTGTGTTACAGGTGCCTACAGTATTCAGTACAGTAACATACGGTACAAGTTTGTAGCCTAGGAGCAAAATGCTGTACCATATAGCCTAGGTGGTAGTGGGCTTGACCATCTAGGTTTGTATAAGTACACCGTATGATGTTCACCCAATGGCAAAATCCCCTAATGCATTTCTGAGAACGTAGCCCCATCAAGTCACTCATGACTCTATGTTGACTATGCTTTTTCACGCTTCCAGAAAAGTCCCCTCATTAAAAAAAAAAAAAAAAATTCACTCTTTCTTAGTTTTCAAGTTGAAAGCAGGAAAGTTCCCTTATTTAGTGCCTTTATGAAGGAGCCATCTTTTCTTATTATTTGCAAGTGAGTGACTATGACCACTGTGATTTTAAAAGGAGAGATCAGGGAATAAGAGAGGGAGAATGATTGAGACAGGAGCAAATTGTTGGACAAAGGGAGCATTGTGCCCAAAATGATGGATAGCTCATCCTAAGACCAGCAAGCGTGGTAAGCACAAGGGCTGCTACCAACCACCTCTACCCAGGATTTCTCCTCATCCTGGGAGGGAGGTCAGTGATGTGCCGAGACTCAGGGAATGGATGAGGAGGCCTGTTTCCACCCATTCTTAGTGTTTTGTTTTGTTTTCTGTTGTGTTGTTGTTAAAAAACAAACTATGTAAAAAGTAGCTCTGCCAAATTGTCATCACTCAATGAGAGTGGCTGAGGTCTGAGCAGCATGTGAAGAGGGTGGAGGTTGGTGCTAAGACAGCACACAGGTGGAATCAAGGCCAGGTGAGGGCCAAGAGCAGCTGGTCAGTGGTTCAGGGAGTCATGGGGCACATGACAGGAGTGCTGTAGGACAAGTCCATTCTCTCATGAGTCACTGAGTCCCGTCATGGCTGCCCCAGCTTTCTTGAGCCCCTCCACCTGGAGGGTAGCCTCTTTTAAGCTCAAAGAATCTAAAACTTCCAGAAAAGCTGGGCCCCCCATGGGCCCTACCCATCTTGTCCACACTCCAGAAGCTTAATATCTCCTCCTGACTTCACCCTGTCCTCCCCATCTCCCTGGTCCCAGCTCTCTGCCTCACCTGAGATGTCTTCCCTTCCCTAGCCCATCTCAGGCCCAGATGCTGCTCTCCGTTTCCACTGCCTTGGGCCCCCACCCACCCCCACAAGCCCTCCTGAGTGTTAGAGGGACTAAGGCAGTGAAAAAGCCAAGTCTTGTGGCCATTCCTGGAGTTAAGTCACGAAGCAAAAATCTTAAAAGCTTCCAGAGAGAAAAAAAACAGGCCCTTACCAATGTATACTAGTTTTCTAAATAGCAACACTGAACTTTAGACAACAATGATGCCCTGCCTTTGAATTCTCAAGGCAAATGATTTCCAACATAGAGCTCTAGACCAAGGCAAACCATCCATCAAGGGTGTGGTTGGAATAAAGTCATTGTATGATATGTTAGATACCAAAAAATGACTTTATCATGTCCTCTTCCTGAGATAGCTGCTTACTCAGGCGGCAGCCAACTGAGGCCCCCAGGCCAAATCTGGCCTGCCACCTGTTTTTGTGTTTCCATTTTTAAGTACACCTTACATGGTTATTTACACTTTACATGGTTATTTAAGTACCTATACAATATCCTCTATTTTGCCTTTTTCTCCTTTACTCTGTGGCTCTTTAAGGCGGTTTGCCGAAGTCTGTGCTAGACCAAGTGCTCCACTGAACCGAGGACCAAATTAAGAAAAAGGAGTTGTGAGATCCAAGAAACAGGAGATGGACACAGGAGAGAAGGGGTAAAGAGTGAAGGGAGGACCCAGGATGACTACGTGTGTCAGGCATCAAGAGAAACATGCCCAGACTTGAGTTGGGGGACAGAGGGCTGCCAGAGATATCTCCAAGAAAAAAAAAAAGTGGAAGCAGTTGATTAGTTGATGTGTTTGAACCTATTGAGAAGAACTTTCTATTCTGCTACGAACTTTAGGAATGAATTTGCACTAGACAGATAAAAAACTAACCAGGAGATTAAAAAATAGTGTTTAACTCCTGGGAAAACAAGATGAATAAGAAAGGAAATGCAGGCATGGAAGTTATAGGACACTACATGACTTGGCTATGAATGATAGCTAAATCATAGTAATGTCATCGCTGAAGTTTGATTTAACCAAATGTTGAAAGAGAAGCAAATTGGAAGGTGGAAGGAGAAATGAATGGGAAAGAAAGCTAAGTTTTCACCTTCTGTAGTAGACAGTTAAAAGCAAATAAAATCAAGAATTAACAGTGTAAGCATGTAATTTAAATATAGAGAGGTAATTATTCATTGAAACAGCTAAAATAGTTTAAACTATTTTGTCTGTAAGTAGCTAGCATCAGAGGTGTGCTGGGGATGCTACATCATGTTATAAGCCTCCCTTGTGGAATGACTTTTCTTTTTTTTCTTTCTTTCTTTTTTTTTTTTTTTTTTTTTTTTGAGACAAAGTCTTGCTCTGTCACCCAGGCTGGAGTGCAGAGTGCAGTGGCATGATCATAGCTCACTGCAGCCTCGAACTCCTAGCCTCAAGTGAACCTCCCACATTGGCCTCCAAAGTGCTGAGATTACAGGCATGAGCCACCATGCTCAGTCTGATTTGACTTTTTAAATAATTGTACCCTGTATTACTTTGAAAATAATTTTCTTAATAAAAAGAAAAGAAGTGACAGAGCAACCTGGTGAGTGATGTGGCAACCATTCCCAGGTGAGAGTGTCTCAGGCCCCTGGTTGGAGGACATGCCAGCTCTCATTATCATTATTGTTCCTGACATGAGTGTGAATGCATTTCAATAAAATGTCATGAGTGAGAGCCATGCATTCAAGCAATGAACATTCTCTGTTTCAGTCCCTAGCTACAGTTGCCCAGATAAATAAGCCTTGGTCCCTGCCCTCAAGGAGTTCACAGACCAGTGGGTGATAAAATTCCTCATCCAGCTAGTGGATGACTGATTGCTCCACAAGGTGATAAGTGACAGGGCAGGTGATTGCAAAAAGAAATTGCCTAGAAGTCAGAAGTCATTCAAATGGAGCCCTGGAAGCTAAGCAGGAATTGGGCTGGGAAGAGAGTAAGAGGTCAGTGTCCCAGCACAGGGACAGAAAATGCAAAAGTGCAAGGGGACCCAGGCCTGGTGCAGGTGAGACCTGCCTGTGGCCTGGAGCTGGGAGCTTAGGGTTTGTAGAGGGTGAAGAGAAGACAGATGTCAGTTCAGTGGCCTGGTGTGCCATGCTAAAGAGTTGTCTGGGCTGTCTTGAAGGTTATGGGAATCCCCTCAAGGCCTTTTCTAGAGGAGCAGCATCATCGAAGCCTGCTGTCAGCCTGGTGTGGAAAATAGAACAGTAGCTGGGGTAGAGAGATGAGCAAGGAGACAGACAAGCATTCGGGGAAGAAACCATGAGGGTCTGTACTGAGGTAGCGAAAGAGAGGCAGAGGAAGGCAGGTGCATTTAAAGATGTTACAGAAGCTGAATAGACAGTCGGAGGCCTCGTTAGATATGGGAGGTGAGGGAGAGAAATAAGGCAAGGATGGTCCCCAGGTTCTTGTCTGGACACAGGCCGGTGGCAGAGTCACGTATCATACAAGGAGAGGACTTCAGGAGGGTTGGAGAAAGGAGCTGAGAGAAATGTTGAATGTGGAGGGGGAGGGATCAGGCAAGCAGTTATGGATGGGAGAGTCCCCTGGACTGGGGAACATGCGGGGCAGGGGTCAGTCCATGGGACAGGGGTGGCATCTCACACTTGGGAAGTGTCTAGCGAGAGAAGAGGACCCTGAGTGAGCTCAGGAGGACACCCAGACATGAAGCATAGACAGAGGAGGAGGAGGCCTGGAGGAGGCTAAGGAGGGCCAGAAGAGGTGGGGTTAGGAAAGCAAGACCAACAGAGGGTCCCCTGCTGCTGGTGACCAGGTAAGCCGTGTGTATCGGGGTGCCCTCAGCGTTCCAGGATTACAAGTAGTTAGCATATCTGCCCCCCGGAAACAGCCTTTAGAACCCCCCGCCCCCGCTTATATTTGTGACAACCGAAAATGCCCTCCCATGTTTCCAAACACTCCTCAGGGCCAATTACAAGATTATTTGGTGACCTTGGTGAGAGCGGTTACCAAGGAGTCTGTGGTGAAAGCCAGGGAAGAATAAAACCACAGCTCCTCTGTCCTGCCGTGGCCATTCCCTCCTCAGGCCTCTTCCGGGGCTGCCCAATCACTATTTATTTTTTGAGGTTTAAATGTATATTATTGAGTTCCTAGCACATGTCAGGGACGCCACGGTGAACACGACAGTTAAGGTGATGCAGAAGTTTTTGCCCCTTAGTTCAGCTAAAACGGGGTTCTTGTCACATGACCAGGAAAGATGAGGTCCGCAGACACATTGAAAGGTGAGGGGAGCAGAATTTATTAAAAGAAAGCTCTCGGAGAAAAAAATAAGTGGTCCTGCTAACAGGCTTCCACCTCACAGACTGAATTCCAGGCCAGCACACTCGAGCTGGAGTCCAGGCTCCTCCCCCTGCCCAAGGCGCGAAATCCTGAGGCTCCGCCCCCTGTTCCCCCAGTGCGCATGTGCATATTATTAAGCGAGAAGCTGTCGGGGAAGGGAGGGCAGACAAGGGTGTTCTCCCTCTGGGTTGCGGGTTTCTTACGGGACCGGCAGTCGGGTCTTTCAGCTTTCAGACTGTTTTAGGCTTGAATGGGGTGTTTTGCAAGGGACCCCTTGGCTGTCTCCTGTCTCTATCAAAGGTCTCCCCTCTCGGAACTGCCAGGGTACAAACAATTGAAGCCAGGTGGGGGTTCCTTGACTAGGCCCCCTTGCATAAGATGGGAGCGGGGTGGGCAGCAGGGCGTGCTTGGCTTAGGGAGGAGCTGCGCTGAGCAAAGCGGGATGAGAGGCTGGGGAGACAGGCGGGGCAGCTGGGATATGGGACCAGCGGGAAGGGCTGGCCTTGAGGTTTCGGACACGAGTCCCACCCACAGCTACGTCAGCACAGGGCGGCCTGCCGGGGCCTGGGGGCCTGGCAGTCTGTGGTTTGGTCTGTGGGCACTGAGGCCAACACAGGAAGAGGCCTTGGGGAGAGCCAGCATGACGCCTGCTGACCGCACGCTCTGTGGCGAGCACAGGCCAAGGACTGACAGAGGAGGCTGAGGTCTAATGGAGGAGTCAAGGGCCCCAGGGAAACAGGGGAGGGAGCAGCATTTTGGAGGGAAGTCACAGATAAGGAAAGCTGGAGGCTCCAAGGTCGATGCCCCAGGTGTTACACAGTGAGAAAGAAGCAGGAGGATTCCATTTACGAAGAATGGCGGGAGTAGAATGGGGGGCGGCAGGAATCCAGCACGGGAGAGGAGGAACGCGGAGGACCTCTCCACAGGCATCAGCGCACATCTGATGCGTGCCCAGATGATGACAAAAATTCAATTTATCATACTTAAGGGGTTACTATTAAATTGAGAAAGCAAATTAGCAGAATCTTCTAGTCTGCTTTCTCATTTAACAGACCCAGAAACCAGCAGGTAAAGAGATGGGCCCATGGCACACAGTGAGTGCGCTGGGGGTGGCAGGGGCAGGGCAGGGCTGGAGGCCGGGCTCTGTCTTCCACTTCCTGCTGCTGGCTCAGTGGCAAAAGTCAGGACCAGGACTGGGCTCTCTCGTTTTCCCTGTATCCGAGGAGCTAGCTACTCCATGGATACACCCTGGCATCTTGATTGTGCAGGACAGCCATTCTCAGCATCTTTGAGTGACCACACCTGGTGATTTGGTTGGAAAACAGTGAAACCTTTTGGTGGTACTTCTTTACGTTACCATGAAGTATAAAAAATTCTATTCTTAGCCATTTGTGGCCTTAGAGTTTAATTTAGAAAGGAAGCCTGAGAGAAAGTCACATTTCTGAGAAACTTCCAGGAAGTTAAGCCTCCACAGCTAGTTGGCCCCTCCCATTACGTGATGTGAATGGGATTCCCCCTGGACTCAGAGTGGTTCCATCACAGTAGCGGTCCCAGCAGAGCTTAGGAGCCCAACCTCAGGAGATCTTGCGGGTGTCATCCCACCTCCCATCTGCTAACAACATCCCTCAACACTGTCATTCCACAGGCCAGATATTGACCATGACACCAGCAGATATTAAAAATGTGGCTTGACTTGTCTTAAATCCGTAAACAAAACCAGTTTTACTACAGAGTATATGTAAGGGAGATTATAAGCAATATATTACATGTCCCTTTCCTGCTGTTCCGCATTCAGATTGACTGAAATCCAAAAATGTCATTGTTCAGGATTCATATTTCACTAAAAAAAAAATCAAGTAGAACACTGAGGAAGCCATAATGCTGTCTGCCAAATCATCTCCCATACAGAAGTACCTTCTGGTTTCTTCTCCCTCGTGTGTTCTGACCTCTCAAGTACAGCTAACAGTTTGTCTAGTTGTTGTTAAGCTCACTAAGCTGAGGGTTTACATGTTACTACATTAATTAATTAGAGCACCTTCCAGTAGCCTCAGTCCACTGTCACAGGCCATGTTTTGTTTCTTTTTTCCAAGATAGACGAGTTTGTTCCATTTTATTGTTTTGCACATTTTAGGTTCTGCATCCATCCTCCAAAAATTACAGCATTCCAAAGACTGACATTTTTATTGCATTAGACTGTTTACTAATTTCACATATTACGGTGTTGGCATGCTCCCATGGCTCTGAATGTGGCATCCTACTGGTGTCCTTGTTAGCAGTCTGGTGTTCTGAGCCTGAGTTCTTGGGTGCCTGCCGTGGTAGAGAAAGTTTGGGAGCTGCCAGCAGAGAGAGAGAGGATTGCCCAGAGAGACAGAACGTGGACTGTGCTATTCCAAGCCCGACAGCTCCTGAGTATATTAAAATAGCTCATGAGTGTGAAGGGGCGTAAATGGGGAGGCTCCAGGGGTGGCAGGAAGGAGGGGTGCTTCTGCCATGGAGAAAGGGTTTACTGCTGGAACTGAACACTGAGAGCATGGTGGGCAATCCCTCTGGCCCCCAGGTGATGCTGCTGTTGTTGGGTCAAAGACAGGCAGAACCCAAGTGGGCCAAGCAGATAGCTCCGTATGAAAGGCAAAGGGTGGACCTTGTGCTTAGTTCAGAAGGCATTTGAGTACATTCAGTTCCACCTGCACATTGTGAATATGCACCTCCTTCCAGGTGTGGGTCCTGAACTGATGGAATCTGAGCCTCAAAGAACAAGAACAAACACGCTAAAATCATTCATCAGTCATTCATTTACTGAGACATATATACAAGACATATACTGAGTAACTTCTGCATAGTAGGCAGTTCTGCTTATGGGGATTCACAGGTCTTCTGAGCATCAATCCCTAAGAACTCAGCACCGGATGCGGAAAGTAGATGGCCAGTCGCAGTGCAGCACAGGAACAGGGCTACCACTGAGCTAGGTGTGAGGGCCAGCCTCCCTGACAAGAGGGATATAAGGGTTGGCCAGGGGCTCATGGTGGGAGGGGACCTTCAGCGGCAACAAACAACCTGTCAGCTGTGCCTCTTCCACCTGGGCGAGGGTCCACTGGATTCAGCTATGGCACGAGAGTCAGGGCATGGCTGGCAGCCAGGGCAGCACCCTTAGGGAGAGCTGGCTTGACTTCTGGTACTGTTTGGCTGTCATCCCGACTATTTCAGCCAGTTGGGTTAGGGCAAAACCATTTTTGTGAAGAGTTGAGCCTCCTTTTGGCTTTGAATTGGGCAAGCAGGCCTCTGGTAGGAGGGATGGGATCCGGTGGGCAGAGCCAGAGGTCTGTTCATGGAGCTCCTCTTCAGTATCTCCTGTTACTTTGTTACTTAGGAAGGAGCATTAGAAGGGAATCCTACCATGTGCCAAAAGGCACCCTTTTCCCCAACAGGCAGCCTGCTGCTAGGTTGTTACTTTCTGCAGATACTTCATAGCAAAAACTGGAAACAGTTTGAAACCTACCAAGAGGGGACCAGTAGAGAAAATGGTGGCATGTGCTATTGTCAAAAAACAATGATGTAGTACATTTGTTGTCATGGAAAGATATCCTCAGAATGTCGAGTGAAATGCAGGCTAGTTTTACTAAAACTGTCAAAAAACAGTTAATCCCCACCTTACATAAACACTCTCAGACACAGAAAAAGAAGGAAAGCTACTCAATCCGTTTTATGGGACTAGTCTTCTCTGACATCAAAATTTGACAAAGATAGTACTATGAAAAAGTTATAGACCAATCTCACTTTTGAGTATAGTTGCAAAATGCAATATTTACTAGTAGAATTCACCAGTATAGTAAATACATATGCATCATTGACCAAGTAGGGCTTATCCTGGGAATATAATGATGATTTAAATCAAAAAGTCTTTGAATAATTGGTTAAATTTACATATTATAAGATAAATTATATGATCATCTCAGTGGATACAAAGAAATTGTTTGCTAAAATTGGATACATTTCTACTTAAAAGCAAACAATGCCTTAGCAAAATAGGAATAAAAGGAAGATAACTTGATAAGGGGTATCCATCAAAACCCACAGCAAACATTGCATACTCAGGGAAATTTTAGAGACAATCCTGTTAAAGTTAGGAACAAGACCAGGATGCCATGTAATGCTATTCAACACTGTGCTGGATGTTTTCTACCGGTGTTATAAAGCAGGAAAAAGAAATAGGGGGTCAAAGAAAACAATCATTTTGTGTAGGCAATGTTGTCTACATTAAAAAGTCCAAGAGATGCTATATAAATTAGAACTCATAACAGAGCTCGGCAAAATGTCTCAATTGGAGATAAGTATACAGGGATCAGTTGGGTTCCTATGCATCATTAATAACCATTTAGAAACTGTAATAGAAAAAAATTAACAGCAGCAACCAAAACTGTAAGGTAGCTAGAAGTAAATCTAATGAAAGATATGCAAGAGATTTATGGAGATGACTGTAAACATAATTGAAGGACACAGAAGAAGATATGACTAAATGGAGAGACATGTCATGTTAATGGAGAGGAAGATTCAGTATCATAAAGATACCAGTTTAGGCTGGGCGTGGTGGCTCACGCCTATAGTCCCAGCACTTTGGGAGGCCAAGGCAGGCAGATCACCTGAGGTCGGGAGTTTGAGACCAGCCTGACCAACATGGAGGAACCCCATCTCTACTAAAAATACAAAATTAGCCAGGCATGGTGGCGCATGCCTGTAATCCCAGCTACTCAGGAGGCTGAGGCAGAAGAATCGCTTGAAACCGGGAGGTGGAGGTTGCAGTGAGCCGAGATTGCACCATTGCACTCCAGCCTGGGCAACAAGAGCAAAACTCTGTCTCAAAAAAAAAAAAAAAAAAAAAAAGGATCCCAGTTTACTTCAGATCAACATAGAGTGCTCATGGCATTTGATCATATTATCCTAAAATTCCTATGGAAGAATAAAGGCAAGAATAATCAAGACAGTTTCTAAGCAGAATAAAGTGAGGGTGAGGAGGGGCACTTCCCTTTGGACTATCATGACTTACGAGTTATATTAAGAAAACTTGGTTTTTGTACTGAAATAGACCAGAGTCTAATAAACAGAGTAAAAAACTCAAAAACAGATCTATGCAATATAGAAACCTGATATGAAAAGAAGGGGCCTACCAGATAGGTAGCAGAAGTATGAACTATTCAATAAATAGAATAAATCGTGGGGAGAAAAAGATTCCCAACCTCATGCAATATGTACAGATAATTTTCAGATTGATTAAAGACCTAAATGTGAAAAACAAAACCTTTAAACCTCTGGAAAATATATGGTTATCTTTTATCACCTCATGGCAAGAGAAGAATTTTTAAAATGAGATACAGAAACCACCAACCATCAAGGAAAAGATTGATAAATTAGACTATTAAAATTTTAGATTTCTGGCCAGGCGCGGTGGCTTATGCCTATAATCTCAGCACTTTGGGAGGCTAAGAGGAGGCAGATCACTTGAGATCAGGAGTTCGAGATCAGCCTGACCAACATAGAGAAACCCCATCTGTACTAAAAATACAAAATTAGCCGGGCATGGTGGTGCATGCCTGTAATCCCAGTTACTCGGGAGGCTGCAGCAAGAGAATTGCTTGAAACCAGGAGGCAGAGGTTGCGGTGAGCCGAGATCGTGCCATTGCACTCCAGCCTGGGCAACAAGAGTGAAACTCCATCTAAAAAAAAAATAGCTTTCTGTATGATTAAAGACACCATAATAAAGTTAAAATGTAATGCTACAGACTGGGAAGAGATAGTTGCCAGCCCTGTGATCAGCAGAGGCTTAGAATCATAAGCAAAATATACAAAAAAGAAAAATATATATAATTCAACTGAAAAAATGAGTAAATTATATGAACAAGCAATTTGCAGAAGAGAAAAACCTTAATGCCCAATAAACACAAATACATTGACTCTCACCAGCAATCAGGAACATGCATATTAAAACAAGGTACCATTTTATACCTATCAGATTGGCAAAAATTAAAAAGTTGGATGATTTGAAGTGTTGATGAGGAAGTGCAACCACAGGAACTCAAGACACTGCTGCTGGGAGTGAAAATGAGTGCAGTCTCTCTGGAGAGCCATTGGCAGCCCTTGCTGCTGCAGGCCTTGGCAATCAAGTTATAGGTATAGACCCCAGGAGACTGTTGTGTGTGTGCGCACAAGGAGACACTTTTTCCTTGCAGAAAATGGAAAGAACTTAAATGTCCATCAGGAGGAAACTTGAAGATATATATTTATATAAGCAACTAAATGATTAAACAAGATAAATCTTGAAAACAGGATGTGGAATAAAGAGTTGTAGAAGGATCTGTGTAGTATGACACCTTCTGTGTGAAATTTAAACATGATGTTGATGCATGCATACTTATGAAATGAGACAAAAGCATAAAAACGTGGATAGATGAAAAAAAAATACAACTTCTGTAGTGCAGTTTGATCTGGGAGCTAGAAGCAGAAGAGAGGGAGTTGAAAGCAAAGAGGGCTTTACCTCTCCCTGTCTTTGAGGGTAAACTATTAAGAATTTTTCCACCTGAGTGGTGACCACACAGTGTTTGTTAAATTATGTTCTATTTTGGCCATATGTTTGAAATGCTTAATATTTAAAATATTAACAATTGTTCCATCTGGGTGGTGGCTACACAGTATTTGTTAAATTATCTTCTATTTTGTTTATGTTTATGTATATGTTTTTAGGCATTACATATTTTTATCTATTTATATGTTTGAAACACTTGGTGGTTTTTAGAAAATTAATTCTTTTTTTTTTTTTTTTTTTTTTTGAGACGGAGTCTCGCTCTGTCGCCCAGGCTGGAGTGCAGTGGCGGGATCTCGGCTCACTGCAAGCTCCACCTCCCGGGTTCACGCCATTCTCCTGCCTCAGCCTCCCAAGTAGCTGGGACTACAGGCGCCCGCCACTACGCCCGGCTAATTTTTTTTTTTGTATTTTTAGTAGAGACGGGGTTTCACCGTTTTAGCCGGGATGGTCTCGATCTCCTGACCTCGTGATCCGCCCGCCTTGGCCTCCCAAAGTGCTGGGATTACAGGCGTGAGCCACCGCGCCCGGCCAGAAAATTAATTCTTGTGAGGGAAAAATACTGCTCAATCTCCATCTTAAAGTGGGCAATAATTCAGAAAACATTTAAACTAATTGATGTTTGTCACCCCATGCATCGCAGCTCAGTGTGGCAGGCTGAAGCACTGAACTCAGGCAGACTCTGGGGCAGAGTCTGCCCAATCCAGCTCTGCCACTTTCTAAATGGTGGATTCAGACAAGCTACTTAATCTCTCTTTGCCTTGGTTTCCTTGATGTGAAATGCTGCATCCATTGCTATCGCTGACATTAGTGCCTACTTGATACAGTTGTTGCAAGAATATGATGGCTTAACTGTGCATAAAGCACATGGAAGAGCAAGCACTTTATTATTATTATGCCTGAATATAATCTACCATTCAGAAAGACACTAGTTATTTGTTAGATGCAAGGGATTTGGGGGAATGAATAAGCTTCATTTAAAGAAATCATGTAAGTAGATGTTGTTTTTAGTGATGGTTACTTTTCTGCAGTGAGCCAAAAATATCTCTCAGATCTCCAAAATTAACCTGTTGATTTGGAGATGATTCACCCCCCAGTGGCTTCACAAGTATCTGCTTCAGTGAGCTCTGGTAAGTAAAATTATCAAACACTCATTCACTTTTCAGAGCTGGCTGTAAAATCAATATGAAAAGCAACATTAATATGTAACTGTTGAAATATACAGAATTCCCTCTAAAAATGAAAGCTACATCTATCTTCAAGTCTTGATGAGTATGTTCTATCACATAAGACTGGCCCTTTTGTATTTAAAAAAGTGATGAAATACAACTCCCCTAGGTAGGTGGAGATTCAAACTGAGGCCTTTAATGTTTCAAATAAGTGAGAAATCTCAGTCATTAGGGAGCCAAGGGGAATTTTTCGAAGGCAGATGCAGGAAGGCAAAGACTGTAGGCTTTGGTGTCTGGTGAACTTGGGCCCAACTGCAGCTTTGCTACTTACTAGCCACTTAGCTTGCAGTGAATTACTTAAATTGACTGTGCCTCAGTTTCCTCATCTATAAAATGGAACTCACAGTCCCTCTCTTGAGGAATTGTTGTGAGGATCAGATACATGGTATATACCACCTCATGTGCGTAATCTGTACTCAGCAGTTGTCCTTATCTCTGACATTATCATTAATTGAGTTACAGATTGCTCAGTGCTGATGGGTGATGGATTGGAGGCTCTAAAACAAGCTGAGATAATGAGCTAAAAGGTTTTACAGCTCCTCCTGCCAATCTCTCTTCTCTTCAAGACCCAGGAATTGGGGTAGGGGAAAGGTCTTCATCTTGAAGACAATTAAATGCTGCTTTTCAAGTGTAATTATTCAATGTAAGGCATTGAAGCAATCTGAAATTGCATCCTGTTTTGACTGCCATTGCTTTTGTATGTTCTTATTCAGCACCCTTAAAATGTCCAAAAGAGTTGGGAAATTTTGTCATGTTTGGTGCCCCCAAAACACACAAATCCCCATTCCTAGCCTGTGGATGAATGAATCTCTGGGACTGAGCAGCTACCAACTGCAAAGCCAAAGCTCTCTGCCTGTTAGCAGGCCCCAGCCAAAGGCAGGATCTCAGGGGCACCTAAGCCAGAGCTGGAGTCAGGAAAGCTGGTCACACGGCAGAGGGGGTGAAGACTGGTGAATCAGCACCCCTGTTCTGCATTTGGTTGTCTCCGGTAATTCACTCCTTCATCCTTCCAACCTCTGCCCCCGTCCTATTGCACCCAAGCCTGCCTCTCCCTCCCTACCCTAATTTTTAAATAATTCATTCTCTTTATGAAGAGGAGGGGTAGGCCAGGTGCAGTGGCTCACCCCTGTAATCCCAGCACTTTGGGAGGCCGAGGGGGCGGATCATGAGGTCAGGAGTTCGAGACCAACCTGGCCAACCTGGTGAAACCCCATCTCTACTAAAAATACAAAAATTAGCCAGGCGTGGTGGCGCACACCTGTAATCTCAGCTTACTCGGGAGGCTGAGGCAGGAGAATCGCTTGAACCCGGGAGGCGGAGGTTGCAGTGAGCTGAGATTGTGCCACTGCACTCTAGCCTGGGCAACAGAGCAAGACTCTGTCTTGCAAAAAAAAAAAAAAAAAAAAAACAGGAGGGGTGGTTTGATGGTGGACGACAAAGGGGAGAGAGACACCCAAGAGAGATACAGTGTGGCTCTGACTAAAGTGAATAGAGAATCCACTTTAACCAGCTAAATGGACGTGTTTGCATTTTGAAGGAAGAGCCCACTTATCCCTCAAGATCTCTAGTGGGCTAATTATTTCAGGAAGATGGGTCTTTTCATCATCTCTTCCTTACTGGAAAAGGACAGGGTTTGCAGGGGAAAATGGGAAGACTAGTATAGGACAGGTGAGGTTTGAAGTGTCCTGCTAGACAGGCTGGTGTCACTATCTCCACCCAGATGCCCCATGGGTACCTGGAACTCAGGGATGAATTCATCTTCCCTACAGGCTGGCTCCTCCTCCAAGATGTCCATTTCAGTTGGTGGCACCTCTATATCCTTTCACCCTACCTGTCTCTAAAGCTAGAAGAAACAACTCATCGTCATCCTTGACTCATCCCTGAACCCCAGCAATCACCCATGCTGTTCCTTACTCTGCTCTCTCCCTGTCACCTAGAGGACAAGCTAAAGATCAGAAACACGAGGCATTTAACTATCTTTAAATACAAAGCATTTAACTATCTTTCTAATTGCCATGGCTTCCTACTGCCTTCGGGAAATATCTCAAGGCAAGTAAAAGTATTTGAAATCCATTCTTCAAGTTGTCCCATGGAAATTTTTGAAATGTAGATGGCCCATTTCTTGTCAGATCTGATTAGATCATTACTTTTCCCTTAAAGTGGGGCTGCAGGGAAAGCTCTTGTCAAGAGGAAGGATAATTGTCCACTCTGTGTTTTCCTGCTGTTCACATGTGCCTGTATGATTAGCGGCTCATCTTCAGTCCTCGGTTTTGTTTCTTTCAGGCATTTTTTGAAATCACTGGGCTATTTTGCAAGGGCTAGTTTAGTTAGAATGAAGTAATATAATCAGTGAGTCTGTTTAACCAAGCACACATAAACATATGCTGAAATAAATCAAAACTGCTGAAAGAGAACAAACGAGTGAGGCATAGACTAAGCACCTCTCCCCACCCCATGTGGGGGATGTTTCCCTCATCCCTCAGAATGCCACACAACAGTGGGGCCCAAATCTGTCTGTGTATTAAATATTAGTAAAGCTTAATTTATCTCATTACAAAAAAGGAAACCTAAATAGAGGTTCTAAGAGTTCCATTTTTTGCACCCCACCAGTGGTGCCTAGTGGAGGCTGCTACCCTTTAAGTCATGGTGTCCCCCATGAGTCCCACAAGCTGCCTGCTTCCTGTGGCAGGTGGTGGAAATTTGGGAGACCTCAGGACTTCCCAGAAGCAGGGGTAAGCTCGGGGTATCTGTCTTCAAGGCAGGTGGCTCCTCTGGAGGGTTGGGAAGGGACCAGACCCAAGAAGTCTTCAAGAATATGCTGCAAAGTTAACCCTGAGTCTGAAAAATCCATTCCCTAACCCTTCTAAATCATCTAAGTTTTACCATGGGTGCCTTTTAAAGTGTTCCCAAATGCCTTTTGTAAGCCTCAGAAGTGCCACCCTCTCTCACGTATGAAAGGAATTGGACCAATAAAGGCACTTTTCATGAGCTTCTAAGCTTTGATCATTTCTCCATGGGAGAGGGGAGGATCAAGGTTTTTTTTTGTTTGTCTCTAACTCAAAGGCCCCACCATCCCTTAAGGCTTTCATTTCATTCTACCTCCTCCAGCTCCATGTTCTTTCTTTAGAATTCTAGGAATATACAAACAACAGTTTTATACAAGGGATGGAAAATGTTTTCTAGTTTGAATCCACTGGAGATGCAACAACTCAATGAGTCTCTCTGGAAGCCACAACTGTATTAGGTTCACATTTCAAAACACTACTTAAAGTTCCTTAATGGTCCTGCCCCCACAGCTACTTAGGGACATCCAAAACCTAAAGCAGAAGCAGTGTCTTCTTGAGGAAGCATTTTATCATTGTCAAGGATATCCCATCCTGCATACCACCACGCCTCACCCCTACAGCATACACCTTCCTCATCATTCACCCACAGAACAGAAAAGGAGACGGGAAGGGGTGGGGAGGCCATCACTCTCACCACTCGCTCCTGACCACTTATCAGTAGTGAAAGATGGAGCATGAGAGACGTGACAGGTTCAGTCAGCTTTTCTGGCTGCATAAACTGAGCAGAAGGATGGTTGCTCATCATGAAAGTTCAAGTTCAGGCCAGACGCTGTGGCTCAATGCCTGTAATTCCAGCACTTTGGGAGGCCGAGGCGGGTGGATCACGAGGTCAGGAGTTCGTAGACCAGCCTGGCCAACATGTTGAAACCCCGTCTCTACTAAAAATACAAAAATTAGCCAGGCATGGTGGTGTGTACCTGTAGTCCCAGCTACTCGGGAGGCGGAGGCAGGAGAATCGCTTGAATCCAGGAGGCAGAGGTTTCAGTGAGCTGAGACTGTGCCACTGCCCTCCAGCCTGGGCGACAAAGTGAGACTCTGTCTCAAAAAAAAAAAAAAAAGGAAAGAAAGTTCAAGTTCAAAGCAGTTTGTGAGCCTGCTCCGTCTTAAGGAGACTTGCTTGAAGTTCTTCCATTTTTTGTTTTTTTTTTTCCCCCTAACAATTAAGTGTAAGTGATTGAGTGCCAGAAACTTGGACTACCAGGAATCTCCCTCTGCCCAGGGCTCTTACCCCACCCCTTGGGCCTTTCCTCCCACCTTCCCTGTCTTTTGGGTCCCCTGCCTTGACAAATGATGCCCATTAAGCACTCCAGATTGTTTTCTTCTGGGAACCATCTTCACTCTTAACTTCTGCTTAACATTTTTAGCTAATTCTCTTCCCTGCCATTATCTCAAGCTATTTAGAGAAATGAAGTAATTCTGATGTGTACTGACTATTACAAATAATTTCCCATTTTATAATTTTGACACAGCTATCCACACTTACATTCAAGTTTTCCACACACTCCTTAGAGAAGTTTCCAAGTCCTGTGAAAAAGAGGGGAGAATAGCTGTCCCCTCACCCTGTCCACTCCCACATCCTAGAGTGATGCTCAGAGGCCCTTTTCTGGGCTGTAGCTGAGAGCTCAGAGCCTGTCATGTTTTATAACCATCATTTACTTTATTTTTCCCAAAATTTATTACCTTGTTCTTACCATGCTGAAGCTATTCTGCCCACTCACCCAGCTTGGTAAAGATCTTCCTGTTGTTTATCACCATTAGCTTGGCATTTCACCATCTGGGAGAGCTTAGTGTTTTCTAGAAACATGGAAACATCACTTGTACTCTGGCTGAACATCATTTATAAAAGCAGCAGCTCAGACTGACCCCAGCACTTTTCCATGCAGTGAAGTTCCCCCCTTAAATTATCTTTTGCTTTCTCTCTCCAAACTAGCTCACTGCCATTGTCACACCATTCTCCCAACATAGTCCTGGTGTGTTTCCTTTCTTGTAAATGATCGAAGGGTCCTTATTCTCAGAGACTTCATATTATCTTTGATTGAGCTCTTCTATCAATCTTGGTTTAAGGAAGCCCCCTGTCTTTCTACCAGGATGAATTTGCTATCGCTACATAATCACATTTTTATGTCTATTCTCAGAGATTCCGAAGTACTATAAACAATCCATTACCTTTCATGCCTGGAAAATGGGAACTTTTGTTCAAACATGGTTAAAAGAATTATCTCTGGCCAAAAGAGCTTTCCTAGGACTTGTATACAGAAGGAGAAGTTTTTACCAAGACCTATCCTCCATCTTTTAGTGTTTCCCCATTAATAAACACGGTCCACTAGTTAGGCCTGTTTCCCAAATATCCCAAGCACACTTGTGACCTTGACTCCCAAAGCTTAGCTCATGCTGTTTCTTTCAGCCTGCAGTATTCCTCCTTGGTGGGTCACCAATAGGCACCCTGTGCAGAAGGCTGAGGCAGAAGGATGGTTGAAAGCAAGGCCAAGATTTCCATGTGCAGAAAGTCTTGCAAATGGGACTGCTCCCTCAGTGCCCTCTCTCTCCCTTAAATCATTTGTAACATTATGTATGCATGTTGGAAACAATGGTATCTCCCCAGCTTCCCCGTTAAGCTCTGAGAGTTGTGAAAGTGTTCTGTTGACCAGTGTCTTGATTTTATTTCTCTCAATCCTATCCCAGTATTTCCTATAATGCATACCAGAGAATGTGATATATATATGTCATATACATATATATATATATTCATATGTATATGTATATGTCCAGTAAATTTGAGAAGTGGTGGACTAAACAAAACTATGCAGGTATCTTTACTGTAGGACTTCTCAAAGCCTTAATAAGCTACCTGGTATGGTGAACCATCAAAAGCAAACCATGATATATTGTCATCTACAAACTCATTTAACTGACCTCAAGACTTTCTTTCCTGGAGCATCTAACAGGACAAGTGCTCTATAGGATACATGTTGGAGGACACTGTTATAAATCATGGGTCCTACATTCATCATGTCAGAATCACTTAGGGAGCTTGTGACAATTTGGGGTAGAGTATGGAAATCTACTTGGTTGTTGTCTTTTCTTAAAGCCTTCCTGGTAATTTTGGTGGTCCATAACATTTGGGTTCCTCTACATGACACTTTTGATCTTTAAAGCTTCAGAGATGCTATCCCGGTGACCCTCCTGAGCCCTCACTGTAGAAGTTTGTACCCCAAATTACTTGCAGGTAAATAACAAATTCTTATACAAGATAGATGGCTGGAAGCTTATCAGGGAAACCACCCAGGGACTTTGTGACTTGGGGAAAAGTACTGGCCTATATCCATGACTTTAGAAACCACTTCCTAACGTCATAGCTGTCCCTACCTACATGCAAATCCACCTTCAGAGCCCATGGACTTTTCCCCAACTACTCTCACTCATGCCAGTGTGGGCTGTTTCACATGTTTCTGTATTTTGATTCATTGTCAATATCCAGCCTCCTTGCAGGATCATATTCAGAGCAAGACCCAATTGAATACTTTTCTCGGGATATCCTCATAGCACTTGCTACATAGCCACACTAAGAGTAAATGCTCAATAATTGCAGAGAAAACAAGGGACAAAGGGGACCTTGGTCTAAAAGGGACAAAAGGTTGGCTCTAGAATTAAAAAGCAGGTAGAACAGGTGGTAAATGTGGCAAGATGGGTAGGTACTCAGCTTCCCCTGCTGAGATAGGAGCTTCTTAAATGGTATAATCTTCCTCCACTCTTAAGTTGTATCTTCGTTACTTCTCGTTCTTCATATGATAAATATACATCGCTAGTAGTTCAGGAATAGATGACCAACTTGTCCCAATTTGTATGGAACATTTCCAGTTTTAGCAATGAAATTCCACTGCCTGGGAAAGCCCTCCTTGCTGGAAAACTGGGCATTTGGTCACTCAGGAGGCAAAAATAGTTCCCTAATCAAAGAAAATCAAGACTGCTACATCTCATTCTACCCACCTGAATACATTTCCTATTGCTGCTGTAACAAATTACCACAAATTCAGTGGCTTAAGACACCAATTTATCATTTTATATTTCTGGAGATCAGAAGTCCGAAATGGATTTTACAGAGCTAAAATCCAGGTGCTGGCAGGAGCTCCATTTTGTTTTTTTCCTGGAGGCTCCAGGGAACGATCCCCTCCCTGGCCATCTCCAGCTTCTACAGGACACATTCCTTTGTTCTGACTTCTCCATCCATCTTCAGAGCCAGCCACCATGTCACTCCAACCTCTGTTTTCATCATCACATCTCTTTCTCTAACTCACTCTCCCACTTCCCTCTTTCACTCTCAACTTAATCATGTCTACAAATTCCCTTTTGCCAAGTAAGGCAGCATATCCAGTGGTTCCAAGTATGAGAATGTGGATATCTCTGGGGGTCATTAGTCTGCCTACCACACCCACTTCTCTCTGGGAATTGATAGAACACCTTAATGTATTAAATAAATATTTTTAAAATCTCACAGAAAATAAGCTATTTCATTTTGCTTAATCAGTGTTTTTTAAATTTATGTAATCAAGAAATTCTTCTTTTCATCCCAAGGAACACTTAATATTTCATGGAAGGCTGCTGCTCTTGCAGAAAAGTAGGATTCAGAATGGTAGATGGGCAGACTGCAAGAGTCCAGAGACATTCCACAACATGTACAGAGTTTTGAGGGAACTCAGTTATAGATCCAAATTCCTCTTGACAACTTCAATACGTATTCTTTGTACATACTAATATACAAACTCATCTACCTAAGAAGAAACCTAAGGTCAAGGCATGGTGGATCTCCCTTTCTTCCACTGTTGTAGCCTCAACCTCCTGGGCTCAGGCAATCCTCCTATCTTAGCCTCCTGAGTAGCTGAGACCACAGGTGCATGCCTGGCTAATTTTTCACTGTATTTTATTTTATTTTATTTTATTTTATTTTTATTGAGACAGAGTCTCACTCTGTCACACAGGCTGGAGTGCAGTGGCATGATCACAGCTCACTGCAGCCTCAACCTCCTGGGCTCAAGCCATCCTCCCACCTCAGCTTCTCAAGTAGCTGAGACTACAGGTGCATGGCACCACACCCAGCTAATTTTTGTATTTTTCCTAGAGACAGGGTTTTGCCATGTTGCCCAGGATGGTCTCAAACTCCTAGGCTCAAGCTATCTACCTAGCTCAGCCTCCCAAAATGCTGGGATTACAGGGTGTGGTGGCCAAGAAAAAAATTTTAATTGGACATTTTGCCCTGGGGGTACAAAACCTCCTGGCAAACAAAGAGTTGATGTGAAATTCACATTGCCAATGATGATTCTTTTGGTAAGACACCATACCTCACCCCTGCCCCTCTTATTTAGAGGTGCATTTCCAATAAAACTTCATTTCTTATGTTTAGTAAGTAGTTATCAAAATTTTGATATTTTATATTATACCTAAAATAATTAAAATGATAACTCGCTCCAAAGGAAAATTTTTAATTTTTGCCTAGAGATTTATGGTCCCTGGAATCTTCTCTTCATTTAAATTTAAATTCATATGCATCCTTTGGTTGTAGAGAATTATGATGGATTGATAAATATTTTCAAGCAAAGCACATACATGAAGTTAAAGTGCTGTGGGTGAAGTAGAATAGAGATACAATTTCAAGGAGAAAAAAATGTAACATTTCCAATTTTTAAAGAAGACCTTGTTCATGTCATTTTTAAAGTGTACAATAATGGGTATTATATAACAACGGTACTTACGTTACATTGGACACATTTAAAAGAATGATTTAACAGGCTAATTTGAAAATGTCACTATTTACATTATCTAGAAATTATATCTTTCCTAACTATTTAATCTTAACATGCAAAATACTTGCTGACAAGTTTTAAAATATTCAAGGAGGTACACAGTTTTTAAAATTTCTTATATGGGCTGGGCACAGTGTACATTCCTGTAGTCCCAGCTACTTGGGGCTGAGACAGGAGGATTGCTTGAGCCCTGGAGTTCAAGGCCAGCTTTGAGGCCACCATAGTGAGACCCCCATCTCAAAAAACAAAATAAAATAAATGTTGATAAATTGAATTAATTATTATTTTTTTGAGACAGTCTTGCTCTTTTGATCAGGCCAGAGTGAAGTGGCACGATCTCAGCTCACTGCAACCTCTGCCTCCCCAGTTCAAGCAATTCTCGTGTTTCAGACTCCCAAGTAGCTGGGCCTACAGATGCATGCCATCATGCCTGGCTAATTTTTGTATTTTTAATAGAGATGGGGTTTAGCCATGTTGGCCAGGGTGGTCTCAAACTCCTGACCTCAACTGATCCACCCGCCTCAGCCTCCCAAAATGCTGGGATTACAGGCATGAGCCACAGCACCCAGCCAATTAATTATTTTTAAAATAAATCTTATGGGGATATGTGAGCTCTGACAACTGGTCCAGAGCAGAATAGAGGAAATGCTGGCAGTACAAACAGCAGGGTATGGAATCAGGCCAGCAGGAAAGCCTCGGGAAAATGCCCACTTAACCCAGCCCAAAGGGTTAAACAGCGCCTGACACAGAACCAGCACTCCCTTCGCTCAGCCGACACCTGCTGTGTGTGGCCAGTGTGCCAGGCATTGGGGGTAATCAGGCTTAGACACAAGTCCCTGCCCTCAGGCACCAACCTGCCACTGGATGCATATGTAGTTGACCTGCTGCTTCTGTGTAAATGCATGTTGGCTGCATTTCTAGAGAGTCTAAAGACTTATTCTTGGGCAGTTTTTAGAAGCTGTGACTACAAAGCCATGACTCATTTTTTTATATTCTAGAATGGATCCATCTACATTCCACTATTCCTATTAGAATAGTCACCTGAGGAGGCATATACTTATTTCAGTGACAGGACGATTACTCAAAAGTCTTTAAGCTTCATCTGTGGAATTGACTTCAAAGCATACAGTGCAATCTTCTGAATATGCTTAGTGCTTGTAAATATTTGCTTTTGGAGAACAACTTTGATTTTGCAGAGAACAAAAGCTATTCACACAAAGCTCTAGTGATCATGGTAGATGATGAGACTGGGCAGGAATATCATTTGCCTCAAACTCTGGAATAGCATCAGTCAGGAAGTCAGAGCTTTCTCATAGTAAAGAAGAGTCAGGAGAGATTGTTCATTCCTTTTATGTTCTGCACAATGAGTGTTTATTCCTCTTAGCACTGAGGCAGAAGGGAAAAGCCTGGCCATGTCAGGGTCACTTGGGTGTGAAGTTGCTTAAAGATTCTATGGTCTCAGACTTTGGAAGAGAGCTTGCTGGGACTGTGGAAGGCCCCTGGTGCTCGCTGCTTTAGTTCTGCTGACCCAGAAGGAGCAGAGAGGGAGGGACCAGACAAGGACAACAGAAGCCAGGGCATGTGGCCGTCGCTCTGTCTGCTCTGCCTATCCAGTCACTCCTGTGTGGACACAAAGCACTGGACAAAAGCTCTTGGGATTCTCCAGGACCCTCAATTCTCAAAAGGAATATTGGTTTTTCTTAGTATCAGTTTGGTGTACACTGTATTTTACTACTTTCTTATTCTTCTGCATTTCTCTTGTATTTTACTCAACAGCACCATTCCCTATGCTCAGAACGAGCTAGGTGCTGTGGGAGACATTGCCTCTGTCCTTGGGCAATTTGAATCTCCTTGGGAAGATAAGAACAATATACATACATACTGTAGAGTGAGGATAGCCAGTGGGTTTCATTTCAGATGTCAGCTCCAGCTAATTGGTGGCCTTGTAGAGTATTTCATCAAATCAAAACACCATCAATTGTAAGATGCCATTTTATGTGTTCTTAAGAAAAAAATACGCTATAAATTATGAACCATTTCTTTCTTATTAGTTAGAATTTTTATTTATACTTATTGAAAGAGGCTTTTTAGACTTCTTTGCATATAATATTGTGGATTTTTTTAAACATATATTGCTCTCATTCATTCATAAAGTAGAAAATAACAGCAAAATAAATTGGGTCTGGTTTTCCTAAGCTGCTTCACCTTCAGAGTACTACTCATCTCTAGCATCTTTGATTTGGAGTTACTGATGTCTGTGTTCCCACAGTACAACTCTCTATGCCATCAAGAGTATTCAGGAGGCAACATTTCTTACAAAAATTTCTCTTGACTTTCTCCCAAATCTCTGACAACTTTTGTGTAAATTGATGTGCACACAGGTAATAACAACCACAGCACAACAGCTACCTGGCAACAGTAACTGAAAGACCCATCCAATTTTCAATATTTCAAAAGCAAAAGAATACCTCTTAGACCCAATGATATGTGGGTTCTGAGACTCAGTCAAAATGACTGTCATGATCAACTATCCATGTCTGCCCTGGGAATGGGGTTGACAATGGGGCTACATTCGTGCCATTAAGCAATAATTTGCTCCTGTATAGTTTGCAAAGCTGAATGGTTTCCAGCGTGACAGCAGTGGTAGAGTGTTCTCTGTGAGCTAGTAGAATCAGGAAGGCTTTATGAATGAAGTAGGTTTAAAAAGGTAAGATTTGGCCTGGATAAGAGGAGATGACCTCCAGCAGAGGAAGGAGCATAAGCACAGTTTAGAGGATTAAAAAGGGTAAACAAAGCATATCATGTGGAGAGGAAAGTGGGGGAACCAGGCTGGGGTGGGGTTTAGTTAGGGAGCGAGGGAATATAAAGACATGAGTTTTTGCTCTAAGAACATAAGTTCAAGTTAGTGTGTTTTACTTGTGGAAAAGTAACAGACAGTTCTTATATTTCTAAAACTTTTATATATATTTTTTTTACCATAGGTCCTGATGTTTTTAGTTCAAAGAGTCTTGCGCTTCAAGCCCAGAAGAAGATTCTGAGCAAAATAGCCAGCAAAACTGTGGCCAACATGTTGATTGATGACACCAGCAGCGAGATCTTTGATGAGCTCTACAAAGTCACCAAAGAGCACACACACAACAAGAAGGAAGCCCACAAGATCATGAAAGACTTAATCAAGGTGGCGATCAAAATCGGGATCCTCTACCGGAACAACCAGTTTAGCCAAGAGGAGCTGGTTATTGTGGAGAAGTTCCGGAAGAAGCTGAACCAGACCGCCATGACCATTGTCAGCTTCTATGAGGTGGAATACACCTTCGATAGGAACGTGCTCTCCAATCTCCTGCATGAGTGCAAGGACCTGGTGCATGAACTGGTGCAGCGGCACCTGACGCCCAGGACCCACGGGCGCATCAACCACGTCTTTAACCACTTTGCCGATGTGGAGTTCCTCTCCACCCTCTATAGTCTGGATGGAGACTGTAGGCCCAACCTCAAGAGGATTTGTGAAGGAATCAATAAGTTGCTAGATGAGAAAGTCCTTTAAATGCCTTCCCTCCTACTGGACTTTGCTGCTTTAAAGTTACAGCACTCAACCATGATCTGGGTGAGAATCAAGAACATAAGCAGAAACCCTTGTCAAAGATGTCCATGTTCTTTCCTGTTCATCCCTCTGATGCTGATTCTGATGCTGAACTGAGCTCAGGTGTGTTTTTCTTCCAAGCTTTCTAGCAAGGTTTCTACTTAAAATCACCTGTGTGCAAGCCCAAAGGACATTTCATCTATTCTAAGCAGAAAGGCTGTTTTGTTCATTACAGTGAGTGCTGTTCATCTCATGGAGTGGGAGGAGCACTAAACCAGGAGACAGAGGACATGGATTTGGTTTCCAGCTTAACCAGTTAGGACTCTGTCCTCTGCATTCTGGAACCATGATGCCTGCCTGCCTGCCTCACAGGGCTGTTGTGAGGACCAGATGAGATGATGTATGTTCATACTTTTGGAATCTCTAATTTAAAGTCTTAATATTTTGTCTTCTGAGTGTGAGGGGATAAACCTGGATGTAGACTATTAAGCAGCATAGGAGAAAAGAACAATAGAATCTAATGGACTGGGTTTGCAATCTCTCTCTAAATGCACTGCTTCAGACAAAGTGAAATCCAAAGGTGTGAAAAAGTATAGCTGCAAATTGGAAAAATGTGTTTCAAGAGTCGTCTTTTTGGCCAGGCATGGTGGCTCACACCTGTAATCCCAGCACTTTGGGAGGCCGAGGTGGGCAGATTGCCTGAGGTCCGGAGTTCAAGATCAGCCTGGCCAACATGATGAAACCCTATCTCTACTAAAATTACAAAAATTAGCCAGGCGTGGTGGTACACGCCTGTAATCCCAGCTACTCAGGAGGCTGAGGCAGGAGAATTGTTTGAACCTGGGAGATGGAGGCTGCAGTGAGCTGAGATCACGCCACTGTACTCCAGCCTGGGCAACAGAGCAAGACTCTGTCTCTAAAAAATAATAATAATAATAATAATTTTTTTAAAAAGAGGTGTTTTTGAGGTCTTAGATGTTCAGGTTGATGATCCTGCAGAGGGAAACTTTCCATGGGGGGGTGGGGAGAGAGAGTTTTCCATCCACAATATAGAAACAGAGAAGCACTGTGCTCCCTCTGCAGGACCAGCCTTCCCTTATCTAAGGGGCATGGAGCTCAGGGAGGCTTTATTCCATATGCACGGGAGAATCAGGCAGAATGAACCCCTACCCATCTTTCTTGGCTTTTCAGTCATTTTGTGCTGTTTTCTCTGGTTCATTAATAAATTGAAACTGCCCTCCAAACAAGAGATCTTAGAGTTGTGATTCAAAATAAAATTCCTTGGAGTTAAATACAGTGTTAAGAATAACAGGATTGAAAAGAAGAAGAAAATGAAGAGCAAGAGTTCTGCACTCGAACCCCAAGAGGAGGTAGATTCAGGGGAGCACAAGTGGGTGGATCTGTGAGATGGTCAGTGGGGAGCTAGTCCACAGACACAAACCACCTTCTCCAAATGTCACAGCCTTGCTTTCACAGTGCAGCTTCTGACATCTTTTCATCATAGTCTTAACCAACGTCAGCAACAATGTACTTCCTTTCAACACTGTGCCACATTAAGAGACTTGCTCCTCTTGCCTTTCCTTCCATCCTCCTCTGCTTCTCTTCTAATGATAATATAAAAATACCATACTAGCACAGCCCTATGGTTCATCCCACCCCACAGTCTATCTCCAGCAGGAGCATCAAGAGATGGTTTGTGGGGAGGTGTGAAACAATGTCCACTGAGCCTCGCTGGCCATTCAGCCTCAGCTGGCTCTCATGTCAACATCATAGCAAACCATCTAGTTACGTTCTTCAGCCACGCAGCCAGAATTAGTTCATAGGAAGGCTATTCAGTATGGAATATGGAGGAGTAAGGCCAACCCCTGTTCTCCATATTGGACAAACATGGCCTAGCCCTCTACTCAAACCCAAGGGCTGAACAATGATGCCCTGTGCACACCTGGGCTGGGGAGATGGCTGGTCATTTGGCACTGCTGGTGGGAACTACAGGCAGTTGGCTCCCCTTCCTTCCCACCTGCCTGCAAGGCACCAGTCCAGCAGTGCTGGATTTTCTCATGCTGTCTTCAAGGTTTGCCTTGATGTATTTATCTGACAAAAGACTGTTTTCTTGTTCAAAAGATGGTTCTAGAAGTAGGTTCACTGTTCATTAAGTGGACCATTACAGAGAACTCGGACCCAAGAGGAATGAGTGAACTTGTCTTCTGTCCGTGTGAGATACAGTGGGGAAGAAAGCAGGATCCTCAGCTAAAGAAGGTGTTGGGTTCTCTCCTGGCTCTGCAGGCCACAGCACAACAATGGTGTAGGAAGAAGGCTGAGTTGGGTTCTGACAGCCCACAAGTCTCTAAGGAAACTGGGTCCTTTCTGCTTTGGTCAAGGAAGGATCAGCACCTCCACCAGTGAATCTCACCAAGTGCAATGGCAGAGTGTGGACCAAAACATTTTCTGTTACCTTAGGCTCTCCGCTGAGGGAGCCAGTGGGCTGTCTACCTAAGACCCCCAGATTTAGCAGCAGCAACCAGTGGGGATCTGGGCTACCTGGGCACAAGAACTCCTCTAAAAATACAAAGCCAAAACCAATCCCATGTGCACATTTCAAACATACGATTTGCATCTAAATCAAGTGATTCTTGAATTTCATCAAGCAGCTGAAAGGCCTACAAATTTCAAATATTTTACATAACAGTCTAGTGACCAAAGCTAGCTTCTCATTATACAGTCCTATTGGTTTATCCTAAGTACTCTAACCACATCACCTGGTGGCCCTGAAAGGCTGTTTTGGCTGAAAAAAATGTGACAGAGGCCAGCAGATGCTTTGGAAAGCAGGACTCTAGATGTGAATTTGTGCTCAGAGCTCTGTACAAAACTCTCAATATGAGAACCCACAAAAGCAGAGTTAGAATAGCTACATTTTTAGGTCCCCAATAACAAACATATCATTTTGCAAAGTGATGGGAAAGTAATTTCAAAAGAAGCAATGGTACAAGATGGCTCAATTGATCTAGCCCCACACAGACTTCAGACAGCAATGCCTGATTCAGCAAACCAGGTAGGGGTGTGACATTCTTTAAGGCTGAGGAGTGGCAGGAGCAGCTTGCATCAGTCATCTGGAAACATCACTGGGTCTTCAACCATCCCTGAACACTCAGCTCTGTCCCCACAGGAGGACACCAGGGACTTGTGCTGAAATCCTCATCAAGCCCTTTTGTGCGTGTCCTTCCTCATATATCTGAGCCCTGCAGAAACACATTCCCTGCCAGCTGCCACCTGCCATGTGTCTGTACCACTCTTCTCTGTGTTTGCATCTGTGGGTCTTGACACCCTCAGTAACTCCAGGTCTCTGCTCAGTGACAAAATGAAAAGACTTCTCCATCTGTGCTTCTTCAAACTCTCATCTCTCCCATCTGTACATTTTATAGAATCAAATCAGTACATTCATTGGCTGCTCCAATGAACTTATTGCATCCATTTATATTTTAAAAAAGAAAAGAGCTCAAATCAGGCCTATGTGCCCTCTGTCCCAATATCTTTTTTTAATTTTTTTACTTTTTAGAGATAAGGTCTTCCTCTGTCACCCAGGTTGGAGTGTAGTGGCATGATCACAGCTCACTGAAGCCTCAAACTCCTGGGCTCAAGCAATCCTCCTGCCTAAACTTCCCGAGTAGCTGGGACTACAGGTATGCACCACCACGCCTGGCTAATTTTTTTTTTTTTCTGGTAGAGACGGGGGTCTCGCTATGTTGCCCAAGGTGGTCTCCAACTCCTAGCCTTAAGCAATCCTCCCACTTCATCCTCCCAAAGAGCTGAGATTACAGACGTGAGCGAGCCAACTGTGCCCAGCCTTGCCCCAATATTTTTAGGACTTTTCTCTTTTTTTAATTCAACATGATCCCAGAGGTCAAGACCAAAACCAATCAGTGAAAATTCAACTTTAGCTGTGAAAACATTGCACTAACAGGAGCTATCCAACAATGGACCAGAATGTTGACAATAAAGTTATGAATCAGATGGCCTTCGAGAAGAGGGTTGCCAAGGCCCTCCCAACTGGGAGTTGAATGGTCAACTGGATTTTGCTTGTTTAATCTGACCCTGCTACATGAGCCACAGCCCAAGCTGGGGCCAGCTCATGCTCTTTCTTTAGAGGGAGGTCTTGCTTGTTGGCAAGGGTAGGGGAAGGGGAGAGAGAATCTTCTACAACACTATTCCTCAAAATAGCATCTATGAATCTCTGAAAGTCCTGAGGGCAAGGTGGGGAGAAGGGGTAGGTGGAGTCCATGAGTTCCAAAATAAGTTTTTAAGTTTTTGTTTCATTCTGACAACTTTTTAAAAAAATTAAAATCAACATAAGTATGTTCCACATCATTTGGGAATGACCTTATAGCCATGTGGTGCCATCTGGCTTCAGTCTGAGTTTCTGAGTTTGTGTTTACAACATCACTCATGCTGACTGAGCACGGCAGGTGAAAGAAAAGAATTTAACTTCATGTGTTTAAGGTCTGACATCACCTAGAGGTCTGCAGGGGGAACTTGCAGGGTCTGTGAGTACTCAATTTAGAGAAACATTGCTACGACATACGAATGTGGAGGCTTGCAGAGAATGAATGTCACCCTCCCCTAAACAGTGACTTATTTGTGGGGGCTTGAAGGTTGAGAGGTGAGCCATGTGTCTGAAGCACACATAGGTCTGCATTCTATGTGCAGGTCAGCTGCCACATGTTCTGCCTGCCCTTTGAAACCTGGCCAAAAGAAGCTACCACATATGTGTTAGTCTGCTTGCATTGCCATAAAGAAATACCTGAGGCTGTGTAATTTATAAAGACAGAAGGTTTATTTTGTCTCATGGTTATGCAGGCTGTACAGGAAGCATGGTGCCAGCATGTGATCCTGGTGAGCACTCAGGGAGCTTTTACTCATGGCAGAAAGTGAAGTGGGAGCAGGCATGTCACATGGCAAGAGAGGGAGCAAAGGAGCAAGAGAGGAGATGCTCTCTTTTAACAACCTGTCTTTTCAACAACCAGATCTCACATGAATTCAGAGCAAGAACTCACTCATTACTGGGAGGACAGCACCAAGACATTCATGGAGGATCCATTCCCATTGACCCAAACACGTTACACCAGGCCCCGCCTCCAACACCAGGGATTACATTTCAACTTAAGATTTAGAGGGGACACACATTCAAACCATATCAACATAGAAATCAAATTAAAAATTGACCAACCTATGCTGGCAATCCTAATACTAAACCTCAAAGGCTCAAGAGTGTCCACCACTGGACAAATCAGGCAGTGTGACTCCCAAGGAAAGGAACAAGGGAGAAGCATTTGAAGAGGTCACCTGCACGTGCTCACACTCTGTCACAGTTCCAGCCTCATCTGCTGGCATGCAGACACAAGTCCAAGGCCTCAGGAGACCTTGTATGCCTCCAGGATCCCAAGAGGTTGTTCCTGAAGAATGAGGCATGTGGCTCTAAGATACTGGTGACATCAAATTCCTTCCAGCCCCAGAAAAAGGAGAGGTCAGCTGGTGCAAAGACTCACACCCACCCCCAACAGCACTGCAGTTCCACTGGTAGCCTTGCCTTTTCCTTACATGTCCTTCCTTTGCTGAGCTGGGGCAGGTCTATACAGAGGAGGGGTCCTGGCAGCCCACCCAGGCAGCCAGAGTCTGGGCAGCCAGCCCTCCCAGGCCTTCATATAGAGCTCTTCTTAGCTGACTACTAAGGCCATTCTGGACCAGTTCCTGAGACAAGGGAGTCTGGGGTTTGGCTCCCAGCTCAAGGAGCAGCTGGGCAGGAGCCAGAGCTTGGCACAGAGTGAGTGCCGGAGGCTAGTGGGGAAGTGGCAATTAGGTTATGTTAGGGAGAGAAACACTTTCTCAGGCTCTGTCACTGGTAAAGGAAGAGCTTGTGGGCTGGTCCCCGAGGAGGGACTTGGGCTCTTTCCACTTCTCCCAGCAGCTGGCTTCCCTGTAAGAGCGTCACATTTCCTCTCAGCCATGGGATGGGGCTTCCCCTACTTTGTGTTTCAGAAATAGTGACAACTTGATTTTAGAAATAGATTGTTGGCTTTGGGTTGGGGGAGATGAGGGAGATGGATATTTTGGGGTTTGCTGTCTTTTCAGCTTTCACAGACAACAGAAAATGTAGAACATGGAGCCAGCCATGGGTCAGGAGGATTCGTCTTAGCTTGCCCACTAGCCAGGGATTTCCTTATGCTTCACCTCTCCAAGCCTCAGTTTCCTCAACTGCAAAAGCAGGGAGTTGTACAAGGTCTTTAAGAATCCTTCCAGTTCCATAGTTCTTCCAAGCAGCATAGAAGAGAAGCTCTGGGCATTTCTGCACTGTAGGTCTCTTAGAAGGAAAACCTATTCATTATTCAACAGAGCAATAGCCTCCGAATTGAAAAATGACTCCTCAATGATCCTCTTCAGAACTTTTGAATGAAGATCTTAGTTGATGGATTTCAAAGGGGAAAAGCTTTAAGCCAGAAAAATGAAAAGTAAAATCAAGACTCCATAAACACCAGAGAACTACACACTGTTGGCCCAGGGAGTCAGCCAATTAGCCAACTCAGCAGGAGCCCGCTGGGGTTCAATGTTAGGCTCAACCCTCTACTGAGACATGCATTACAGATCAAAATTGTGTCAGACTCCAGTAATAGGTCTCTGGACAGAGAACAGGGTATAAGCAAAGTCATGAATAAGTCAATATTGATTTGAGTCAAATATCATAGGATGCTATGAGAATTATTTTAAAATATATTAATGAAGCCATTCCACCAACAAATGAAACATTTTATGGAATTCTCAGTCCTTTTTTAGAAATAGCTTTATAAAGATATAGTTCACATAACATAAAATGCACCAGTTTGAGAGTACAATTCAATGGTTTTTTGAATTGTGATGTGTTATGCGCTACATAAGGACGTTTTGGTCAATAACTGACCCCATAGACAACAGTCATCCCATAGGATTATAATGGAGCTGAAAAATTCCTGTCACTTGGTGATGTCTTCATGATCCTGACCCTTTGTAGGCCTAGGTTAATGTGTGTGTTTGTTTCTTAGTTTATTAACAAGAAAGTTTAAAAAGTAAAAATTTTAAAAATAGAAAAAGTTTGTAGAATAAGGACATAAAGGAAGAAAACATTTTGTGTAGCTATACAATGTGTGTGTTAAGCTAAGTGTTGTTACACAAGAGTCAATATTTTTTAAAAATTTAAAAGTTTATAGTTTCAGTAAGCTAAGGTTAATTTTATTGAAGGAAAAATATTTTTTATAAATTTAGTGTAGCCTAAACGTACATTGTTTATAGTTTATAGAGGTGTGCAATAATGTCCTAGGCCTTCAAATTCACTCAACACTCACTCACTGACTCACTCAGGGAAACTTCCAGTCCTGCAAGCTCCATTCATGGTTAAGTGCCCCATACAGGTGTACCACTTTTTATGTTTTCTACTGTATTTTTACTGTACCTTTTCTATGTTTAGGTATTTTAGATACATAAATACTTACCATTGTGTTACAGTCGCCTACAGTATATAGTTCAGTAACATGCAGTACAAGTTTGTAGCCTAGGAGCAATAGGCTCTACCATATATCCTAGGTGTGTGGTAAGCTACACCATCTAGGTTTTTGTAAGTACACTCTATGATGTTTGCACAACAATCAAATCACCTAATGACGCATTTCTCAGAATGAATCCCTGTCAGTGTATGAGTATTCATTAATATGTGCAACCCTAACCACAGGCAACTTTTGAACATTTTCATTATCTCAGAAAGAAGCCCAATACCTTATCAATCACCTCTCTACCCCCATGAGACCTTATTAGCAACATAAAAGTTGATTTTCTCCCCAAAATATCACAAATAAGAATTTCTCAATATTGTAACTGCTCTATGGTCTTAGATTCAGATCAAGCAAATCCCATTTATATGCATGACTGACTCATTTTGCCGAACCGCATCCTAGATTGAGCCTCAAGCTCCATCTATGTCCCCCACCTCAACATTCTCTTGAGATGAAGCCTCATCAGCCTCTTAACAGGGGTGGCCTCTGTGGGGAAGTGGGTTCTGCAAAATGTTAAGGACAACCTGGCTGCCAGAGTCTGGCCACTCCCTCATCATCCTGCAGCCCCATTGAGGATGCAGAGTCAATAGCCATGTGCTGGGGTTGCCATAGAAGGAATTCAGGCATTACATAGGGCAGAGGATCTCAAAACTGTGAAACACCTGCATCAGAGGTCCCAGGGATGGGGAATGGCCCTATTAAAAATGCAGAATCCTGGGTCCTACCCCAAATCTACCAGCTCCAAATTTCTGGAGGTGGGGCTTGGGACCCCGAATAGTTAAAAAGCTCCTTGGTGATTTTTAGACACAGTAAAGTTTGCTGACCCAGTATAGAGAGCTCCACTTGAAATCATTTGCATCTCAAATTCTGTGGCTTTCAGAATTGTAACTCCTGCCTGAATTGTTTTTACTTCCCACCCTTTTCAGCTTTGAAACTGAGTCCATCTCCTCTTCTTCCTTTGTGTTCAGGAAGCAACCTCTGGGCGTGTGCTCACCCCACTATTCTTCACATGCTGTCATCATCCTGGGGCTGTCAGCAAGCCCTATTCTCACTAGCTGCAAGTGCCTGAAGGACAGCTATCTTTAGGCAGTTATTTCCAATGCGAAGAGCCATGGGAACCATGAGAAAAGTGGCACCAGTTGGCCCCTAATGTCCTGGCAATTGCTGCATTTTTTCCATTTCTCACCTCTCAATTAATTACCTTTAGTAACTGTTTAAAAATTTTCTTCTAAGGTCAATGACCTGGGATGCTGATCTGGAGATATTATTTCCAGAACTATATTTGACCCATATATAAAGAATAAACAGAGAGAGTCCCTACCCCTTGAGGTAAATATCATCCTCTGCCAGGCCTCTCTTTGGCCCTTTTCTTTCCAAGGCCTCCTTTCCAGTAATGTAGGATGATCTGGAAACCCCAGTGTAGAGCAGGATTACTCCTGGAACCTGGAGGCAAAAGGGGGCAGAAAGAGCACCCCAGGCGACATACCTTTCTTTTAGCCAATGGAGAAACAACATCTATAAAAGTTGAACCCAGGATCAGATCAGCCAGCCATGAGACTCCCAGATGGGAGACAGAAGAGAAACCAGGGACACACAGGGACAGAGGGGAGAGGCCTCCAGGAACATGTACATGTGGTTCCATGTGGTTGCAAGTTGAACAGGGCTACCAATCCCTTTAGCTTTCCCTTACCAAGCTCTCTTTGAAAAAAGGGAAGAAGGCTTCATCTCAGAAAAGGAACTTACAGCCAATGAACAAAAAAAAAAAAAAACCAATGTGGGGAGCCCAGCCCTGTGTGGGAGTTGTTGCTCCCAAGCCTCCCTAAACTGCAGGCCCCTTGCACAGGGCAGGACTACAGGTGCTGGCATACAAGGCCATTCCTGTCAGGGGTTGAGTAAGACCCTGCAAAAGTGAGGGCTGGCCCTGATCTCATGCCTCTAATCTGACAACAGGCAGCTCACTTCTGGAGAGATCAACCAGCTGCTAGCTCAGGTATCAGGCCACACCCTGGTCATCCCACAAACTCAAATGCCCAGAACTCAGCAGGGCACTTCTCTTCCTTCTATATGGATGGAGGCTCCTTCCCTTATCATTTAGTTGGGAGGGACAGGAATTGAAAGTGTTTCCCTCCTACTGCTCAACACAATAACAGACACCTTCACTCTTGGAGCTCCTGCCTACTCAGCCCTTTCCCCTGTCGCGGTTATATATGTGTGACCTCCAGCTTCCCTGCTCCACTCTCTCTTGGATTTTCAGCTCACCGAAGAAGAGGTCATGAAATCTGCTCAGTGATGGGCATCAGTCACATGCTGGGACCCATCAGTCCAGGAGAACCAGGGACCCATTTCTTTCAGTCCCTCTAACTCCTCACCTTTTGACAATCACATATCCTTTTACACTTTGCCTAATTTTCTACCTCTGTGATCAAAATCCCAAGGAGAGGAGAGACCTTCATGCTGTTTGTGTGTGCACACGTGTGTGGTTACACAAGCAACTCCTTTTCAAACTTCCAAAACCATAGTAAAAGATATATTTTCCCTTTTTAAAATTAAATCCAGTTGACAAATTTCTCAAAACTCCCTCTGAGTTAATTGCAAACGACAGGATTGCTTGAAAGATTTTTGGATAAACTTAACATCTCCGGGATCTTGAATGTGCAGAACTGGCCCATTAGCACACATGCTTGATGCCTCCCAGCCTGGAGCAAGTCCTTCTACCATCACTGGGAGGAGGGAAGAAGAGGTGATATTTCACTTCCCACCTCTCCCCTTGATGCCTCTCACTTACCTCCTGAGTCATAGGGGTCTCATTTGTGGACTAATCAATACCATCTTGGTGTATTGGAAGAGATACTGCAGCTATTGGGAGAGATACTTCTTCACCCAGGAAAGAACTGCAGCTTGGCCAGGCTGCTGAACTCTCGGCCTTTGTAGGGATCTGATTCCCCCTGGCTTCCCTCCCCCACCTTGGAACTGCTCAGGGAGAAAAGGCCCACAGGGGTGTGGGTGACCCTCACAGTGGTGGCTGGCCAATTCCTCACTTGTGTGTGAGTTCCCAGAGGAAATGCAAACAAATCAGACCACACTTGGCTGCTGGCCAAGGAATCTTTGAACTTCTTCAATAAAAAGTCTTTAAAACTTTGGTTCTGACCCAAATCTTTTGCTCCAACATAAAAACTGCCGGGCCTTAAGAGTTTCTGTTTAGAGAAACAGTGTGTCTCTGGCATTTGAATAAGGGTGTTTATCTCAGAAACCCTTCTTTGAGTTCCACCATGTTCCGTAAGCTCACTGTATCTCACCTTCAGCCTTCAAGCCTCCCTGAATATCTAGCATGAGTACCTACACCTCTTGCAGCAGTTCTTTCTTTATAAGCCCCTAATTGTGCATTGTAAAAGGGCCCAGAGGTTGCTGAGTTTCCCCTGAAATGGAGACAAGAGAGAAAAAACTCTCCAGCAGGAGGCATTTAAAAAGGTATTGGTCACTGATATTTGTTATCCAGTGTGGTCCTGGAGCTGCCATCATTTAAAAAAATAAAATAAGTTGTTTAAGGAACTGGTGCAGTATAAGGCATAGTTGTTTCTTTTAGAGTAAATAATACATTACTGAATGGTACATTTTCATTCCCTATTTGTTGCTGCTTAATCTCCAAAGCAGATTATATGGCACATACCTGTCTCCAAAGTCTTATCCCTTATCTTTATAAATAGAGGTCTCAGGAGGGAGAACCAGGTTTTTCAGACCTAGGCCTTCCCCTTCATCCCATGTGTTCGCCAAATCAATAGCCTCACCACCTCCACTTCCATACCTTCCTGGATATAATTTTATTGAGTCTACTTTCGGCTGTCAAGAGGAAGTCTGGAGGAAATCAGAGCAATTGCCAGGAAACCACTAAACAGGTCCCCTTTTAATCTACCCCATCACCAATTTACCTAAACAACATGGATGGACATTCAGACAGCCACTGAACTCTTCCTGGTGTGTCTCCTGAAAATATAGACTTGAACCTTCTCAACCTGAATTCTGTGTGATCCCCAACTTGCAACACATGTGGAAATCAAAGGCATTGGGAAAGTTCTCTCGAGAGTTGCACATTGCTGGAAAAGTAACCTGGGAGCAGGAGAGGGTTCCAGACTCAAGGACGGAAGAGAGAATCACAGCTCAAACCCAAGGCATATGTTTTAGAAAACTCAAGTGAACAATAATTGTTAACCCATTCCCTTAATTAACACCTTCCTAGAATCCAAACTGTTCATTTTCACCTAAATAACTTTTAGTGACAATAGATGGGAACCAACTCTGTTTCAAAATTAATTTTCTTTTATGGCACACTTCCAGAGGTGTCACAGGGTATTACATGTTGTAAAATAATGTTTTTTTGTTTGTTTGTTTGTTTGTTTGTTACTCTTAAAGTGCCAGGATACATTTATGTGTACATAAATTTTCTGGGCCTAGTATTTTAGACCACCACCAAATCTTTTATAAAAGTGGACATTGTCAACAAAAGAGTCAAACTCTGTACAATATTTGAAAAGACTTATCCTGAGCCAAATATGAGTGATCATGGCCCGTGACACAGCCCTCAGGAGGTCCTGAGAACATGTGCCCAAGGTGGTCGGGGTGCATCTTGGTTTTATACATTTTAGGAAGGCATGAGACATCAATCAAATACATTTATGAAATACATTGATTTGGTCCAGAAAGGCGGGACAACTAGAAGTGGTGGGGTCAGGGGTGGTGGGGGGCGTTTTTTTTGTTGTTGTTTTTTTTTTTTTTTTGAGACACAGTTTCACTCTTGTTGCCCAGGCTGGAGTGCAGTGGCGGGATCTTGGCTCACTGAAACCTCCACCTCCCGGGTTCGAGCAATTCTCCTGCCTCAGCCTTCTGAGTAGCTGGGATTACAGGCACCCACCACCACACCCGGCTAATTTTTGTATTTTTAGTAGAGACGGGGTTTCACCATGTTGGCCAGGCTGGTCTCGAACTCCTGACCTCAGGCGATCCGCCCGCCTCAGCCTTCTGAAGTGCTGGTGTTACAGGCGTCAGCCACCCTGCCTGGCCGGCTATAGGTAAATTTAAACATTTCCTGTTGACAATTGGTTGAGTTTGTCCAAAGACCTGGGATCAACAGAAAGGAAAGTTTGGTGGTAGAGACCAAAGTTTTACTATGCAGATGAAGCTTTAACTTGCAGGCTTCAGAGAGAATAGGTTGTAAAATGTTTCTATCAGACTTAAAATCTGTATTGATGTTAATGCCAGAGATGTATAATGAGGCATGTCTGACCCCCACTTCCCTTCATGGCCTGAACCAGTCTTTCAGGTTACACTTTAAGAGCCCTGGCTGAGGAGGAAGTCCATTCAGATGGTTGGTTGGGGTTGGGGGGTGGGGGGCCTTAGAATTTTATTTTTGGTTTACAACATCATTAACTAGAGATTAAAAGAGGTTCTAAAGATGCCTGCTCCATTCCCTATTTAGGCATCCTTTCTTTTTAGACTGGTGATAATACACATAGCTTCACCACCACCACCACAAAAAAAAAAATAAAAAGTTTGCTTTAACCACCCATAAAACAATTTCATATTCTGTCATAATATTTGTGGACTAAATGTGATACTTGACCTCTTTTTGTTCTGTCCTCATTTTTTCCTATCATTATTTTTATATATTTACATGGAAACTTCTAAAATTGGCCAGAACCATGTTGGAAGAGACAAATTATGAGAGCAGATGAAATAACACGTTCATAGATATTTATGATGTTGTAACTTTCTGAAGCACAATAAAGTCAACTCATACGAGGATAATATTGTCTTGCTAATGCTAGTATTTATGGCAAGTCATAAATGAACACGTTGGGTGCCTATTTTGGGTAATGACTGCTTTTAGAGCGTTGGAAGAATTTCCCACTGTGGGTCACTCTGTTTGACATTACTCCTTCCTCTAGAAAAATTCTGGATGGCTGTTTAAGAGGAGGATGATCCTGGAGTGTGGTCATTATCACTTCCTAGGTGAAGAGTGGTTTCCATTGTTCTCAGGTTGTAGCCTGGAGGCAGTTGAGGATTCATAAAGCCTGGTACTTGCTCCTGCTTTTTTCCTGCCCCTCTCCTTTCTCTGCCTCTATCTTTGTTCTAGTTGTCCCTACAGCCTGATTGCTTTGGAGCTCAAACACAAACTGCTTGCCCTGTCATTTCTCCACTTGCCCATCCCTGCCCTCTCCCCAGCCATGAAACCCAAATTCCTCCTCCATCCTACATGTATACCCCTAAAGAATAAGACTTAGCTATTCTGTTAATCAGCAGGCCTTGCTTGGAAGTCCACTTCAGATAAACAAATGCCAAAAACACTTCTTCTGTTTTCAGTCTATTGTTTCTCTGAGCCCATCTTGTTTCATTCTCAGCTTCCAAAATTTTGGTCATTTTGAGAAAATGGAAGTCTCCCAGCAGAAAAGACCAACTTTATGTAATGACTATATGCTTGGTGAAGTTTTAGGAATTCCCAGGAAAAGCCTGAAAGTCTAACATTGGGACTTCTTTTAGGTAGAGCATTATGTGGCCATACATTTCTGTGCAGTGTTTGAATACTGAGAAGGACATGCAGTAATCCATTATCATGCCCTAACCCCTTGGCACAGCTGTATATGTTGCCCACTTCACACTATAATAGGGTGAAGTGGGCAACATTAAGCACCTAAGAATTATGACAAAAAGGAAATAGAGAAGGAGATCTGAATCAACCAAGGTTCAATCAAGAAAATGGCACTCCAGGGGGGTGGGGGGCAAAGGGAGGGAGAGCATTAGGACAAATACCTAATGCATGTGGGGCTTAAAACCTAGATGATGGGTTGATAGGTGCAGCAAACCACCGTGGCACATGTATACCTATGTAACAAACCTGAACATTCTGCACATGTATCCCACAACTTAAGGTAAAATTAAAAATATATATATCACTCCCAAAATTTTGAACATAGAATTTAATACAGGGAATTGATTACTGAGTTGATGGAAAGAGTTGAGAAGTCTAACAGGGTACAGTGATGCACCCCAAAGATTAGCAATAGCAGGGGGTTGCTACCAACCCTTAGAACAGGAGGGATAGAGAGGAGAAACTTATTTTCAGGAGCTCAGGAGGTCCAGTTTGAATAAAAAATTGTAGATTGTAGGCATGTTACCACCTCCATTTACGTGTAACCTCCCTTTTCAGGACTCTCAGTTTAGGGGTAAAGATTTCTCTATAGATTACTTAAAAGATTAAAAAAAGTCACTGTATTCCATGGAAACAAGTCTAGATTCCCAGTAGGCATCAAAGAAATGTTTGATCCTTTTCAGGTCTTTGAATAAACATGAAGGAGAGGAATAAATATGATCAACCCTTGCCCATGTCCTCTCTTACTCCAGTGGGCTCCCCACAGGCCATTAGAGGTAGGGAGACCATATATCCTGATTTGCCAAAGACAATCCCAATATACATCTGTTTTCCTGGCATCCTATCTTGTTTAGCATATGTCCTGGAATTTTCATCTTATAATGAAGTATTATCAACAATTGTATTAAAATGAGCTGGGATAGGTTTGGTAGACTTCCACTTTGCACTTCCACCTTCCACCATAGTTTCAGGTAATGGTGTGTGAGACTCATGTGCAGTGAACAGATTTCTCATTTTAACACATTGAAAGATGGCCATCTACACTCATATCTCTTTTCCAACTTTTTATGATACAACGTAATTAACATATCCCTTTCAAAATTGGTTTGCAGAGTGTTCACTGATAAAACTAAGTGCACTCCTATGCCAGTGACTAGGACCAGTTAACTACTGGGCTTGGGTGGTTGTGGTGAAAGTATGTGTCACTCTTGCCCGCCTGTTATGTCATGGCCATTGCCACAGCCTTTTCAATGCACAAAGCATTCAGACCACTAATTGGAAGAGTCAGTGAAAAGTTGTTGGAGTTGGTGTACATGAAATACAAGGGTAAACCAAAGATGAAAATGAAAAGAAAGTTTCCCAAATGCTCTTGATATTTTGGTTTTCTCATTTATTACATGATGTGAATCTATAACTATTTATCTCACTGTTTGGCAACAATTTTATATTTTGTAGTAAATCCTTTCAGCAGCACTGAGCTCAAAAAATAAAAATTTAATGAAAATTAAATAATCAAATTTCCATTTCATGAGAAAGTTGATGGATACGCAACTTGCACAGAATGTTTATATTTACCATCTACCTCTGTGATAGTATGATCACATGAGAATTAGAAGCAGCATCAGCATCTCCTTCAGAAATTAGCAATTATCTTAAGAAGACTGCACCCAAAGACACCATATGCAGCTGGAGAAGGTGTGTTTACCTATCACTTAGATCAAATGATTCTCCCCTTAAATGAATTTTGCTCATTTTTGATTCCAAGTTTTCTCATGCATGGACAAAAGGTAAATTAATAGCAGAAGTATACTGCAAACAGTTGAATGATGCCTAGCTTAATACCAGCATCACTAGATGACTCAAATATAAAATGAGTTAATTCCCATAATGCCTCAATTTTTTTCATCTAATTAAGTCTTAAAATGTTTATTTTGCCAAAAGTGAAACATTTGTTGTAAATATTATTGTAAATTCAATTAAAAATTTGGCATCAAGGATAGAATTATTTATTTTTGCAATGATAATATAAATACAAATTTGGTAGAATATAGCATTGTGATAAAACTTATATTCTTACTAGATTGAGCAAAAATGTATTTTGAGTGGATTGTGGTGCATACATAATTTATAACTCAATATCATAAACCAGGATATTCTACCGATTGAAGCAGCATCTGTACTTACCAAAGTTTACATATATTTTATATATACACAGTACAAAATTTTCTGATAAAGATGATGTTGTATTTTTTTCAATGCTTCAGTATGACAGTTCATACTTTTTCTCTTTACTATCCATCATCAATTAGATTTCCAAAATGTCTGAGCCGTTGGAAAATTAGTTTTGAAATCAACTAAAGTATCCTAAGTGGCATTGAACTTTTACATAAATAAGATCTCTAAATTTTGGTTGTACTTGGTTGAAAATCAGCTGGAAGTTTTTAATCAGGGCGTCCTCAGAGTGCCAAAAACTTTAATTTTTGAAGCTTTTATCAAAGTGTGGTTATCAATAGATACATAAGAAGGATTTCACAAGACCCAATACTATTTCATGGTAAACATACTCAACAAACTAATAGAAGGAAACTTTCCATAGTTAACATATACCTACTGGTGATAGACTTGCTATGTTCATTTTTAACTACTTCTATTCAACATTGTATTACAGGTTCTAGTCAGGGCAATTAGGCAAGAAAAAGAAAAAAGGCATCCAGATTGGAAAGAAAGAAATAAAACTACCTCTATTTGCAGAAGGCATGATCTCACATATAGAGAACTCTAAAGAATCTACAAAAATACTACTACAGCTAATTATTTCAGCAAAGTTCCAGGATACAAGATGAATAAATAAAAATCAGTTGAATTTCTATCTACTAGCAATGAGTAGTCCAAAAATGAAATTAAGAAAACAATTTCTTAATTGTTACATTACCACCCAAAAGAATAAAATACCTAGGAATAAATTTAACCAAAGAAGCTAAGGTTAACTACAAAACATCATAGACAGAAATTAAAGAAAACCTATGTAAATGCAGACATCCTGTGCTCATGGATTAGAAGACAATACTGTTAAAATGGCAATATTCCCCACAGTGATCTACAGATTCAGTTGAATCCTTATCAAAATTCCAACTGCCTTTCTTATCAGAAGTGAATGAGCCTATCCTAAAATCTGTACGAAATTGCAATGGACACAGAATGGCCAAAGTCATCTTGAAAAAGAAGAAAAAAGTTGGAGGATTCACACTTCCCAATTTCAAAAGTTACAACAAAGATACAATAACCAAGATAATGTGGACAGACATATAGATCAACGGAACAGAATCAAGAGTCTAGATCAGTGGTCTCCAACCCTTTTGGCACCACAGACCAGATTTGTGGAAGACAATTTTTCCATGGACAGTTGAGGGGATGGTTTCAGGATGAAACTATTTCACCTCAGATCATCAGGCATTAGTTAGATTCTCGTAAGGAGCGCGCATCCTAGATCCCTTGCACATGCAGTTCACAATAGGGTTCACACTCCTATGAGAATTTAATGCTGCAGCTGATCTGACAGGCTCAGGCTGTAATGCTCGTTCACAGCTGCCCACCTCCTGCTGTGCGGCCTGGTTCCTAACAGGCCACGGACCGGACCGGTATCAGTCCACAGCCCAGGGGTTGGGGACCCCTGGTCTAGATAATGAATCCATATATTTATGGTCAATTTATCTTTGCCAAGACCATTCAGTGGGGAAAGAATAGTCTTTTCAACAAATCGTGCTGGGACAACTAGCTATCCACATGCAAAAGAATGCATCAGGGCCCCTAATTCGTGCTATATGCAGACTTTAACACAAAATGGATCAACTACTTAAATGTAAGAGTTAAAAAAATAAAAACTCTAACGAGAAAATATAGGTGAGTAAGGGCTTCAAGAGGACTGGCTAGAGGCACCCAGCACTCACCTCCTCCACAAAGAAGAACCAAAATAGTAATAGATAATCACACTTTGAATAGATCATCTAAAAGAGAACACTGGAATTCAACAGAGAAATGACAGGAAACATTTAAAGCAAGGAAGAAGAAGGAAGCAAGGCAGCCTTCTTAACCAGGATCAGCTGGGAGCCTGGAGAGGCTCCCCAAAGTGGGGAAAGGGTGAGAGATCCCCAGCAGTCCACATTCTCACAGCAGACTCCTGCAATCCTAGCCACAGGGGAGCCCATTGACCCTTGTGGGCCGCCCTGAGACTAACATAGGAAGCTGCCTGGAGACCACGCAACAGTATTGCTCCAGAGAGGGAGCTTATGTTGGGTCCCGAACAATTCCGAAGTCCTAAGCAGACACATCATGGTGTTATATTGAGAGCCTAGCCCCACCAGCTTGCATCCTGCCTGGGGGCCCAACAGCACCTGCATCTCCACATCCCTGGATCCCCATTAACATCACCAAGAACAGCCACCACCATAGCTGGCTGCTGCTGCCAAGGCTGAAGCTTAAACCATTGGCAACATCCCCACTGCTCCCAGCAGCAAAGCCATCATGAATTTTCATGAACCCTGAGGACAAACTCCTCTGCCCACAGTCACTACCACTGCAGGCTGCCACCACAGCGGGGCGGGTGGGGGTGGGGGGGTGGGGTGTGTGAAGCACAAGCAAAGTGTATGCTCCTTAGCTGCCTGCATACAGCTGTTGTCCTTGAAAGCAACCCCACCCTCCCTAGTAGCAGGGCTGCTGACACCCCCGCCTGAACATTCACTTAGGACCTGGGAATCACCCTATTTCTGCCTATTATAGTTAGTCCCTGCATGCACCACGAGGGGGCCTGAGGATAGGTCCACCCATCCCAGCTCTGCCACCCACCAATGCCTAAACATACCATCCAGGGGCCTGGGGACCACTCAGACTAGTCTACCAGTTTTGGCACTTGAGCCTCCTAGGGTCCTGAGGTCAGGCTCACTCAGCCTGCCACTACCACCATAGCAGGAATCCACCAGCATGTGCCACCTATGGGCCTGGTGACCAGCCTACCCAGCCCATCACAGCCACCACCAACTCCAGCAAGGACTGCTTGGGAGTCAGAAGGTTGTCTCAGCACTACTACTGCCATTGCCCACACCACACTCACTCCACAAGGACCTGAAGAACTTGTCCACTATTGCCACAACCAGCAGCTGAGTAAGCTGCCTGGAGGCCCAAGAATCGGCCAGCCTGGACCTGCTAACGCCAGTGCCAGCATACGCTGCCCTGGGGCCTAAGGACAGGCACATTCTGCCTGCTGCTGCCACCACTGGGGCCCAAGGACAGGACTACATGGTGCTCTTGTCCTCAGCAAAATTTCACCACAGACTCCACTAACAACTGCACCCTAAAACGAGTGAGGAAATCACAGACATCACTGTTGCTGTTTATAGCCAAAGAAATAATACAGAGACTACACTACTGCACGCACCCAGAATCAAAGCACAAGTGCCCTACCCAATCAACACCATAGATACATCTTCAGGAATAAGTCCTCTCCTATAAAAGCAAATACAAAATACTGGAAGAAGTGACTGTTACACCAGATGCACAGATATCAGTGTAAGGACACAGAAACATGAAAAGCAAAGAAATACGACACCTCCAGGAAAAACAGTAATTCTCCAATAACATATTCCAAGCAAAAAGAAATTTATGAGATCACAGAAAAAAAGTGAAAATATTGATGCTGAAGAAGTTCAGTAAGATACAACAGAACACAGAAAAACAATACAAACAAATCAGAAAAACAATTCAGGAAATAAATGGGAAATTTACCAAAGAGATAGAAATCATTAAAAAGAAACAGAAATTCAGGCAAGGAGGCGGAGCAATATGGCTGAAAAGAACCCTCCAGCAATCATCCCCCCTGCAAGAACACCAAATTGAACAACGATCCACCCAAGAAAGCACCTTCATAAGAACCTAAAATCAGGTGAGTAGTCACAGTACCTGGTTTGAACATCATATCAAGGAAAGAAGCAGGAGGAGCCAAGATGGCCGAATAGGAACAGCTCCGGTCTACAGCTCCCAGCGTGAGCGACGCAGAAGACGGGTGATTTCTGCATTTCCATCTGAGGTACCCAGTTCATCTCACTAGGGAGTGCCAGACAGTGGGCGCAGGTCAGTGGGTGCGCACACCGTGTGCGAGCCGAAGCAGGGCGAGGCATTGCCTCACTTGGGAAGCGCAAGGGGTCAGGGAGTTCCCTTTCCGAGTCAAAGAAAGGGGTGACTGAGGGCACCTGGAAAATCAGGTCACCCCACCCGAATACTGCGCTTTTCCGACGGGCTTAAAAAACGGCGCACCACGAGATTATATCCCACACCTGGCTCGGAGGGTCCTACGCCCACGGAGTCTCGCTGATTGCTAGCACAGCAGTCTGAGATCAAACTGCAAGGCGGCAGCGAGGCTGGGGGAGGGGCGCCCGCCATTGCCCAGGCTTGATTAGGTAAACAAAGCAGCCGGGAAGCTCGAACTGGGTGGAGCCCACCACAGCTCAAGGAGGCCTGCCTGCCTCTGTAGGCTCCACCTCTGGGGGCAGGGCACAGACAAACAAAAAGACAGCAGTAACCTCTGCAGACTTAAATGTCCCTGTCTGACAGCTTTGAAGAGAGCAGTGGTTCTCCCAGCACGCAGCTGGAGATCGGAGAACGGGCAGACTGCCTCCTCGAGTGGGTCCCTGACCCCTGACCCCCGAGCAGCCTAACTGGGAGGCACCCCCCAGCAGGGGCACACTGACACCTCACACGGCAAGGTATTCCAACAGACCTGCAGCTGAGGGTCCTGTCTGTTAGAAGGAAAACTAACAAACAGAAAGGACATCCACACCAAAAACCCATCTGTACATCACCATCATCAAAGACCAAAAGTAGATAAAACCACAAAGATGGGGAAAAAACAGAACAGAAAAACTGGAAACTCTAAAAAGCAGAGCGCCTCTCCTCCTCCAAAGGAACGCAGTTCCTTACCAGCAACGGAACAAAGCTGGACGGAGAATGACTTTAAGGAGCTGAGAGAAGAAGGCTTCAGACGATCAAATTACTCTGAGCTACGGGAGGACATTCAAACCAAAGGGAAAGAAGTTGAAAACTTTGAAAAAAATTTAGAAGAATGTATAACTAGAATAACCAATACAGAGAAGTGCTTAAAGGAGGTGATGGAGCTGAAAACCAAGGCTGGAGAACTACGTGAAGAATGCAGAAGCCTCAGGAGCCAATGCAATCAACTGGAAGAAAGGATATCAGCAAAGGAAGATGAAACGAATGAAATGAAGCGAGAAGGGAAGTTTAGAGAAAAAAGAATAAAAAGAAATGAGCAAAGCCTCCAAGAAATATGGGACTATGTGAAAAGACCAAATCTACGTCTCATTGGTGTACCTGAAAGTGATGGGGAGAATGGAACCAAGTTGGAAAACATTCTGCAGGATATTATCCAGGAGAACTTCCCCAATCTAGCAAGGCAGGCCAACGTTCAGATTCAGGAAATACAGAGAACGCCACAAAGATATTCCTCGAGAAGAGCAACTCCAAGACACATAATTGTCAGATTCACCAAAGTTGAAATGAAGGAAAAAATGTTAAGGGCAGCCAGAGAGAAAGGTCGGGTTACCCTCAAAGGGAAGCCCATCAGACTAACAGCTGATCTCTCGGCAGAAACTCTACAAGCCAGAAGAGAGTGGGGGCCAATATTCAACATTCTTAAAGAAAAGAATTTTCAACCCAGAATTTCATATCCAGCCAAACTAAACTTCATAAGCGAAGGAGAAATAAAATACTTTACAGACAAGCAAATGCTGAGAGATTTTGTCACCACCAGGCCTGCCCTAAAAGAGCTCCTGAAGGAAGCGCTAAACATGGAAAGGAACAACCAGTACCAGCCGCTGCAAAATCATGCCAAAATGTAAAGACCATCGAGACTAGGAAGAAACTGCATCAACTAACGAGCAAAATAACCAGCTAACATCATAATGACAGGATCAAATTCACACATAACAATATTAACTTTAAATGTAAATGGACTAAATGCTCCAATTAAAAGACACAGACTGGCAAATTGGATAAAGAGTCAAGACCCAACAGTGTCCTGTATTCAGGATACCCATCTCACGTGCAGAGACACACATAGGCTCAAAATAAAAGGATGGAGGAAGATCTACCAAGCAAATGGAAAACAAAAAAAGGCAGGGGTTGCAATCCTAGTCTCTGATAAAACAGACTTTAAACCAACAAAGATCAAAAGAGACAAGAAGGCCATTACATAATGGTAAAGGGATCAATTCAACAAGAAGAGCTAACTATCCTAAATATATATGCACCCAATACAGGAGCACCAAGATTCATAAAGCAAGTCCTGAGTGATCTACAAAGAGACTTAGACTCCCACACATTAATAATGGGAGACTTTAACACCCCACTGTCAACATTAGACAGATCAACGAGACAGAAAGTCAACAAGGATACCCAGGAATTGAACTCAGCTCTGCACCAAGGGGACCTAATAGACATCTACAGAACTCTCCACCCCAAATCAACAGAATATACATTTTTTTCAGCACCACACCACACCTATTCCAAAATTGACCACATACTTGGAAGTAAAGCACTCCTCAGCAAATGGAAAAGAACAGAAATTATAACAAACTATCTCTCAGACCACAGTGCAATCAAACTAGAACTCAGGATTAAGAATCTCACTCAAAGCCGCTCAACTACATGGAAACTGAACAACCTGCTCCTGAATGACTACTGGGCACATAACGAAATGAAGGCAGAAATAAAGATGTTCTTTGAAACCAACGAGAACAAAGACACAACATACCAGAATCTCTGGGACACATTCAAAGCAGTGTGTAGAGGGAAATTTATAGCACTAAATGCCCACAAGAGAAAGCAGGAAAGATCCAAAATTTACACCCTAACATCACAATTAAAAGAACTAGAAAAGCAAGAGCAAACACATTCCAAAGCTAGCAGAAGGCAAGAAATAACTAAAATCAGAGCAGAACTGAAGGAAATAGAGACACAAAAAACCCTTCAAAAAATCAATGAATCCAGGAGCTGGTTTTTTGAAAGGATCAACAAAATTGATAGACTGCTAGCAAGACTAATAAAGAAAAAAAGAGAGAAAAATCAAATAGATGCAATAAAAAATGATAAAGGGGATATCACCACCGATCCCACAGAAATACAAACTACCATCAGAGAATACTATAAACACCTCTACGCAAATAAACTAGAAAATCTAGAAGAAATGGATAAATTCCTCGACACATACACTCTCCCAAGACTAAACCAGGAAGAAATTGAATCTCTGAATAGACCAATAACAGGATCTGAAATTGTGGCAATAATCAATAGCTTACCAACCAAAAAGAGTCCAGGACCAGATGGATTCACAGCCGAATTCTACCAGAGGTACAAGGAGGAACTGGTACCATTCCTTCTGAAAATATTCCAATCAATAGAAAAAGAGGGAATCCTCCCTAACTCATTTTATGAGGCCAGCATCATTCTGATACCAAAGCCAGGCAGAGACACAACAAAAAAAGAGAATTTTAGAACAATATCCTTGATGAACATTGATGCAAAAATCCTCAATAAAATACTGGCAAAACGAATCCAGCAGCACATCAAAAAGCTTATCCACCATGATCAAGTGGGCTTCATCCCTGGGATGCAAGGCTGGTTCAATATACGCAAATCAATAAATGTAATCCAGCATATAAACAGAGCCAAAGACAAAAACCACATGATTATCTCAATAGGTGCAGAAAAAGCCTTTGACAAAATTCAACAACCCTTCATGCTAAAAACTCTCAATAAATTAGGTATTGATGGGACGTATCTCAAAATAATAAGAGCTATCTATGACAAACCCACAGCCAATATCATACTGAATGGGCAAAAACTGGAAGCATTCCCTTTGAAAACTGGCACAAGACAGGGATGCCCTCTCTCACCTCACCACTCCTATTCAACATAGTGTTGGAAGTTCTGGCCAGGGCAATTAGGCAGGAGAAGGAAATAAAGGGTATTCAGTTAGGAAAAGAGGAAGTCAAATTGTCCCTGTTTGCAGACGACATGATTGTATATCTAGAAAACCCCATAGTCTCAGCCCAAAATCTCCTTAAACTGATAAGCAACTTCAGCAAAGTCTCAGGATACAAAATCAATGTGCAAAAATCACAAGCATTCTTATACACCAATAACAGACAGAGAGCCAAATCATGAGTGAACTCCCATTCACAATTGCTTCAAAGAGAATAAAATACCTAGGAATCCAACTTACAAGGGATGTGAAGGACCTCTTCAAGGAGAACTATAAACCACTGCTCAAGGAAATGAAAGAGGATACAAACAAATGGAAGAACATTCCATGCTCATGGGTAGGAAGAATCAATATTGTGAAAATGGCCATACTGCCCAAGGTAATTTACAGATTCAATGCCATGCCCATCAAGCTACCAATGCCTTTCTTCACAGAATTGGAAAAAACTACTTTAAAGTTCATATGGAACCAAAAAAGAGCCCGCATCACCAAGTCAATCCTAAGACAAAAGAACAAAGCTGGAGGCATCACACTACCTGACTTCAAACTATACTACAAGGCTACAGTAACCAAAACAGCACGGTACTGGTACCAAAACAGAGATATAGATCAATGGAACAGAACAGAGCCCTCAGAAATAACGCCGCATATCTACAACTATCTGATCTTTGACAAACCTGGGAAAAACAAGCAATGGGGAAAGGATTCCCTATTTATTAAATGGTGCTGGGAAAACTGGCTAGCCATATGTAGAAAGCTGAAACTGGATCCCTTCCTTACACCTTATACAAAAATCAATTCAAGATGGATTAAAGACTTAAACGTTAGACCTAAAACCATAAAAACCCTAGAAGAAAACCTAGGCATTACCATTCAGGACATAGGCATGGGCAAGGACTTCATGTCTAAAACACCAAAAGCAATGGCAACAAAAGACAAAATTGACAAATGGGATCTGATTAAACTAAAGAGCTTCTGCACAGCAAAAGAAACTAACATCAGAGTGAACAGGCAACCTACAAAATGGGAGAAAATTTTCACAACCTACTCATCTGACAAAGGGCTAATATCCAGAATCTACAAAGAACTCAAACAAATTTACAAGAAAAAAACAAACAACCCCATCAAAAAGTGGGCGAAGGACGTGAACAGACACTTCTCAAAAGAAGACATTTATGCAGCCAAAAAACACATGAAAAAATGCTCATCATCACTGGCCATCAGAGAAATGCAAATCAAAACCACAATGAGATACCATCTCACACCAGTTAGAATGGCAATCATTAAAAAGTCAGGAAACAACAGATGCTGGAGAGGATGTGGAGAAATAGGAACACTTTTACACTGTTGGTGGGACTGTAAACTAGTTCAACCATTGTGGAAGTCAGTGTGGCGATTCCTCAGGGATCTAGAACTGGAAATACCATTTGACCCAGCCATCCCATTACTGGGTATATACCCAAAGGACTATAAATCATGCTGCTATAAAGACACATGCACACGTATGTTTATTGCAGCATTATTCACAATAGCAAAGACTTGGAACCAACCCAAATGTCCAACAGTGATAGACTGGATTAAGAAAATGTGGCACGTATACACCATGGAATACTATGCAGCCATAAAAAACGATGAGTTCATGTCCTTTGTAGGGACATGGATGAAATTGGAAATCATCATTCTCAGTAAACTATCACAAGAACAAAAAACCAAACACCACATATTCTCACTCGTAGGTGGGAATTGAACAATGAGAACACATGGACACAGGAAGGGGAACATCACACTCTGGGGACTGTTGTCGGGTGGCGGGGGGAGGGATAGCACTGGGAGATATACCTAATGCTAGATGACAAGTTGGTGGGTGCAGCGCACCAGCATGGCACATGTATACATATGTAACTAACCTGCACAATGTGCACATGTACCCTAAAACTTAAAGTATAATGATAATAATTTAAAAAAAAGAAAAAAAAAAAGGAAAGAAGCACTGAAGAAGATAGGACAGACAGTCTTGAATTGCTGACATCACCCCTCTCCCTCCCCCCAGCACTGGCCACGTGGCATGGAGAGAGAATATGTGTGCTTTGGGGAGAGGGACTGCAGTGATTGTGGGACTTTGCATTGGAACTCAGCACTGCCCTGTCACAGTGGAAAGAAACCTAGGACAGAATTTGGCCAGCACCTATGAAGGAACATTTAGGCCAGCCTTAGACAGAGGGGAATCATCCATTCCAGTGGTTGGAACCTGAGTTCCAGCTAGCCCCCCCACCACAGGCTAAAGCACTCCGGGGTCCTAAATAAACATGAAAGTCAGTCTAGGCCACAAGGATTGCAATTCCTGGGCAAGTCCTGGTACTGTTCTGGGCTCAGAACAAGTGGACTTGGGGTACACACAACTCAGTGAGACACTAGATGGGGCAGCCAAAGAAATGCTTAAATCACCCTTTTCCCATTCCAAGACAATGTAGCTTACAGGCCCAGGAGAGACTTCTTCCTTTTGCTTGAGGAAAGGAGAGAGGAGACTAAAGAGGACTGTCTTGCAACTTGGATACCAGCTAATCCACAGTAGAAGAGGTCACCAGGCAGTCGTGAGGCCTCCATTCCAGGCCCTAACTCCCAGATGACATTTCTAGACATACGCTAGGCCAGAAGAGAAACTGTTGTTGCCTTGAAGTAAAGGACCCAGTCCTAGCAGGATTCGTCACCTGATGACTAAAGAGCTGCTGAGCCTTGAATAAACATCAGCAGTACTTGGATGAGACCCAGGGCTTTGCTGGCTTCAGATGTGACCCAGCATATTCCCAACTTTGGTGGCCACAGGGAGAGGCTCCTTCTGCTTGAGGAAAGGACAGGAAAGAGTAAAGGGGACGTTGTCATAGAGCTTAGGCATCAGCTCAGCCGCAGTAGCATACAGCACTAAGCAGGCTCCTGGGGTTCCCAATTCCAGGCCTTGGCTTCTGGATGGCATTTCTGGATCCACCCTCAGCCAGAGGTGAGCCCACTGCCCTGAAGGGAGAGACCCAGACCTGGCAGCATTCACCACAAGCTGACTGAAGAGCATGTGAGCCTTGAGTGAACACTGGCACTAACCAGGCAGTACTCGCAGTGGCCCTGGGGCAATGGTGGCCATGAGAAGACACTCCTGCATAAGAAAAGGAGAAGGAAGAGTGGAAAGGACTTTATCTTGCAGCTTGGATGCCAGCATAACTACAGTAGAATAGAGTACCAAGTAGAATCCTAAGGTTCTGAACTCCAAGCTCTGGCTCCCAGATGGCATTTATGAACCTGCCCTGGGCCAGAGGTGGGAGCTCGCTGCCATGAACAGGATACAAGCCTGGCTGGATTTACCACCTGCTGACTAAAGAGCCCTTGGGCCTTCAGTGAACATCAGCAGTAGCCAGGCAGTGGTCTCTGCAGGTCAGGCAAGACTCAATGCTATGCTGGCTTTGGCTCTGACACAGTGCAGGGCCAGTGGTGGTGGCCACAGGGGTGTTTGTGTCACCCCTCAACCAGCTCCACGTAGCCCAGCATGGACAGAGAGAGATACTCTGTTTGGGGGAAAATAAAGGAAGAGAAAAAGTGTCTCTGCCTAGTAATCCAGAGAATTCTCCCAGATCTTTCCCAAGACCACCAAGATGGTACCTCTATAAGTGTGCAAGAATCACAATGTTATCAGGCCTGGGGTGCCCCATAACACAGATAATAAAGACTTTCCCAGACAAACAGAATCTGAGGGATTTAAACACCAGTGACCAAATATTTAGATTATAATACTCGATTCCTTTTGAATACTTAGAAAGCCTTCCCAAGAAGGATGGGTACAAACAAGCTCAGACAGTGAAGACTATAATAAATACCTAACTCTTCAATGTCTAAACACTGATGAACATCCACAAGCATCAAGACCATCCAGGAAAACATGAACTTACCAAACAAACTAAATAAGGTACCAGTGACCAATCCTGGAGTGACAGAGAGATGTGATCTTTCAGACAAAGCATTCAAAAATCATGAGGAAACTCAATGAAATTTAAGATAACTCAGAGAAGGAATTAAGAATCCTATTAGATAAATTCAACAAAGAGATTGAAATAATTTTTAAAAATCAAGCTGAATTTCTGCAGCTGAAAAATGCAACTGAGATACTGAAGACATACAGAGTATCTTAACAGCAGAACTGATCAAGCAGAAGAAAGAATTAGTGAGCTTGAAGACTGGCTATTTGAAAATACACAGTCAGAGGAGACAAAAGAAGAAAGAATGAAGCATGCCTACAAGATCTGAAAAAAAATAGCCTCAAAGGGGCAAATCTAAGGATTATTGGCCTTATAGAGGAGGTAGAGAGAAAAATTAGGGTAGAGATAATAACAGACAACTTTCCAAAACTAGAGAAAGATATCAATATTCAAGTACAAGAAGGATATAGAACACAAAACATCTTTAACTCAAATTAGACTACCCCCAAAGCATTAACAATCAAACTCCCAAAGGTCAAGGATAAATAAAGGATCCTAAAAGCAGCAAGAGAAAGGAAACAAATAACATACAAAGGAGCTCCAGTACAACTAGCAGCAGACTTCTCAATAGAAACCTTACAGGCCAGGAGAGAGTGGCATGACATATTTAAAGTGCTGAAGGAAAAAAAAAATTATCCTAGAATAGTATATCAAGCAAAAGTGTCCTTCAAACCAAAAGGAGAAATGAAGACTTTCCCAGACAAACAGAAGCTGAGGGATTTAAACACCAGACCTGTCCTACAAGAAATGCTAAAGGGAGCTCTTCAATCTGAAAGAAAAGGATGTTCGGGCAGATCACAAGGTCAAGAGATTGAGACCATCCTGGCCAACATGGTGAAACCCCGTCTCTATTAAAAATACAAAAATTAGCTGGGCGTGGTGGTGCACGCCTGTAGTCCCAGCTACTCGGGAAGCTGAGGCAGAATCACTTGAACCTGGGAGGTGGAGGTTGCAGTGAGCCGAGATCGCACCACTGCACTCCGGCCTGGGCGACAGAGCGAGACTCCATCTCAAAAAAAAAAAAAAAAAAAAGAAAAAAACAGAAAAAAAGAAATCATCTGAAGGCACAAAACTCACTGGTAATAGTAAGTAAACAGAGAAACACAGAATATTATAACTGAAATTGTGGTGTGTAAACTACTTATATCTTGAGTAGAAAGACTAAAAGATGAACCTATCAAAAATAATAACTACAACAATTTTTAAAGGCATAGACAGTGTAATAAGATATAAATAGAAACAACAAAGAGTTAAAAAGTGGGGGAAGGAGAATAAAGTTAAAATGTAGAGTTTGTATTAGTTTTCTCTTTGCTTGTTTGTAGTTTGTTTCTGCAATCAGTGTTAGGTTGTCATTAGTTTAAAATAATGAGTTTTAAGATGTTATTTATAAACCTCATGGCAACTTCAAATCAGAGAACCTACAACAGATACATAAAAAATAAAAAGCAAGAAATTAAAACATACCACCAGAGAAAACCACCTTCACAAAAAGGAAGAAAGGAAGGAAAGAAGGAAGAAAAGACCACAAAACAATCAGAAAACAAATAACAAAATGGCAAAAGTAACTCCTTATTCATCAATACTACCATTGAATGTAAATGGACTAAACTCTCCAATCAAGACACATACAATGGTTGAATGGATAAATAAACAGGATCCAACAATCTGTTGCCTACAAGAAACACACTTCACCTATAAAGACACACATAGACTGAAAATAAAGGGATGAAAAAAGATATTCCATGCCAGTGGAAACCAAAAAAGAGCAGCAGTAGCTTACGCTTATATCAGACAAAATAGATTTTAAGACACAAACTATAAAAAGAGACAAAGAAAGTCATTATATGATAATAAAGAGGTCAATTCACCAGGCATGGTGGCTCATGCCTGTAATTCCAGCACTTTGGGAGGCCTGGCAGATCACTTGAGGCCAGGAATTCAAGACCAGCCTGACCAACATGGCAAAAACCCATCTCTACTAAAAATACAAAAATTATCTGGGTGTGATGGCATATGCCTGTAATCCCAGCTACTTGGGAAGCTGAGGCACAAGAATCTCTTGAACCTGGGAGGCAGAGGTTGCAGTGAGCCAAGATTGTCTCAGCCTGGGCAACAGGGTGAGACTCTGTCTCAAAAAAAAAAAAAAAAAAAAGTCAATTCAGCAGAAATTCTGGAACTGAGGACTGAATAATTCATTAAATGAAATACAAAGCAACATTCAGGCTGGGCACAGTGGCTCACACCTGTAATCCCAGCACTTTGGGAGGCCGAAGCAGGTAGATCACTTGAGGTCAGGAGTTCGAGACCAGCCTGGCCAACTTGGTGAAACCCTGTCTCTACTAAAAATACAAAAATTAGCCAAGCATGGTGGTGGGTATCTGTAATCCCAGCTACTTGGAAGGCTGAGACAGGAGAATCACTTGAACGTGGGAGACGGAGGTTGCAGTGAGCTGAGATCATGCCACTGCACTCCAGCCTGAGCAACAGAGCGAGACTCCATCTCAAAAAAAAAAAAAATTATAACATTCAAAAGCTTCAACAATAGATTAAATCAAGTGGAAGAAAACATCTCAGAACTTAAAGACAGGTCTTTTTAAAATATCCCAGTCAGGCAAAAATGAAGAAAAACATTAAAAAGAATGAAACAAGTCTACAAGATGTATGAGACACCATAAAGACCAAATATTTATTTTCCAGTATCCCAGAAGGCAAAGAAAAAATGAAAGGTATAGCAAACCTATTTAATGAAATAATATCTGAAAACTGCCCAAGTCTAGCAAGAGATTTAGACATCCAGAAAACTCGACACGCAAATCCATATAATCTAAAAAAATCTTCTCCACAGCACATTATAGTCAAACTGTCAAAAGTCAAAGACAAAGAGAGAATTCTAAAAACAGCAAGAAAAGAATGTTTTATCACTTATAAAAGAACCCCCATAAGGCCTGGCATGGTGGCTTATGCTTGTAATCCCAGCACTTTGGGAGGCTGAGGCGGGTGGATCATGAGGTCAGGAGATCAAGACCATCCTGGCTAACATGGTGAAACCCTGTCTCTACTAAAAATACAAAAACAAAACTAGCCAGGTGTGGTGGCAGGTGCCTGTAGTCCCAGCCACTCAGGAGGCTGAGGCGGGAGAATGGTGTGAACCTGGCAGGCGGAGCTTGCAGTAAGCCAAGAGCGCGCCACTACACTCCAGCCTGGGCGACAGAGCGAGACTCCGTCTCAAGAAAAAAAAAAAAAATACCATAAGACTAAGCAGACTTCTCAGCAGAACCTTATAGGCCAGGAGAAAATGGGATGGTATATTCAAACCATTCAAACCAATGTTACAAAAATTAGTAGCATTTCTATATGCCAACAGTGAACAGCTGAAAAAGAAATCAGACCAGGTGCAGTGGCTCATGCCTGTAATCCCAACACTTTGGGAGGCCGAGGCAGGAGGACCACCTGAAGTCAGGAGTTCAAGACCAGCCTAGCCAACATGGTGAAACCCCATCTCTACTAAAATACAAAAAATTAGCTGGGTGTGGTGGCTCGTGCCTGTAATAAATCCCCGCTACTTGGGAGGCTGGGGCAGGAGAACTGCTTGAACCTGGGAGGCAGAGGTTGCAGTAAGCTGAGATCACGCCCCTGCACTCCAGCCTGGGTGACAGAGTGAGAGTCTGTCTCAAAAAAAAAAAAAAAAAAAGATTAATGATGAAAGGAAGAAAGGAAGAAAATGAAGGAGGGAGGGAAGATTACCCTCACTTGCAGGTTCTATGCTGTTCCTGTAATCCCAGTGCTTGGGGCCGTGTCTCCTTTGTTCTCTAGTATTAGATCCCGGAAGAACTACAGAAAGGCTGGCATGATAACTAGTGCTTGCCCTCCACCTTTGGGCTCTGGGACTGGCACCCACGCTCCCTGGACCAGACAGTAAAGCTGCATTTCAACCTCAAAATTGGCATCAGACCCAGCCTCAAACAGCTGGCTCTGAACTCCAGGGCTCCTGCCACCCTAGGCTTGCTCCTAGAACTCTGAAGAGGAGCTGGTGGTCTGATTATTCCACATTCTGCTCTTTTGGGAGCAATCATGGCACTTTGGCTGAGAAATGTTATATTCAGACATTTCAAGTTGATGTGGCTGAAAATTTTAACTTGAAAAAGATATTTCACACATATTAATAATAGTTCATAGTTTCAAACATGTTTATTTCAATAAATAATTATATATGTGTATATGTGGGTGTGGTGTGGTTGGGCGTGTTTGTGTCTGTCTCCATGTATGCTGGATTTATCTACTTCTCATTCATTTTTGGTGATGATTATTCTTCTAACACAACACTACAAAAAATACCAGTGAATCATCAATGATTAACTTGTTGAAAATAGTTTTCCTCTGGCTTCATGATTACCTGCTTCAATAAAATAAAATAATCACAGCATTATTTAATTTCCTGACCCAACTACCAAATTAATCTAAAATAAAACAAGTTACTATAATCCCCCAGTTTTCTTTAGACTAGCTGGACTTTTGGCAGTCAGAATCACTTCAAATCTGGAAGTAACAAAGAAAAGAAAAAGCAAAATGTCTTTCTCTCCAGTAGAAAAAGAAGAACCCTCCCTGTTACAGGCTGTGACTTGTCAATCTGCTCACAGACGTTATGACACCCTCTTATTGGCAGAGCTCCGAAAGTGCCAGCTGCTTCTCACTAAAGCCAAGAGGTGTGGAAGAATAAAAGGGAAAATGAAATAAGAAAAAAGAGTATATTCACGGAAGATCATGAGATCCCAGCACAAATCCTGATTCTACAGATAGATATCTGTATTAAATCATTTAAGCTCTCTGAGCCTCTGTTTCTTCATCAGTAAAACAGGAAGATAATACTGTGCTACAGGGGCTTGAGGAGATTAATAAAAAACACATGACAGTGTTTAGAACAGCTTCTGACCCAGTTGCACTCAATAAATATTTCCTTATTGTTGTGATGACAAATTATTTTTTCTTTAGGCCTTTTAGACTTAATTAGAAGTAGAGTGTCATTATAGATAATAGTAAATCATGTAGAAAGGTGTGTTTGAACTGTACTTGTAGACTACAAGTTGGGAACCCCTTAATGTGAGGAAGGTTGACGTTAGAAGCCAACTATGTACTATTTTTTTTTCTTGAGACAGAGTTTCACTCTTGTTGCCCAGACTGGAGTGCAATGGAACAATCTCAGCTCACTGCATTCTCTGCCTCCCAGGTTCAAGTGATTCTCCTGCCTCAGCCTCCCAGATAGCTGGTATTACAGGCACCCACTACCATGCCCGGCTAACTTTTGTATTTTTAGTAGAGACGGGGTTTCATCATGTTGGCCAGGCTGGTCTCAAACTCCTGACCTCAGGTGATCAGCCTCAGCCTCCCAAAGTGCTGGGATTCCAGGTATGAGCCACCGTGCCCGGCTTTATGTACTGCTTAAGACAGAAAAAATAGGTTTCATTTTGAGTGACAACTCAGATAAACTAGTAGTGGATGCCTGAAGCACTATGGTAGGAAGGATCCTGAAGCTGAGTTTTAAATCCAGAGCAAGAGAGATGTAATAGATGGCAACACCTACCATGACTGCAGAAGGGGAAGTGATGGCTCATGCCATTCCTGATATTCTATGCACAAAGGATACAACTTCAATGAGTTTTGTAGCCAGCCTCACAAGAGAAATTCAGACAAGTAATAATAATTATTAAACCAAGAAATAACTTAAGAATCACTTCATTTACAAAAAAAATTCAGCACTGCTGCCAGTGCTCAGCACTCATGTGGACCACAGCCCCGAGGACAGGTCTGTGACACCTTCTGCTGCAGCCACTGGCACCCACATGTGCCACCCAGGGGCCCCACAGCCAACCTGCTGCCACTACTGCTACCAGTGGTGCCATGCATGCCAGCCAAGGGCCAAAGGCCTGTCTCCCAGCCCACCACTGCTACTCCCAGCACATGAGGATGCCATCTGGAGGCTACAGAATGTGCCCATACAGGGCCTCCACCTCCACTAGCACCCACATATGCTTCCCAGGGGCATGAAGACCAGTATGCCTGTCTCACCAACACCACCACTGGTGCCTGAAGATGGCTCACTTGGTGTCCCCATCCCCAGCGAAGCCTCGCCACAGCCTCCACTAACAAGTTCAGCCTAAGTCATCAAGGAACTCACAGACACCAATGACACTGATTACAGTGAAAGAAATCATATGGAGACTACACTACTGTGCCCACTCAGAATTGAAGCCAAAATACCCAATCCAACCATCACTATAGATACAACTACAGGAAAAATCTTTGCCTGCAAAAGCCAATCCATAAAATTGGAAGAAGTGACTGTTGTACCAGATGCACAGATGTCAATGTAAGAACACAAGAACCATTAAAAAAAAAAGCAAGGAAACATGACACCTTCAACAGACTGCAATAATTCTCCAGTAACAGATAAAAAAAAAAAAAAATCTATGAAATACTTGAAAAAGAATTCAAAATAATGATCTTAAGGAAACTCGGGATAGAAGATAAATTGAAACCCTGAATAGACCGATAGCAAGCTCTGAAACTGAATCTGTTAAAAACAAACAAACAAACAAAAAAACCTACCACCAAAAAAAGCCCACCACCAAAAAAAGCCCTGATGGATTCACAGTCAAACTCTACCAGATGTATAAAAAAGAAATGGTACCAATCATACTAAGAGTATTCTAAAAAATTGAGGAGGGACTCCTCCTTAACTCATTCTATGAAGGCAGTATCAGCCTAATACCAAGATCTGGCAGAGAATGACAAAAAAAGAAAACTTCAGGCCAATATTCCTGAAAGCACAGAGGCAAAAATCCTCACAAAATACTAGCAAACTGAATGCGGCAGCACATCAAAAAGGTAATTCACCACAATCAAGTAGACTTTATTCCTGGGATGCAAGCTTGGTTCAATATAATGCAAATCAATAAATGTGATTCACCACATAAACAGAATTAAAAGTATAGACCATATGATCTTCTCAACAGATGCAGAAAAAACTTTCTATAAAGTCCAACATCTCTTCATAATAAAAACCCTCAATAGACTAGGCATCAAAGGAACATATCTCAAAAGTATAAGAGTCATCTAGGACAAAACCACAGCCAACATCATACTGAGTGAGCAAAAACTGGAACCATTCCCCCTGAGAACTGGAATAAGACAAGGATGCCCATGCTCACCACTCCTATTCAACATAGTACTAGAAGTCCTAGCCAGAGCAATCAGGCAAAACAAATAAAAGGGATCCAAATGGGAAAAGAAGTCAAACTATCTCTCTTTGCTGATGACTCAATTCTATACTTAGAAAACTCTAAAAATTCCACCAAAAAGAGAACTAAAAAAATGACTTTAGCAAGGTTTTAGGATACAAAATCAATATACAAAAATTAGTAGCATTTCTATATACCAATAACGTCCAGGCTGAGAGGCAAATCAAGAACACAATCCCACTTACAATAGCCAGAAAGAAAATGAAATACCTAGGAATAAGCTAACCAAGGAGGTTAAAGATCTCTACAAGGAGAAGTAAAAAAAACACTGCTGGAAGAAATCAGAGATGACACAGATAAATGGAAAAACATTCCATGCTCATGGATTGGAAGAATCAATATCACTGAAATGGTCATACTGCCCAAAGTAATTTATAGATTCAATGCTATTCCTATCAAACTACCAATGTCATTCTTCACAGAATTAGAAAAACCTATTCTCAAATTCATATGGAACCAAAAAAGAGCCCAAATAACCAAAGCAATACTAAACAAAAAGAACTGAGCCAGAGGCATCACACTACCCAACTTCAAACCATAGTATAAGGCCATGGTAACCAAACCAGCATGGTACTGGTACAAAAACAGACATATAGACCAATAGAACAGAACAAATACTCAGTAATAAAGCCTCACACTACAACAATCTGATCTTTGACGAGGCCAATAACAACAAGCAATAAATTGTGTTGGGATAAATGGCTAGCCATGTTATCCCAGAAGAATGAAATTGAACCTCTACCTTTCACCATATACAAAAATTAACCCAAGAGGGATTAAATATTTAAATGTAAGACCTCAAACTATAAAAATCATAGAAGAAAACATAGGAAATATCTCCTATAGAATGGGAGAAAATTTTCACCAACTATGTATCTAACAAAGGTCTAATATCCAGAATCTATACGGAACTTAATGCCACAAGCAAAAAACAAATAGCCCCATTAAAAAGTAGGCAAAGGATTGGCTGGGCACGGTGGCTCACACCTGTAATCCCAGCACTTTGGGAGGCTGAGGCGGGCAGATCACCAGGTCAGGAGATCAAGACCATCCTGGCTAACATGGTGAAACCCCGTCTCTACTAAAAATAGAAAAAATTAGCCGGGCGTGGTGGCAGGTGCCTGTAGTCCCAGCTACTCGGGAGGCTGAGGCAGGAGAATGGCATGAACCCGGGAGGTGGAGCTTGCAGTGAGCCGAGATCGTGCCACTGCACTCCAGCCTGGGCGACAGAGCGAGACTCCATCTCAAAAGAAAAAAAAAAAAGTAGGCAAAGGACATGAACAGACATCTCTCAAAAGAAGACATAAAAGCAGCCAACACACATATGAAAAAATGCTCATCATCACTAATCATCAGAGAAATGCAAGTCAAAACCACAATGAGGTACCATCTCATACCAGTCAGAATGGCTATTATTAAAAAGTCAAGGGCCGGGCACGGTGGCTCATGCCTGTAATCCCAGCACTTTGGGAGGCCAAGGTGGGAGGATCACCTGAGGTCTGGAGTTTGAGACCAGCCTGGCCAACATGGCGAAACCCTGTCTCTACTAAAAAATACAAAAATTAGCCAGGTGTGGTGGCGTGCCAAAAAATACAAAAATTAGCCACGCTTGGTGGCATGTGCCTGTAATCCCAGCTACTCAGGAGGCTGAGGCAGGAGAATCAATTGAACCCTGGAGGCAGAATTTGCACTGAGCGGAGATTATACCACTGCACTTCGGCCTGGGCGACAGAGGAAGACTCCGCCTCAAAAAAAAAAAAAAGTCAAAAACCAGGTGTTGGTGAGGCTGTGAAGAAAAGGAAACACTTATACATTGTTGGTGGGGCTATAAATTAGTTCACCTACCATGGAAAACATTTTGGAGATTTCTCAAAGAACTTAAAACAGAGCTACCATTCAACCCAGCAATCCCATTTTACTGGGTGTTTACTCAGAGGAAAATAAATCATTATACCAAAAAGATGCACAGATTCATATATTCATCACCATGCTATTCACAATAGCAAAGACATGGAATTAAGCTAGGTGCCCATCATTGATGGATTGGATAAAGGAAATGTGGTACATATACACTGTGGAATTCTATGAGCCATAAAAAAAGAATGAAATCATGTCCTTTGCAACAACATGGATGGAGCTGGGAGGCCATTATCCTAAGAAAATTAACACAGGAACAGAAAAACAAATACCACGTGTTCTTGCTTATATATGGGAGCTAAACATCAGGTAGACATGGACATAAAGACTGCAACAATAGACACTGAGGAGTACCAAAAGAGGGAGAGAGGGAGAGGGGCGTGGGTTGAAAAACTACCTATTGGGTAACTAGGCTCACTACCTGGGTACAATATATTCATGTAACAAGCCTGTACATGGCTTGTTTTATAATATTTTAGATACTCCTATATCTAAAAGCTGAAATTAACAAACAAAATAAATAAATAAAATACCTACGAACTTAACCAAGGAAGTGAAAGACCTCTACAAGGAAAACTACAAAACATCAATGAAAGAAATTCTTGAACACCAAAAGATGTTCACTGAAAGATGAAAGAAATTATTTCTTTCATTGGTGTTTTGGACACAACAAATGGACACAAACAAATGGAAACACTTCCCTTGTTCATGGATCAGAAGAATTAATATTATTAAAATGACCATACTACCCAAAGCAATTTACAGATTCAGTGTAATCCCTATCAAAATACCAATGACATTCTCCATAGAAATAGAAAAAACAATTCTAAAATTTATATGGAACTACAAAAGACCCTGAATAGCCAAAAAAAAAAAAAAAAAAAAAAAAAAATCCTGGACAAAAAGAAAAAGGCACCACACTACCAGATTTCAAAATATACTACAAAACTATAGTAACCAAAACAGCATGGTATTTGGTATAAAAACAGACATATAGACCAATGGAACAGAATACAGAACTCAGAAATTTATTTACATATTTACAGCCAACTGATATTCAATAAAGGTGCCAACATACATTGAGTAAAGAACACCCTTTTCAATAAATGGTGCTGGGAAAACTGGATATCCATATGCAGAATAATGAAACTAGACTCCTATCTCTCACCACATACAAAAATCAACTCAAAATGGATAAAAGACTGAAGCCTAACACCCAAAACTATAAAACTACTAGAAGAAAACACAGAGGAAATGCTTCAGGATACTGATCTAGGCAAAGACTTTATGGCTAAGACTTCAAAAGTATATGCAACAAAAACAAAAATAGACAAATGTGAACTATATTAAACTGAAAAGTTTCTGCACAGCAAAGACACAATCAACACAGTGAAGAGACAACCTGTCGATTGCGACAAAATATCTGCAAACTATTCATCTGACAAGGAACTAATATCCAGAATATACAAGGAACTCAATTCAACTGTAAAAAAAAAACCCACAAATAATCCCATTAAAAAGTGGGCAAAGGACATCAATAGACATTTCTCAAAAGAAGACATACCAATGGCCAACAGGTATATAATAAAATGCTCAGCATCACTAATCATTGGGGAAATACATATCAAACCACAATGAGATCTCACCCCAGTTAGAATGGCTGTTATCAAAAAGAAAAAAACAAATGCTGGTAAAAATGTGGAGAAAGGGGAACTCATACACTGTTCGTGGGAATGTAAATTAGTACAGCCATTATGGAAAATAGTATGGAGGCTTCTCAAAAATTAAAAATAAAACTTCCATGCATTCAGCAATCCCATTACTGGGTATTTATTCAAAGGAAAGGAAATCAGTATATCAAAGGTATACCTGCACCCTCATGTTTATTGCAGCACTATTCACAATAGTTAAGATCTGGAATCAACCTAAACTTCCATCAACAGATGAATGGATTTTAAAATGAGCATAAGAAATACTATTTAGCCATAAAACAAATAAAATCCTGTCATTCACATCAATATGAATAAGCCTAGAGGATATTATGTTAAGCAAAGTAAGTCAGGCACAGAAAGTTAAATACTTCATATTCTCACTTATAAGGGGGAGCTAAAACAAATTTTTGAGGTCATGGAAGTAAACAGTAGAATTGTGGGTATTAGAGGCTGGGAAGGGTAAAGGGGAGGGAAGGATGGGGAAAGGTTGGTTAATGGATACAAAATTATGGCTAGATAGGAAGAATTCATTCTAGTGTTCTGCAGCACTGTAGGGTAAATATGGCTAACAGTAACTTATTTGTATATTTTCAAAAAGCCAGAAGTGAGGATTTTGAATGTTCACAGCACAAAGAAATAATAAATGTTTGAGGTAATGGATTTGCTTTTTACAACCTGGTTTGATTACCTTATAAATTGTATACACTTATCAAAATATCACTCTATATCCCATAAATATGTATAATTATTACATGTCAACTAAAAATAAGAAAAAATCATCAGAGGGAAAATTATCTTCTAGAATCACAAATAAAAGCCAATGAAGGTTTTTTAATTAAAACAAACAAAAAATTGTTTAACAAAGAATATGCCAGTACTGATAATATCCATGTCATTATAGGGACAAAACTTTAGAGATATCCTAGTTTACTGGCTTACACCTTTGAAATCTGAGGAAGAGGTAGGGAAAGGAGACTGCTGGATAGCCCAAGGGCTGACAACAATTTTCAACATTTATAAGTTTGACGCCCATGGAGGGAAACTTTTAAGAAACAGCAAGCTTCCCCTGACAAAATAATTTTTTTTAAAAAAATGCTATTATACAAACAGACAAATTGGTAGTCCTAAGTCCACAGTATTCTCCCACAAAGAACATTCTCAAATACCACTCACAATTTTGGGGAAGAGTTCAGCTCAGACTGGCCTACTACAGTTTTTGCCTTGAGCTGTTCCAGCAAACGCCTCTGCTCTATGCACTGTGGCCTGTCCAGAAATATCTGTTGATGCAAGTCTTCAGGGGCCTCATTCTAATGAGAAGATTTAAGAATTTCTCTTCTTCTCCATTTAGCTTTCTTAACTCACCATTTAGCTGTCACAATAAGGGGCTCTTCCTTTTGATGATAATGGTACCCCTAATTGTAGCATCATTATATGTAATAACCTGACCAAACACAAAACAAACATATAGAAGAGTTATTTGTCTACAGAGAGTGAGACAGCTCTCTTCTTTCAAAATTCTGTACTGAATTTGATCAAGTTCCTCAGGAATTTCTAGAATAGGGTAGGAATATCTAATGAAATTAGAACCTGGTACTACCTGGTTAAGGTACTACCTCTTATGGCCAAGAATAACAAGGACTGGATTTATCTTCCTGCCTTAAACAACTAGGAAACCGGAGAGACTTATGAAATCATGATTTTCAGACATTGAAAAACAACCAGCACAGGACTCTAATCTCCCAGAGAGAAGGGAAACAAAAACAACACAAGCCCTATGATTGTCACAGCTTACTGACTAGAGGCAGTTTCCAGGTCACAGCACAGGGAGGAGAAATCCTAAGAGTTAAGGGAGGTCAGGGTGGCCAGAGTTTGGGATAGAAATAGTTTATGTTTCCACCAACCAGACTGCCCTCATGATACAAAGGACATCTGGTAGAATCCTCAGAAGGGTGTTTCCTAGGGATAAGTTAACCCTAAAGACTGCTCTGGACCCAGCCTAATAAAATTTAAAGGCAGGTCTTTTTTTTTTTCTTTTTAACTTTTAGGTTTGGGGGTACATGTGCAGGTTTGTTATATAGGTAAACCTGTGTTACGGGGGTTTGTTGTACAGATTATTTCATCACCCAGGTACTAAGCCTAGTACTCAAGTTATATTTTCTGCTCCCCTCCCTCCTCCCACCCTCCACCCTCAAGGAGCCCCCAGTGTCTACTGTTCCCTTCTTTCTGTTCATGAGTTCTCATTATTTAGCTTCCACTTAAAAGTGAGAACATGCAGTATTTGGTTTTCTGTTTCTGCATTAGTTTGCTAAGGATAATGGCCTCCAGCTCCACCCATGTTCCAGCAAAAGACATGCGCTCATTCTTTTTTGTAGCTGCATAGTATTCCATGGTGTATATGTACCACATTTTCTTTATCCAATCTGTCACTGATGAGCATTTAGGTTGATTCCATGTCTCTGCCCTTATGACTAGTGTTGCAATTAATATTTGTGTGCATGTTAAAGGCAGGTCTTAAAAGGATTCAGGTGACTCCAAGCAACTTGACTCTGTACCAGAACAAAATTCAACACCACATAAATGAATTTGATACAATTCAGCATGCGACAACATGCTGACATTGAAATGAATGCAATACAATTCAGCACACAACAATATAAAATTCACAATATCTGCCATCTAGTAAAAAAAATCTTTAGGCATGTCAAAAAACAGAATAATATGATCAATACCTGGGAGAAACTGCAATCAACAGAAACAGACATAAAAATGACAGAGAGAATGGAATTCTCAAACGAGGACATTAAAACACCTATTAAAAATACATTCCGTAGGCTAGGCGCGTGGCTCACGCCTGTAATCCCAGCACTTTGGGAGGCCGAGACGGGCAGATCACGAGGTCAGGAGGTCAAGACCCTCTTGGCTAACACGGTAAAACCCCGTCTCTACTAAAAATACAAAAAAATTAGCCGGGTGTGGTGGCGGGTGCCTGTAGTCCCAGATACTCGGGAGGCTGAGGCAGGAAAATGGCGTGAACCCAGGAGGTTGAGCTTGCAGTGAGCTGAGATCATGCCACTGCGCTCCAGCCTGGGCGACAGAGTGGGACTCAGTCTCAGAAAAAAAAAAAAAAAAGCACATTCCGTATGTTTAAGAAAGTAGAAGAAAATGTGAACATGATGAAGAGAAAAACTGAAGATATAAAAGACCCAAATGGAACCTCTAGAGATGAAAAATGTAATATCTGCGATGAAAAACACGTCTAGATTAGATTAATCACCAATTAAACAAAAATAAGTTAGATGTAGGAGGGAGGCAAGAAAGAAAACAGATAGATATCAAACTCCTCCAGAAGTGAAGGGAGTATCTTCCTTTTCAGAAATAATTCTCTCTGACCTGCCATTAAAATTCAAGGATAGTATACAGATTTAAGGTTAGTTTAGTAGTAAGAAAGACAGACCAATCACTAATGTTTTTTCTAGATTTAATCTTTGAAGACTGTAAACTGAGATCCTGATTGAAAGTCAGATCTGAGACAGCACTTTTCAATACAAATATAATGCAAGTCACACATGCAACTTTAAATTTTCTAGTGGTCACATCAAAAATAAAGAGAAATGGGTGAAACTAATTTTAGTACTACATTTTATCTAATATATCCAAAATATAATTGTAATATCATTAATATAAAATTAATACTTTACTTTTTGTGCACTAAGTCTTTGAAATCCAGTTTGTTCTATAGTTAGAGCACATCTCAATTCTGACTAGCCACATTTCAAGTGCTCAGTTCCCACATGTGGCTAGTGGCTAACATATTGAAAATTATGGGTCTAAGCAGATGCATTAGTCAGGGTAGTTCTAACTGATGTAGCAAACCCCCAAATCTCAGTGGCTTAACACAACAAAGACTTGTTTTTAATTCAGGTTACAGTACAGGGAGGTCAAGAGGGAAAGGAACTGCTCCTTTCAGAGACTCAGGTTTCTTCCAACCAGTAGCCCCATTGTCTCCTTTTTGGAAACTTTATAACTGGATTCTCTCCATCCAGCAACCTGATGAGCAAAGAGTGAGGGCATGTAAAATGTTTTAGGGCCCTTGCCTAGAAGTTCTGTATATCATTTCCACCAACATTCTATTGGAATATAACTGACTGGAACTCAATCACATGAAAATCCAACTCCAAAGGAGCTGGGAAACAGAAGAGCATGTGGAAACAGTGATGCTGCCACAACTGTAGTGCTGAATCAAAGAGTGGGGAGGCTCTTCTGCAGATCAGAGCTGCCAACACAGTCAATTTTTTCCTATCTGATTAGACAGAAAGCCAGTTGCCCTGCACAGAAAGCACTGGCCATGAAGAATGCTTCTGTTGAATACTAAGACCTTGTGGGTTATGCTGAAACTTTCTAAGTTACTGTTCTTTTATGGACTGATGTTCTTCCATATTGTTCTACAGAAATATATAAGAATCTGCTCCCCACTCTACAGTAGTGACAAGGGTGATCTCCTTGAGCTAAGAAATTTTAGAAGAGGAAGTCATATAATTTGTGAAAATCACATATGCTCAGAGCAGCCCTGAGACTCTGAACTTCAGAAGTGAGGATTTGAGAGATCTACTCCAGTCCTGTCTCTCTCTTCACTTTACAGAGCAGAAAACTATAGCCCAGAGAGAAAAGATGACCTGTCCAAGGTTAGAACTAATTTGATCAAAATTATAAGTCACTGGGCTATTATTTCTAGTCCATTGTCCATCTTACTGCAACAAGTAAATGTTGACTTTCTGATGTGCATCTCAGCTAATGCTACAACAATGCTGTCTATAAACCACCTGAAAAACTCAGTGGCTAATAGCAACAAGTATTGTTCTCATGATCATGAGTCTGCAGGTCAACTACAGTTTAGCTGATCCAAGCTGGGCTTGGTGGGCATGAAATAGGTCATGAAATCAATCTAATGGGTTGCAACTAGCTTTTTGAAAGAATGGAATAGATCAGAATAGAAGGTATCAAAGTGCATGGGACTGAGTATTAGCTAAGTGACTTTTTGTGCAATTTGAAATTTCAATTATATACATAATGTGTAAACTAGGTCATCATGTACAATGTACTTCTTACTGTGGGTTACAGTCAATATAGTTTGAAAGCCTTTACCATTTAGAAGTCTGGCCAAACATAGTGGCTTGTAATCCCAGCACTTTGGGAGGCCGAGGTTGTCAGAATGCTTGAGCCCCAGAGTTCAAGACCAGCCTGGGCAACATAGCAAAACCCCATCTCTACAAAAAATACAAAAATTAGCCAGGCATAATGGTGTATGCCTGTAGTCTCAGCTACTTGGGAGGCTGAGGTGGAAGGATCACTTGACCCTGGGAGGTCAAGGCTGCAGTGAGCTGTGATGGATCCGTTACAATCTACCCTGAGCAACAAAGCAAGACTCTGTCTCAAAAACATAAATAAAGTCTTTGAAATTGGTCAGGCTAAATATAATCCCATATGTATGTGATAAAATTATCAAAGGTTGAGATGATTGAGCCTGCTACAAACATTTTAATGAATCCTTTAATTCAAGTGGATCACTATTCTCTGACCACAAATACCCAATCTTGCATCTCTCTCCCAAATCATGTTACCTTCTGTCACTCAACCCCTTCTGTTTTGCGCTCATATCATGTAAAGTTGTTCTAGATGCTGGAGATGTATTAGTGGGTGGAGAAAATGTGTGAACTCATCAATATGACACATCTCAGGCTAAGGAATATCTCACCAACACTCCTCATGTGCCATCAATATCGTATCTATCTAATTTTGTTCCCACATCTGCTCAGTACACCATTCCTGTTAGGTCCTGTCTTTCCATATAGTTGATAAATGCAACAACAAATATTTAACTAATCAAAAGAGCTTGATTTAAAAGGTACATCCTTGGCTGGGCATGGTGGCTCACACCTGCAATCCCAGCAATTTGGGAAGCTGAGGCGGGTGGATCACCTAAGGTCAGGAGTTCGAGACCAGCCTGGCCAACATAATGAAACCTCATCTCTACTAATAATACAAAAATTAGCCAGGTATGGTGGCAGACGCCTGTAATCCCAGCTACTTGGGAGGCTGAGGCAGGAGAATCGCTTGAACCCAGGAGGCAGAGGTTGCACTGAGCCAAGATTGTACCATTGCACTCCAGCCTGGGCGACAAGAGCAAAACTCTGTCTCCAAAAAAAAAAAAAAAAAAGTACATTTTTAATGCTTCCATTTATATGAAGTTCTAGAACAAGTAAAACTCATCTATAGTAGAAAAAAAAAACAGAACAGTAGCTGCCTTGCAGCAGAGTGATGATGGAACACAGGAACTGACTGGAAGGGAAAAGAGGAGGTTCTTGGGGTAATGGAAATGCTTCACAGCTTGATAGGGTTGTGGGTTACAAGGGCATATCCATTTGATGAGGTTAAGCAATTAAGATTTGTGCATTTCAATGCATGCAAATAAAAGAACTACAAAAAATAATCTAGTGGGGGCAGGAAGTGAGGAGGTATGATAAGAATAGCAGAAAGCTGATAGTTGTTGAAGCTGGATAATGGTACATGGGTTCATTATGTCACTGTTTATTTGGTATGTATTTGAAATTTCTGTAATAAAAAAGTTTACAAAATTATTGCAATTCAGGTCTTTCCAATTATGCCACTTTTATTCATGGTGGCAGCTGTCATAGGACATATGAATGCTATTCAATGTTCTAATCATCTTCAACAAAATCTGAATCAATAAAAAGGCAACATCTGAGAAACCAATTATAAATGATGTTTTATCTATAAAAACCTAGGAATTTCTAAGTTCCAAGATATACATATTCTATGTCTGTAAATGAAGACTGGTCCAATAATAGGGTACAAAATAATTTCATCTTTCCCATAATTCACAATAACTATTTACCCCTATAAACCATTAATCAATCAACTAAAATAAGAAAATAAATTCTAATACCTTGATAACTATCACTAACAGGACCAGCTTGTTCCAGTCACTGGTTTTGTCCTTGCCTTCATTAAATTATTTGGTAGAGATCAAATGCCTCCCCCTGAGAATGTACATGCCTTGCCTCTGCTCCTTTCTACTTGTCATATAAGGAATGGAGGAGATGTGCAATTAAAATATTTCTAAGCACTTTCACTGAAATACAATTAACCTCTGGGCTCTAGTCTCTCCATTTGGCACATAATGTGCCAGATCCTATCAAGGAAAAATTTCCTGAAGTCAGCCATTTAGTGGCATTGGCAATGTAATGTTTTGGGGAAGGAAAAGTACTCATCCACTTAGGAAGAGAGTTTAAAATAACTAACGGAAATTGATTCCCTCCCTTGGAAAAAAGCCTACAATCTGGCTGCAACTGCTTACAAGGACCCACTATTTTTTCAGCATTAAAGATGCTCCAGGAAGCTCATATGCTCCACATCATCTGTACTTTCTGCACAACCAGGTCCATCTTCTCATATCCGCAATATTTATAAGTTCTCAGGATTCTCTGGGATTCACCTTTTGGGTGCTTTCCTACCTTGGATCCATGTACCTATCATAAAAATTTTCCTGTGTGATGCATATGAAACACATTTCCTTTTAAGTAACTCCTTTCTGCTGCTTTATCCCAGAAGGCCTGTTCTTTCCCAACTTTCCTGATGTTAGTGATCTTATTAATGTGTAGTTGTCCCTCCCTTTATCATAGCGCCTACTTTTATGAATAAGTGATGCTGATTTAGCTAGTAAGTCTGCCTTATCATATTCATTAGTTCCCTATTTTTAACTGCCCCAATTAGATGTCTACTACTTTCTGTCCTAGAACAAGTTTTTAGATCAATAAAACTTTATGAACTATATAATACAGAAAAGTATCCCTCCTCCAAATCATAATTTCTATCTGTAATAACATTGCATTGCAGAGAGATCTCTTAAAGGCATGACATGTTCTTATAAAAGAGTATTCAGGCCGGTAAGGGTCTCATGAAGATATCATGTTTCCTCTTTCCCACCTGGTACAAAATGGCATAGGCTATTTTCACTGGAACCCCTTTCTGCTGACTTAAATATTTAAACTGGATCAGATCATATTTCTTTACTTCTGGGAGGGCCACAGAATTAGTAATATAAATCCCTGGATATTATCTGGTCCCAGGTTACTTATTTTGAGTGGGCAGGTCTCCTTAATTATTCATTCAATAGATGAGTGACTGTTATTGAGTGTCTATTGTGTCAGGCAAAAGGGACATAAAAACTTACACATAAGAAAAAGAGAGGACACAAACTACTAATATCATAAATAAAAGAGGGGACATCACAACAGATCCCATGGACATTAAGAAGATAATCAAGGAACACTATGAATAACTCTAAGCCTGCAAATTTGATAACCTAGATGAAATGGACCATTCCTTGAAAGACACAATCTGCCAAAACTCACACACACACAAAAACTACCTGAATAGGCTTATCTTTACAAAAAAGTTGAATCAATAATTAATAAACTTCCAAAATAGAAAGCACGAGGCCCAAGTGGGTTCACAAATGTTTCTACCAAAAGAAGAAATTATACCAGCTCTCTTCCAGGAGATAACTACAGAGGAAATACTTTCTAACTCGTTCTATGAGGTCAGAATTACCTTAATGCCAAAACTAGACAAAGACATTACAAGGAAAAAAATATATAGACCAGTCTCTCATAAATATAGATGTATAAAACCTCAACAAAGCATTAGCAAATCAAATCCAACAATGTAAAATAAGAATTATACACCATAACCAAGTAGGACTTATCTCAGTTATACAAAGCTGGTTCAACATTCAGAATTAGGCCAGGCACAGTGGCTCATGTCTGTAATCCCAGCACTTTCAAAGGCCTAGGTGGCAGATTACTTGGGGTCAGGAGTTCAAGACCAGCCTGGCCAACATGGTGAAACCCCATCTCTACTAAAAATACAAAAAACAAATTAGCCGGGCATGGTGGTGTGCACCTGTAGTTCCAGCTACTCACAAGGCTGAGACAGGAGAATTGCTTGAACCTGTAAGATGGAGGTTGCAGTGAGCTGAGATTGCACCACTGCACTCCAGCCTAGGTGACAGAACGAGACTCTGTCTCAAAAAAAAAAAAAATCAAAATTAATGAATGTAATCCATCATGTCAACAGGCTAAAGAAGAATAATCATATGATCATACCAATACAGAAAAAAGCAGCTGACAGGCCAGGCGCGATGGCTCACACCTGTAATCTCAGCACTTTGGGAGGCCAAGGCAGGCGGATCACAAGGTCAGGAGTTCGAGACCAGCCTGACCAATATGGTGAAACCCCATCTCTATTAAAAATACAAAAATTAGCTGGGCGTGGTGGCATGCACCTGAAATCCCAGCTACTCAGGAGGCTGAGGCAGAGAATCACTTGAACCCAGGAGGCAGATGTTGCAGTGAGCCGAGATCGCGCCATCGCACTCCAGCCTGGACAACAGAGTGAGACTATGTCTCAAAAAAAAAAAAAAAAAAGAAAAAGAAAAAGCAGCTGACAAAATCCAACACCCATTCGTGATTAAAATCTCAGTAAATCAGGAAGAGAGAACTTCCTCACCTTGATAAACAATCTCTACAAAAATCCTACAGCTAGCATCATACTTAATGGTGAGAAACTAGAAGCTTTCCCACTAAGATCAGGAAGAAGAGAAGAATATCTCCTCTCACCCCTGCTTTTCAACATTATACTAGAAATCTTAGTGAATTTAGTAAGACAAAAAAGGAAATAAAAGGTACACTGATTCGGCAGGAAGAAATAAAAGTATCTTTGATTAAAGATGTCTCTTCTACCCAACTTGATCTTTAGATTCAATGCAATCCCAATAAAAAACCCAGCAAGTTATTTTGTAGATATCTATAAACTAATTCTAAATTTTATATGAAGAGGCAAAAGACCCAGAATAGCCAACATAATATTGAAGGAGAACAAAGTTAGAAGACTGACACTACCTGACTTACAGACTTACTATAAAGCTAGAATAATCATGGCAGTGTAGCACTGGCAAAAGAAAAGACGAAAATAGATGAGTGGAAGAGAACAGAGAGCCCAGAAATGGATCCACATAAACATAGTCAACTGATTTGACTGATATGGTTTGGATGCTTGTCCCCTCCAAATCTCATGCTGAAATGTGATTCCCAGTGTTGGAGGTGGGGCCTGGTGGGAAGTGATTGGATCATGGGGCAGATCCCTCATGAATGGCTTAGCACCATCCCCTTGGTGATAAGTCAGTTCTTGCTCAGTTAGTTCACATGAGGTCTGTTTGTTTAAGAGAGTCTGGGACCTCCCTCCTCTCTCTCTTGCTCCCTTCCTCACCATGAGACACGAGCTGCTCTCCCTTTGCATTCCACCATGATTGTAAGCTTCCTGAGGCCTCACCAGAAGCAGATGCCAGCACTATGCTTCCTGTACAGTCTGCAGAACCATAAGCCAAGTAAACTTCTTTTCTTTATAAAATACTCAGTTATTTCTTTAGAGTAACGTAAAAACAGAGTAACACACCAACAAAGAAGCAAAGGCAATATAATGGAGAAAAGATGTTCTTTTCAAGAAATGGTGCTGGAACAACTGGACATCCACATGCAAAAAAAAAAAAAAAAAAAAAAAAAAAAAAGAATCTAGACACAGACCTTACACCCTGCACAAAAATTGACTTAAAATGGATCACATACCTGAAAGTAAAATGCAAAACTGTAAAACTCCGAGAAGATATCATAGGAGAAAAATCTAGATAACCTTGGGTTTAGCAATGACTTTTAGATATAACATCAAGGCATAATCCATGAAAGAAACATTTAATAAGCTGAACTTCACTAAAATTAAAAATCTCTGCTCTGCAAAAGACACTATCAAGAGAGTGAAAAGATAAACCACAGACCAGAAGAAAATATTTGCAAAAGACACATCTGACAAGAGCATATTACCAAAAATATAGAAAGAACTCAAACAATCAGAAAACTTGATTTAAAAATGGGCTAAAGCCCTTAACAGGCATCTCACACACACACACGCACACACAAACAGACAGATGGCAACAAAGCATATGAAAAGATGCTCAATACCATATGTCATCAGGGAAACGCAAATTAAAATGAGATATCACTACACACCTATTAGAATGGCCAAAATCCAGAACCCTGACACCACCAAATGCTGGCAAGGATGTGGAGCAACAGGAATTCTCATTCTTTGTTGGCAGGAATGCAAAATAGTACAGCCACTTTGGAAGACAATTTGGCAGTTTCTCACATAACTAAACATACTCTTAACACAGGATCCAGCAAACATGCTCCCTGGTATTTGTCCAAAGGAGTTGAAGACATGTCTACACAAAAATCTGTATACAGTGTTTATAGCAGCTTTATTCATAATTGCCAAAACTTAGAAGCAACTACGTCTTTCAGTAAGTGAATGGATTAAAAAAGCTGTGGTATACACAACGAATTTTTCAATGCTAAAAAGTTAGCCATGAAAAGATATGGAGGAAACTTAAATGCATATTAAGAACAATCTAAAAAGGCTACTACTATATGATTCCAAAGATATGATATTCTGGAAATGGCAAAACTATGGAGATAGTAAAAAACATAAGTGGTTACCAGGGGTTGGGGGCAGGAGGGCAGAAGGGATAAGCAGGCAGAGCACAGAGGATTTAGAAATCCTCTAAATTCATGTGAACACACTCTGTATGATACTACACTAGTGGATTCATGTCATTATACATCTGTGTAAATCCACAGAATGTACATCATGAGTGAACACTAATGTAAAACATTTGGTGATAACAATATGTCAAGGTAGGCTCATGAATTATAACAAATATAACACTTTGGTAGGGGATACTCATAATGGGAGAGTCTATGCATGCATGTGGGAGGAGGGAGTATATGGGAAACCTGTTCTTCTCGATTCTGCTTGAACCTGAAACTGCTCAAAAAGTCTTAAAAAAGAGCCTATCAAAAAAAATAAAATCTATACACACACAGAGAGTTCCTAAGCACAAAAAGCTCAGTCTCCCATTATGCATACACTAAACCAGTAACTATCATGCAATCATTAACCCTGGCCCATAGGGCTGCAGGCCACCCCTCCCTTCAACAGCTCCCTTCTTTTCAATTACTACAGTGAGTGTGGTGCATTTAAACTTCCTTTTTGACTTCAGTGCCCCAAAGATGGAGCTTCAAGTCTCAGGGGTTTTTTTTCTTCTTATACACTGTAGCCAACAAGAGACACAAATCAGTGGAATTTAAACTCCATTTCTGATCTAGCTTTGTGTTTCAGGATACATGAGGCAGAGATGGCCAGCACACTCAGATTCTTTGGTCACTAAGTTTCTAATTGATTTACTGTGTTTCTGGCATCTTCAGACATCTACAAAGGAAGGCATGATGGAAACAATGTTCTGCTTTAAATGCTCTGGTCAGCCTAAGGTGAAAGCAGGAGATATGGACAGGCATCCTGAGAAACAATCCATGCTATAACTTGTCTGAAGCCCACAAAGTTCTCTCTGACCATCATACAGAAAGAGAAATAGCAATATCTTTACTTTTAGCCAACGAGACAAGATTCTTTGGGGGCTGTAATGAAAAAATCATTCTTTTCATCCCATTCTAATTGCTCCTGCTCTTTTTAGCTGATGTCTACCAAATTATTGTTTAAATAATATTACTTATTATTCAGCTACTTAGTTAATAAAGAACATAGACCAAAAAACAGTGCAGATCACTTTGTATTTATTACATTACTGAACTTTTTCAAATGACAGAATTCAACTCCAAAATAAAGTAATAAATGCCTATTAAATAATTATTCACTTGTATTTTTCTCTCCTAAAATTTTAACACAGCAAAACATCTTAAAGACATGTGAATAGGTTCAGTGCACTCTCAGTGGCTCACAATCATGAGGCAAATACTACATTTATCCATAAAAATATAAGATAAACAGATCAATATTTTAAAATATTGCTGACATAAAAGGAAAAAATAAAATACTACACTTTTACCACAATTATTTTGGTAGATGATAGTAGAACATTGTTTAAAATAATGCTCCTCTACAGGACACATGCTGTGCTTGGTATACTTGGCACATTAGCAGTTGGTAACTGCTCAGCTTCCATCTGCAGTTTCTCTAGCAGGACCCTTACTCAGGCCCACTTTCAAACCCTGAGCTCTGATCTGCCTGCCTCCACAGGGACTATTCTGGTACCCTTCTTCCTCCGTCTACTCTTAAGGCTTTTCTGTCTTCCCTTATATTCCCCCAGATTCACACTTGCTGCCATCTCCATTTTCAGCAAAGATGCCTGGCACAAAACTCACAAAGCTGAGCACCTCCTCCATAGCTCTTACCCCAGATGTTGTCCCTTCACTGACTAAATTATGACTATTAGGTAAAGAGAATGAATCTACCCACAAAAATAATTTGGCCGGGCGCAGTGGCTCACGCCTGTAATCCCAGCACTTTGGGAGGCTGAGGCGGGCAGATCACCTGAGGTCGGGAGTTCGAGACCAGCCTGACCAACATGGAGAAACCTTGTCTCTACTAAAAATATAAAAAAATTAGCCGGGTGTGGTGGTGCATGCCTGTAATCCCAGCTACTAGGGAGGCTGAGGCAGGAGAATCGCTTGAACCTGGGAGGCAGAGGTTGCAGTGAGCGGAGATTGCACCATTACACTCTAGCCTGGGCAACAAGGGTGAAACTCTGTCTCAAAAAAAAAAACTCCCTACTTTACAGTCACATCTCCTGCAATGCAAAAATAAAGGTTGGTGGACACCTGATTTACAACTTAAAATATTCAGTGAGTTTAGACAGAATATATACTGCTCTGAAGTTCCTTAAAATCTGTTTTTCTATTATTGTTTGTTTTTAAAATCATAAAAATATAAAAAGTGTAAACTTTCTAATAAACATTCCAGTGAAACCCTGTTACACTACTTTTTATTTAGTGGGTCAGAAAGAACAAAAGTGACACCATGTTCCTTTGGGCAGACCCAAAATCATGCTCCCAGCCCTAAATCTACCATTACATGTCTCCCACCCATTAGACAGCTCTGTATGCCAAGCATGTCTCTCACGACAACTGCAGCTACCACTCATGAATACACCCTGTAACCAAGCAACAGATCTCCCTGGTAGCTGTCCATGTGCTCTCAGCATCTTACACCTATTGCTTCACACTCGACCTAGCCTCAGTAACTAGGCAAACATAGGGAAGTAAGGACACAAAAAATTGGAGCACCTCCTTTGTGACATGCTGCATTCCTTTGCAAAGTGAGAAGGCACTTCCTCTCTGTCAGAGTCACAGCAGAATTAGGTAAGGGGCGAGGCATGCTGCTGACAGAGGTAGGAATAAGGAGGGAGCTGATAAGGCTAGCTACCAGTGTCCACCACACCCCTGAAGTCAGCACACTCATTTCATCATGACACTGCTGAGAGCCTGGGGATGAATCTGATCTATTCAAAAGGAGGAACCTATTATGCAAGAAATTCCAGTCACTTATGACTCTTGTAGCAAGGCTTCACTGTATGTTTTTAAAAGAATAAAATTAAGATGTTATATATTTTTTAATGAATAACTTAAAAATTAATTGAGAAAGAAAATACTGCTTTTGTTTTTAGGGAGGAATACTCGACACAAATGACTAATGAAATCTATTAGATCTGGAGAATCCCCTTAGCTTCTTTATCAGCCATGATTAATGAGATAACCTAAAATCAGAATTCCTGACCTGGGTGATTAACAGTACCAATTAACCAGAGTATTAACTGCAATGACTTAAAATTGTATTACCTGAATAGTCTCCATGGTGAAGTGTCAGAAAAGGTGAAATAATAAATATTTTCCACAGCACCATAAGATTTTATAAAATACTATTTCAGTTAATGTACAACCTCAAGGTTTTGGTCCATCATTCATATATAGGCTTAACCTCTTTTACTGATAATAGTTCTGACAGAGGCCACACAGGCATAACTATAACATGAAAATGATATATTTTACTGAAGAACCTGTATGTTATACTTAGTCTCTGCTTCAGCTATATCCATTAAGTACTAGTGGATTCAAAGGCCAGGAAAAGATAGTTTTGCCATTTATACTCTAATCACAAATTTTCATTTGCCAAAAGGACCTAAGTAGTAACCAACTAAAATATTTGTCATAACTAAAAAGTCATTTTTGTATCTGTTTGCTTTGTTACTGTGTGCTCTTATGGGTTTTGTTTCTATATAAAATGGCTCTGAGTTTTCAAAATAAGAATAGAGTGATTTACTTTGAATTTTAAAATAACTCCAAGTGGAAAACAGACAAATTTTACAGCCAAACGATCTGAAATTATGTGTAACAGTTATCTATAATAAAAAATAGATCACAGATTGGATCCCCTCAATATCCAGCATGCTCATGGATCTCCTACAACTGTTAGTGTGTGCTATGCCAACTTAGTTCAACACTGATCTAAGCAAAACATAATCGAAAATATTGACTTCCCTACCAAAAACCATACACTACATTCCAAAGCCAAATATGAATTAAGTTTGAGATTATCAATTTCATGTCTCCCTTCCATTTAATGCAGAAAACTGAGACTTGGCTTTATTACAAATTAGCTAGCACTAGAGTAAACGTGCTATAAAATTATTTATAACAAAATAAATATTTTCAGTCCCTCTACACACTAAGTGATATATAAATCATTAGCAGTTTATAACATTAGCTTAGGTCACTTTTTGAGGGACCTAAACATACTGTACAATCCTGAGTTAAAGGTTAGGGATACAGTTTTGGGGATCTTTCTTGACCAGGAATCACAAAGAAAACATATAAACCACACTTGTAATAATCCCCATTTTCATTAGAAGTACCATGAGTTCTTTTTACTTTGGTAAATAAGTTTATCTATGTAAACCATTGATCTTGATGGAGTAAAATTTAGCAGGGCTTCTGCTAGGATCCCTCCATCACCTTTTGACACTGATACAGTAAATAGTCAGGAAGAGTAGAACAGGAGGATCTGAACCACAGGGCTAATACATCTGCATGAACTCGGCAATGCAGTAAGCAGGGGATGGATGGGAGCAGCTGACAGGCCAATAGCCCTTCATTGCCTAAAACAAAACAAAAGTGAAAAATGATTTAATGCAAAAGGAGTTAAACAGACATTTCTCCAAGAAGATACACAAATGGCTAATAAGCACATGAAAAGATACTCAATATCACTAACCACTAAGGAGACTGCAAATTGAAACCACAGTGAGATACTATACTTCATACACATTAGGATGGCTAATATTAAAGAAAAAAACAGATAATAACAAATGATGATGAAGACGTGGAGAAACTGGAACCCTGGTACATTGCTGGTGGGAATATAAAATGGTGCAGTTGCTGTGAAAATGATATGGTGGTTTCTCAAAGAATTAAATCTAGGCCAGGTGCAGTAGTTCACACCTGTAATCCCAGCACTTTGGGAGGCTGAGGCGGGCAGATCACTTAAGCTCAGGAGTTCTAGACCTGCCTAGGCAATATGGTGAAACCCCATCTCTACTAAAAAATACAAAAAATTAGCTGAGCATGGTGCCACACACCTGTAATCCTAGCTACTCGGGAGGCTGAGGCACGAGAATAGCTTGAACACGGAAGGTGGAGGTTGCAGTGAGCTCAGATCGCACCACTGTACTCCAGCATGGGTAACAAAGTGAGCCTCTGTCTCAAAAAAAAAAATTAAATCTAAAATTATCATATAATCCACCAATTCCACTTCTGGGTATATAACCAAATAAAGAACTGAAAGCAGGGACACAAACAGGTATTTGTATAACCTTGTTCATAGCAGCATTACTCACCATAGCCAAAAAGTGGAAGTAACCCAAGTATCCATTTACAGATGAATGGATAAACAAAATGTATCACATTAAAATTCGGACACATTCTACAACATGGATCAACCTTGAAGATATTATGCTCAGTGAAATAAGCCAGATACAAAGGGACAAGTATTGTATGATTCCACTTATATAAGGTACCTAACACAGTCAAGTTCATAGAGACAAGAGGTAAAATGGTAGTTGCCAAGAGGTGGAGAGGAAGGGGAAAGGCGGAGTTAGTGTTTAATGGGTATAGTGTTCCAGTTGAGGAGGATAAAAAAGTTCTGAAGATAGATGATGGTGACAGTTGCACAACAGTGTAAATACACTTAATGCCACTTAACTATATGTTTAAAAATTGTTAAAATGGTATATTTTATGTATGTATATTTTCCAATAAAAAATTATTTAATACAGTCTGAAAAACACATTCATCTGAAAGACAGTCATAATAGGAAATAAAGCTCTGAGAAATCTGATACTTGTAAGAGTTGATTTGTGTTCCAATTATAAGAAAGCTCCTATAAACACAGAATAGCCTTTTTATAACTCTACAAACCTATAATCTCAATAATATGGAGTCTTAGTTTCTGTTGCAGAGTCTTTAGTGCAGAAGGAAGTGCAGCTTGAGATTCTGACATTTTTACATTTTGTTTCACATCATTTGCGAAGGATAACCAGAGTTTCCCAAAGTCGTCACTTGAGATTTTTAATGGTCTGAAAATAATTTTTAAAATTAGATATATGTCAAAAACAGTGAAATGATTCTAAACAACAAATTTCAAATGCCTCATGAGAATAAAACATAATCATTGTAAATCTGGGTCCCATAAGATTTATGTCTTTAAACCAAATATGCTAAAAATGGTTAGTATCATCCTCCAACCTGATGAAAATACTGAAAGCAGGTATATTATTAAATTTAAAATATCATTTCAATAAACCACTCAGTTATCTCTCTTTCTACTAGTCATTCCAGTAAGATTTTACCAAGTAATTTCATAAATCATTCAACTATAATACAGAACTTTTCTTTCATATTTACTTTGAATTTGGGGATAATGGGATACTCTATCAAAGTTATGAAAAAGAACATGAATACAAAGATCTTGCACCTTAAGTAAATTAGACCAAAAGAAAGAATTTTAACAAACACATTTTTTAAATGGTTCAGGAGACCTCCACAATCACACAACGTAAGTTTTTTGAAGGCTGGATTTTATCCTATCAGCACCACAGGCATACAGTACTGTAATAGACTGACAGTTATGTTATTACTAAAAGACTTTAAAGAATGGGGAAAGCTGGGCATGGTAGCCCTCGTCCCTAATCCCAGCACCTTGGGAGGCCGAGGCAGACAGATCGCTTGAGCCCAACAGTTTGAGACTAGCCTGAGCAACATGGCAAAACCCTATCTCTACAAAAAACACAAAAATTAGCTGGCATGGTGACATATTCCTGTAGTCCCAGCTACTCAGGAGCCTGAGGTGGGAGGATCAATTGAGCCTGGGAGGTCGAGGCTACAGTGAGCCATAGTGTGCCACTGCACTCCAGCCTGGGTGACACAGCAAGACCCTGTTTAAAAAAAAAAAAAAAAAAAAGAATGAACAAAAACGAGAGCATTGTATTGTAACAGAAGTGACATGTGGAGGTTAAAAAAATATATAGAGATATTCATCGGTATTCTGCATTCTGGGTTCAGGCAGCCTTCATATTTTTAATGTTCAAAAACAGTACAATACATTTATAAAACAAAATTAGAGCAGGTAAGATATTGTTTTCAATTATTTTGGTAACACTGTACAGTGCCCAGTATAATGGTAAAAACTGCATGTTTAATAATAGTTTAATAACACATCACACTCTGGGGACTGTTGTGGGGTGGGGGGAGGGGGAAGGGATAGCTTTAGGAGATATACCTACTGCCAAATGACGAGTTAATGGGTGCAGCACACCAGCATGGCACATGTATACATATGTAACTAACCTACACATTGTGCACATGTACCCTAAAACTTAAAGTATAATAATAAAAAAAAGTTTAATAACTATGTCAAGCAATTTTCTTACATTTCTCTAAAGCTTAACAAACAAATTTTATGAAATAATTGAATAAAATACAAATGAGAGAAACTTTTAAAAGCCATGCAGAATCTTCGGAGTTATTTAGTTTAAATAATACTTTTTCTCACAAGCTTTACCAGGTCACCAACCAACTCCAACCTAAATCAGGTCTCTCATTATAATCCCTCATTGTAACACTTATTTTCTCTTCATAGCACAATTCATAATTACATATGTATTTATGTAATTGCTCCATGTCTCCTCCATAGACTAGAAATTCCTCTAACGTAGGAACTGTGCGTAGTTTTTAACTGTTATACTCCCTAGCACCCAACATAGTGCCTCCATCCAGAGAAGAGGTCTAAAAAATAGTTGGTGAATTAACAACTTGAATTAACATTTCACAAAACATTTACCTAATGAAATCTAATAGTGATAAGTTTACAGAAAATTCCAGCTGAGCAGAATGAGTATCCATCATATGATAACTAATAAAACCAGTAAGATTTCCTTCTGTAAAAGGTTTTTCTATCTGCACACTATATTGAAAGCTTTTGGTGCTTTCTGCTTCCATTACAGGCAAACAGCATCCAGGTTGCTCAGTCACCTGCAAATAGAAGTAATAAAAGTGTTGAAGAAGGAAGGGATCAATACAGACTATTACATGACTACCAATTTTCTATTTAATTGAAGTGGCACAAATCATACTAATATGGGAAGTTAATAACAAACTACATTATGAAGATGACTGGCAACTTCACTTGAGAAAAATTCACTAGAACAGATAATGAAATAATAATTGTACACAGGTCAAAATTATGTTAACAAATGGCATTACAGTTAAAACTGTAAATGTCCTGGCTGGTCCTGGGTTTTTAAAGATAGGAGAGTTTTCAAATAATTTTTAAAAGAATTTAAATATAAATATAAATACAAATACAGATGTCATCTATTCTCATTCTCTACCCTCAAGCTTTGGTGGTAGAGTTAAAGCAACTGGGAAGGGTTTGGTCTGTTTTTTTAAGTTCCACAGATGATTCTTTTTTTTTGAGATGGAGTCTCACTCTGTCACCCAGGCTAGAGTGCAATGGTGCAATCTTGGCTCACTGCAACCTCCGTCTCCCAGGTTCAAGCAATTCTCCTGCCTCAGCCTCCTGAGTAGCTGGGATTACAGGTGCGTACCACCATGCCCAGCTAATTTTTGTATTTTTAGTAGAGACAGGGCTTCACCATGTTGGTCAGGCTGGTCTCAAACTCCTGACCTCGTGATCCACCCACCTCAGCCTCCCAAAGTGCTGGGATTACAGGCATAAGCCACCGCACCTGGCCCCACAGGTGATTCTAAAGCACATCTAGTATCAGGAATTTTTGCTCTGGTCAGTGGCCCAGACAATATCCCATTCAACACATTCTAGCTCATAGAAGAAACTGGGCCAGTTTTGTGGAAGATAAATATACTAGTCAAATCTCATTATAAATCCACCAAGGACATCCATACAATAATGCAATTAAACATACTTCCAGCAATCACAATGGCAATCTGTTAGAGCTAGGGAAGAAAGAGAACTGATGTCTGAGCACTTGGTATATAAAAATAAATTGGTGAGAGAAAGAAGTAAGCAGTATACACATTTATTCTTCAATATCCTTACTCCTTAATCTTCTACTTTGCTAAATAATTTGAGAATTTCGTTTTAGTGTTTATGACAAAAGTGAAGGAGACATTTAAAGAGCACAGGAAAAGAGAACACAAAATATACACTGAAAATAAAACAATAATACCTTTAAATTTTACCTTGAAATTTTCTGCAGGAAAAATTTCTAAGTCAGCACTTTTCAATTCCAAACCACTCTTATTAGTGACTGACCAGACCATCAATAAACAATCATCTTTCCAAATTTTATAAGAAGACACTGATATAGTTTCATTATTACAGACTTCCATAGCATTTGAGTGTATGTATTCAGTAGTTTCTTCCAAAAAAGATGAAGCTAAAGAGCTTTCCTTGGCAACTGAGGCTGCAGTAGATTGAGGAGGGTGAAAAATTTCCATGTTGTTATTAGCAAACAATGAAGGTGTAGACAGACTACAATATGAGAATTTCTCAACCAAGGGCAGTTCTGTGAGTGACTCAGAATCCAAAAGTTCTGAAGTGAGAGAAAATTTCTTTAATTCCTTGTCTCCTGTATCGTGCAAAGTATTCGAATAATAATCATCTTCATATGCCACATTTGACAAAGAACTAAAGGAAGAACAGGTCATATTATGAGTACTGGTTGTTTCGCCACTTTTAGCTTCTTTGACTTTTGATTTCCTTCTGAACTTGTGAGAGACAGTATCTGCTTTTCCCAGCTGCAAAAATAAAACATAATAATATAAAAAGAAATCATTCTACTAGTCATGAGTTTTAAACATTCATCTATAATTTCAAATCAGCAATATAACAATTTGCTAAGGTTCTATCTATAAAGAATAAATTAGTAAAGAATCAGAGATAAATAACATGTTAAGCCCTAAAATCCTGACAGCTATATAACTTTGAACTATTAGCTAAATCTTATTTCTCATAAAAAACACATGGAATCCGAAGAAGAAATAAGGTCCAAAAGTCAGTCATGAACAAAAAACTTGTTAGATTTCAGAATACTAGAGTATAGAACTGAACAAATTAAAAAGCAGTGAGAAACTTCACCATTTTTTGAGTTGCCATAGTTGTTCTGTATAAGCCTAAGTTACTCTTGAATGCAGGGATGACCCAACCTCTGTTTTAGTCATCTATAATAATCATGATTTCATGGCCTGTAAGTTAGTAAGCAGAAAGAAAAACTGGTTTTACCTCAAGAATTAACTGGCAGTAGCTGACTGGAACACTCAGCAGGAAAGAACTCAATAACTGACTAGTGATGTTTGCCACACATTCAGGAGATAGAATGGCAAACTTGACATCGTTGGTCCAAACTTTCTGAAGAATGGTCTGTGAATCTATGTAAGAGGAGTGATGGTTCAAGTGTTCCCTTGCCTAGCAAAGTTCTATTTAGAATCAGTGCAGCAGACTGGCACTACTCTCCACCTCCACTCCCCCGGGGGGCTTTGACACTACACAGCATCCTTTACATGATTCTAGTTGACCAGAATTCTAGTTCCCTTTTCTTATCTTCTCTGTCACTCTCCTCAAGCCCCAACACCTTCTTCCAACTCTGAACAGATGATTTTTGTCTCTTACCTCCAAATTCAGAAGTCACCTAATAAGAACTAACATTTTATTAACACAAAAACAAGGGGGCACAAAAACTACTGTAGTTATTTTCGATAGTTACTAATAACTATCAAATAGTAGTTATTTTCAGTAGTAATGGGACTCAAGGTAGATGTGTATTAGAGGTCAGGCATGGTGACTCATATCTGTAATCCCAGCACATTGGGAGGCTGAAGCAGGCGGATCACTTGAGGCCAGGAGTTCAAGACCAGCTTGGCCAACATGGTGAAACCCCGTCTCTACTGAAAAAAAAAAAAAAAAAAAAATTAGCCAGGCGTGGTAGCGCATGCCTGTAATCCCAGCTACTCGGGAGACTGAGGCAGGAGAATTGCTTGAACTTGGGAGGCAGAGGTTGCAGTAAGCTGAGATCGTGACACTGCACTCCAACCTGGGTAACAGAGCAAGATTCTGTCTCAAAAAAAAAAAAAAAAAAAAAAAAAAGATGTATATTAGACTGCTTGTTACTGTCCCCCAAGTCACTGATGCTCTCTGTTCCTTTTTTCTTTTTTTGGTCTTTTCTGGTCTTTTTTTTTTTTGGTCTATGTTTCATTTTGGATAGTTTCTATTACTTTGTCTTCAAGTTTAATGATCTTTTCTTCTGCATTGTCAATCTGTTATTATTCAGAAGCTATACATGCCAGAAGACACCGTAGTGACATCTTTGTTAAAATGCTTGAAGAAAAGAAACAGTTTAGCACTGCATACTCAGAAAAAAATGTCTTAAAAATGAAGGTGAGGCCGGGCATGGCGGCTCACACCTGCAATCCCAACACTTTGGGAGGCCAAGGGAGGCGAATCACTTGAAGTCGGGAGTTTGAGACCAGCCTGGCCAACATGGTGAAACCCCATCTCTACTAAAAATATAAAAATGAGCTCGGCGTGGTGGCACATGCCTGTAATCCCAGCTACTGGGGAGACTGAGACAGGCGAATTGAGGCGGAGGTTGCAGTGAGCCAATATCATGCCACTGCGCTCCAGCCTGGGTAACAGAGTAAGACTCTGTTTCAAAAAAAAAAAAAAAAGAAGGTGAAATAAGCCAAGGGTGAAAAAAATAATAAACCTTGGCCTTTCTAAAGTGATATAAAAAATTAATTCAAAATGGATCACAGACCTAAAAATAAAAGCTAGTTAAAATGAAATACATCAATAGAGCCTTGATGTATGAAACTGAGAACGCTAAACGTAAGAAAAATCAGTAGGGAACAGGATTTCTGAAGAAAAACAGCCATCCAAAATGAGGCATGACACAGAAGGAGCACATTCAGTTAGTCCCAATCCTGTCTGCTTTGCCCCAGTATCAGAGGAAGGGTCGGGGCTGAGAAGTGAGAGGATACATGCTAATTTTATGTCATTGTTAACTGTTCCTCCTTCTTTATGCATCTAAGTTACAACACAATTCCTTACGGAATTCAGGGTCTCATAAAACAGAGAAATACACTCCTTTTTCTACTCTTCAGTGATAGCTGGGTGGGAATGAGGGGGAATTATAAGGGGTAAGTCAAAAAGGATTTAGCATCATTAACAGAAAAAACATCCTAATAATATTTCCGATTTCAAACTCACCACAAAAAATCTAATATCACCCTGAATGTTCTCCTAAGGAAAAAATCTAACTGAAAGCTATGCACTTGTTAAATAGGCAGGAATACTTCTATACCAGCAATGAGGTTCACAAACCAGGGCTCCATGAGCCTGGGTGTAATCTGACTTTGGTGTGCTCTTACCAAGCATTCCACTGGTACCCACCCTCTCATCACAGCCTGCCAGAACAACTCAAAAACCCAAGATCAGTCACTTTACTGCTGATCTGCAAATGTCAACTCGGAAAATATTAAGATACATTAGTTATTAATATTTTTAGGCTGAATCTGTTTTTTCTTAAGAGAAAATATCAAGTCTGACAGAAATGGGATCTAGACTGGTGAGTCTAGAAAAGAAAGAGACAAAGATAAAGAGTATATAGTATGGTATACCATCTGGCCTGGTACTGACAGGAATGAAGGGGAAATTTCACCATGGGAGGAGGAGGATGAAAGACCTGGGATGTCACTCTAATCAAAATTTTGTACAAGGTGGGTTCATTAGCCACCAAAAGGAGGATACATTACATGGTATTCTCAGATGCTCAAAAACAGCACCTGTCCTTCACTCCAACTTGTCATTCTTTTACTATGAAAATAATTTCTCAGTATAAAAAGTTTAAAAATCATAATCTTAATATCTGAATATAATTATCATTTTTGTATAATTCCTTTCAGCCTTAGGTATAAACAAGGCATAAATAAAACTTTATACTCTGTACTTTTTGTTTAATATATCATTTAAGTATTTTTTCATTTTACAAAGCAATATTATTGATCATTCTTAGAGCTGAATAATGTTCTGGGAGAATAGAATTTATGTAATACAATTTTGAGGAGTACTTTTTACAAAGATATATCAATACTGTTGAACGATTATTATTCATCCCCCTTCCCTTTGAGAACTGCCCCGTCCACCCACAGGGGTGAGAGTGGCTGTGGTCATACCTGTAACCTTATTTGGAGCCTGACCCTTGTCCACTGACTGGGCTACAGAGAACACCTGACTCAAGTTGAGCCAACTGCATTTTCTCTTTCAGGAATATAAAAAGCTGTGTCATTAGTGGTTCTGGAGCTGGGAAATGATGGTGAGTAAGAACTGGGGAAGCCACTTTTCACTATACATATAGACGACAGCCAGGAGCTTTTATAGAGCCAGTTTTTTTTGTACAGACAGATGACAAAGATTCTTACAGGAATAGAACCGATTACTTACCAGGTTGATTGTACTTTCTGATCCTAGACCAACAAATAATGATGATGCCAGCAGCTGCTTTTCTTTCTCCTCTTTAGATTGGGTAAGAACTTGAGATTGATCCTTTTTAGTTATAGCTTGATCTACATTCTCCATTATACTCTCTTGAGGAACAGGCAGAGCTCCACTTTCATCACCAGTTTTGCTTTCCTTCTTGGGAAGATAGCCTTCTTTCCCCCACAATTTCTTTATACCTTCCAGCTTCAAGCTATTTGTCCTAAGGAGGTTGATAATAAAATCAAGTCAACTTAAATAACTGCTAATAGTTACTTTCTTGAGGCATTCTTTCAAAACATATCAATGCCCATGGCCTTTTAAAAACAACTGTCACATTATATTCTATATACCAGAAGTAAAACCTTGATCTCTAGATTTTATTTTAGTTATAGCCAACATCCCTCTACCCTCCAGTCAAAGGATTTGATTTAAGGCTGCAGAACTCCAGACTTAGTTAAAAATTTCAGAGCATTTAATTTTCACTTAACTGCTTAAGTTATACAAAAATAGAACTACTGTAAATCAGTTTCTTTCCTCCACTGACTTTTCAAAAATACCTTTAATTCTGATGGGTTAAAGATGAGAAATGATTGAAATTTCTTAGCAATATGAAGGAATTAAACCTATATAAATTCATTAAGTAAAATCCTGTTAAAAGCAAAAACATCATTCAAATTTACTCCTATGTATAAATTTACATTTTATTTTTTCTTTAGTTTTACAACCCAGGAAACATAAATTCAAGTTGCCCTGAATACATGCTCCCCATAAATTTACTTTAATCCAAAAGGTTTTTCTCACTATGCACATAGCAACATTTTCAACTATTATTAAGTGTACTTTTATCAAAATGCAATGAAGTTTTATCTAAAAAAGAAAAAAGTAAGATTTTGGGAAAAAGCCTGAGGCTGACAAATTTTTACACCTGAGTTGAAAAAGAATTAAAATATTGTTTAGGAGCCAGGTGTCCTACCCAAAAAGCCTAAACAAGGCATCTAGGCAGTTAAGTCCAGGGCCAAATTTAGAATCCTAATGTTGTCACAAAAGTTGCAGTTGTGAATCTGGAGTGACTAATAAGTGCGGGCTAAAATAGCCAAGGATCATCTCTATTATTCTCATATAAGAGCTATGTGTCCATTAATTAGTTTGATTGTGGTAATCATTTCACAATGTATATCAAAACATCACATAGCACACCTTAAATACATACCAATGACCCTTGAAAAATGGAGAGGGTTGGGGCACTGACTCCTTGTGTTGTCAAAAATCCACATGTAACTTTTGACTCCTCCAAAACTTAACTACTAATAGCCTACTGTTGACTGGAAGCCTTACTAATAACATAAACAGTCAATTAATACATAGACTAGTATCTATATATATTTTATGTATTCCTGACAATCTTATTGTTTCTTAATTTTTTGACATTCCTAGGGTACATGGTTTGTTGGAAAGTTTTTTCAAATTGTCTCAAGTCTGAAAAACTTTTTCCAATATATTTATTGAAGAAATCTGTGTATTAAGTGGACCCGCACAGTTTAACCCATATTGTTCAAGGGTCAAATATACAATGTTTATTTGGCAATTATATCTCAATAACACTGGAGTTAAAAAAAAAAAAAAAAAAGAACTATGTGTCCTTGGCACTTGACTTATTTAAGCATCTCTGTCATGGTCCAAAATGGCATTTTTAAAAAATCATTTCTACTACAAGATGAGTTGATCATGAAATGAACAAAAAGGAAGACTCAGAAATATTTCTACTAATTATTATTAGTATTGAAATTGTTGGAATCATGATCAATGTGATTTTGAGCCCAAAACAAAACAAAAACAGGTAATTACACTTCATACTGAGTGAAGAATTAATGCTATTAAGAAGTAAGTAGCTACAGGAAAATCTGAATGTTAATAAAAAATGCCCTAAAGGGAATTGGTTCATTCCTTCTCAATGATTTTTACTGCTGAGTATCCCTTTACAAATATCTTCATTTCCCCCTTTCTTCCTCCAGGTTCTAAAAGAGTTTTCTAAAGAAAAAAAAAAGTTATATAATAAACCTCTTAGACAAAAATTGGTTGTACTTGCCATAAGCAGATCCCAAGTGGTCATGGGAACCACTAAAATAACTCCTACCATTTCTAGAATAGAATTCTCAAAAGAAGCACCTCTAGGGAATTCATGAATACCCACAATAGTATTATAGTATCTGTATACTCCCTTTAACCAAAATATTACCTTTATTTACAAAAAAAGAGAGAACAAGTCCCTAAATTTTACTAATCCATGATTTAAATAGTAGTTTAACAACAACAACAAAAGGCCGATGTGGAGGACAATGGGCTGCTCCATCCGGATCTCTCTTCAATGAAGGACTGTTGACCAGCTGTTGGGAATGCTGTCATCTCTCAGCCCCTTCAGGGATTGCCTGAGCTGCAGAGGGCTACTTCACGCAAGATCACACCCCTTCCAAGGCAGCCTACATCCAGTGATGGATGAATGGAAGTATAAAGTCCTTGCCATCCATCTCGGTCCAACTCAGCACAACTCTGAAGGGTCATTCCAGCTCCAGAGCTCCCCATGGGGTCAGCAGAGGTTGTCACCGGCAATGCATTGCATCTTAACTTCTGCCCAAACCTGCTTCTTTTTCCTTCCTTCTATAGATGTTGATCCCAACGACACTCCTAATTATTCTGCATACTAAATGCCATCACAGAATGTGCTTCCCAGGGAACTCAATCCACAACTGGCAAAAAGGGGCAGGAGGTACAAAAGGAGCCTAAAAGGAGCCTCAAACTATTTTAAAGATTTTTCTTATTTTCTTATTTATTTCATCTGCATACATACTTATGATCGACACAAATATTCTGTTAAGCATACATACAGACCATCTAAAAAGTGGGAAAATATGGCCAGGTGCAGTAGCTCACACCTGTAATGCCAGCACTGACGCTGAGGCAGGCGGATCACTTGAGCCCAGGAGTTCAAAACCAGCCTGGCCAACTTGGCAAAACACTGCCTCTACTAAAAACATAAAAATTAGCAGGGCATGGTGGCAGGCGTCTGTAATCCCGGCTTTGAATGTGTACTCCACATTCAAAGTCTGAGGCATGAGAACCTGGGAGAACCCACTAGAACCCAGGAAGCGGAGGATGCAGTGAGCCAAGATCATGTCACTGCACTCCAGTCTGGGTGACAGAATGAGACTTGTCTCAAATAATAATAATAATAATAATAATAATAATAAATTAAATAAATAATAAAAAATGGGAAAATACATAAGAAAGCAACATAAGGCCATTTCATATAAAAAATATGCTTCTTAATTATATGAAACATTAGAAAAATAATATTTTTAAACATGAGTCATCTTTGCCCGGATTTTGACAATACTATTATATAATACATGGTTTTCTACGGTGTGCCCTTGTATTGTTTTTATTCAGACCATTCAAACATAGATGTAAATTCTGACCAAGTAACTAACCTTCAAAAGACTAGGGATGTACTTTAACTCAGCTCTAGGAATTCCCATTTGAGATAGGGTGCTGCCAGTTAAGAAATTATAAATTAGACTTGCTACTACTTTATTCTCAGGTTGCCAGGGACTGTAAAAGAGCAACTGTCTTCCCTCTAAGATGATTCACCTTGCCAATTACTATGTTCCTCTTCTGAAATAATGTGTGAGCTGAGGTCCTCTTTGGAAACAAATTTTAAATTCATCCCTTATCTTCCATTTCACAATACTGCAGGATATATTATATAATTCCTTAGCAGTTTTGCCAAATGTCATTTCTCTGAGGGTAGTAGATGTATATGTATGGCATTTACAAGGCCCTGTCACACCCCCCAGATCCTAGTTCAGTACTATAGTAGTAGATGCTGTCACCTGTTGTGCAGGTAAAAGTGTGTAAGTTCCTCCCTGGGTTTGAAGGGTTCCTGTCTCTTTCCCTTGTCCCTTTGGTCCCTGTTTGGGACACTTAATTGCTGTCACCTCCATCATCAAATGCCCACAAACAATATTTGCTCCCCATGCTTGGAGTATCAAAATTAAATATCTGGGAAAGAAAATAAGGAGGTTAACAGAGCAGGAAAAAAAAAAAAGATAAGAAAAAGAATTTGAACTCATGCCATTTCATTCAACATATTCTACATTCCTCATGATCTATTATTAGTATCTTTCTTCTGATAAATACTTGTAACCATTTCATTGAACAACAGACAAATGTAAGGATGAACATAAAATAAGATGACTGATTTCTTAATAAATACAGAAGAACTCAAAATTCAAATGTCATCCTTTAAAGTTGTCACTTTTGAGATTTTATCACATTTATTCCAACAATGCGGCCATTACTTAAAACATTTTTAACTCTATTAGATGCAGCTTCTTCCCAAACAAGAAAGCCATTTCCTTACTTTACTGTCGCATCAGAATATTGATCAAAATTATACAGATTGATCACAAATATTATCTGGTAAACTCACCTCTTGGGTAATGAAGACAATGATGGTAATGACAATCATTATTAATAACAGCAACTACCATTTATCAATCACTTACTATGAACTGGGCTGTACTATGTACTTACAAATGTCATCTCATTTTATTCACTTAATTATGTTTCTAAAGGTAACTAATTATGTTTCCAAAATCAAAGTATACCTAACAAGGATGAAATTCGGCTCCAAATAAGACATTTTAGCAAATGCTCACCAATTTTCAAGGTGGCTGGAAAGTAACTCTGAAAGCATTTTCAGCAAAGTATACAGCTTCCATAGGTGACTACGGATGGTCCCTGACTTACAATAGTTCAATTTAATGATTTTTTGGCTTTACAACGGTGTGAAAGCAATAGAGTTTCACAGAAACCATACTTCAAATTTTGAACTTTTATCTTTTCCCAGGCTAGCAATATGTGATAGGATATTCTCTTGCAATGCAGAGATAATAATGAGCTAATACAATAATAAATAGGCTGGGCACGGTGGCTCATACTTGTAATCCCAGCACTTTGGGAGGCCGAGGTGGGTGGAGCACTTGAGGCCAGTAGTTTGAGACCAGCCTGGCCAACATGGTGAAACCCATCTCTACTAAAAATACAAAAAATTAGCCGGGTATGGTGGCAGGAGCCTGTAATCCCAGCTACTCGGAAGGCTGAGGCAGGAGAATTGCCTGAGCCCAGAAGGCAGAGGTTGCAGTGAATCGAGATCATGCCACTGCACTCCAGCCTAGGCAATAAGAGTGAAATTGTGTCTCAAAAAAATAATAACAATAAAATAAAATAATAAACAATAATGGGCCAATGATCAGCAGAACTGAGTTCTAGACATACATCTGCTGTTTGGTAGATCACTTCTGACTTACGATATTTTCAATTTATAATGGGTTTATCAGAATGTAACCCCATCATAAGTTTAGGGGCATCTGGCCTTCACTGGGTGACCAACTATATGGCTTCCTCAGGTGAAATCAATCACCTTATTTTATGTTCACCTCTATATCTATCAATGTTCCAATGAGACGGTTACAAGATATATTTATCAGAAGAATGAGGAATGTAGAATGATATGTTAAACATCAGCCTGGATGTATAAATTCTAATATGCTTCTAAATATATATATATAATATGTAGCAATAACACATATTATTACTACGTATAAAGCTTGTACATATTTTATGCTGTCTTGGAAGGTAGATAAGCTCTTAAAGAACATACTGTACAATATAAATACCTTAAGAGCAATAAATAGAAACCACTGAAACAACAGCCCATACAATTTAGCTTTTAAAAACCTTTCTAAACCATTATATTAAAACACATTGTCACAAGTGTGTCTCTCCCTTTGAAAATTATGTGAAAACCTAGTTGGAAGTAAAGCACTCCTCAGCAAATGTAAAAACAGAAATTATAACAAACTGTCTCTCAGATCACAGTGCAATCAAACTAGAACTCAGGATTAAGAAACTCACTCAAAACCGCTCAACTACATGGAAACTGAACAATCTGCTCCTGAATGACTACTGGGTACATAACGAAATGAAGGCAGAAATAAAGATGTTCTTTGAAACCAATAAGAACAAAGACACAACATACCAGAATCTCTGGGACACATTTAAAGTAGTGTGTAGAGGGAAATTTATAGCACTAAATGCCCACAAGAGAAAGCAGGAAAGATCTAAAATTGACACCCTAACATCACAATTAAAAGAACTAGAGAAGCAAGAGCAAACACATTCAAAAGCTGGCAGAAGGCAAGAAATAACTAAGATCAGAGCAGAGCTGAAGGAAATAGAGACACAAAAAACCCTTCAAAAAATCAGTGAATCCAGGAGCTGGTTTTTTGAAAAGATCAACAAAATTGATAGACCGCTAGCAAGACTAATAAAAAAAGAGAAGAATCAAATAGATGCAATAAAAAATGATAAAGGGGATATCACCACCGATCCCACAGAAATACAAACTATCATCAGAGAATACTATAAACACCTCTACGCAAATAAACTAGAAAATCTAGAAGAAATGGATAAATTCCTGGACACATACAGCCTCCCAAGGCTAAACCAGGAAGAAGTTGAATCTCTGAGTAGACCAATAACAGGCTCTGAAATTGAGGCAATAATTAATAGCTTACCAACCAAAAAAAGTCCAGGACCAGACGGATTCACAGCTGAATTCTACCAGAGGTACAAGGAGGAGCTAGTACCATTCCTTCTGAAACTATTCCAATCAATAGAAAAAGAGGGAATCCTCCCTAACTCATTTTATGAGGCCAGCATCATCCTGATACCAAAGCCTAGCAGAGACACAACCAAAAAAGAGAATTTTAGACCAATATCCCTGATGAACATCGATGCAAAAATCCTCAATAAAATACTGGCAAACCAAATCCAGCAGCACATCAAAAAGATTATCCACCATGATCAAGTGGGCTTCATCCCTGGGATGCAAGGCTGGTTCAATATACACAAATCAATAAACGTAATCCAGCATATAAACAGAACCAAAGACAAAAACCACATGATTATCTCAATAGATGCAGAAAAGGCCTTTGACAAAATTCAACAGCGCTTCATGCTAAAAACTCTCAATAAATTAGGTATTGATGGGACGTATCTCAAAATAATAAGAGCTATTTATGACAAACCCACAGCCAATATCATACTGAATGGGCAAAAACTGGAAGCATTCCCTTTGAAAAGTGGCACAAGACAGGGATGCCCTCTCTCACCACTCCTATTCAACACAGTGTTGGAAGTTCTGGCCAGGGCAATCAGGCAGGAGAAAGAAATAAAAGGTATTCAATCAGGAAAAGAGGAAGTCAAATTGTCCCTGTTTGCAGATGACATGATTGTATATCTAGAAAACCCCACAGTCTCAGCCCAAAATCTCCTTAAGCTGATAAGCAACTTCAGCAAAGTCTCAGGATACAAAATCAATGTGCAAAAATCACAAGCATTCTTATACACCAATAACAGACAGAGAGCCAAATCATGAGTGAACTCCCATTCACAATTGCTTCAAAGAGAATAAAATACCTAGGAATCCAACTTACAAGCAATGTGAAGGACCTCTTCAAGCAGAACTACAAACCACTGCTCAAAGAAATAAATGAGGATACAAACAAATGGAAGAACATTCCATGCTCATGGGTAGGAAGAATCAATATTGTGAAAATGGCCATATTGCCCAAGGTAATTTATAGATTCAATGCCATCCCCATCAAGCTACCAATGACTGTCTTCACAGAATTGGAAAAAACTACTTTAAAGTTCATATGGAATCAAAAAAGAGCCCGCATTGCCAAGTCAATCCTAAGCCAAAAGAACAAAGCTGGAGGCATCACTCTACCTGACTTCAAGCTACACTACAAGACTACAGTAACCAAAACAGCATGGTACTGGTACCAAAACAGAGATATAGACCAATGGAACAGAACAGAGCCCTCAGAAATAATACCACACATCTACAACCATCTGATCTTTGACAAACCTGACAAAAACAAGAAATGGGGAAAGGATTCCCTATTTAATAAATGGTGCTGGGAAAACTGGCTAGCCACATGTAGAAAGCTGAAACTGGATCCCTTCCTTACACCTTATACAAAAATTAATTCAAGATGGGATTAAAGACTTAAATGTTAGACCTAAAACCATAAAAATCCTAGAAGAAAACCTAGGCAATACCATTCAGGACGTAGGCATGGGCAAAGACTTCATGTCTAAAACACCAAAAGCAATGGCAACAAAAGCCAAAATTGACAAATGGGATCTAATTAAACGAAAGAGCTTCTGCACAGCAAAAGAAACTAACATCAGAGTGAACAGGCAACCTACAGAATGGGAAAAAATTTTTGCAATCTACTCATCTGACAAAGGGCTAATATCCAGAATCTACAAAGAACTCAAACAAATTTACAAGAAAAAAAACAAACAACCCCATCAAAAAGTGGGTGAAGGATATGAACAGACACTTCTCAAAAGAAGACATTTATGCAGCCAAAACACACATGAAAAAATGCTCGTCATCACTGGCTATCAGAGGAATGCAAATCAAAACCACAATGAGATACCATCTCACACCAGTTAGAATGGTGATCATTAAAAAGTCAGGAAACAACAGGTGCTGGAGAGGATGTGGAGAAATAGGAACACTTTTACACTGTTGGTGGGACTGTAAACTAGTTCAACCATTGTGGAAGACAGTGTGGTGATTCCTCAAGGATCTAGAACTAGAAATACCATTTGACCCAGCAATCCCATTACTGGGTATATACCCAAAGGAGTATAAATCATGCTGCTATAAAGACACATGCACACGTATGTTTACTGCGGCACTATTCACAATAGCAAAGACTTGGAACCAACCCAAATGTCCATCAATGATAGACTGGATTAAGAAAATGTGGCACATATACACCATGGAATACTATGCAGCCATAAAAAAGGATGAGTTCATGTCCTTTGTAGGGACACGGATGAAGCTGGAAACCATCATTCTCAGCAAACTATCGCAAGGACAAAAAACCAAACACTGCATGTTCTCACTCATAGGTGGGAATTGAACATTGAGAACACTTGGACACAGGAAGGGGAACATCACACACCAGGGCCTGTTGTGGGGTGGGGGGAGGGGGAAGGGATAGTATTAGGAGATATACCTAATGTAAATGACGAGTTAATGGGTGCAGCACACCAACATGGCACACATGTATACATATGTAACAAACCTGCACGTTGTGAACCTGTACCCTAGAACTTAAAGTATAATTAAAAAAAAAGAAAATTATGTGAAAACCACTGAAACAATAGACCTCTTGAAAGTTATCCTAAAATAAGCAAATAATGACCATGATGATATGAGGCAGGAGCAGAAGGCAAATGGAACGCTAAAAGACATTTAAGCACTCCCATAACCTCAATTTTAATAAGAAATGAACTTACTCTTTCAGTCCTGTCTCAGCACTATTCCCAGATACATCTGAACCAAGAGAAATGCCAGCAGGAGACTGTCGTCCAGTGAAGCCAGATGAAGAAAAGGAGAGTCCATATGGTTCAAAATTGAGAACTAGAATTTTAAAATAATAACAGAGGTTCATATTTAAAACAAAGCAAAAAACTGTCAAAGTTACCATTCACTACCACAATAATTCAAGCCTGGAACTAATAGCCATTTTTAAACTCTAAAGGACTTTGAGGATGATCTAATCAAATACTTACAGTAATAAATCAACTACCATTTGGTAAATGTCTACTGTAAGTCTTCATATTACTAGGTGATTAAAGACCAACTATCCTTTATTTTTACCTTTTTACCTCCCTTGGAAGCTAAAAAAAAACTCAATTAGGAAAGATAACTGATAAACCAAGTCTACTGAAAAGTCGCTGCTCCCATGCAAAAATGTTTAATGAGTTATAATGAAGAGGTGACCATGTTTTGCTGAACAAACTGCTCCTGGGTACATTCTCGTACCAAATGGATTGATAGAGTCCTCAACGTAAAATCTCCCTAAGGTTAACACAGATTCTGATTCCTTTTAATCTGTATAACCTAATTAATTCAATAAGAGCCAAGAAAATTCATGTTGTTACTGTGGTAGGACAGATGCCAATATCCACTCTCCCTTTCTTTCTATGTAATAAACCCCTCAATTCTTATCTAGATCATGACCACCCAGAGACATTTACAAACACCTTTGTCATATGACTGAGGTCTAGCCTATGAAATTATACACATATTTTGTTTGCAACTTCTGGAAGGAGTCCTCTTGGAATAAAAGACAATCTTTCTTCTCCCCCTTTCTCTTCCCTGCTGGCTAGACTGCAACATGATTGCTGGGGCATAAGCAGCCATCTTGGATCATAAAGTGGAACACCAAAGATGCCAGAACAGCAAGAAAGGTGAAACTTGGGTTTTTTAATAATCATGAAGCCATCATCAACCCTACATTGCCTACTTCTGGATTCCTTTAATAGGAGAAAGCAATAACCGTCTATCTTGTATGAGGTCCCACTTTGTTTCTTTATTTTTTAATTGGCTAATTCAGCAAGCCTAATCTTAACTGACAAATTTTGAACAGTCTAGATTATAGAAAAGGACCTTTTTAAATCATAAAAAGTATCTTAGAAAATATTATGTCAACTTCTGTAATTACTATTCTCATTTTACAAATGAGGAAACTGTGGTAAAGAGTTTGTCCCAAATTACAAAAATTAGAAAATGACAAAGCCAGACATGAACTCAGATATTCTAGCACCAGAGCTGTACTCTCAACTATTATAGTATATGGCCTCCTCCAAAGGAAATATCACCTATTCCAAAGAATGCTAAATAAATGCTTGCTAGTTACCTAAATAAATGATACAGAAGAAGAATCAATGTAAAAAAATAATAATGATGGGCTAATGATCAGGAGAACTGTGTTCTGGACATAGCTTTGCTGTTAACTAGGTATGTGAACTAGATCTTCATTTCTTCATCTGTAAAGTGAAGAATTCAAACTACGTCAACAGTTTCCAAATGCTGATCTGATAACAAGGATCAAGCTTACTTCACTGAATCTCCCAAGGACCTTTTTATACATACAGCCAAGCTTACAGAGATTCAGATATAGAAGGAATAGGAGTAGGGCTCAAAATAAGTCTCATTTTTAAAAAACTCTTTGTGATTCTGATTCATAACCATGTTTGGAAACCACTTATCTAAATCTTTTGAAGGTCCTTTCCAACTAGAATATCCCCTCATTTTAAGTTTTTTAATCATCTAACTTAATCATAGTCCGTTTTATGTTGCTATAAGACAATGCAACATAACAGGTGATTTATAATGAACAGAAATTTACTTGGCTTATAGTTCCAGAAACTGAGAAGTCCAAGAGCATGGCACTGGCATCTGGTGAGGGCCTTCATGCTGCATCATCCCATGGTGAAAGGAAAGCAGAAGGGAAGATAGTGCAAGAGCAAGAGAGGGCTGAACTTGCTTTTTTTTTTTTTTTTTTTTTTTGAGATGGGAGTTTTGCTCTTATTGCCCAAGCTGGTGTGCAATGGCATGATCTCAGCTCCCCACAACCTCCGCCTCCCGTGTTCAAGCGATTCTCCTGCCTCAGTCTCCTGAGTAGCTGGGATTACAGGCATGTGCCAGCATGCCCGGCTAATTTCGTATTTTTAGTAGAGACGTGGTTTCTCCATGTTGGTCAGGCTGGTCTCGAACCCTCAACCTCAGGTGATCCACCTGCTTCAGGCTCCCAAAGTGCTGGGATTACAGGTGTAAGCCACTGCATCTGGCCCGAACTTGCTTTTTTAATGACCCACTCCCATGATAATGATATAAATTCATTTGTGAGGGCAGAGCCCTCGTGACCTAATCACCTCTTATTAGGTCTCACCTCCCAACACTGTTTCACTGGGGATTGTTTCCAACACATGAACTTTGGAGTACACATTCACACCATAGCATTCTGCTCCTGCCCCAACAAAATCATGTCCTTATGATGCAAAATATATTCATTCCATTACAAGTCTCAAAAGCCTTAACTCATTCCAGCATTAACTCCAAAATCCAGAGACATCTAAATCAGATATGGGTGAGACTAAAAGCAAATTTCTCTCCAGCTGTGGGGCTGTGAAATTAACAAGTTATGTGCTTCCAAAATACAATAGTGGAGCAGGCATAAAGTAGATATTCCCATTCCAAAAGGGAGGAATAGGCCAGAAGAAAGGGGTAAGTGGTCTCAAATAAGTCCAAAGCCCAACAGAGAAATCAACATTAAGTCTTAATGCTCCAGAATTATCTATCTTGACTCCACGTCCCACCTTTTGGGAACACTGGGGCAGGAGTTGGACACTCAAGGCCTTAGGCAGCCCCACATCTATGACAAAGTCCTATGGCTTTGGGGCTCAGTCCACCCAGCAGCTCTCAGGGGATTGGAGTCTCATGCCTGCAACTTTCCCAGGCTGATGCTGCAAGCTAGTAGCATCAGTTCTGGGGTCTCAGGAGTGACCCCACTCCCAAGGCTCCACTAGGCACTGCCCTGGTGGGGACTCTCTGTGATGCCTCTGATCCTGTATTTCTGCTCAGCATTGCCCTAGTAGGGGCTTTCTGTGATGGCTCCACACCCGTGAAAAGTCTCTGCCTAAGCCCCAGGGAGTCCACGACATCTTCTGAAATCTAGGTGGAGGACGCCATGACCCCATGGCTCTTGCACACTGTGCACCTACAGAATTAGCACCACATATGCCACCAAGGTTTATGGCTTGAATCTTCTGGAGTAGCAGGTCAAGCCACACCTGGGCCCAATGAATGGCTGGAGCAACCACAGAATGCTGTACCAGAACACAGGGAGCAGAGACTTGAGGCAGCTCTGGGCAGCAAGCCCATGAAGGGTACGCTGGTCATCCCCTGAAAACATTCTGCACTCCCAGAGCTCGAGCCTGTGAAGAGAAGGGCAGCCTCTGAGATCTCTGAAATGCCTTTAGTGTCACTCTCCCAATGTCTTGATGATCATTTCTATCTGTAATAACCGCCTTAGCAGACAGTCACTTGACCAGATCCTTGGCCTGGTCTCCCAAATACATTTTCTCATTCTTCACATGGCCAGGCTGAAAATTTTCCGTCTGTCATGCTTCTGTTTAATTATAAATTCCATCTTTAAGTCATTTATTTCCTCTCATATCTTACTGCATGCACTTAAAAGTAGCCATACAGCTCCTTCAATATTTTGCACAGAAATTTCTTCCACCAGATATTCTAGTTCATCGCTCTTAAATTCTGTCTTCCATAAAGCCCTCAGGCATGAAGAGACATAAATCATCCAAGATTTTTGCCACTTTATAAGAAAGATGGCCTTACTCCAGTTTCCAACAAGATATATTCCTCTTTCCTGTCTGGGATCTCATACATTTAATGAACTTAGAGATTAAGTACACTTAAGTAACTTAGAGATAAAGAGACAGTGAAGCCCATATTTCTAACAACTTTCTGATCATGAACACTTAATAATCTCTAACTTTCAGATTTTCCCTATAGCTCTCCTCTCTTCTTCTCAGCCCTCATCAGAACTGCCCTTAATATTATGTTTACGGCAATCTAAGATTTTCCTAGCCTGCTTCTTTAAATTCTTCTGCTCTACTCATTACCCAGTTTCAAAGCCATTTCCACATTTTCAGATATTTTTAATAGCAACAGCTTCACTTCTCAGGACCAATTTTCTATCATAGTCCATTTTATGTTGCTATAACAGAATACCACAGAACAGGTAATTTATAATGAACAGAAATTTATGGCCGGGTGGTAATTCCAGCACTTTGGGAGGTCAAGGTGGGCAGATCATTTGAGGTCAGGAGTTCAAGACCAGCCTGGCCACTGTGGTGAAACCCTGCCTCTACTAAAAATACAAAAATTAGCCAGACATGGTGGTGGACGCCTGTAATCCCAGCTACTCGGGAGGCTGAGACAGGAGAATTGCTTGAACCTGGGATGTGGAGGTTGCAGTGAGTCGAGATCATGCCACTGCACTCTAGCCTGGGTGACAGAGTGAAACTCCGCCTCAAAAAAAAGAAAAGAAAAAGAAATTTATTTGGCTCATTGTTCTCAAGGCTGAGCTATCTAAGAGCATGGCATCAGCATTTGGCAAGGGCCTTCATGCTACATCATGAAGAAGACAGAAGGGCAAGAGAGTATGAGAGCAAGAGAGGGCCAAACTCACTCTTGTAACAACCCACTCTCATGATAATGACATTAATCAATTCATGAAGGCAGATTCCTCATGGCCTGATCAGCTTTTTACAGTCCAATCTCTGAATACCATCACAATGACAATTAAATTTAAATACGGGTTTTGACAAACATATTCAAACCATTGCACTTACCATCCAACAGTGGTATCTTTTTAATAGCATCTGTGACAGTGAGTCATCCAGCCACTGCATTAACACTTCCAGTAACAGTGAATACCTCAAGAAATGTTTTCTATGCACATTAAAGATAAAGAGTTTAAACCAAAAAGCAGAAAGAAGCTCAAAATTAGAGGTACAAAGTTTGAAAGTAGAGAGAATAAAACAGACATGGAAAGGAACAGTATTTGGACAGCAAGCAGAAAAAAGTATCAATTCCAAGTCAAAAGAATTAAGATTATCATCTAAGGAAGGGGTGGAAAGGCTCAAGGTTGAGAATAAAGTTCAAACCACATTATTTTCACTCTTCAGTGAAAACTCCCCAAGACCCATATAGTGATGAACGCCTAAAAGGACTAAAGATGCTGGAGAGTTAACTACATGTGCAAGAGCTCATGCACATATGTGGAACAGAAGGAGAAAAATGGTATGCAGAAAGAACCAAGAGAAGGAAGAAGACGGCTGACTTGCAACTCAGTGAATATGCAGAATTTAGCCAGATGAAGAATGAGGGCAATTCACCAGAAGAGAAAACATAAGCTGGAGGCAGAGAGTCCTTCGAGTTGGGAGCCGCTGAAGTATTCTAGGTGAGACATAATAAAGTATAAACTATCCTGGGCATAAGTGAATAATTCAACATTCAACCTATTTGTATCCCTTATTATTAATACTTTAGAGGCCTCAATTATATGCACACTCATTTATCATACTTTGTACTGCAATTATTTATACCTTGACGACTTGGCTATATTTCTCTAACCATTCTCAGCTATTATTAATAATTTTTACAATTATTTAAATAATTAACTTTAATTATCTGATTATTGTTATTTTATTTTTTGAGAGACTAGCAACCTTACCTTGACATGGCTTTCTAAAAGCCAGATTTAGTAAATACTGTTTCCCCTTATTATTTCTGGTTATCTAGTGTTGGAGTTATAACACATTTTATTAATATTTTAATAGAATAATCCACAGATTCTGAAATGCTTTTTTTGATGGGAACTTGTAAGAAAGTTTGTTCCCCACCATCTCACCTATTTTTGCTAATTCTTAGTATCCCATGATATTTTCCTGAAGTTTATTCATTTTTCTACCTAAAAGATCAAAGTATCACTTATTAAAGTAACATTTAACTACTACTCTCTGCAAATGATTACAGAAATCTGAAATCAGATTAGTACCAGAACAGGCTGGCATGGTGGCTTGTGCCTGTAATCCCAGAATTTTTGGAGGCAGAAGAGGGAGGATCACTTGAGGTCAGGAATTTGAGACCAGCCTGGGCAACAGGTGAAACGTCATCGCTACTAAAAATACAAAAATTAGCTGGATGTGGTGGCATGCACCAGTTGTCCTAGCTACTTAGGAAGTTGAGGCACAAGAATCGCTTGAACCCGAGAAGTGGAGGTTGCAGTGAGCCAAAAGATTGCAACACTGCACTCCAGCCTGGACAACAGAGAGAGACTCTGTCTAAAAAAAAAAAAAAAAAAAACCATAACAGATTGATAATTAAAAGATTCAAGAATTAATTCTTTATGCATAAAATACCTATTTCCCCCTACTCTTTATTTTGTCTTATAGCCAACCCCATTTCTAAGATATATAATTTTATAATTTATTCCACAAGTATTTATTAAATACTTGCTATATCTTGTCTCATAACCAATTTCCTTTTCTATAACAGTCTCCTGAAATTTCAGTTTTGCTTTAAAGGACTTTTGAAGCACACAGATTTGGGAGGAGAGAGGGAGAATCTAGTTTGAGCGTTTAATCCCATTTATAATGTGGTTCTATGGGAAAAAATGTACTTGGCAAAGGACTGCATAAGCTTGGGGAATTCCAGGGCTCTTGTATTTGTGTCAGCTATTTAGCTTATTTTAAGAAACAAAATAGGCAGTGCCAGGAAATAGTCTCCCTATTATATCTCCCCTTCCCTATCCAACCCTTGACTTCAGTAATGGCAACTGGTGGCCCCCAGATACCTGAAAATAAGGAAGTATGACAACGGAATCATACCTCCCACTGTGGAAACCCAGGAGCTTTTCACTCTAGGCCCTGGATGTCATAAGGCATTTATATGCAGTATAACCACAGGTTAGGCAATTATAATTCAAAAGTTTACTTTTTCCCCCAATATATTCTATTAATATATAAAAAGTTAATGAGAGGAAACTGATTACACTTTGAAAGAGAGTTTAAATTTTATAGTACATTAGTTATCACTGTGCTAAATAACATATAAAAAGCCTTAAAAGAAAGGGATTGCACAGAATACATGTACTTTCCAATCCATGAACACAGGATGTATTTCCATTTATTTGTGCCTTGTTTGATTTCTTTCATTAACGTTCAGTGGTTTTCATTAAACACAACTTTCTCACTTGCTTCAGTTTATTATTAGGTATTTTGTTCCTTTTGGTGCTATCATAAATTGGGCTGTCTTCCTAATAACCTTGTCACATGGTTTGTTGTTAGTGTACAAAAATGCAAATAATTTTTGCATGTTGACTTTGCATCCTACAACTTTCCAGAATTCGCTTATTACTTCTAACGGTTTTTTAATGGAGTCTAATTTAGGGTTTTCTATAAATAAAACCATATTATCTGCAAAGAGGAACAATTTTCCTTTCCAATCTGAATACCTCTCTTCTTTTTCTTAACTGCTCTGGCTAATACTTCCAGTACTGTGTTGACTACAAAAGAGACAAGTGGGCATCCTTGCTTTGCTCCTGATCTCAGAGGAAAAGCTTTTGGTTTTTCATCATACCATGCTATGATGTTAGCTCTGGGTTTATCATATATGGTCTTTATTATATTGAGATATTGCCTTCTATTCTTAGTTTTATTGAGTTTCTTTTTAATCATGAAAGGGTATTCAATTTTGTCAAACACTTTTTCTGCTTTTATTGAGAACTGTGTGGTTTTTATCCTTTATTCTGTTAACATGATATCACATTAATTTATTTTCAGATGTTGAACCATCCTTGGATCCCTAGGATAAATCCCACTTGATCATGGTGTATGATCCTTTTATTGAGTTCAGTTTCCTAGTATTTTGCCTATATTCATCAGGGATATTGGCCTGTAGTTTTCTTTTTTTTGTGGTGGCTCTGTCTGGCTTTGCTATCAGGGTAAGGCTGGTCTCATAAAATAAGTTTAGAAATGTTCTCTCCTCTTTAAATTTTTGGAAGAGGTTGAAAAGAACTCTCTCTCTCTTTCTCTCTCTCTCTCTCTCTCTCTCTGTCCCTTTTGTAGAGATGGGGTCAAGCTATATTGTCTAGGCTGGTATCAAACTCCTGGCTTCAAGTGATCCTCCCACCATGGCCTCCCAAATTGCTAGGACTACAGGCATGAGCCACTGTGCCCAGCCCCAATATTAATTCATTAAGTGTTTGGTAGAATTCACCAATGAAGAACCACAAAAGACCATGAATACCCAAATTAATCTTGAGAAAAAAGAGCAAAGCTGAAGGCATCACACTTACTGATTTCAAAATATATTACAAATCTACAATAATCAAAACAGCATAGTACTGGCATAAAGACAGACATAGAGACAGAACAGAGAGCCCAGAAATAAATCCAAGCATGTATAGTCAACTAATATTGAACAAGGACACCAAGAATACACAACAGAGAAAGGACAGTCTTCTCAACAAACAACATTGGGAAAACCAAATATTCACATGCAAAAGAATAAAATGGAAGCTTTATCTTATACCATACATAAAAATCAACTCAAAATGAACTAAGGACTTAACTGTAAGACCCAAAACTGTAAAACTCATAGAAAGAGATGAAGTTTTGCTCTTGTTGCTCAGGCTGGAGTGCAATGGTACAATCTCAGCTCACTGCAACCTCCACCTCCCGGGTTCAAGTGATTCTCCTGCCTCAGCCTCTCAAGTAGCTGGCATTACAAGCATGCACCACCACGCCTGGCTAATTTTGTATTTTCAGTAGAGATGAGGTATCTCCATGTTGGTCTGGCTGGTCTCGAACTCCCGACCTCAGGTGGTCCACCCACCTCAGCCTCCTAAAGTACTGGGATTACAGGTGTGAGCCACCGCGCCCAGCTGGTAAAAGCTGCTTTATGACATTGGTCTTTACAATAATTTCATGGATATGACACCAAAAATACAGGTAATAATAACAAAAATAAACAAGTGGCAATACATCAAATTAAAAAGCTTCTGCATAGCAAAGAAAACACTCAACAGAGTGAAAAGGCAACCTATGGAATAGGAGAAAATATTTGCAAACCACATTTCTGGTAAGGGTTAACCTCCAAAATATGTTAATCCTATGACTCAATAGTTTTTTTTTTTTAACTAATAACCTGATCACAAATAGGCCAATAACTTAAATAAACATTTCTCTAAAGAAGACATACACATGGCCAACAGGTATATGAAAAAATGCTCAAGGTTACTATTAGCAAGAAAATACAAACTGAAACCATAATAAGGCATCACCTTGTACCAGTCAGGATGGTGATTATCAAAGAAAAGAAAACATAACGTGTCAGGAAGGATGTGAAGAAGTCAGAACCCTTACCCATTGTTGATGGGAATGCAAAATGGTGCAACCACTGTGGAAAGCAGTATGGAGGTTCCTCAAAAAAATAAAAATACAGGCAGTACACAGTGGCTCATGCCTATAATCCCAGTGCTTTGCAACGTCAAGGTAGGAGGATCACTTGAGCTCAAGAGTTTGAGACCAGTCTGGGCAACATTAGGGAGACTCTGTCTCTACAAAAAATTAAAAATGAACCAGGCATGATGGCATGCACCTGGAATCCTAGATACTCAGGAAGCTGAGGCAGTAGGATCACTTGAGCCCAGGAGTTCAAGGCTACAGTGAACTATGATCGTTCTACTGCACTCCAGCCTAGGTGACAGAATGAGACACTGTCTCAAAAAAAAAAAAAAAAAATGGCCGGGCACAGTGGCTCATACCTGTAATCCCAGCACTTTGGGAAGCCAAGACAGGTGGATCACTTGAAGTCAGGAGTTTGAGACCAGCCTGGCCAACATGGCAAAACCCTGTCTCTACTAAAAATACAACAATTAGCCAGGTGTGGTGACTCATGCTTGTAGTCCCAGCTACCCAGGAGGCTGAGGCAGGAGAATCACTTGAACCCAGGAGGCAGAGGTTGCAGTGAGCTGAGATCGTACCACTGCACTCCAGCCTAGGCGACAGAGCAAGATTCTGTCTCTAAATAAATAAAAATACAACTACTATATGCTCCAACAATCTCACTTCCGGGTGGGTATTTATCCCAAATAATTGAAATCAGGATCCAAAAGAGATATTAGCATTCCCATGTTCACTGCAGCACTATTCATAATAACCAAGACGTGAAAACAACTTAAATGTTCATCAGTAGGTGAATGGATAAAGATGATGTCATATACATATACAATGGAATACTATTAAACTTTGAAAACGAAGAAAATTCTGCAATATACGACAACATAGATGAAACTTAAGAATATTATGCTAAGTGAAATAAGTAAGGCACAAAAAAATATTGCATGGGTCCACTTTTATGAGGTACCTAAAAGGTCAAATTCATAGGATTGAGGAATGGACTGGTTGCTGCCAGAGGCTAAGGGGAGAGAGAAATGGGGACTTACCAATCAATGGGCATGAAGTTTTAGTTAAACAAGATGAATAAGTGCTAGAGATCTGCTGTACAACATTGTATCTACAGTCAATCATAACGTATTATACACTTAAAAATTTGTTAAGAGGAGAGACCTCCAGTTAAGGTTCTTAACCACAATAAAATAAAATAATAAAAAGATTTAAAAAGATAAAAGGCAAAAAAGAGCAAATGCTTCTGGAAAAAGAGAACATCAGGCCTATTAATAATGTTCATAACTTTTTGGTCTCATTCTAGGATCAACAGTTTAGTTGTTGTCTTAACTCAATATGCCTAGCACACAGCCTGGAAAATAAGTACTCAACAAAATCATTAAAGGACAAATAGGAAAAAAAAGAAAAACCTTTCAGCACTGAATTTTTCAGTATTGACATTCTGAACTCATAAACAGATAATATATTTATTCACTGATCTCCCTTTATTCATATGCATACTTCCCTTCTACCATCCAAATAACTCAATGATTTCCCCTTTACCAAAATCATGACAGACGTATTTTCCCAACAGGCTGCATTTCTTAAGTACAAAGTTACTCTTTCCTTTATTAGCTGTTTCTAACTTAAATCATCAGATATTTTGTTGAACGAAGAATTCTAATACACTTGAGAAATATTAGACTGCTCAGAGCCATGTGGCTGTGTCCTGTGTGAGAGAAACATCCCCATAGGGCTACCCTCAGAAGACATGCCCCCCATCCCCAAGGCCAGCCAAACAGCCTTGCACCCACATCATGAGCCTAAGAAACAGCCCCATAGGCTACTCTTGGCAGACATGTCCTCAGGCTGGCTAGGCAACTACATGCCCATGCTTCCCAGCCAGAGTAACAGCTCCATGGCCCCAACCTCAGTAAGCCAGAACCCAAGTTGGCTGACTCACTGTGTACATGCACATATCCAAAACTTGAAAACAGGCTGGGAAACCCACCCTTGGTGAAGCCACACCACCATCACCACAAACTCAGCCTGGGCCACTGAGAAACTCACAAATACCACTAGTGTAGATTACAGCTAAAGAAACTACATGGCCAGGTACTGTGGCTCACACTTGTAATCCCAGCACTTTGGGAGGCTGAGGTGGGTGGATCACCTGAGGTCAGGAGTTTGAGACCAGCCTGACCAACATGGTGAAACCCCGTCTCTACTAAAAATACAAAAATTAGCCAGGCGTGGTGGTGTGTGCCTGTAGTCCCAGCTACTTGGGAGGCTGAGATGGGAGAATTGCTTGAACCTGGGAGACAGAGGTTGCAGTGAGCCAAGATCATGCCACCGCACTCCAGCCTGGATGACAGAGCGAGACTCCTTCTCAAAAGAAAAAAGAAAGAAAGAAAGAAAGAAACTACATGAAGACTATACTACACGTCCACCACCAAGGCCTTAGTACCCTACTGAACATTTATACAAATAAGACCCATTTATACAAATAAGTCTTTCCCTTTAAACTGCACTACATAAAATTGAAAGAGCCAACTTTTCCACCAGATTCATACAAATCAACATAGGAACAAATCAACCATGAAAAAAGAAACATGTCACTACCAAAGGAAAATAATAAATTTCTAGTAACAGACCCCTAATCATAAGGAAATGTATGAAATTCCAGAAAAGGAATTCAAAATAACAATATTAAGGAAACTCAGTGAGATACAAGAGAATACAGACAGACAATTCAATGAAATCAGGAAAATGATACATTATTTGAACAAGAAATTCAACAAAGAAACAGATATCATAAAAAAGAACCAAACAGAAATCCTAGAGCTGAAGAATTCAATAAATGAAATAAAATATACACATAAGAGCTTCAACAACACATTAGAAAGCAGAAGAAATAATTTCTAAAGTTGAAGACAGGTCTTTTGAAATAACACAGGAAGACAAAAAAAAAGAAAAAATAATTTTTAAAAAAATGAAGAAAGCCTACAGGATTTGTGGGACACCATTAAGCAAATAAATGTTTGTATTATGGGCATTTCAGAAGGAGAAGAGAAGGGAAGATATGAAGAAAATAATTAATGAAATAATAGCAGGAAACTTTCCAAGTCTTGGAAGACAGAACATCCTAGTCCAGGAAGCTCAAAGAACCCCAAACAGATTCAACCCCAAGCAGGTCCTTTTTGTGGCACATTTTAGTCAAACTGTCAAAAGTCAAAGACAAAGAATTTTGAAAGCAGCAAGAGAAAAGCATCAAGTCACATATAAGGGAATCCCCATTAGGCTAACAGCTGGATTTCTCAGCAGAAACCTTAGAGGCCAGGAGAAAATGGGATGATATATTCAAAGTACTAAAAGAAAAAAGAAAAAGAAAAAACAGCATGAATATCATATCCAGCAAAGCTATCCTTCAGAAATAAAGGGGAAATAAGATCTTTCACAGACAACCAAAATCAAGAACTTCATCACCAGTAGACCACCCTTACATGAAATGCTCCAGGGAGTCTGGAAGTGAAAAGACAATAACTACCATTATGAAAACATTCAAAACTATAAAACTCACTGGTAGTGCTGAAACACAAATGAGAAAAAGAAAGGAATCAAACCTTATCACTGAAGAAAAGCACCCAACTACAAAAATAAACAATAAGAGAGGAAGTAAGGAACAAAGCATATGTAAAATACCCAGAAAACAATCAATAAAATGATAGCAGCAAATCCTCGCCCATCAATAATAACCTTGAATGTAAATGGATCAAATTCCCCCACTTAAAAGATACAGAATCACTGCCTGGATTTTCAAAAAACAAGACTCAACAATACACTGCCTACAAGAAACTCACCTCACCTCTAAAGACACACAGACTGAAAGTGGGGGGTTGGAAAAAGACGTTCCAGACAAATAGAAACCAAAAGTAAGCAGAAGTCACTATACTAATAACAAACAAAACAGATTTTAAGTTAAAAGCTGTAAAAGGAGACAAAGAAAGACACTGTACAATAAAGGGATCAATTCATAAAAAGAATATAACAATTATAAATATATATGTACCCAACACCAGAGCATCCAAATATATAAAGCAAATATTAGACCCAAAGGGAGAAAGAACCTGATTCAGTAATAGTTGGGGGCTTCAAAAAACTGCACTTTCAGTATTGAACGAATTATCTAGCACTTCAATGTTTACTGCAGAGCACTATTCAAAGTAGCCAAGATATGGAATCAATCTAATATGGAATCAGCCTAGGTGTCCAACAACAGATGAATGGATAAAGAAAATGATGTGGTATTATATACAAAGTGAAATACTATTCAGCCATAAAAACAAATGAAATCCTGTCATTCATGGCAACATGGATGAAACCAAAGGACATTATATTAAGTGAAATAAGTCAGGAACAGAAAGTTAAACACCACATGTTCTCTCTCATATGTGGAAGCTAAAGAAAACTGATCTCATAGAAGTAAAAATTAGAATAGAGGATACTAGGCGCTAGGAAAGGTAGGGGTAAGGGAAGAATAGGGTAAAGGATAAAAAATTACAGCTAGATAGAAGAAATAAGTTCTAGACCACTATAGAATTACTATGGTTTAATAATAAAGTATCACATAGTCTCAAAAACTAGAAGAAAGATATTGAATGTGGCCGGGCATGGTGGCTCACGCCGGTAGTCCCAGCACTTTGGGAGGCCAAGGCGGGCAGATCACGAGGTCAGGAGATCGAGACCATCCTGGCTAACATGGTGAAACCCTGTCTCTACTAAAAATACAAAAAAATTAGCTGGGCGTGGTGGCCGGCGCTTGTAGTCCCAGCTACTCGGGAGGCTGAGGCAGGAGAATGGCATGAACCCAGGAGGCAGAGCTTGCAGTGAGCCGAGATCACGCCACTGCACTCAAGCCTGGGTGACAGAGCCAGACTCTGTCTAAAAAAAAAAAAAAAAAGAAAGATATTGAATGTTCCCAACACAAAGAAATGATACATGTTTGAGATGATGGATATGCTAATTACTATGATCTAAACACTATACAAGGATTGAAACATCACTATATTCCCCATGAATATGTATAATTATTTGTCAATTAAGAAAATTTAAAAATAAAGACTGCTCAAAATAAAAATGAAGCTCACTAGTCCATAGTAACCAGGGTTGTTTTCTGAAACTTTTCCACAGATATGCTCAGACTAATATGTGTCAACCTACCAGCACAGTGAACAACATGATACTCCCACCTTCAAGTTCTTTCATGTAGCCATAAAAAAGAATGAGATCATGTCTTTTGCAGGGACCTGGATGGAGCTGGAGGCCATCCTTAGCAAATTAATGCAGGAACAGAAAGCCAAATACCGCATGTTCTCGCTTAAAAGTGGGAGCTAAATGATGAAAACACATGGACACATAGAGGGAAACAATACATGCTGGGGCCTTTCAGAGGGTGGAGGGTGAGAGGAGGGTGAGGATCAGGAAAACTAATGGGTACTAGGCTTAATACCTGGGTGATGAAATAAGCTGTACAATAAACTCCCATGATACAAGTTTACCTATGTAACAAACCTGCACTTGTACCCCTGAACTTAAAAGTGTAAATTAAAAAAAAAGAAGAAGAAAAAAAAGTTTCCCATAAAGATCATTATGTTAATAAATATATTATCAAAAAAAAAAAGTTCCTCAAAATTTCAGTATAATGGCCAGTCGCAGTGGCTCACGCCTGTAATCCTAGCACTTTGGGAGGTCAAAGATCACTTGAGGCCGAAGTTTGAAACCAGCCTGGCCAAGTTTGAAACCCCATCTCTACTAAAAATACAAAATTTAGCTGGGTGTGGTGGCACCCACCTGTAAATCCAGCTACTTGGGAGGCTGAGGCACAAGAACCACTTGAGCCTGGGAGGCAGAGGTTGCAGTAAGCCCAGATCGTGCCACTGCACAGCAGCCTGGGTGACAGAGCAAGACTCTTGTCTCAAAAAATAAATAAATAAATAAATTCCAGTATGACTACCATATCTTAGGTATTTGTGGATAGAGAGCCTATGTCTTTAGCAATATCTCTTGGCTAACTTTTTTTTTTCCTCTGGATATCTGAAAACCTAGTCACGGCAAACAAATCACAAGTGAATCATTAAAGAGAAATAATAGAAAGTAAATATCTTTATTTATTTACTTACATGACTATAATATCAAAAATTACATCCCTACACTCTAGCTTATCATAAATCCATGAAAAATTACCTTTTTCCTGAGAAAGCTTTTCCTCCTGGCGTTGATGGGGAGGTTTGTAAGGCGCTGCACCCTGACTGAGTCCTTCAGCCACAAAACCATCCAGAAAAGATAAAGAAGCATCTACCTATATTAAAATTAAGCAAAAATTAGGAATTAAATAAATTTATCCTAAGTAGATTATATAGTCACATAAATAATTTCAGCCCATATATATTTTTTAAAATTCTAAATGAGAAATGAAAACTTCAGTTCTAAAAATGCTACCACAGCCAGGCATGGTGGCTCATGACTGTAATCCCAGAACTTTGGAAGGCTGAAATGGGCGGATCACTTGAGGCCAGGAGTTTGAGACCAGCCTCGCCAACATGGCAAAACCCCATCTCTACTAAAAATACAAAAAAATTAGCTTGGCATGGTGTCACGCAGCTGTAGTCCCAGCACAGCCACCACCCGGGAGACTGCAGCAGAACTGCTTGAACCCAGAAGGCAGAGGTTGCAGTGAGCCGAGACTGTGCCACTGTACTTCAGCCTGGGCAACAGAACAAGATTCTGTCTCAAAAAATGAATGAATGAAAATGCTACCCAACTCTCTAGCTTTCTGAAACATCTATAATCAGATCACCTGCCTAAGAATCTAACAATATAAATCATTTGCACTTACTATTAATTTCACTGCAGTGGAGAATATATTTTTGAGCATCAAATATGTTACGGCATCCTGTTAGGTTCTATAATTGAGACAAAGGAAGACACAGCTCCTACCCTGAGCAGAACTGTAACCCACCAGAAGAAACAGACATATATACTACAAGATATGGTAACTGTATTGGTTTCCTGCTGCAGGGGGCTAAAATCAAGGCTTTGGCAGGGCTGCTTCCTTCTGGATGTACCAGGGGAATCTGTTTCTTGTTTCTTTCAGCTTTTAGAGACTGCCAACATTCCTTGATTTGTGGCCCTATCATTCCAATCTCTGCTTTTGTTGTTACTTCGCCTTCTCCTCTCTAACCTCTTGCTTCACTTTTGTAAGGATCCTTGTGATTATATCATGCCTAGCTACATAATCTAGGATAACTGCCCCATCACAAAATATTTAATTTCATCACATCTACCAAGTTCCCTTCAATGTTTAAGGTAACAAGCACAAATTCCAGAGATTAAGTCATGGACATCTCTGCAAGGGCCATTATTCAGCCTCCCACAGTGCCTTTGATTTAACTATCCTAATATAAACTGAAAATGCTTTTTCACAAATCTATGGAAAATTACTTAATTTCACCAGGAAAAGCGTTAGGAGAATAATTTTTAATGAATAAATGATAAGAGATGAAGAAAGAATGACAGGGAAAGGAGAAAAGAAGGAGATGAACAAAAATGATAGATAAACAAGTGGAGAGAGCAGTGATGACCTCAGAAACCAAAGACTTGCCTCTCCTGATTTAGCAAGTATATACAAATAGCTCAGATAATTTAGAATAGCAAATAATTATCAAACATAAAAATGGCACCTCACTCTCTGAATCTGGAAAGGTTTCACTTAAATAAGATTCTTAGGCCACGCGTGGTGGCTCACGCCTGTAATCCCAGCACTCTGGGAGGCCGAGGCGGGTGGATCACCTGAGGTCAGGAGTTCGAGACCAGCCTGACCAACATGGTGAAACCTCGTCTCTACTAAAATACAAAAATGGGCCAGGCATGGTGGTGGGTGCCTGTAATCCCAGCTACTCGGGAGGCTGAGACAGGAGAATCACTTGAAACCTGGGAGGAGGAAGTTGCAGTGAGCCGAGATCGTACCATTGCACTCCAGCCTGGGTGACAAGAGTGAAACTTCATCTCAAAAAAAAAAAAAAAAAAAAAAGATTCTTGAGATGAGGCTGAGGCTATGTCAACATCATTATTTTTTATTGGAGGAAAACGGAAGTGTAGTTACTCCCTAATATAATACTGTGTGTAGCATATTCATTCATCATTTCAATAAACATCTCTGGAATGCCCACCAAATACTAAAACAAGGCCTCTGCCCTTGAGGAACTACTGAAAGAACTAATGAAGAAATGTTCAAAATGAATACAAGCCATGAAAATCTGAGTCAAAATTAGTGGAAATAATAACCTTTATTTTCTCTTTCTCAGCTAATATGAATAATTCTAATTACCTTTGAAAGTTTTCTAGACCAGGTGCGGTGGCTCACATCTGTAATCCCAGCACTTTGGGAGGCCAAGGTGGGTGGATCACTAGGTCAGGAGTTTGAGACCAGCCTGGCCAATATGGTGACACCCTGTCTATACTAAAATTACAGAAAAAATTAGCCAGGCGTGGTGGCGCGCACCTGTAGTCCCAGCTACTCAGGAAGCTGAGGCAGAAGAATCACTTGAACCCGGGAGGCAGAGGTTACAGTCAGCCAAGATCATGCCACTACACTCCAGCCTGGGTGGCAGAGCGAGACTCCGTCTCAAAAAAAAAAAGAAAGTTTTCTAATTTACACCTGAGGGAGATCATGATATGAAATAAAGAGAGTGAGTATTAAGTGAGAACTTTGGGTTAAAAGGGGTGGTGGCAAAAAGTAGGTGTGAAACTAAAAGGTGGATGATCAAGCTCCAAAATGGTGAAGACTTTAACAAGTAGATTGACAAAATAAAAGGGAAAACCACTTTTTTGGATTCTCAAATAGAGGAGGAATAAAATGACACAGAATTTCAAAGAAGATTAAAAGAAGATAGCCAAACGTGGAGGTTCCTGAAAAGTGGTATGGCCACGGAGAGTATAAAAGCTCCGAAAACCTTCCTCCATAGCTTGTCCTATGCATCTCCTTCCTCTGTATCCTCTGCAATATAGTTTATAATAAACCAGTAAGCTAACACAAATCAAGGAGAAAATGTGGAATAATACTAATGAGATATTGCCCGATTCATGAATCGCTACTAAAAATCAATTTGTGTGCACCCCACTGCTGCCACCACCAGCATGTGCACATGCCATCTTTGGAGGCCCAAGGACTGGCACACCCAATCCTGCCACTGCCAGGACCCATACACACTGCCCAGGGATCTGACAACCATTATGCCCAGCCAACCATTGCTACCAGTGGTGCACAAGGATCAACTCACCTAATGTTCTATCCTCAGCAAAGCCTTTCTACAGCCTCCACTAACAACCACAGCCTAAGCCATTCTATTAGTCCGTTCTTGCACTGCTATAAAGAAACACTTGAGACTGGGTAATTTATAAGAAAAAAAAAATAGGTTTCATTGACTCGCGGATCTGCAGGCTGTACAAGAAGCATGATACCGGCATCTGTTCAGCTCTTGTAAGGCCTCAGAAGCTTTTACTTATGGAGGAAGGTAAAGCAGAAGCAAGCACATCACATGGCGAAAGCAGGAGCGAAAGGGAAAGTCCAGTGTGTGTGTGTGTGTGTGTGTGTGTGTGTGTGTGTGGTAGGGGGAGGTGTTATACTTTACAATAACCAGATCTCTCAAGAACTCACTCTCTATCACGAGGACAGCACCAAGCCATGAGGTATCTGCCTTCATAACCCAAACAACTCCCACCAGGCCCTACCTCCAACGCTGGGGATTACAATTCAACTTGAGATTTGGGCGGGAGATCCAAACCATATCACCACTGAGGAACTCACAGACATCACTGATTATGATTACAGTTGAAGAAATCATCTGGAAAATATACTACTGTGCCCATCCAGAATCAAAGCCCAAGCACCTTATTAACCAACACCACAGATACATCTACAGGGAGAGGTCTTTCCCTACTAAAAGGAATCTATAAACTTAGAACCAACTGCTATGATACCAGATACACATATGTCAATGTGAGGACACAAGAAAAATAAAAAAGCAAAGAAACAAAACCTCCAAAGGAACACAATAACTCTCCAGTGACAGATCCCAAAAAAAGGAAATATATAAAATGCTTGAAAAAAAAATCAAAATAATGATCTTAAGGAAACTCAAAAGATACAAGAGAACACAGATAAACAAAACAAAAATAAATCAAGAAAACAATTCATGATCTGAATGAGAAATTCAACAGAGGTAGACATCATAAATAAGAAACAAACAGAACTCATAGAACTGAAGAATTCAATGAATGAAATAAAAAGTATAACCAAGAGCTTCAACAATAGACTGAGACTCCAAATTTGAAGACATGTCTTTGAAATAAACCAGACAAAAATAAATAAATAAAACAAAGAAAGCATACATGACATATGAGACAACATAAAGCAAACAAATATTTGAATTTTGAGAGTTTAAAGACAAAATGGGTGAAGGCACAGAAAACCTAATTGAAAAATAATAGCTAAAAACTTCCCAAGTCTTGCAAGAGATACAGACATCCATATGCAGGAAGCTCAAAGCGCCTCAAAGAGATTCAACCTGGCCAGGAGTGGTGGCTCACGCCTGTAATCCAGTACTGATTCTAAATAGGAATAAGAGTGTCTCTTCTGGAAAACTGCAGTGAAGATATTTATATCCTGTGACAGTCTCTTTTAATACAGAATAATTGAGGAATTTCTCTTATTTGTTGATTTTAAAAGACATACATATCTGGCGTACATACGATTCTTTGATACATGCATAGAATGTGTAATACGTAAATCAGAGTACTTAGGATATCCATCACCTCTAACATTTATCATTTGTGTTGGGAACATTTCAAATCTTCTCTTTATTTTGAAATATACAAATACTATACAATTATTACTAACTATAGTCACCCTACTGTGCCATCAAACACTAGAACTTACTCCTCTTATCTAGGTATGTTACTAACCATTAACCAACAATTCTTCTTCCCTGCCCCCCGACCCTTCCCAGCTTCTTTATTCTCTACCTCCATAAGATGCACATTTTTAACTTCCACATATGCATAAGAACATGTAATATTTGACTTTCTGTGCCATGCTTATTTTACTTCATAGTGAAATAAGTCCCATCTATGTTGCTGGGATATTATTTGGCTGAATAGTATTCCATTGTGTATACATACCACATTTTCCTTATCCATGTGTCCACTGGTGGACACTTAGGTTGATTCCACATTTTGGCTATTGTGAATAGTACTGCAGTGAACATGGGGGTGCAGGTATACCTTTGAAATAATGATTTCCTTTCCATTGGATAAATACCCAGAGGTGGGATTGCTGGGTTGTTTTTTTTGAAACAATTTTTGGTTTTTTGAAAACTCTCTGTGCTGTTTTCTATAATGGCTATCTTAATTTACATTCCTACTAACAGTGCATGAGTTTCCTTTTTTCTGCATCCTTGGCAACATTTGTTATTTTTTGTCTCCTTGATAACAGCCATTGTAACTGAAATAATATCTCATGGTGGTTTTGATTTACATCTCCCGGATGATTAGCAATGTTGAGCATTTTTTTGTTTACCTGTTGGCCATTTGTGTATCTTCTTTTAAGAAATGTCTGTTGATGACCTTTGCCCACCTTTAAATGGGATTTTTTTTTTTTTTTTTTTTTTTTTTTGCTGTTGAATTGAGTTCCTTATATATTCTGGATATTAGTCCCTTGTTTGTAAATATTTTTCCCCAGTCTACAGATTGTTTCTTCACTCTATTGATTGTATCGTTTGCTGTGCATAAGCTTTTGACCTTAATACAGTCCCATTTGTCATTTTTGTCTTTTTTGCCTGTGCTTTTGAAGTCTTAGCCATAAATCTTTGCCTCGACCAATGTCCTAAAGCATTTCCTCTAAGTTTTCTTCTAGTAGTTTTATAGTTTTGGATCTTACATTAAATTCTTTAATTCATTGTGGGTTGATTTTTTTATATGGTGAGAGATAGGGATCTCGTTTCATTATTCTGCATGCTGATATCAAGGCTTTTCAACACTATTTATTGAAGAGGGTGTCATTTCCCCAATATATATTCTTGGCACTTTGACCGAAAATCAGTTAGTCGTAAATACACGGTTTTTCTGGGTTCCCTCTGTTCCATTGGTGTGTATGTCTTTCTTTATACCAATACCATGTTGTTTTGGTTACTACAGCTTTGTAGTATATTTTGAAATTGGGTAGTGTGATGCCTCCAGCTTTGTTCTTTTTGCTTAGTATTGTATTGGCTATTCAGAGTCTCATGGTTCTCTACAAATTTTAGGGTTGTTTTTTCTATTTCTGTGAAGACTGTCATTGGTATTTTGATAGTACATTGAATCTGTAGATTGGTTTGAGTAGTATGGGCATTTTAACAATATTCATGTGATCCATGAGCATGGGATTTATTTCCATTTGTTTGTATCCTCTTCAGTTTCTTTTATCAGCCTTTTGAAGTTTTCCTTGTAGAGGTCTTCCACCTCCCTGGTTAAATTTATTCCAAGTATTGTATTGTATTGTATTGTATTTATTTATTTATTTTGTAGCTGTTGTAAATGGCATTACTTTCTTGATTTTTTTTTTCTGGCTTGGTGTACAGAAATGCTACTGATTTTTGTATGTTGATTTTTGTATCCTGGATCTTTACTGAATTCTTTTATTGGTTCTAAGAACTTTTTGTTCAAGTCTTTAGGTTTTTCTATATATAAGATCATGTCATCTGCAAAAAGGGACAATTTGACTTCCTCTTTTCCAGTTTAGATCCCTTTATTTCTTTCTTTTGCCCGATTGCTCTAGCTAGGACTTCCAGTACTATGTTGAATAGGAGTGATGAAAGTGGGCATCCTTGCCTTTTTCCAATTCTTAGAGGAAGTGCCTTCAGTTTTTTCTTATTCATTGCAATATTGGCTTTGGGTTTGTCATATATGGGCTTTATGACGTTGAGTATTTTTTTTCTATGCTTTTTCTTGTGAGTTTTTATCATGATGGGATGTTGGATTCTACCAAATGAATTCTCTGCATCTATTGAGATGATCATATGGTTTTTGTCCTTTATTCCGTTAATGTGAAGTATCACATTTATTGATTTTTGTATGTTCAACCATCCTTGCATTTCTGGGAAAATTCCACTTGATCATAGTGTATTATCTTTTTGGTGTGTTATTGGATTCAGTTTTCTAGTATTCTGTTGAGAATTTTTGCATCTATGTTCATCTGGGATACTGGCTTGTAGTTTGTTATTGTTGTTGTGTCCTTGTCTAGTTTTGGTATCAGGGTAATGCTGGCCATATAAAATGAGTTAGGAAGAATGTCCTCCTCTTCGATTTTTTTGGACTAGTTTAAGAAGAGTTGGTGCTAGTTCTTCTTTATAAATTTGCCAGAATTCATTTGTAAAGCCATCTTGTAAGCTTTTCTCTGTTGGGAGACTTACTATTACTGATTCAATGTCATTATTCATTCAGGTTTTCTATTTCTTCCTTGTGCAATCTTGGTAGATGTGTCCAGGAATTTATTCGTTTCCATCAGGTTTTCCAGTTTGTTAGTGTACAGTTGTTTATAATTGTCTCTAATAATCATTTATATTTCTATGGTAGCCATTATAATGTCTACTTTTTTGTTTCTGGTTTTACTTATTTGAATCTTCTCTCTTTCTTGATTAGTGTAGCTAGCAGTTTATCAATTTTGTTTATTGTTCAAAATAACCAACTTTTTGTCTCTTTTTTTTTTGTATCTTTTTTACGTCTCCATTTTGTTTATTTCTGGTCTGATCTTTACTATTTATTTCCTTCTACTAATGTTGAGTTTGGTTTGTTCTTCCTTTCTAGTCGCTTGAGGTGCATCATAAGGTTGTTTGTTTGAAATCCTTCTACTTTTCTGATGTATGTGCTTATTGCTATAAACTTCCCTCTTAGCACTGTTTTTGCCATATTACATAGGTTTTGGTAAGTTGTGTCTGAATTTCCATTTTTATTAGATTCAAGAAATTTTTTCATTTTCTTCTTAATTTCTTCACTGACCTAATCATCACTCAGAAATATGCTGTTTTGATTTTCATATTATTTGTTCAGTTTCCAAAGTACCTTTTATTATTAATTTCTAGTTTTATCACATGCAGCCTGAGAAGGTACTTGCTATGATTTTAATTTTTTCAAATTTGTTGAGACTTTTTTGTGGCCTAACATATGGTCTGTCCTGGAGAATGTTCCATGTGTTGATGAGAAGAATGTGTATTCTGCAGCTGTTGAATAAAATGTTCTGTAAATATCTGTTAGGTCCATTTGGTCTAGACTGAAAATTAAGTTTGATGCTTCTTTGTTGATTTTCGGTCTAGATGATCTGTCTTATTCCGAAAGTGATGTGTCAAGGTTTCCAACTATGACTGTATGGGGTTCTACCTCTCTCTTGAGCTTTAATAATATTTGCTTTATATATATTTGCTTCAGTGTTGGGTGCATATGTATTTACAAATGTTATATGCCCTTGGTAAACTGATCCCTTCATCATTATATAATAACATTTCTTGTCTCCTTTATATTTTTTTTCCAAGTCCATTTTGTCTGATATAACATTAGCTACTCTTGCATGCTTTTGGTTTCTGTTTGCATGGTTATTTTTATTTATCCCTTCACTTTCAGTCTGTGTGTCTTTACAGGTGAGTGAGTTTCTTATAGGCAGCATATAGCTGGATCTTATTTTGTTATCTATTCAGCCAGCCTATATATTTTAATTGAGGAATTTAAACTGTTTTCATTAAAGGTTGTTATGGATAGTTGAGGACTTACTACTGTCATTTTGTTGATTGTTTTATACATTTTTTCCTTTCTTCCTTTTTCATTGTTTAGCTGGATGGATTTTGTGTGTGTGATGATAATATTTGATTCCTTTCTGTTTCTCATTTGTGTATCTGCCTTACCAGTGAGTTTTATACTTTCATGTGTTTTCACGTTGGTAGATATCTTTTCACTCCCAGATGTAAGACTCCCTCAAACATTTCTTTTAGGGTTGGTCTAGTGGGGATGAATTATCTCAGTTTCACCTGTCTGGGAAAGACTTTATTTCTCCTTTATGCTGTGTATAGTATACTTACTCGTCTGGCAGTTTTGGGGGTTTTTTTTCCAGCACTTTGAGTATATCTTCCCATTTTCTCCTTGCCTATAAAATAAGGTTTCTGCTAAGAAATCCACTATTTGTCTGATAGGAATACTCTTATATGTGTGACTTGATACTTTTCTCTTGCTGTTTTTAGAATTCTCTCTTTGTAATTTGACTTTTGTCAGTCTGACTATAATGTGCTTTGGTGAAGATCTTTTTAGATTGAATCTTTTTTTTTTTTTTGAGACAGAGTTTCATTCTTGTTGCCCAGGCTGGAGTGCAATGGTGCAATCTCAGCTCACTGCAACCTCTGCCTCCCAGGTTCAAGCAATTCTCCTGTCTCAGTCTCCCAAGTAGCTGGGATTACAGGCATGTACCACCATGCCCAGCTAATTTTGCACTTTTAGTAGAGATGGGGTTTCTCCACGTTGGTCAGGCTGGTCTCAAACTCCCAACCTCAGGTGATCCACCCACCTCAGCCTCCCAAAGTGCTGGGAGCTTTCAGATTCCCTGTCATACTAATGTGAAAAGGAACTCCAACATTCACCTTAAATGCTACAGAAACCACATTTTGATATATTCCTGATATGTCACAAATGCAAGAATTACTCTGTTTAATGACAACGCAATTTTTAAAAAGATGGAACACCAATGTCTTACCACCAAGTCTTCACAACTCCTGTCAACTGGAAGCAAGCTCTTCATAAGTTCCACATTCTCATGCAAATGTTTTAATTCAAATGCATGTTGTCTCATACAAGTATCCAAAGATATGGTAAATTCATGGATTAATCTCTCAACTGTATTAGAAGAGTGCGCCTGAGATGTCAATTTGGTCACAGCAGCAATTAACCAGGCTTTTGTTTCTGAAGACACAGAGTCATTCATAAGTAACTTGTAGAGCTTAGCTATAACTTCCTCTGGCGTTTCCTTATCTAAGAGGTAGGAATATTCCCCTAATACCTGTAAATAAAACAAAGAGATATTCATATAGAAATATCAAGTTATACAGTAGACTATACTAAAATCTAAACAAAGTACCTACTGCTAGAGTGAATTTAAAGTAGATTAAACATCCTCTCATGGTGAAAAAATTATTAAAGATACAACTGTATATTTTAGGTTCAAAATTATACCAATAATTCAAAATGGCTTTCCCCATCATTGTCATTAACAATATATAAAGCAGCATACCTTTACAAGTTTCTGAACTTCTGGAGTTGGTTGTTGGTTTTTATAAGCACTATCACATCCTGTTATTATTTTCCAGTAAGCACTTATTGATGGTTCTCATGTAATGATGGTTCTTACTACACGTAGTAAGAGGCACTTAAGGTGTTTCATTAAAAATACAGATTTCTAGGCTCCACCCCCAGATATTCTGATTTAGTATGTCTGTGGTCCCCGAGAATATACATTTGAATATGCATCAGCTGATTCTGATGTAGACATTCCACAGAAGAGACTTTAAGAAACACTTATTGGCCAGGCATGGTGGCTCACACCTGTAATCCCAGCACTTTGGGAGGCCGAGGCGGGTGGATCACCTGAGGAGTTTGAAACCAGCCTGGACAACATGGTGAAACCGCATCTCTAATAAAAATAAAAAAATTAGCTAGGTGTGGTGGCACACGCCTAGAGTCTCAGCTACTCAGGAGGCTGAGAAAGAAGAACTGCTTGAACCTGGGAGGCAGATGTTGCAGTGAGCTGAGATCATGCCACTGCACTCCAGCCTGGGCAACAGAACAAGACTCCGTCTCAAAAAAAAAAAAAAAAAAAAAAAGAAACGCTTGTCTATGTCACACATCTAACTTAGGTGACATACAATCCTGTAAGTGAAAGAATGGATAGGGACAGGAGGCAGAGGAATTCTAGGCAGAAAAGGGTGGGGTCCCTGGAGAAGCCCCACCCGCAAGCCAGAAAGCCTGAGACCACGGCCCAAAGTGAGAACTTATATCCCTATTTTCCCATTCAAATGTTGCCTTTTCCTAAACCACCCATGGCCCTGCCCTGCCCTGCCCCATCCTGTGCCTATAAAGACCCCAGACTCAGCCAGCATAGAGGAAGAAGCAGCTGGATGTCAGAGAGAAGCGGCTTTACTTCAGAGGGACAGCTTGACAGCGTAACTTCAAAGAAGAATCCAGCCAGAGACGGCTGGACTTCTGGAGAACATTACCTTCACTGCCCCAGTCCCCCTGTCAGCTCCCCTTCCTGCCGAGAGCCACTTTCACTGGCAACAAAATCCCCTGCATTTATCATCCTTCAATTCATTTGTGTGACCTCATTTTTCCTGGACACCAGATGAGAGCTCAGGAGTGAGTGCAGATACAAAAGGGCCCACTGAGCTGTTAACACTTAAGCCGTCTGCTGATGACAGAGCTAAAAGAGCACTGTAACATGCTCAATGGGGCTTCAGGAGTCATGGGTACTCCCCACTAGATGCTGCCATGGGGCCCATACAGAGTTTTGCTCCTGCCAGAGCCCAAAAGCGACTCACTCTGGCTCCTGCACCCGCTCACCTGCATGCTCACCCTCCCGCGAGGGGTTGAGAGCTACAGGATGAGTAAGTGAAGCACCCGTCTCAAAGCCCACAAAGGGGTCAAGGGGAATTTCCTGTTTCAGAATCATTAATAAACTGATAATTCAGGAAGTATGAAATCTCTCTGATATGGTTGGCTCTGTGCTCCCACCCAAATCTCACCTTGAATTGTAATAATCCCCCACATGTCAAGGGCAGGACCAGGTGGAAATAACTGAATCATGGGGGCAGTTTCCCCCATGCTGCTCTTGTGATAGTGAGTTCTCATGAGAGCTGATGGTTTTATGAAGGGCTTCCCCTTTCACTTGGCTTCATTCTCTCTCCTGCCACCCTGTAAAGAGGTGCCTTCTGCCTTGATTTTAAGTTTCCTGAGGCCTCCCCAGCCATGTGGAACTGTGAGTCAACTAAACCTCTTTTCTTTATAAATTACCCAGTCTCGGATATTTCTTCATAGCAGTGTGAGAATGGACTAATACACTTTCCTAAATGGTGTTTATGGAATAATTTCATGTCTTTGGTATAATATCGGCACCAGCAAGAAAAGGAGGCTGGGTGATAAGCAAGGGAAAATGTATAGCTAGTAAGAAGGAAGAGAAGAGAAGGAAAAAGAAATAGGACTAAATGAGTTCAATCCTTAAACAGTATGATAATTTTTAGGGTGGTTTTATAAAAAATGGAAGGTAGCTCCAGAAGAACAGGTAACATAAGTCCCAGTTCAAAAACCAATGGTAATGGATGTCTGCTTCTGGGAAGATGGAGAAGATGTATTTATCCCTATTCTTCCTACTAAGTATACCTAAAAACCCTTGATATTACATATAAAACATACAGCACATTATCTGTTGTCTCATTTACCTCAGACTGGATGTGGAGAGCCAGAACCTGGAAATGCCAATGGGCACAGACAAAAAGCCCCAACAGGAGCCTGCCCTCTAGTCAATAAGCCAAGAGGACAGAAAAGTTTCAGACAGTAACCCTCCTACTCCAGCCAAATACCACACAGAAAAATCTGCAGCCCCACCCACACCAGCAAAGGCAGAGTGGAGAATCAAGACTTCTACCCTCACCAGGCTGCAAGAGGTACCCCAAATTCCCCAGCAGGGTGGCAACTGAGAAGACTGAGTGGGGAGTCAGGACTTTCATCCCCACTGAGCTGTAGAGAGGCCTACTCCCCTGCAGTGTCAGTGGAGACTAGGCAGGGAGCCTGCACCTCACCTCCACCAAGGAGAAATACAGTGTCCCTGCCTTTCTCTGATGGGAGTGTGTCAGTGGAAGCCTGATGGAGTCAGGATTTTCCCCACTGTTCAGCAAGCCACCCCCTCATAGTGTCAGTATAGGCCACAGAACTGAAGATGTCAATACCCTTCTCTCAACAATTAATAGGACTAGACCAAGAATCAGCAAGGATATAGAAGAACTGAACAACACCATCACAACAGACTTTATAGAACACAACACCCAGAAAAAGCAAAATAGATCATCACCAGCCATCAGAGAAATGCTAATCAAAACCACAATGAGATACCATCTCACACCAGTTAGAATGGTGATCATTAAAAAGTCAGGAAACAACAGGTGCTGGAAAGAATGTGGAGAAACAGGAACACTTTCACACTGTCGGTGGGACTGTAAACTAGTTCAACCATTGTGGAAGACAGTGTGGCTATTCCTCAAGGATCTAGAACTAGAAATACCATTTGATCCAGCCATCCCATTACTGGGTATATACCCAAAGGATTATAAATCACGGTGTTATAAAGACACATGCACACGTATGTTTATTCACAATAGCAAAGACTTGGAACCAACCCAAATGTCCATCAATGATAGACTGGATTAAGAAAATGTGGCACATATACACCATGGAATACTATGCAGCCATAAAAAGGATGAGTTCGCGTCCTTTGTAGGGACATGGATGAAGCTGGAAACCATCATTCTCAGCAAACTATCACAAGGACAGAAAACCAAACACCGCATGTTCTCACTCATAGGTGGGAATTGAACAATGAGAACACTTGGAACAGGAAGGGGAATATCACACACTGGGGCCTGTTGTGGGGTAGGGGGACGGCAGAGGGATAGCATTAGGAGATATACCTAATGTAAATGACGAGTTAATGGGTGCAGCACATCAACATGGCACATGTATACATATGTAACAAACCTGAACGTTGTGCACATGTACCCTAGAACTTAAAGTAACTTTTCAAGCAAACACAGAACATATACCAAGATAGACTGTGCCTTGAACCGTAAAACAAACCTCGAATTTGAAAGAACTGAAATCATACATAGTATTTTCTCTAATCACAATGAAAGCAAACTAGAAATCAGCAACAGAAAGATAACAGAAAATTTTCTAAACACTCAGAAACTAAACAATACTCTTCTGAATAATCCATGACTCAAAGATAAGTCCCAAGGGGGGGAAAAACAACAACAACAACAACAACAAACTGAACTATTGAATGAAAATTCAGTTGAGATTTTTCTTTAAGAAAATTGAATTTATAATTTAATAACTCCCCCAAAAATCTACAAGTCCAGATGGTTTCACTGGAAAATTCTACCAAATTTTTAAAGCAGAATTAACAGCAATTTTATGCAAACTCTTCCAGAAAATAGGAGGGCACATTCCCAAGTCATTTTATGAAACTAGTATTACTTTGATACCAAAACTGGAATACCACAAAAATGAAAACTACAGACCAATAGCCCTCATGACACTAGATAAAATTCTTAACAAAGTCTCAAGAAATCTACAAGAACACTCCTAGAACTATTAAGTTAGTTCAGCAAGACTGTAGGATACAAGATCGAAATACAAAATCTATTGTATTTGTATATACATTTGGCCCTCTGCATCTAAAGGGGATTGGTTTTAGGACTCCCTGTGGATGCCTGAATCCGAAAATAGTACTGAACCCAACTGCCATCAATTGGAACATGCTTCTGATCACGTCTTCCACTCACAAATTTAATGCCTTTTCCATCTTAACTAAGATCTCATCACGCACTGCGACCATCACTTTTGTAATTTAAGGTATGACAGCAAAACAGGATTTTTTTTTCCTTCTTCACCATTTCACAGAGGCAATTTCCCTTCTTACTGTAGAACTTTACAACCTCAGCATATGATGTTTTTCTTTCCTCATTAAGTCAAGAACTTTCACCTTTTCACTTAAAGGAACCATTTTTATAGCTTCTCTTTGGCATATCCAAATTGCCAGCATCGCAACTCTTGTGCTGTGGGGCCATGATTAAGTAAATAAAGGTTTACTACAATATAAGCACTGCAATAATGCTACAGTTCATCTGAAAACCTAGACAGCTACTAAGTGACTAACAGGCAGGTAGTGTATACAGCATGGATACACTGGACAAAGGAATGATTCAGGTCCCAGCTGGGGCAGAGCAGGATGAAGCAGGATGGCTCAAGATTTCATCATGCTACTCAGGACAGCACATAATTTAAAACTTATAAATTGTTGATTTCTGGAATTTTCCATTTCCTATTTTCAGACCATGACTGGCCACAGGTAACTAAAACTGCAGAAAGCAAAACTACAGATAAGGGGGCCGACTGTACATGACCTGTATGCTGTAGAAAGAAATAAAAGACAATCTAAATTAAGTGGAGTGACATGCCACGTTCATAGACAAAAAAAACTAATGGCCACAGAAACCAATAATCAATTCAGGAAGGATAATCAACACTAAAGCCATTGAAGATAGCTGAGGAAAAGATATTTGCACAGCCTCATAGAATCACCTCACAAATTAGTTATAAATTACAAAAAGGAAAGATACCTTTATAATGCAAAGATCTGGAGGTCACCATCTTTTTTTTCTCCCTTTGGTAGAGACTAGGTCTCACTTTGTTGCCCAAGCTGATCTCAAACTCTGGCTTCAAGCAATCCTCCCACCTCCCAAAGTGCTGGGATGACAGGCATGAACCACTGCACCAGGCCACCATCTTAACCCAAACTTATAAACTTACAATCACCAATAAGTGGACAAACTGATATTATATATATCCTGATATGATGCAGTAGGAAATACACAACATTGCCTATGTAGTATTCTCACTAAAAATGTTTAACCTGAACAAAAATAATTAGATATCCAGAATGTAGGACATTCTATAGTTAACAGTAGTCATCCAAAACAAACAAAAAAATCAGTCATAAAAACCAAAAGAAAGTGGGGTTCATTATAAATTAAAAAAGGATAAAGAGACATAAGTAAAGGCAATTTGTGATCCTCAACTGGATCTGGGATTGAAAGGAGGAGAATAATAGCCCTAAGAGACATTTTTTGGTACAAATCCATAAATCAGAGTATGGACAGTATAGCAGGTGATATTAACGAATTACTGTACACTTCTTTTTTTTTTTTTTTTTGAGATGGAGTCTTGCTGTGTCACCCAGGCTGGAGTGCAGTGGCGTGATCTTGGTTCACTGCAACCTCCGCCTCCTGAGTTCAAGAGATTCTCCTGCCTCAGCCTCCCGAGTAGCTGGGACTACAGGTGCGTGCCACCATGCCTGGCTAATTTTTTGTATTTTTAGTAGAGATGGGGTGTTACCATGTTAGCCAGGATGGTCTCGATCTCCTGACCTCGTGATCCACCCACCTCGGCATCCCAAAGTGCTGGGATTACAGGCATGAGCCACCGCGCCCAGTGTCTTTACACCTCTTGGGTATGACAACAGTTTTATACTTATGTCATTCATAGAAGATTCATGTTGAGGTTTTAGGAGTGAAGTGTCACAGTGTCTGCAATTCAATTCTAAACAGCTCAGCAAAACAAACTGTATATAGGTAGACCTAGATATACCTATAGATGCAGATACAGTAAAACAAATGTAGTTAAAAATATTTAACTGGGCCGGGTGTGGTGGCTCACACCTGTAATCCCAGCACTTTGGGAGGCTGAGGCAGGTGGATGACCTGAGGTCGAGAGTTCGAGACCAGCCTGGCCAACATGGCAAAACCCCATCTCTGCTAAAAATACAAAAATTAGCCAGAAGCAGTGGCGTGTGCCTGTAATCCCAGCAACTCGGGATGCCAAGACAGGAGAATTGCTTGAACCCAGGAGGCAGAGGTTACAGTGAGCTGAGTTCACGCCACTGCACTCCAGTCTGGTTGACAGAGAAAGACTCTGTCTCAAAAAAAAAAAAAAAAAAGAAAGAAAATTAACTGAAAAAACTAAACTAAAAGTATATTTCATTATCTTAGTCTTTTAACTTTTCTGCAGATGAGAAAAGAAAAATTTTTAAGTAAAAATCTGGGGAAAATTTAAGCTAACATGCTAACATTTGGCAATTCTATAAAATATTAAAATGTGCATACCATATCACTTCTCTAAATCTCCCCTAAAGAAACACTCACCTATATGCACAAGAAAGAATACATAAAGGTAATGACCTGTATGCAATTACATGTGATTACATTACACAAAATTGTGACCTCTGTCTTGAAAAAAAACTGATCTCCACTACTGGCTTTGATGAAGCAGGCGGCCCTGTTGGGAGGCCACATGGCAAGAAACTGAAAGCAGCTCTAGCAGCTAAGGACAGCCTACAGTTAACAGTATGCAAGCAAAACCCTCAGTCACAAAAACTCAGCCACGAGAAAATGAATTCTGCCAACAACCACACGAGCTCGAAAGTGGATTATTTACCAGTCAAGCTTCAGGTGAGACAGTAGCCCTAGCCAACACCTTCACTGCAACCCTGTGAGACCCTAATCAGAGAACCCAGCTAAGCCATACCTGGACTCTTGACCCACAGAAACTATGAGATAATGAATTTGTATTGTCTTAAGCCACTAAGTTTGTGGTAACATTGTTATGCAGCATAAGAAAACTAATATAGCACAGATAGCCTATCAATGATAGACTGGATAAAGAAAATGTAGTACATATACACCATGGAATACTATACAGCCATAAAAAGGAACAAGATCATGTCCTTTGCAGAGACATGGATGAAGCTGGAAGCCATTATTCTTAGCAAACTAATGCAGGAACAGAAAACCAAATACCGCATGTTCTCACTTATAAGTGGGAGCTGAACAATGAGAACATAGGACACACGGAGGGGAACAACACACACCAGCGCCTATCAGGGAGGGTGGTGGGGGTGGAGAGCTTTAGGAAGAAGAGCTATTGTGTACTAGTCTTAATACCTAGGTGATGTGTTAATAGGTGCAGCAAAAAACACCATGGCACACGTTTACCTATGTAACAAACCTACACATCCTGCACAGGTACCCTAGAACTTAAAAAATAAAATAAAATAAAAAAGAAGAAGAAAAGAAGTTAATAATGTAAGTACTCAGCACTGTGCCTGGTACGTTGAAAATGCCTCTTAAAGATGAACCTCCTTCTATTTGGTTAAAATAAAGATAATTTACTGGTTATAATTTTTTAAAAAAGAAAACTAATATAGTAGAGATAAATGAGTATTCAAATATTCAAACACGGATGCACATAAAAAACACAACAAAAACATTGTAAACACAAAGAGACAAGTAAATACCTATATTTAAAAGACCAAACAAGTGAGATGGCAGAGAGAAAAAACAAAGTAAATAGTTAAGTGATAGATGGTGGCCATTTGAAAAATTGACAGCTGAAGGAGTTAGCTGAGTAAAGCGAATGGTTTCTGAAGAAAATATGTTAACATTTGGTTTGTATTAAAAATGTTATAAAAATTTATGATTTAAGGTACTTTGCTCACCCAACTCATAACTTGAAGAAATCTCTGTGGATAGAACACATTTTCCATATCCAGTAAAGTGAGATAAGACTGAACTGCATAGAGTCTTAATTGCTGATCTTCTGTTTCATCATCAAAACCTACAAAGAAATTGATACACCATTTTAATTTCCACAAACTTATCTTAGGACTCTGTAATAAAAACATTAAACTTTAAAATGTTTACTTTACAGAATATAATAGTGTACCAACCTTCCGCTAGTAGTCTCAGAAAGTTATTGGGAATATCAGGATGCATTACATCTCCTCCTACTGAAAACACAGCATTCATTGTCTGAATAAACCATGCATTATCAGGAGCATATGTGTCCACAGTGTTAAGAACAAGTACACTTCCAAATGCTACTTATTAAAATTACCCTTCTGTAGCAATCTTTTAAAAAATAACCCCAATTCATCCTAGTATGGCAGTTTTACCTTTAACCTCTGCCATAAATTGTTCTGTACCCCAGTTTTATGTAAAATAGGTACTCAGTAGAAGCTTATTTAATAAACTTAATAAACTGAGTTTATGTCACTTTGGCACCATACTTGCACAAAACAGTCATCCAATAAATAAATGTGAAATAACTGAAAGAAACAAACCAGCTAACTAGATGCAAATAATGGAAAATTATATTCTTCAAAGAATTCACTTCAAAGAAGCTAAATATTGTTGTATGTCTACTTGAACAAATTGTTTAGTATCTTTTCTTTTTTTCCTTTTTTTTTTTTTTTTGAGGCAGAATCTTGCTCTGTCGCCAAGCCTGGAGGGCAGTGGTGCGATCTCGGTTCACTGTGACCTCCGCCTCCTGGGTTCAAGCAATTCTCCTGCCTCAGCCTCCCGAGTATCTGGGACTACAGGTGCACACCACCATGCCCGGCTAAATTTTTTTGTGTTTTAGTAGAGACAGGGTTTCACTGTGTTGCCCAGGCTGGTCGTGAACTCCTGAGCTCAGGCAATCCTCCCACCTCTGCCTCCCAAAGTGCTGTGATTACAGGTGTTTAGTCTCTTTTCTAATCTGTTCCTCATCAGTTCTAAAGTTCTATCATTCTGCTGGCCAGAGCTACAGCACTGACTAGGACAAAACTACACTTAAGCAATTTCCAATATAATTTCATTAACAGCATTCACTCACTCTTTTTTATAATTAAACAGTAACTTTTTTTTTTTTTTTTGAGACGGAGTTTCGCTCTTGTTGCCCAGGCTGGAGTGCAATGGTGCAATCTCAGCTCACTGCAACCTCCGCCTCCCAGTTTCAAGCGATTCCTCTGCCTCAGCCTCCCTAGTAGCTGGGATTACAGGCATGCGCCACCATGCCCGGCTAATTTTGTATTTTTAGTAGAGACAGGGTTTCTCCATGTTGGTCAGGCTGGTCTCAAACTCCCGACCTCAGGTGATCCACCCGCCTCAGCCTCCCAAAGTGCTGGGATTACAGGCATGAGCCACTGTGCCCGGCCTAAACAGTAACATTTTTTAATGAATGGAATATGCTTATGACCTGTAAAGTTCTTCTGACTTTTAAGAAACAAACATGAAGAAGAGTAACATGTTAATAGAGTTCCCAACTACTTAACTGTGACAATTTCCAGCTTAAAACAATAAAGGATAAGCTTTAGCATCCTGACCACTCCCACACACCCTCCACTTTCCCCAAAAAGCAAGAACTTTTACTCAGAAAAGAAATCAAGATAGAAGTAGAGACGAGGCAGGACTGAAAGAGGAAAAAGAGGATAAAGGTTCCTCTATCTTCCTGCTCAAAATACTGGACTACATGAATAAAAGAAACCAGCAAAAAAAAAAAAAAAAAAGCCATCTCCTAAGAGGTCTACACAAATCCCTTTTTCTGACAAGAGAGGCTTGAAAATCAGGAATAAAAAGTATTGCTAGGTCTCTGAACTCGACTTGCAAGTGACCATATCTATACCAATCATCTTAAAGTCACTGCATAACTAACTATTTTAAGACTCATGGTCGAAATAAAAGGATATTTCTCAGCCAGCTCTGCTATTTTGCCGACCAAATTGACGATGACATACTCTTCTTTGCTCTGATGTAAATATTCAAGCATTTTCTGGACAATAACTGTTATATTCTGTGCATTAGTAATTCTGTAAAGAAGTTCCAGAGTCTATTTAAAGAAGAAAAATTAAAAACAATATTATAAAACTATGCATAACACCAATGAGTACAGTAACATAAAGGTTGACCATACAGTTGATTCTTCTACTTTTATGGAGATCTACTGGGTAGTCAGTTAACAGGTAAGAAATGCAAATTTCAATGAAAAGCTTAAGAAAGGTAAAACTATCGTCAAAAAATGAATTATGATCAATTCCAATGTCTATAAGCTTCCTACTGAGATAATCACAACCTGACATCTCTACATGACAGAACACTTAGAGACTAAAAAGTTAAAATACAATAGATATATATTTTCTAAAAACATAACAGCCCTTAAATATACATTACCTACAGCTATGGGTGTATATATATGCAAGTGTATGTATGTGTGTATAAATCTAGTCTTGGAAACTATTTCCCATGCTACAGAAGACAGCAGACTATTTCCCAAACAACAGAAGACACCACTTGAGTGGGTTAGGTAATTGAAGGCAATCAGGTTTTGTTTGGATGGACAAAGACTGGTGGCTCAAATGCTTCAAAGCCTAGGTTCAAAATCTCAGTCATCAAGGAAGAACTGTTTTATAGCTACTTTTTTTTTTTTTTTTTTTGAGACAGGGTCTTGCTCTGTCATCCAGGCTGTAGTGCAGTGGTACAATCTCAGCTCAATGCAACCTCCACCTCCTGGGCTCAAGCAATCCTCCCACCTCAGCCTTCCAAATAGGTGGGACTACAGGCACGTGCCACCATGCCCAGCTAATTTTTTGGTATTTTATAGAGATGGAGTTCGACCATGTTGCCCAGGCTGGTCTTGAACTCCTGGGCTCAAGTGATCCTCCCACCTTGGCCTCCCCAAGTGTTGGGATTACAGGCATGAGCCACTGTGCCTGGCCTGTAGCTACTTTCTTTCTTTTCTTTTCTTTTTTTTCTTGAGATGGAGTCTCACTCTGTAGCCCAGGCTAGAGTGCAGTGGCAGGATCTCAGCGTGCCACCAAGCCTGGCTAATTTTTGTATTTTTAGTAGAGATCGGGTTTCACCATGTTGGCCAGGCTGGTCTCGAACTCCTGACCTCAGGTGATCCGCCCACCTCGGCCTCCCAAAGTGCTGGGATTACAGGTGTGAGCCACAGCGCACAGCTGCTACAGCTACTTTCTAAGTGCTGAGGAATATACCTCTTGCTGCTTCAAATAAGATGAAGGAAAACCAATACCAGAGTAAGCTCCCATTTGCATGGCTTGCCACAGCTCTAGATTAAGGTTTCAAAAATATAAGTCTCAGAAATCAATATGAGAAATACTGAGAAAGCATCATTTATTGGTGTTTTAGGATCAGCAATATTAGCTGCAAGATAATTTCCACATATTTGTCAAACTTACTCAATATATTTAGGGTTCTAATTTTTCAATCCTTACAGCCAGGACTTAAAGCAGAAAGGATAACATATTTTGAAAGATTTTTTTTTTCAACGCTGAAAGGAAGTTTTATTATCTTAACTTGACCCAAATTATAATATTATTTATAAAAGTTATATAAATGCAGACTGATGGTTTTGTAAGAGTCGAAAAGCCAAATATAAGTAAAGCACTAGAAATACATTCAGTTATAAAAAGTTGACATTCTTCTAAATGTTATGTGGAATCATAGGAAGAAACATCATTGTAATTATTATTCAAAGTAATGTTAAAGATAACATAAGAGACGTTTGGTCTTAAATGTCAATTTGAATGTGCAGTGTCTACAATAATAGATCAGAGAGAATATACAGAGTATATCTGTAATTAAAACAGGAAAAAATGAGTTAGTTGCAAATACTGTATTCTTCAATAAAAGAATGCAGATTAAGGATAAAATAGTTAGATAGTCTTTATCAACTAGGCATTTTTCAGGGTAGCTAAAAGGAGCAACAATAAAGCTCTACACATGTAACTAAAATGTATGCAATTAATCTAGTCCCAGCACTTTAATTTGTAGAGTTCTCAAATCAAAAGTAACAAATAATTGTACATCAGGATTGTTAGGAATACTAATTATTTTACAACTGCCCCTACATGTTTCTTCTTCTCTGACACAATTGGCACAGATCCAGGCTTGCTGTGTTTAATACGATTCACTTCCTTTCTTCGACGAGCTTCTTTCATGATGCACTGTTCCTGAATCTGGCTGTAGATAGATTTTGGTAGATGTCAATGACAAGCTATACATTTTATATCAGGATGATGCTGAAATTTCTCCTTCAATTTCTAGTTATAATCCTTAGCTGCTTTTTCTCATGATGTAAGCACACCAAATTTTTCAGAAGCATTAGCTTTCCACAGGCAAATGTTCATTTCATCAGATCCACACATAATATACTTGCTGTCAGAAGTGCATTTTACACAGATAACATGTTGCATTCGCTTTGTGTGATATACCTCCCTGCTTCAACTTTTGTCTATAGGAAAGATACAAATAGCTTTATCGAAACTAGCAGACACAAGCTCTTTCCCAGTGGGAGGGTAATCCATGTCAAGCACTGCAGATACATGATCCATATGGAACATTACAGGAGTGTCCAGTGCACACATATCAAAAGTATGTAAGTTATAGTCTTCATTTGCTGCCGTAAAAATGAAAGCTTCCATAGGGTTCCAACAAACTGTATTTGTTCTCATATCTAATATAACCTTTTTCAAAGGAGTAGCTTGCCTCATGTTGTACAGTACTATATTCCTGTCAGACGCACAAACTTCCCAAGAGAAATGTCTCGATTGGGTTAAATTTAACACTACTTACACTGTCAAATCCCCAGGTCATTGAACATACAGGATTAGTTCTTTGTTCATCCCAAATGTCTACTTGCTGTCCACATGTGGCAAAAACAGCTTCTTTACAGTGATGATAAACCCCAGTATACACTGTCTTTCCTAATGTTGTATGTAATGGTTCTTCCTCATCTCCATAGCCTGGCCCATCCATTTTCCATTGTTTCACAGTTTTGTCACCACCAACGGTGAAAAAAGAAGTCCCACAAAAGTGAGTACGTATTCCTTATACAAAGCCTTCATGTGCTTGTATTGTATGGATACATTTCTGTTGAGTCAGGTTCCAAATTCTAACCTCTCCATCACACGCCCCAGAAAGGACAGTAGCCAGGTTCTTTGGATGCTTTGCCAAGCAACTGACTCCATCTTGGTGACCATCCAGCAAAGCAAGGAATGGTTTTGCAAATACTCATTCCATTTTGGTAGCATTTAAAGCTCTTACATATTCTCATGGGACCTCAAAAGGATGTAAGGTAGGATCATAGTTTCTTGGAACTCTCTGTAAGTCCAACTTGGTTTCACAGACATAATTGTCCAGATTCTGGCTCAGTATCTTCATCCTCATCTTGGTTGCTCTTCTGGCCGGACTCCACGAGCTCTTTGCTGTGAGTTCTGTCCACTGCCTGATTTTTTTTTTTTAACTGTTTTAGTTAATGTGTAACACCACTTAAATCTAAAAATACATAGGTCACCCCAACAATAGCTTTCAACTTATGGAGCTGCTTCAGACATGCTCCCTGTGAACTCCAAATTATGTTATATAGTTTTAGATAACATACATCAAATTTATTTCCTATTCTAAGACCATGAAATATGGCATTTCCAGAACTGAATGGGGTATAGTGTTACAAACTGTATTGCCAGAGGTCTTTTCTATTCAGACTTGGTAGCTCCCTCTCACCTTCTCTCCTCCTGTATATGACAGAGGTAATAAAACCTGGTAAAAAGGAATCCTACCCCAAGCTACAGATCACTGAACATCCAAGGACCAAAGTTCTCACCGTATCATTTGATAGAGGTTAGAAGTGACAACAGCATTGAAGAGACAGTACTTTAGTGCCATCTTTGGGCACCAAGGATACTCAGTAACTCCTCAAAGAATTCAAATCACTTTTCTCGCTGCAGGTAAGGGACCAAACAGATCAACCTTCATAATTTTAAAAGTCACCTATTTTCCCTTTGACTCTGATTTTTAAGTGAAAGGATAATTATGAAATACAATAATATTATAAACCCCCTATCTGTGGTTTTGCTTCCCATGGCTTCAGTTACCCACAATCTAAAAAATATTAAATGGAAAATTCCAGAAATCAATAATTCATAAGTTTTAAATTGCATGCCTTTCTGAGTAGCATGATAAAATCTTGCACCATCCTACTCCATCTGGGACATGAATCATCCCTTTGTATTCACACTGTATATGCTACCAGCCCATTAATCATAAAGTAGCCATCTTGGTTATCAGATTGAAAATATATAAATATATACATGGTTCAATACTATCTATGGTTTCAGGCATCCAATGGGTGTATTAGAACATACTTCCATAAATAAGTGGGGACTACCAAATAGCAATAAGAAAAAACTGTACCTAAGTCAACTTTGTTCAACTTAGTACTCAACTATACAAAGGAAATGCATGCTCTGTATCTGTTAAAGCAGAACGGCTGTATAATTATTTGTTACTGTCTCTTCGAGCCTTCTTATTTTTCTAGGATGTCTACACGCAGAAATTAGTACATCTGCAAACTGCCCAGATCCAAGGCATGTAACAATTTTCAGACTACTAAAAATATGAAATAAATAAATATATATGAAGGCAAATTTTTTAAAAAATGTGTTTCAAATGCCTTTTAAAATTTAAAATTTGTAATCTTCAAAAATTATAGTTGTTTAATGTAATAGTGTTCTCTCAATAAACTCTCCTATTCTTAGCTCATTGCTTTTAAGATATTTAGATGTTTAGTATTTAGTAGATTCTCTTTTTTTAAGAATGTAATCATGTCCTTTGCAGCAACATGGATGCAGCTGGAAGCCATTATCCTAAGTGAATTAATGCAAAAACAGAAAATCAAATATCACTTGTTCTCACTTATAAGTGGGAGCTAAACAATGGGTACACATGGATGTAATGATGAAACAATAGACACTGGGGACTCCACAAGCAGGCAGGGAGGGCAGGAGGGGAAAGGAATGAGTTGAAAAACTACCTACCCAGTACTATGTTTACTATTTGGGTGATGGGTTCAATAGACGCCCAAATCTCAGCATTACATAAAATGTCCATGTAATAAACCCACACATGTATCCCCTGAATCTAAAATTATTTAAAAAATTCTTTTTAAATCTTTGCTATTTTTATAAACAGAATTTTTTACTCTTAACTAGGTCCCATATACCATTTGAAATAAAGATATTGAATGATTTCTTCCATAAGAATTAAAAGGAATATTTATATAGACACCCAAGTAGACATTGAAGCAAATTTACAAAAAGAAAAAGTTGGAAAGAAGTATATTATTATTATAAGTAATATATATAATTATATATATTAAAATGTAATATACAAAAGTAATATTATATATAAGTAACATATAGTATATGCTATGTTATATATAATATACAGACATATATGATGATGATATTATTAAGCCTTTCCTTCCAAGAAGTTCAAATCAATTTATGAATATCTTCATTAATTCTTTCAATATTTCTATCTATTTGGTAGGAAATTAATTAATTTTATAGATATAAAAGAGAACAATGAGAAATCATTAATTAACATCAACTGCATCTTAAATTGTACAATAACAGGAAATTGTACTAATAGGAAGACCTGGGACCAGAATTCAGGACTCCTATTGGTATGATGCTCAGATCGAAATTATATTAATGAACCCACACAGATGACTGGACCTAATTCCTTCAACTCATAATTTAAAGACATTCCTGTGGACACTGACATAGTACTTTTTAGAAAAGTTACTTAAACTTTAGTAAAAATAAATAAGCCAGGCACAGTGGCTCACACCTGTAATCCCAGCACTTTGGGAGGCCAAGGCAGGCAGATCACTTGAGGTCAGGATTTCAGGATCGGCCTGGCCAATATGGTGAAACCCCGTTTCTACTAAAAACACAAAAATTAGCCACGCGTGGTGGCACACACCTATAATCCCAGCTACTCAGGAGGCTGAGGCACGAGAATCACTTGAACCCAGGAGGTGGAAGTTGCAGTGAGTTGAGATCATGCCACTGCACTACAGCCTGGGTGACAGAGTGAGATTCTGTCTCAAAATAGAAAACAAAAAAAGGATTAAATACACCCAAAAGTTAAAATATACACACGAGCAAACATACACACTGCCCACCACTTTAATCTCTCTACACAATGCCAACAAAATTTTTAAAAATTTTAACACTTCACATATACTATTCAAAATACCAGTTTACCTCTCTTTTAATAATGGGATCAGGATGATCTAAACATTCAATTATTGTCATCTGGTGTTGAAGAGCCAGAGTAGGATCCTGTTGGATAACATAGGTAAGAGCCTTCAGTCCTAGAAACAAAGACACATTATACAAAGTGAATTGAAACAAATACACAGCAAATTTCAAAAGCTATCTCTGTAATTTCTGTCAAAAGAACCAATCATCTTACCTAAATATTTTAGATTTATTTTAGGTGACAGAACAAATTTTCCAATGCACTTGGCAGCCTTCTCAAGTAATTCCGATTTAGGATAAATAGAATAGACTGTATGCACACATTCAAACAAAATAGCTAGAAAAAGAAACATAAAAATGGCAGGTATCATGGTAAGGTATAACAAAACAATGTATTTGTGTAGAACTTGTAATAAAACTAATTGGAAAGTCCATTTTAGTCAGAAATCTTATTTATGGACTTTTCACAGAAACAAACGCTACTACTTTCAGGCTTACCCAGTTACTAGGATTAGGTTACCACAATACAATGTTCAAAAAATTATATTTACTGGTAATAATTATGCATTTATTAATGGAACAAGTATTTACTGAACACCTCCCATGTGCCAGGCATGGTTTCAGTACTATGAATATAGCAGTGAACAAAACAGATGGAAAAAAACATCCTGCCCTCAAGGAGTTCACATTCTAATGGAAACATCAATAACAGATTCATTATTCCTATATAAAAAGATATTTCCCACGTTCCTTTAATGCTTTAAAATGGTTTATTCTCAAATAGTTTCGACCATTTACGTGCCAAAATTGCGTATGTAGTTTATTTCAACATAATCATTTTATAGGATGATCCAGTATTTATTTCAAAGATACAGTCCCTACTCATAAATCTTCAAACTATTCTTTAAAATAACCTCAAAGCACATAAAATAATCTACTGGACATCTTGATAGCATTCAAATTTTATTTTCTGATACATTCGAAAGTCTCATCACTATGACAGATGATCAAAGTGAATGATCAAAATGGACACTAAAGTTTTTTTCAAATTATTTGAAAAAGCATGAGTCATGCGGTTGGAGCTTTGCCATGATAAAGAAAAATCACTGAAAGGACATTAAGTCTTATGTGTTCTATGGAATCATAGTATCAGAAGTGTGACACAGTGAAGGTACAGAATCAACACTTAAAAACTGTTCTAGTACAAGTTGAAGTATATCAAGTGTCCTGATACAATCACTCCTTCTCTATTTCCAAAAGCTTAAAATATAACCCGACATTCTCTTTATGTACAAAATATATTCTGAATATTCAGCTAGCTATGTTTTACACTATGTTGCCTATCGATTAATGCACAAATAAATTTTGTGGAAAAAACTTCTATAAACCTCTGTCTTTTTCTCAAATTTACAAGGAAAGAAAAGACAAAAAAAAATTTTAAACCTCTTCTATAACAGAGACAGAAAAAAAATCAGATATATTAATTTTTCTTTAAGAAAGGAACTGACTTTAAATGAAAACTACAGAGTAAGTTGGCTGAACCTAAAGAGACTTTGTATATTCAGATGCTATGCTATAAAATGTCTTTACTCTGTGCTGTGAAAAAAGTTCGCTTTATGATTCATGAACTAGACAAACTAAACAAAGAGAACCTTAGTCAATTGACTAATAAGATAAGGCAGGAATGGAGAAACTGCCACTAAATCCAGCCTTCAGCCTATTTTTAAAATGCCACTAAATCCAGCCTTCAGCCTATTTTTATAGGCCTGTGAACTAAAGAAAGATTTTTACATTTTTAAAAGGCTGTAAAAAACAAAACAAAAAGCAAAGGAGAATATGCGACAGAAACCTCCATGACCTGCAAAGCCTAAAATATTTACTATCTGGCCCTCTTTTCAGAAAAAGTTTGCTGAACTGTGAACTACCATGACAGTCCTAAGATTTCAAATGATGATATTCCATTTTCCAACATAACTGACACATTTTTCATTACGGCTTCCTACCATTAAGAACTCTCTTGCTATTAAATTGTTTTACTAACAAAAGCCTGCCATTACCCATCCAAAATTTAAACGTTTATATTCAGATGCTCATAAAGTTTCTGGGGTGCCAACATGGGAAAAAAAATAATAGTTCAAAAACAGCACTTATTTTTAGTTTCCTTAGGCATAATTGAGCTGAAAATGAATTAAATTGATTTTTAAATTATTTTCTCACCCAGAGCTAAGTCATTTTATTCTCCAACTCTACAAATATCTAAGTATAAGTTCATAATTGAAAGAGCAGCCACTCTGCTGTCTCCTCTCTGTGGTGGTGAAGTAAAATACAACTGAGAATTTCTTTTTTTTTTTTTGAGATGCAGTCTGCAACCTCCACCCCCCAGGTTCAAGTGATTCTCCTGCCTTGGCCTCCCAAGTAGCTGGCAGTACAAGCGTGCACCATCATGGCCAGCTAATTTTTGTATTTTTAGTAGAGACAGGGTTTCACCATGTTGGCCAGGCTGGTTTTGAACTCCTAACCTCAAGTGATCTGCCCAACTCAGCCTCCCAAAGTGCTGGGATTACAGGCATGAGCCACCTTGCCCGGCCACAACTGAGGGTTTCTAAACTTAAAAATACAACATGGAACTTGGTTACTCTTCAGTACTCTTGGTTACTCTCTTGGTACTAATTAAAATGCTATAAAGCATAAATTACTAAATTAAAAATTAATAATGTTCCACCATTTATGACACTGCAGTTTCATCATAGATATTTTGGGTTGGATTATGTATGCTCAAACAAAATGTGAAGTTCTTCTGACACCTTATCCCTCAGAATAGAGTTTACTCTCACTTTAATTAAGTTAAATAAGTATCTACTGACATTATTCTGGCAGGAGAGAGGAGGTATCACCCAATGGGAATGGAATCCAGGCTCTCTACTCTGTCTCCTTTGATACCTGGGGATGGAGAGGCTCCTGGTTATTGTTGGAGGGAGTATCAACTGATTCTACCCTGCCTGGGAGAGAGAGGGGTACCTCATTACTGCTTCCTTTGTGGCCTCCAGTGACACTATGAGGGAGTGGCCTCATTATCGCTGATCAGGAGTGGAAGTTCTGACTGTCCACCAGGCTTTCTCTAACACCCACGCCTCCGAACCCTGGCCACAAAGAGGGGAAAATTACCTCTTTACTCCCTACTTCCAGATGGGAAAAATCCAGACTTCCCAAGTCACCTCTGACAGCGTAAGGAAGGGGCCTTCCTTATCACCTGGCATCAATGAAATTCCAGCTGTCTCTTGGGCTTCTGTCACCACTCTAGTGGGGGGTTAGGGAGGGTGTGTTGGGGCATGTCATTATACCTGGTGATGATGGAAATCTTGGCTTTTTCCTCAGCCTTTGCTGGAGGGGATGGGTCCACAGTTTTTTCCTATGCTTGGAAGGAATAGAGGGGTTATCATCTAAAAGTTTTCTACCTTGCTAATTTCCCTTTTCTTCTTGGTCCTTTGGTGAGAGAGGGCAGGCTTTTCTGGGGGTGTTTTTGTCTGCGTCTGTTGGCATTTCCAGACTGCTGGCTCTTCAGTACCCAGTCTGGGGTACCCGAGGCAAAAAGAAAACCCAGGGTACACACCACCGTGTCTGTTTCTTTCCTTGTGTCCTGAGGTCTCTAACCAGCCTGACTTGTTCTCCACCTTCCTGAGTCTTATGTTTCTTATACATAGTATCCAAGGGTTTTAGGTGAAATTAGTGAGAAAAAAAACGGAAAAGTACTTCTATCTACCTACTTTTGATGGCTTTTGTCCCTTGTACTCCATTTTATATAATTTTCTCAATTTACTAATTTACTAAAAATGATATTCTCATGTTATCAGTACCTTATCCAAAAACCTTCCATACCTCCGGATTTACAAATCCAAACTCATTTGGCTGTTGTGACAGGTCCTCCACAATACCGCCCTTCCACTGCTCCCCACCATAAATTATCCTTTCAGACTGGTGAGACATTGTCTCTGAAACTGTTTTTAAATAGCCCCATGTCTACACCTTCTCTCATGTTCCCTCCACCTAAAAGCCCCTTCAATCTCCCTTCTGCCTATCTAAATCTTATCTACCTTTCAGGGTCCTATCACATCAGTAAATCCCTATCTGTGCCCTCAGGCCCTTAATGATCTCTACTTCCTCGGAACTCCTACAATACTTATTTCCCTGAACCATCCCTTCACATTCTGCCTTACACTGGTATTAAGCTTTCATGAACAAGTTATCTTTCCACTATATTGTGAATTTCTTAAAGACAAAGGTCATATATTATACTTCTTCATATCCTATACACCACTTTATACAATGCCTGGCACATAGCAGATATTCAATAGATGTCTTTAATGTAATTTATTTCTTGATTAGACACTAAATTGTAATAATAGAGCTTCCATAAAAATAAAATATAGAAAGTACTAATACTGAAACCCACTTAGATAACTGATAAAGTAAATAACTTCTTCTTCCTTTAATTCAATTAAAGCATATTACTCATTAACACAGTACCAGCTACTGAGATATGCTGGTTAATAAGAGAGACACAGTCCCTGCCCTTATGAAGCTTACAATTAAAATTAACATTCTTAAGCAGTAAAATACCTATATCAGGATTGCTAGCAAATACTCTACCACTGATATAATCAATGTAAGTTATAAGCTCTATCAATACAGATATAGAGAAAAGCATAACAATGAAAAGCTAAACAAAGGAAATGAAACAACAGGAACTATAAGGTTTCTGTAGCAAGGTGAAACACTGGACCAAGAGCCTGCAAAGAAAGAAACTGTTGGTGTTGGTTCAAGCAATCATTTTTTTTTTTTGAGACAGAGTCTTGCTATGTAGCAAAGGCTAGAGTGCAGTGGCATGATCTTGGCTCACTGTAACCTCTGCCTCCCAGGTCCCGGTTCAAGCAATTCTCCTGCATCAGCCTCCCGAGTAGCTGGGATTACAGGAACACGCCACCATGCCCAGCTAATATTTGTATTTTTAGTAGAGACAGGGTTTCACCATATTGGCCAGGTTGGTCTTGAACTCCCGACCTTGTGATCCGCCCACCTCGGCCTCCCAAAGTGCTGGGATCACAGGCGTGAGCCACCATGCCTGGCCAAGCAATCTTAATAAAAGGGTCATTCTGGAAAATATTAAAAAATATTTCCTCAGGTATACAGTATTCTCCAAATCAAAAGGAACGGGTAACAGTGGTTATCCCCAGGAAAGGGAACTGGGTGGTGGGTGATAAGGGTGGAAAGGACACTTACTGTTCATTGTATACCCTTTTGTACCTTTTGAATTTTGACCCATGTGCATATATTACCTATTCAAAAAAATAAAAAAATTAAAGCTGAAATGTCAATTATTAAAATAAAATAAAAAAAACTTTCTGCAAGGGAAAAAAAAAAAGCAGATTTTTAACTGAATTTTAAGCAGAATTTCCCGAAAGACTTTCAAACCCTTATCCTGGACACTGGTTACATCGCAAACAAAAAACTTTAAATTACTTTAACTTACTGGAAAAATTCTGACACTTTTCTAGATCTTCTCAGAAAATCACCTGCTTCAATAAGGGTCATCCACATCTGTGACCCCTTATTCCTGCATAGCAGGAACCTATATAATATCAACTGTTTATTACACTATATACTCATAAGGACAAGGCCTGTGTCTACCTTATTCTTCCCTTTACTTTCCACACTTAGCATGGAGAGATACATAAGTCAATCAACTCTTTCCTCAATCCGCACCTAGTTTAAAACACAATCAAGTTTTTGTTTCACAGGCACTCTATAAATGCTGGCTGAACAAATTAATAAAGCATCCTTATTACCTTAATTACCATTCATACATGCAAAACAAAAATCTATCCTTCAAAGTTTACCACCCCAATTCACTACCATGTGCATTATTTTTCTTGTATTAGTCTCATACACACAATCCTTTTTCCTTATTTGGACTGCATCTTTGTCAGGCACTTTTTATTTCAGTTAAACTAGTTCAATTTCTGTCCTCTGGTCTAACCTACATTTCTACAACCATTGTTCTTAAAGGTCCGCAGGTTATCCTTGTCTCAAAGAAAAAGTAATGCTCTTCATTTCCTACTTCATGATATTTTACCAGATTAAGAAATGACTTCTCATTTGAGTTACATCTCTCAGTGCCTCTTCTACTGTTGTCCTCCAGAGCATGCAAAATTCAAACTGTTCTACCTTTTAAATAGCTCCAAATATCTCAATTTCCTCACTGAGCTTTCTCAGGCTAATCAAAAAGAACAGCTCCTCCCGTTGGCTGTTAAAATTGGAAGTTTTTTTGGCTACTTTCTCAGTTTTCTACCCCCTTCCCTCAACTTACTCTTGTCTCCTATTACTAATTTTTAAATTGCATGTAACAATTTATTGTCTCTTCACAAAATAGTATACTATTATTCCACGTCTATATATTCCTGCCTATATCCTATTCATCCTTCAGATGTCTTCTTAAATATTTCTTTCTCAGGAAAACCTTCTTTATTCTTCCCCTCACCTAAGACTAGCTGCTATATTCTCCCACCATGCCCTGCAATTCTCTTTTGTAACATTAACAACACCTATCCCTGTCCATCAATCTAGTTTATAAGCCCCATAATGTTTTATTCACTGCTGTATTCTAAGTACCTTGCATAGGGACTGACAAATAACAGAAATTTAATAAAATATCTGACAACTAGTCGATTGATTTATTTAAGAACTGTCTTTGAATACCGTAAATGTTTACCAAGCATGGAACAAATCTATGGAGTTATCTTCACAGTCAATTAGATACTTGAAAAAAATAGATAATTGATATGTGTTTTCAATAGAGACAATTATAATAATAAACTTAGGTCAACATTTAGAACATGCCATGAGTTCAAATTACTCTTATCTATCAGTAATTAAATGCTTACATTGAAAAAATAATAATCCAAAGAACTATCTTAAAATCAGTGTATAAAATTCTATTGGAATTTATAGCATTCTAACACAGATTTAACTGCAATACTAAAAAACATTATTAGTCATTAGAGTAATATTTACATATATTACCTACCATATGTGACATTGTGATTTAACTCAGCTCTTCGTAAGGATTCATCAAGAACATCATACATTAATTCACTTGTCCTGTTTAAAAGATATTTTATTTGCAGTAGAATTATAGTATTCTAACCCAATAAAACAGTTTTTCAAACTTCTCTTTAAAACTGAGGATCTACAGAAGAGAAGTGAAAGAAATTCATTTTATGATGAAGTTATGGAAATTTCACTTCTTAAAAGGTTTGCTGTTTTTCATGAGCTTGAACTTCCTACTTTATCAAAGTTGACTAGTTAACCAATGAGATATATATGTCAATCAACTCTTTCCTCACTGTGCCTAGTTTATAAACCAAGTTTTTATTTGGTTGAACATACTATATTTTATAATTTTCTTTCAATAGAATATTTCTAAGTTACCATAGTAATACTTCATATATTCATATTATTTCAGATAGCATATTAACTGTATTTTACCCAGATACCATGAAAAAGTTTTCAAATACTAGTCTTTCCTTGAGTAGTAACTAGGTTCTTCAGAAAGAAAATTTTTACTTACATTTACATTAAATATAAAAAAAGATATTTTGTGGAATTAATAGGTTTGGACCATTCATATGTCATTATGGTCACTGATTACAGTAAGAATAACTGTGATGAGGAAGATACTGTGGGAAAAAAAAAGTGCATTAGTGCCCTAGCACTCTGCCTCCACGCTTGTTAGACAAATATCCTCTCCAAGAGGCCAATGTGAAAAACTATAGCTTCTTAGCTGGTATTTTGTATGTTTTACAAATTCAAAAAGCACTAATAGAAGAAAAAAAAAATACCAGCAACACAGGATACATACAGTGGTCTTGCAGAGAAACTGTGCCATAAAATAAATGAAAATATCAAAATAATTTGGGACTATATAAATTAATTACATCTTTCAGAAAATGTCTTTTTTTCCAAATATACAGCTAGAAAGTTCAATGTTAAGTGCATGTACTTTCATTCTGTCTTGACTGAAGTATAAATATCCAATAATTAAGAATCCAGAACCACATTCTAAAATCCTTCGTTTTATTGTGTAAGCATTTCTTTCTCAGAAGATAACCATACAGCAGACATTACCAATCCTTCCCTGCCCCCCAAAAAAAATTGGTAATATTATACCTAGATTATAGTCTAGTTCCTCAATTTAAAAAGCCAGTGTCTGGCATGAGTCTTAACCACATGAAATGAAGAAACATTTGTGAACAAGATCAAGATAAATCTTAATAAATCTAAGAAGCACAAAACTACAAAACACAAGAAAATATTCAAATAGATATAAAAGACCATAAATACAACAGACTTTTCCAGTAAATTGGTTTTTTCAATTAAATACTTTAGAATCCGGTTATAACTTTTTACTTTGCTACATTGAGCAATAATGTCCAACAAAATGTAAGATTTATGTTAAAATAAAATCTCATTAGAGTTGAGACAAAAAAGGAGAAAACATTCTAATGTTCCATAACATTATAAGAAAGTTCCACTCTATTAATAACTGAGCCTAATTACTGGTCACCTGAGTGCTGTGAAGGTAAGGACTAGCTTACTCATCTTTGTATATATGTATTATCCAAATTTATCCATGAAGGCAAGAAAAAGGAAGATAGTGAGTTAATGAATTTAATAAATTCACTAAATGCCTCCCAAGTTACTTCCTGATAACAATGGATGGCAGTAAGTCTTTTTTAGACCAATAAGATCTGATGCATTAATATAAAATTCATGATTTTAAAACATAAATTCCAGTAACTCCAACTAGAGCTCCACGTTAGGATAGGCTGGCATGATATAAAATAAAATATAATTAAGACAATCATTTCTAATGTGTGTACATGCTCCATCACCTTACGTTTTCACTGCAGGTTTCAATCAGTAGTTGAGATTCATAAACACAGAAAAAAGTAACACTATAATACCAACAGTGATGTAGCCCAATTAGTGCTAGTCAGGAGCTCACAGGCAAATGGATTCTGACCTTAAGTTGATTTCTAGAAGCAAAAGCCTGGAGAATGGTCCCTTTGTAAAGCTAGGCTAAAACATTAGAATACAAAGGTACCCTACTATATAAAAGGGAACAATATTCATAAAATCAGAACACTGATTAGCAAACATTTTCTTAAGACAGAAACATATCAGGAACTCTAGCCAAGGTCCTTGCTCTCAAGGGAACTAAAATCTCAAGGGGCTTGCTCTCAAGCAACTCGGAAATAGTTTTTAAAATAAAAATAATATGTAGGTGCACATGCAAATGCATACACACATGCACACACAGAGAATGAGAATGATAGAACAAATGAAAATAAATTGATGAATCTAGGTGCAGGATGTAAGGGAACTCCTTGTACTGTCCTTAGAACTTTGAAAGTGTCTAAGTTTGAAAAAGTAGGGCAAAATTGAGGCCGGGGCGGTGGCTCACGCCTGTCATCCCAGCACTTTAGGAGGCTGAGGCAGGGAGATCATCTGAGGTCAGGAGCTCGAGACCAGCCTGGCCAACATGGTGAAATCCATTTCTACTAAAAATACAAAAATTAGCCGGGCATGGTGGTGTGCGCCTGTAATCCCAGCTACTTGGGAAACTGAGGTGGGAAAATCTCTTGAATCCGGGAGGTGGAGGTTGCAGTGAGCTGAGATCGCGCCACTACACTCCAGCCTGGGCAACACAGCAAGACTTAGTCTCAAAAACAAAAAAAAAATGGCAAAATTGAAAGTATATATATATATAGTTGGAAAGATACACATGAGAAGTTTAAGTTATTGGCTAAAAGAATAATTCAGATAAATGAATTAAAAAGGTGAAGCACTCACACCCAACCAGAGCAAGGGTTGGCAAACTATAGCCCGCAGGCCTAATCTGGCCAAATGCCTGGTTTTGTATGGCTTCAAGCTAAGAAGAGATTTTACAGTTTGAAATAGTTGGAAAAAAAATTAAAAGAATAATACTTCATGATGTGCCGATTTGAGATTCAAGTTTTAATGTCCATAATGTTTATTTATGTTCTATCTGTGGCTGCTTTCATGCTGTAATAGCAGAGTCGAATAGATGCAAAAAACAACATATGGCCCACAAAGCCTAAAATATTTATTTATTTATTTATTATTATTATTTTTTGAGACAGAGTCTCGCTTTGTCACCCAGGCTGGAGTGCAGTGGCACAATCTCGGCTCACTGCAACCTACACCTCCTGGGTTCAAGTGATTCTCCTACCTCAGCCTCCCGAGTAGCTAGGATTACAGGCGCGCGCCACTGTGCCCAACTAATTTTTGTATTTTTAGTAGAGACGGGGTTTCACAATGTTGGTCAGGCTGGTCTCAAACTCCTGACCTTGTGATCCGCCACCTCAGCCTCCCAAGTGCTGGGATTACAGGCGTGAGCCACCATGCCCGGCCACCTAAAATATTTATTATCTGGCCCTTTGCAGAAAGTTTCCCAACCCCTGAACTAGAACAATTACGAAAGCATCACAGAGGAGATGGTGTTTCATGGGTACCTTTCATGATGGGTAAAATTAAGATAAGGAGAGAGCCAGGATTATCCCAGCAACCTGAAAGCATTTATGTGATTCTTACAATGGCTTCTTTTATCACTATTAAGCCAATTAAACATTGGAAGAATCTGGTTTATCATTAAACCTCTAGGTTACTAAAGTCTAAGCTTATCATCTGGTATGGGGGTCATTAAGCAAACTTACTGAAAATAGTTTACCTTTGATCATCTTTTCCTAGAAGTCCCAGTATTCTCAAGAGCTGAATTTGTAACCATGGTGCTGGCACACTGTGGTAATTGAATTCTACTGGGAGCTTTCCTCCAACTACTTGCTTCAAAATGGTTACAAAACTCCCAGTCAAGTCTTTATATCCAGATGAATTCTCCTACATCCCCCCGCAAAAAAAACTTTGTTAATAACGTCTTATTAAATAGAAATAGACCTAATTGAAATGTCATATAGAACCTGACTTAATACATACTTAAGTTTATGTTCACATTTAATGAAACAGTGCTCTAATATGTATAATATCTTCCATGATAAAATTCCTCTGGCTAACCAACCCAAAGCTGAATCATCCCAGAAAAGCTTCCATCACTCCCTACTTTTCCCCGTATACAGTTTAATCACATTTCAAAATTCTTATATCTTAGGTAGAATCCTTAATAGCCAATACCAGTAATTAAAACAAAAAGTGAAAAGAACTGGCATACTGCAAAAGGACAGTAATACCTCGGCTTTGGATGAAAATCAAGGCCTATTTGCAATCTCTGAACTCTGTTTCCAAAAGACTTCCCATGTAAATGAGTTAAATTCATTCTGGGGCCGGGCACAGTGGCTCACGCCAGTAATCCCAACACTTTGGGAGGATGAGGCGGGCGGATCACCTGAGGTTGGGAGTTCGAGACCAGCCTGACCAACATGGTGAAACCCTGGTTCTACTAAAAATACCAAATAAGCCGGGTGTGGTGGCACATGCCTGTAATCCCAGCTACTCGAGAGGCTGAGGCAGGAGAATCGCTTGAACCTGGGACGGGGAGGTTGTGGTGAGCTGAGATCATGCCATTGCACTCCAGCCTGGGCAACAAAAGCGAAACTCAATCTCAAAAAAAAAAAAGTCCCCAAAATCAGTGTGCCTGCCAATTAAAAATTAATTAGCCACACAGTATCTAAAAATATTTGTTTCTGAAGGAGTGTGCCTTGATTATGTATCTGAGTAATCTCTTGGACTGGGGAAATTATATCCACACTCCTTAAAAGGAACATTAGATTCTTTATTCTAATTTTTATTATGTATCAAGGGAAAATTTTTTGGAAGGGAAATAAAGCTCTTTCAAATTTTAGTAAATGTTAAGGAAAAAATAAAATTTAATATTGAACATTTATTTAAACTGTACTATTTTAGAACACGATACATAAAAAACAATATAACTTTAAATGAGTTCAATAGCATATTTTATTTTGTTATAGTAGGTGCCATGAAATCTGTTACAAATATGTATATTTGAACACAAATGGTTTCAGGCAATACACTAAGGATGAATTAGTATAAATCCACCATCGCCATTTAGAAAAGTGTTTTACCATAACATTCAACCCTCTTTCCTCATATGATACAGAATTAATACATGGAGTCAATACTACAATCTATAGCTTGCACAACCCCCGCTGGTTTTCCTCATTTCTATAAAATGTTATGCATCCCATGAAGTTATATAAAAGAGAATTACTGCTTGAAAAAACACAAATCTGCAAACTTAAGACACCTTCCACTGATACCATTTTTCCACACCTGTTTAGTAACATCAAAAAATTTTAGGCATTAAAAAAAAAAAAACTAATTCTGTAATGTGCCTACAACTCATGCTCTCAACAACTTGCAAAACTACTAATTCAAAGGTCAATAATAAAATTATAAAATGTTAACTAAGCATTTTACCAAAATATCTGTTTCTTTTTAATTCCATAATTGTATTTTTCTAATGGTAACTACTCAGTACTTGCTAAAATTTCCAACTTACCTTAATCATTCTAAGATATATATGCAAGGAGGCAGCCATGACCCCAACATCTCTGTCACAAAGTGCTTTCCGAAACTTAATATGAATATGTTGTACTTGATTAGGAGCAATGAGATGGAATTTGTATAATGCCAGAACAGCTTTTCTTCGTACAATCTCCCTGAAGACAAAAAATGAAATTTAAACAAGACAATCTGAATTCTCAAGTATTTACTTTGAAAGATTATAGGCCAGATGATTTCAAAATACTGGCTCATTACCTTAATTTACAAAGAAAGAGATAACTATACATTTGTGATTAATTTATTTATTCTAATATACCAAATTATAAAAAGTGGTTACCTCTAGGAAGTAAGGTCTCAAAACTTTAACTGCCCGTGTTATATATTTATCTAGTTAGGGAATTTTTTTTTGTAACAAGCATATATTACTTTTGAGATTAAAAAAAAAAAAACATGAAAAACAAATTTCTTAATTCTCTAATTCCATTTTTAAAAGACGTATCTCTAAAAATTGAAAAAAAAAGTCAACAGTAAGTTTAAGTAATAGGTAATTTCAGCTAGTAATATTAAAATCTTTTTATTAATATTAAAAATCTTTGGCCTGTAATCCCAGCACTTTGGGAGGCTGAGGTGGGTGGATCACTTGAGGCCAGGAGTTCAAAACCAGCCTGGCCAACATGGCGAAACCCTGTCTCTACTAAAAATACAAAAATTAGCCAGGTGTGGTGGTGCACACCTGTAGTTCCAGTTACTTGGGTGGCTGAGGCACAAGAATCGCTTGAACCTGGGAGGCAGAAGTTGCAGTGAGCCAAGGTTGTGCCACTGCACTCCAACCTGGTGACAGAGTAAGACTCAGTCTCAAATTAAAAAGGAAAGAAAAGAAAAAAAACTCGTTAACATTCTCACCCTAAAATAGTAGCTTTCTATGTTTCTTTTTTATATATATATATCACTGGATAGCAGACTCCAAATATTCTGGGGGACAGAGGGGAGGAATACAAGGACACACATGGAATAAAAAGATGTTATTCCTCTCTTTGCCCAGTTCATCTGTTTCAAAACCTCATGATAATAAAGAGAAAAGTATATACTAGTTTTGCACTTCATCTGTAGCAGATAACATCTAGCACACAGAAGCAAAAATAAAGAAATGCCATCCTATGTTCATGATGTAGTTTCCAAGGAAGCTTCTTCCTTGTTAGAAATTCTCTCTCTTGTCTATTTCTACATATCTGTTATTTGCAGACTATGCTGGCAGTGCTCAGAACAGCAGCAAACATCACAAAAGTGAAGTATTTACTTTTAGGGTTCCTTAACAGATATTTCTGTCGTAGAATCTCAAGACTGAGACTATTCAGTGCAATCCTTTGTGTTCCACTCAAGAACTCCTTTTATAAGATTCTTAATAAGTGGTCATACAAATTCCATTAATAAACAACTCTTATCTTCCTAGGCAAGCTATGCCATAACGGAAAACTCTTCACAAAAAAAAAAAGAAAAGAAAAGAAAGGCAGATTAATAACAGATTTACTGTTAGTATTAATACTGTGGTGAATGCAAGCCACGTCACAGTGTATTGCCATTGCGTGTTAACTGATATTAATTCTGGGGGAGAATAGGTAAATGAAGTGAGGAAAAAAAAAAAAAAAACTCTGAATAGGCCCAGGAGTTCACAGGCCTGGCCTCAAGTGGTGGTACTAACATAAGACGAGAGACCTAGATTCAGGCTCTGGGGTTGGTATGCTGAAATACAACCAGGGATTCAAAAGTTGAATTCAAGCCTTATTTCAAATATTCTTTGTGACATCTACTGGCTTACCTATAGCTCTGCCTCATATTCGTCAGCTCTTTACTCCAGAGCATGGGGCTGAGTATGGCCATAACTGCAAAAGCTGAGTTTCAAAAAGTCTAAACTCTAGCCAGGACTTGAAATTAGACTAAACACAAAGCAATAAAGAAAAAAATTGAAACGGGACCTTTCAATTCTCAGAAGGATTTCATACAAATGGTCAGTAAGTAAGGTCACCACAAAAGTAGTGGTAAGGAAAAGTTAAGCAAAAATATGCTGCTTTTATAATCAGATCACCTTATAAATCTCAAAAAAGCAAATATTTCCAATAATTAATTGTCCATAATCATCCTTCGTTCTAAACACAGATATGATATACAATACATAAAAAGTCTGAAAGACCTATGAAGTTATTCTGTAATTCTTAGTAAAAGCTATCATTTTAGCTGGAAGATTCATGATTCAATATTTCTTAAAGTATACAAGTTGGCCGGGCATGGTGGCTCACGCCTGTAAGCCCAGCACTTTGGGAGGCCAAGACAGGTGGATCACGAGGTCAGGAGTTCGAGACCAGCTTGGCCTATATGGTGAAACACTGTCTCTACTAAAACATTAGCCAGGCATAGTGGCGGGCGCCTGTAGTTCCAACTACTCAGGAGGCTGAGGCAGAAGAATAGCTTGAACCCGGGAGGCAGAGGTTGCAGTGAGCCAAGATCACACCACTGCACTCCAGCCTGGGCGACCGAGCAAGACTCCATCTCAAAAAAAAAAAAGAATACAAGCTATAAAACAACATTTTGCAATCTCAGAACATTAAAAATACTGATTTAAAGTATGTAAAATAAATGTTGTATGAGTAACAAAAAAATCTTCATCAAGAATATATAACTGACATACCATAATCACAATGATTGCAAACCTTTTCCAACTTTAAAAATTATGGGCCAGGCGCAGTGGCTCACATGTGTAATCTCAGCACTTTGGGAGGCCGAGGCAGGTGAATCACAAGGTCAGGAGTTCAAGATCAGCCGGGCCAAGATGGTGAAACCCTGCCTCCACTAAAAATACAAAAAATTAGCTGGGCATGGTGGCGTGTTCCTGTAATTCCAGCTACTCAGGAGGCTGAGGCAGAGAACTGCTTAAACCTGGGAGGTGGAGCGTGCAGTGAGCCGAGATCACTCCACCGCACTCCAGCCTAGGCAACAGAGTGAGACTCTGTCTCAAAAAAATTAATTAATTAATTAATTAAAATTATGACATAAAGGGGCTTGGTCAAAAACAAAATATTAATAATTCAAATACAGTGAAAAGTAAGTCAGTCTGATAAGGAGACAGTTAAGGAAATTTACAAGAGAAGATTAGCAAAATACTACAAAGTAAATTAAGCTTGGAAACATTCTGCTGTAAAATAGGATTAAAATGCTGTGGTTTTGATATAAAAAGCATCTTCCCGGGCCGGGCATGGTGGTTCACACCTGTAATCCCAGCACTTTGGGAGGCCGAGGCAGGTGGATCACCTGAGGTCAGGAGTTCGAGACCAGCCTGGCCAAACCCAGTTTCTATTAAAAAAAAAAAAAAAAATTAGTCGGGCATGGTGGCAGGCACCTGTAATCCTAGCTACATGGGAGGCTGAGGCAGGAGAATTGCTTGAACCCGGGAGGCAGAGGTTGCAGTGAGCCAAGTTCATGCCATTGCACTCCAGCCTGGACAACGGAGTGAGACTCTGTCTCAAAAAAAAAAAAAAAGCATCTTCCCACTACACTGAAGCTTTGCATTCACAACACTTGCACAATTTCCATATGTTTTTCATTATTTCACTTTATCCCCAAAACAACTTTGGTAGAACTAAGGAGCTTCAACCAACCCCATATAGCCAAGGAAAAACAAGACCACTGCTCATTAGTGGTAGAAATGGGAGGCAAGCCAAGGATTCCTGGATACTAGGCCTCACTGTCTCTTAGTCTAACTTTAGAAAGCTGTCTAACATTTCCCTAAACCCACATAAAAATAAAGATGATCCTATTGAAGATTTTTGTATTATTCCTAGCAGTCAAATAATCTCTATCCTGGTAGCACTGAAGTTGTAATAAATTTTCTAGCATAAACTTCTGTTTTGAAATATATGGCATAGATGCCTATCCCAAAAGAATTTACTTACTTAGAATGTTGAAGTTTATCTTCTATTAATGGAAGAACAGCTGGAATCATTTCGCAGGGGAAAATCTGGCTAACAACAGTCAGTGCCATACACACTTCTACTAGGTTAGTGCTCTGCAGATCCTGGCACAACATTAAGCAAAGAAAACATTTAGTGTAAATACTGAAACTAGGAATGGCAAATTCAACACTGTAATGGTCCTATATACTTAGTAATTTTGTGCTATTTATAATTAATTTGTACATCCAAACTTATGGCATATTTTATTGCAATGCTCCTATTTGTTTCATTTGCCTTAATAGAGTCAGTAGACAAATAAAGCCAAAAAGCAACTGATAGAAGAGGAAATTTTATCGCTGTTCTGAATCTAGCCAAAGTAGTCTCCTTTATTACAGCCTTTAAAACTTTTCTAAACCAATAATAAAACAATTTTATGAGTTTTTCTTATTAATCAACAATAATATGAATGTAAGTTTAAAAGGAAGTGATTCTGGAATATTCACAATAAAATGCACACATTCATATGTACTTATCTATCCATATGGTCTATAAAACTATTCTAATAGAACCTAAAAATATATTTTTTAAGTTTGGAAGAAATTTAAGCTACTAGTAACCTTAATATAGTATATGACTTAAAGGTCAGAAAATACTGTTCTCTCTCTCTATCAAAAAACTGACACAAGATAAAAAGCTCAACAACTCAATTACATCTCATTATCATTTTGATTTGGGAGTTTAACAGAAAATATTGTGAGTGAGGATTGTTTTTATTATCTCTACATTTCAGTTACTTGATTATATTCTATTCTTTTTTTAAATGACTTTTTAAATTTTAAAGACTTCATTTACCCAGTTTATATCTATATCCCTTTAGAACAGATCCTAGAAAAAAAGATAACAGCATGGAAAGTATACCTAAACTAACAACTTAGAGACTTGAACTTTAGTTCTAACTCTGTGTTTTAAAATGAAATTATAACAAGAAGAGCAGCAGCTACTACTTCACATAGTATTTCATTTAATCTTCACAACTCTGTAAGTTCTATTATTTAACTCCATTTTATAGATGCAGAAACTGATCTAAAAGATTCTTCTAAGCCCATTCTGCAAGCCCACTTTCTTCTAATCTCATCTAGTTGAATATGATCGAGGAGAAATATCAGGTGCTGACAAGAATTATGACTTCATATTAACCAACATACAATACAATACCTTTACAACTGTATTCACAAGGAGAAGCAATAATTCATGACTTTCATGTAGAAATAAGGAAACAGCCAAATAACCTATAAAAGTTGAGGGAAAAGTCTGATTACTAACTACCAAAAACAGACTTTTCACACGAAGTTAAACAAAGCAGTCCTGTAAGTATCAAAGATACCAGTTACAAGTAAACAGAAACACAAATTGCAAAATATAAGGTTAAAAACCTTCAGTAAGGAAGATTTCAGCTATTCTTCACCCTGAAATCTTCCAGAATTATGTATTTCATAGGATATTCCAGAAACGGAATAGACACTATGTGTATCAACTTAAAATCTTGTAAATGGCACTAAGAAGACATGCCTTCTATTTTTTGTGCAAATCTTTACATTATCAATCAAAGCATTCTCTATTTTATAATTGCTATTTTATAGCCAAATATATAATTCAAAAACTAATCACTATAATAAAAAAAACCCTAATCACTACAGTTAATAGTGAGTTACTAGCTCTTTGTACTGAGTGAGCTAGCCACCTAATGTCAACGCACATGATGTAAATCATATATTAAATATATTAAGCCACACACAATACCTTATTTTCTCAATTGAGGGAATAACAATTATTTAGGAAAGAAACACTGTCTGCCACATTAAATATACTCATTGGCTTAAATAAGCATTTTTATTGCAATAATATTAAAACATTTTTAAAGTACATTTTAACATTGAGGAAATATATTAACACTATAACAAATGCCATGTACATATAATCTAGATACTCCAAGGAATTTTCTCAGTCAGGCTTCACATTGATAATAACTAACACTTTAATTAGACAGTCACTATGGGTCAAGTACTTTATAAGCATTACTTCATTTAATCCTCATAACCACACAATGAGATAGGCCTTTTTATCCCTATATAATGAGACCCAAGACTGGGCGTGGTGGCTCACGCCTGTTATCCCAGCACTTTGGGAGGCCGAGGTGGGTGAATCACGAGGTTAGGAGATCGAGACCATCCTGGCTAACACGGTGAAACCCCGTCTCTACTAAAAATACAAAAAATTAGCCAGGCGTGGTGGCGGGCACCTGTAGTCCCAGCTACTCGGGAGGCTGAGGCAGGAGAATGGCATGAACCCAGGAGGCAGAGCTTGCAGTGAGCCAAGATCACGCCACTGCACTCCAGACCAGACGACAGAGCAAGACTCGGTCTCAAAAAAAAAAAAAGAGACCCAAAAAAAGGCAATTTCTCAAGGTCCAATCTATCACATGGTGGAGCCAGGACTCAAACCCAGACAGTTGAAGTCAGTCCATATTTTAAACCCCCATATTTTACTGCCTCTCCACATAGTCTATCTTGACCTGATTCCCTGACTCCATGCTCATTGTTTTTCGTTCTTCTCAATTCTTTCAGCCTTTTCATCAGGGATTCTAATGTTAACTATAACCATCATTACCCAGCATCCATGCTGTCTGTGTCTACCATGGAACAGGAGAAAACGGAAACTTCCAATTCTTACAATCAAGAGGTAGTAGCATGACCAATTCCAACACCTTCACTAGAGGTCGGAGGAGCAGAGCTATTACTCTCACAATCTTAAGAGTTGAAACAAATCTGACCCGGGCCAAGAAAGAGATGAGGAAAATCCCAGAAAGCATTTGTTTTGTTTCGTTTCCTGAGACAGAGTCTCACTCCATCACTCAGGTTGGAAGGCAGTGGCACGATCAAAACTCACTGCAGCCTCTACCTTCCAAGCTCAAGCAATCCTTCACCTCAGCCTCCCAAGTAGCTGGGACCAAGGCATGCACCATCACACCGAGCTAATTTTTTTTTTTTTTTTTTTTTGTAGAGATAGGGTCTCACTATGTTACCCAGGCTGGTCTCAAACGCCCAGACTCAAGCGATCCCTCCCACCTTAGCTTCCCAAAGTGCTGGGATTACAGGAGTGAGCCACCACACCCAGGCCCCCAGAAAGCATTTAAAGCAGAGATTGTCTTATCAGATTGCTGATAAATCACCTGCTCAGCTAAGGTATCACCCATTCCCAAGTCACCAATATCAAGGTCAACAAACTAATCCAAAGACCATCTCAATGAAACCTTAGTTCTTTCTGTTATGAATAATATCCCAACTGTTTCAACAATCAGAAAAAAAGGGGGAAAAACACTGTGACTCAAAAAATGTAAAAATTTTCAGAGAAACAAAGAATAATAACTACGATTACAAAATATATTTGGTATAACTAAGAATGAGGTATACAAGCTTTGAGTACAGAAATTTGGGCTCTGGCTCCATTTATCTGCTCTATGACTTATGTTCCTATGCTCTATAAGTTACTTGACTTTTCTGAGTCTCAGTCTTCTCATCTTTAAAATGAAGATAAATGGCCAGGCACTTTGGGAGGCTGAGGCAGGCGGATCACTCGAAGTCAGGAGTTTGAAACCAGCCTGGCCAACACGGTGAGAAACCTCACCTCTATTAAGAACACAAAAATTAGACAGACGTGGTGACACTCTCCTGTAATCCCAGCTACTTGGGAGGCTGAGGCATAAGAATCGTTTGAACCCAGGAGGCAAAGGTTTCAGTGAACCAAGATCACGCCACTGCACTCCAGCCTGGGTGACAGAACAAGACTCTGTCTCAAAAAAAAAAAGAAAAGGTAAAATGAAGATAAATACTATCTCAGAAGATAAAGCACTTAACACCTAACTTTATGAGCACTGAAGTTTATTTATTCATGCCTATAATTCCAGCACGTTGGGGGGCCAAGGTGGGAGGACTGCTTGAGGCCAGAAGTTTGAGACCAGCCTGGCTAACGTAGCAAGACCCTATCTCTAAAAAGAAAATAATAACTTAAAAAAAGTATTTATTCAATGATACTCATAAAAAAAATAATAAGGCATTCTGGCTGGGCACGGTAGTTCATGCCCGTAATCCCAGCACTTTGGGAGGCCAAGGTGGGTGGATCAACTGAGATCAGGAGTTCGAGACCAGCCTGGCCAACATGGCAAAACCCTGTTTCTACCAAAAATAAAAAAATTAGCCGGGTGTGATGGCAGGCGGGCACCTGTAATCCCAGTTACTCGGGAGGCTGAGGCAGGAAAATCGCTTGAACCTGGGAGGTAGAGATTGCAGTAAGCCGAGATCGTGCCATTGCACTCTAGCTTGGGATGCAACAGCGAAACTCCATCTCAGAAGAAGATACAAATAAAAAGACATTCTGCATCAGAGAAAGCACCAAAGCAGGCTTTAAAATTCAGGAGTGGATGAGACAACAGTACCAGAGTGAAGACATGTAGAAGGCATAAAATGGCCGGGCGCAGTGGCTCATGCCTGCAATCCCAGCACTTTGGGAGGCCAAGGCGGGTGGATCATGAGGTCAGGATTTCCAGACCATCCTGGCTAACACGGTGAAACCCCGTCCCTACCAAAAAATTAGCCAGGCACGGTGGCACGCACCTGTAGTCTCAGCTACTCGAGAGGCTTAGGCAGGAGAATCACTTGAACCCAGGAGGCGGAGGCTGCAGTGAACCGAGGTGGCGCCACCATACTCCAGCCTAGGTGACAGAGACTCTGTCTCAAAAAAAAAAAAAGAAGGCCGGGCACGGTGGCTTACGCCTGTAATCCCAGCACTTTGGGAGGCTGAGGCGGGCGGATCACGAGGTCAGGAGATCGAGACCATCCTGGCTAACACAGTGAAACCCCGTCTCTACTAAAAATACAAAAAATTAGCTAGGCACGGTGGCAGGCGTCTGTAGTCCCAGCTACTTGGGAGGCTGAGGCAGGAGAATGGCGTGAACCTGGGAGGCAGAGCTTGCAGTGAGCCGAGATAGCGCCACTGCACTCTGGCCTGGGCGAAAGAGCGAGACTCCGTCTCAAAAAAAAAAAAAAAAAAAAAGGCATAAATTTTATCTTTTTTTTTTTTTTTTTTTTAGACATATTATCGCTGTGTTGCCTAGGCTGGAGTGCAGTGGCACAATCTCAGCTTACCACAATCTCCGCCTCCCAGGTTCAAGCAATCCTCTGACCCCAGCCTCCCAAGTAGCTGGGAATACAGGCATGTACCACCACACAAGGCTAATCTTTGTATTCTTAGTAGAGATGGGGTTTCACCATGCTGGCCAGGCTGGTCTCGAACTCCTGACTTCAAGTGATCTGCCCACCTAAGCCTCTCACAGTGTTGGCATTACAGACATTAGCCACCGTGCCCAGCCCCATAAATTATATCTTTAAAAAATGATTACCACTCAATAATATACATTAAAAACATCTGATGCCTGCAGATACACGTCCCTCTAATTGGCAAGAAAATATTTTCCTAAAGATCATGAGTCTCAATAAAAATAACTCTGAGATCCCCTTTAATATAAGCATCCATAACTATAAAATGATACATATAAAAGGTTATTAATTACAGCATAATTTATTTACTTATTTATTTATTTATTTATTTATTTATTTATTTATTTATTTTTTGAGATGGAATTTCACTCTTGTAGCCCAGGCTGGAGTGCAATGGTGCGATCTCAGCTCACCGCAACCTCCGCCTCCCAGGTTCAAGTGATTCTCCTGCCTCAGCCTTCCAAGCAGCTGGGATTACAGGCCTGCACCACCATGCCCAGCTAATTCTGTATTTTTAGTAGAGACAGGGTTTCTCCATGTTGGTCAGGCTGGTCTCATACTCCTGACCTCAAGTGATCTGCCCACCTCAGCCTCCCAAAGTGCTGGGATTACAGGTGTGAGCCACCGTGCCTGGCCACATTATTTATTTATTTTTTTGAGACAGGGTCTCACTCTGTTACCCAGGCTGGAGTGCAGTGGCGTGATCTTGGCTCACTGCAACCTCCACCTCCCAGGTTCAAGCGATTCTCATGCCTCAGCCTCCCTAGTAGCTGGGACTACAGGCACCCACCACCATGCCTGGCTAATTTTTTGTATTTTTAGTAGAGACAGGGTTTCACCATGTTTGCCAGGCTGGTCTCGAACTCTTGACCTCAGGTGATCCGCCCACCTCGGCCTCTCAAAGTGCTGGGATTACAGGCATGAGCCACCATGCCCAGCCAAATTACAACATAATTTATGAGAACAACAACAAAAAAAAAAATCAAAAATAAGCCATATGTCCACCAAAAGGGATGTGGTTGAAAAAACTATGGTACATCCACCCAATAAAAATTATGCAACTGTATAAAAGTATAAAGATGTCAAAACAAGGTATAGAATAATCTATATAGTATGCTATCTTTCAAGTAAGAGATAGTATAGATAACATGCTGCCTTTTATATAAAAGAGAGTGAATGTGTGCACAAACTTTTGCTTGCTTTTTCAAAATAAAACAATGGAAAGATTAATCAGAAACTAATGAAAATAGTTCCCTATGAGGGTAAAGGGAAGACTGGGTAGTGGGGCTAGAGATGAAAGTGAGCCATAATGCTTTACATATTTTAAAAATAAAATAAAATTGAAAATTATTTAAATTATATGTAAGTCTAAGAAGCAAAATGTAGCAACAGTTGGACAAAATAATTCTACCATCAACTATCTAATATTTAATAACTATCTACTGTTTTCAAAATTTCCTGCCTATGCTAACATGGAAGCCAGCCAAGTAACAAGAAAGAGCAGGACTAAGGCCCATTTCATGCCAAAGGAAGCCAAAACAAAAATGGCAGGACCAAAGCAAAGTACTAAATTCTACCCATGCAATATTTAAACAGGTTCCCAGGTAGTTTCATTTCAGAACTCTCAGACAAAATCTAATCAGCATATTCTCCTCTTCAAAGTCTGAGACCAGGGAAACAAAGGTTCCCATGGTCATTTGTATGCCTGATTATATCAGCACAACACATGGTTCATGCCTTCATGAAGGCAATTACAACATTATACTATAACTTTTTTTTTTTCTTTTGAGACATGCTCTGGCTCTGCTGCCCAGGCTGGAGTGCAGTGGCACAATCTCAGCTCACTGCAACCTCTGCCTCCTGGGCACAAGCCATCCTCCCACCTCAACCTCCCAAGTAGCTGGGACTACAGGTGCACACCACCATGCCTGGCTAATTTTTGTATTTTTTGTAGAGATGGGATTTCACTATGTTGCCCTGGCTGGTCTCCAACTTCTGAGCTCAAGCAATCTGCCTGCCTCAGCCTCCCAAAGTGCTGGGATTACACGCATGAGCCACTGTACCCGGCCTGTACTGTAACTATTAATTTCTGTTTGTTTCGGTCCTTTCCCGTCATTGCAGGGATCCTCAAAATGTAAGTTATTCATCTGTAAGTATGAATAAGCAATGTAAGTTATTCATCTGTAAGTTTAACTGCAGTATCTGGCATACAGTGGGCACTCATCTTATCAATTCCATGAATACTGAATAAATTTTATAAACAGACAATCCCTAAGAAGACTTTCTGTTCATAAATATTTTTCCTACTCAAGACAAAATTTCACTATTGAAGGCTAATTTATTTGGATCTGTCTTCCAGAGTCTTTAACAAAATAGATACCTCTAAGAAGGGTATCAATGTTATCTCAATTGCTGTAAGCTAATATGTAAAGGGAATAAGAGAAAATGGCCCAAAGTTGAAGGGAAAGATTAGAAAGCAAAGAAATTGAGAAGCAGAACAGTAAAAGAAATGCGATGAAAAGATAAGATGGGAGGGAGGCAAAGAAATACCAGACTTTTGCCTAAAATCTGCCATCACTGACTCTTGTTATGATTGAATTGTAAACATTTCCAAATGTATTCACATCTAACACATTTTTCCTTAGAAACGAAAAGGATGAAGTTGGTTTTCACTTTTCTCAAAATGCTCAACAATGGTTGAAATTTCCTTTTTGATGTTTTCCTTCTTTGATCAAAACCAAACCAAAGAAGAGAAAAAAACTACAAATACAGTCTTTCAGAAGCTAAAAAGAGCAACACCATTAGAAAGACTTTAACATATGAAAATTCTGACAGGTGAATTTTCAAGGTTTGGGATGACAACTGAAAATCGTGAATATGACTGGAAGAGCTTACATTCCATATTTGTATAATATTTAAGAAAAATCAAAGTTTTAAGAAAAGCAAATTACTAATAAAAACTAATTTGAAGCCTCGAAAAAAAAATTCCTGCCTTTAGGGATCTTAAAATTAGTTCAGGAGCTAAGACATTAATATATGAAAAGATAACAAAAGGTAACAGATGGTAGGAGCCACCTGAGTGATCACAGGAGAAATAAAATTTGATTTGGAATATGGAAAGAGAGAAAGAGAATGTTAAAGGACATTCTACTTGGAGGAAAGAATATAACAAGTTTAAAAGATCTAAGTGTGTTTTGGGCGGAGTAGGGTTCCACAAGTGGAATATTGTGTGCACTCAGTCTCAGAATGTTTACCAAGACATCTGTCACCTTCACCCCGTCATCTGATAGCACAGAGCAATATAACTTATGAATAATGCTAGTCCTTAACGACATGACATTATCAACTTCTCTGAATAAAGAACGTGTTCTAACCTTTACTATTCTAAAATACTTCCTTCTTGAGATTCTGATATAAAGTTGAACATTTATGAATAGAATATTTAATTGCTTAAAAGAATTTTTCCTAACAGCCCTAAAGGTTGACTATAGAGAGAAAATTTTTTTAAGACACTGCTAATCCTCATAGCTAACATTTGAGAAGCTAAGAACAAGATATTTAAAATTACTTTAATAAATTTCAGTTTTATTCTATAAAGAAGCATTTCTGACCATTAAACTAATAAGGTTAAACAGACTTCTTAATATCAGCTCTATTGACCAGGCGCAGTGGTTCACACCTGTAATCCCAGCGCTTTGGGAGGCCAAGGCGTGTGGATCACTTGAGCCCAGGAGTTCAAGACCAGCCTATGCAACATAGTGAAACCCCATCTCTACAAAAACAAAACACAAAAATTAGCCAGGCATGGTGGCACACAGCTTAGTCCCAGCTACTCAGGGGGCTGAGATAGGAGGATCACTTGAACCTGGAGGCAGAGGTTGCAGTGAGCAGAGATCCCGCCACTGCACTCTAGCCTGGGCAACACAGAGAGACTCTGTCTCAACAACAACAAAAAAAAGAGCTCTTTATAGACATATAATTTATATACAAAAAAGTCAGCTTTATAGACATATAATTTATATACAAAAAATATTTAAGTGTATGGTTCAATGAGTTCTGACATATATAGTCATCTAACCGCCATCACAAGAGCAAGAAATCTTTAGTCTTCTCTTTAACTCCAAAATGCTATGCATCAGGAAAACTGATTTCCTATAAATGGCTTTGACTTTCTGAAGTGTGATCTTTTAAAGTTTTAGAAATTATAATACAGTATTCTAAAAACATACTATATACATGCCATCATTCATTTTGTATAATAGATGCAACTTCAAGGACAACATGAAAGCATCAAAGTCTTAAAACACATACATACCTACTCTTTTTTCTAAGAGGTTTCCTTGTTGGGCTAACTTGATTGCATGAATATAGCCAAAGGAAGCATCATATCCAAGCATTTCACAATATATAAGTCTCACCATACATTCCTTCATCATTTTCTGAAAAGCAAAATATCCAGTAGCTGTATAAATAAACAGAATATTTAGATTGTTTTAACTATGTTCTCATAATTTAAAAGGAGAATCCTTTAATCCTGGTGCTGAAGAAATAACATATATATTACAAATTAATCACCCAATATCAGACTTTATAAATAAAAATTGCTCCTGATCTTACTTACCAACAGTATTACTTTTAGTAAAATTATTTCACTATTTTGTTAGTAGCACTACTATAAAATAAATCAACTGTAGCTGTTTCTATGTGTCCCTAGTGAAAAATTTGGTTATAATGTGATACATGGGGTCTTCACACAAGATTTCATCATGGTCATTTTACTTGGCTTCTAAAATACAGCACATAATTTTAGTAGACTTTGTCAAATGAAAACATCCATAAAATTCCCACAAGTTGGTAATAATTCCTGTAACAAAAATATTTTTCACATTGGAAAACCAAATTGCACCTAGATTTTCTTCAGAATTATTGTGCTAAGTACAATATGGAATAGTTTGCTTTATAGGCACTCTTTTTTAATAACTCACAATTATAAACTGAGGGGCATGATTTCATTAATGGCATAGCTATTGTAATAATATTTAGTTTTCTAATGGGGTCTTTTAATATCTTCAATGCAAGCCAAAAATTTTTAAGGGATGCTAAAAAATTTGTTTTATCACTAAGATATTTGCATTCTCAATATTTATGGAAAATCTTAATCAGAAGTAAAATATATAAATAAAATGTGTTTCAAAATAACTAAAAGCTCACAGACTTTTTTTTTTTTTTTTTTTTTGAGACAGAGTCTCGCTCTGTCACCCAGGCTGGAGTACAGTGGCAAGATCTTGGCTCATCGCAGCCTCCACCTACCACGTTCAAGCGATTCTCATGCTTCAGCCTCTCTAGTAGCCAGGACCACAGGTGCACGCCACCACGCCCATCTAATTTTTGTATATTTAGTAGAGATGGGGTTTCACCATGTTGGCCAGGCTGGTCTCAAACTCTTGACCTCAAATGATCCACCCACCTCAGCCCCACAAATTGCCGGGATTACAGGTGTGAGCCACCACACCCGTCCACATAGACTATTTTAATATGTCAAAATTAACTAGGGTTAGCATATTACAGGATTATTAAATAACAAAATGCTCAGGAAACAGTAAAATTGAATATTTGAAAGCAAGGATAATAATGTTTAATGTAAATATAAAGAATTTAAAGAGAAACCATAGGAAAATCTTAAGGGAATGAGATTTAACTCAGGTCACTTGTGCTTAAAGCAGTAAAAGTTAATTCATTAACACATTAATTAAGACTACAAAACACTAGCTGGGCACAGTGACTCACTCCTGTAATCCCAGCACTTTGGGAGGCCAAGGAGGGCAGATCACCTGAGGTCAGGAGTTCGAGACCAGCCTGACCAACATGGTGAAACCCCATCTCTATTAAAAAAATACAAAAATTAGCCAGGCGTGGGGACCTGCGCCTGTAATTAATCCCAGCTACTTGGGAGGCTGAGGCAGGAGAATCGCTTGAACCCGAGAGGCAGAGGTTGCAGTGAGCCAAGATCACGCAGTTGCACTCCAGCCTAGGCAACAGAGCAAGACTCCATCCTCCCACCCTGCCGCCCCCAAAAAAGCTACAAAATACTGAGAAAACAAACAAAAGATAAACAAAAAATACTGGAAGTCCCTCTTCAGACTTCTACATTAATTAGGAGTTAAAGGGTTCATTTAAGCCATTAAGTTTCAACCCTAGATTTGTAACATTTTATCTCAGAGTTTTTCAAAAGTCATTATGAACTTTATCTAAGTGAGATTACATCTCATGCATTTATTTTTAGAGATGAAAGTGCATTCCCCAATGCAAGAATTCTCTTTACAATTTCTCTGACAGCCAACCTTTACATGAACAGCTCTGGGACAGACTACTCTGTAAGATATACACAGAGTTGGATGGCCATAGTGTTATAAAACCTTCCTTTCAAACTCTGCCTTCCTAATTTCTACCTATTTATCTTAGTTCTGCCCAACTTCAGGTTTCTGCCTTGGAACAAGGAAAATTATATACTGATGCCAATCATAAAAAATGGAAATCTAACAAACAAAAACCATTTCTGTTTAACGTTTCTATCTAGTACTATGAAGCATAATTATTTTATCCATAGCCACAGACACACATACATGTATACACACAAACATACATATACATATATACACATGGATATATCAGATTATGTTTTCAGTTTTATTTGCCACATACTATTATTATGACCACAGAAGAAAATATATTCATTCTCTCAGACTTTACAAGTGTTATTCAAATTCACAATCATGTGCTTATGCAAAATGATCGTCCTGATATTTTTACTGGCAGGGAGGGAAAACATTCCCACAGTGGCTTATATACTGAAGACACTCACCAAATATTTGCTGAAGATATGTTGCTTGAAACAAAATCTCATTTAAAAAAAAATCAGGCCAGGCACGGTGGCTCACACCTGTAATCCTAGTACTTTGATTTAGGAGGCTGAGGTGGGTGGATCGCTTGAGGTCAGGAGTGCGATACTAGCCTGGTCAACATGATGAAAACCCCAACTCTACTAAAAATACAAAAATTAGCCAGGCATGGTGGCGGGCACCTGTAGTCCCAGTTACTCAGGAGGCTGAGGCAGGAGAATCGGTTGAATCCAGGAGGCAGAGGTTGCAGTGAGCTGAGATCACGCCACGCCACTGCACTCCAGCTTGGGCAACAGAGCGAGACTCCGTCTCAAAAAAAAAAAAAAAAAATCAAACTGAGTTTTAATCTAGCTATGCTGGGACAGCCCCACAGTGGCCTGCATAATAATGAATGACCATTCATTAAATAGTTGCTGAATATTGTTTGAAAAATCAGATTATGTAGAACAAACTTTAAAAACAACTAGGTCTTAAATAATAAAATTAGATATACCTACAATATATTAATTCAGGTCTGAAAATATCATGTTGAAATCCCAACCTTTTCCAAATGCATAACATTAAAAACATCAGATCAGCACTAGGGTCCCAAGAGTATCTCCACATTTATGTAATCATCATCACATTAGCCCTGACTTCACATAGGCAAATCTTGTTCTGGTGCAAACCAGTCAACAATAAAAGGCTAAAGTTAACATCTGAGTTGCTACCAACTATAATTCATTTTGACTATGATAAATCAAATTTTAGCAACCGATCATCAGTTAGATGCCACTATTGAGTCCACAGTGACTAGATTTCAAATTCAAATGTGTTGGCACTGACTATGCAAACCTACCAGTGTTGTAGTAGGAGCAGAAACAGTCGCTTTCAGACTACTCAGTTCCTGCTGGATTAATTTTTCTTCTTCCTGAGAAAGTGAAAATATTTAAATGCTTGATTAACTGTCTTTTAAAACTGTAACAGCATTTATCTAAACGGAAAAATATAATTTACAATACTTTTAATTTAAAAGAAACATTATTTTAAAGGAGAGTTACAAATACTATCTGCTTACGATCTATCTAAAGGCATTTCTCCAAACCTCAGAACCATCCCTGGAGAGAATAAATATTTCCAGGCTAACCCATCCTTCCTCTTTTCTTTACTCAGTTACTTCCCCTTAATGGTAGAATAGCAGAAAATGTTTTTTTTTAAAACTAAAGGTGGAAGCCGGGCACAACAGCTCATGCCTGTAATCCCAGCACTTTGGGAGGCCAAGGCGAGTGAATCACTTGAGGTCAGCAGTTTGAGACCAGCCTGGCCAACATGGCAAAACCCCGTCCCTACTAAAAATACAAACATTAGCTGGGGGTCCTGTAATCCCAGATACTCGAGAGGCTGAGGCAGGGGCAGGAGAATCGCTTGAACCCGGGAAGTGAATGTTGCAGTGAGCCGAGATCGTACCACTGCACTCCAGCCTGGGTAACAGAGCAAGACTCCATCTAAAAAAAAAAAAAAAAAAAAAATTAAAGGTGGAGAGAGAGTAGAAATTCTCCATGTATTGGCCCAAGAAAAGAGTCTCATCTCACATCTTCCCCTTAGAAGTAAAAAGTCTTCATGGAATTAAGAAACAGGGTAAGAAAGCAGAAACAGAAATAGGTCTTTTTCCCTTAAACTACATTCTTCTTCCCTGTCTTTTCCTCATTCCCCAAATCCTTTCCATAACTTCCTATCTCAGACACATACCAATGTGGTCACTCCTACTGTCTGCATTGTATGTTATCTCCCTAAGCACTTAAAAAATTGGCCCCATTTTTTTTTGGCTAATATCATGCTACCTTTAAATTACACACTGAATTACATGTTCATCAGATGGCTATTCAAAAGCCACTAGTGACGTACTGATACACGTGGATGCCTATCTACAGTTTCAAACTGCTATTTAAGACCAAAAATAACTTTTTAAAAAATTTTATTGAGGATCCCTTAAAAATTAGCAAAGGACAAAAACCTTAAGAAAAACAACATTATTAAGGCCACAAATGGCCAGGCGTGGTGGCTCACGCCTGTAATCCCAGCACTTTGGGAGGCCAAGGCCAAGGCAGGTGGATTACCTGAGGTCAGGAGTTCAAGACCAGCCTGGCCAACATGGCGAAACCCTGTCTCTACTAAAAATATAAAAATTAGCCGGGTATGGTGACGTGTGCCTGTAATCCCAGCTACCAGGGAGGCTGAGGCAGAAGAATCACTTGAACCCAGGAAGCAGAAGTTGCAGTGAGCCAAGATTGCACCACTGCATTCCAGCCTGGGCGACAGAGTGAGACTCCATCTCAAAAACAAAACAAAACAAGACAAGCCCACAAGTAATGATTCTGGAATGTGAAGCAGGTTCTCTCCGGATAGCATCAACTTATTAGAGCTGCCAAAAAAATATTTTTTTTAAACCTTCAGAGCACTTTCTTTTCTGTCTTTCCTTCTCTTTTAGCACTTCTATTGCATTGTAGTCATGCTTATACTTGTCTTAAGCCCAAAACGAATGACTAATTCCTTGGGAAAAGGGAATGTGTTTAATTCTATTTTCCTGTGTCTAACACATAACCTTGTTCCATAAACATCTGTTGAACAAATAATGACATTAACACGTGCTCTTTTTAAGATATAAACTCCTTGTAGCTGTGAATCGGTATACTACACAATCCGTGCAACCATCGAGCGCCTGTGGGGGCCCGGCGCGGTGGCTCATGCCTGTAATCCCAGCACTTTGGGAGGCCGAAGTGAGCGAACACTTGAGGTCAGTTCAAGACCAGCCTGCCCAACATGGTGAAATCCTGTCTCTACTAAAAATACAAAAATTAGCCGGGCGTAGTGGCATACGCCTATAATCCCAGCTACTTGGGAGGCTGAGGCAGGAGAATCGCTTGAACCCGGGAGGCAGACGCTCCAGTGAGCCAAGATCGCACCATCGCACTCCAGCCTGGGCGACAGAGCGAGACTCCGTCATTAAAAATTTAAAAATTTTAAGGCCGGGCAGGGTAGCTCACGCACGTAATCCCAACACTTTGGGACGCCAAGGCGGGCGGATCGCGAGGTCAGGAGATCGAGACCATCCTCGCTAACACGGTGAAACCCCGTCTCTACGAAAAGTACAAAAAATTAGCCAGGCAGTGGCGGGCACTTGTAGTCCCAGCTACTCGGGAAGCTGAGGCAGGAGAATGGCGTGAACCCGGAAGGCGGAGCTTGTAGTGAGCCCAGATCGCGCCACTGCACTCCAGCCTGCGCGACAGAGCGAGACTCCGTCTCAAAAAAAAACAAAAATTAAAATTTTTAAAACCTTAAGGCTCCAGCGAGCCGAGATCGAGATCGCACCATTGCACTCCAGCCTGGGCGACAGAGAGAGACTCCGTCAATAAAAATTTAAAAATTTTAAAAGTTTAAGAATTTTTATAACTGCTCATTTTCAAAGCCCACTTGAGGCAGAGACTTAGCAAATTTTACATTTTGAGAGAACTGTGCTTTTTCTTTGCCCAACACGTTGTTGTAACCCAAGAACCTCAAGCTCCCCAAAGATATTCAACAAGAGGCTCACAGGATCTCTTCAGGTATGCGACATCTGAACTGTTGTTCAGTTGAAGGCACCGGGGGAGAGAAGGAAACTGAGTAGGGAAAAAAAACTTTGTGGAAGGTAAATAATGTCTGACACTTCCATCGCACTAGGTATTTTCACACGCTTGACATCTCACCCAATCCTCAAAACAAACAAAAAACCTATGAATTATGTATCAGTACTTTTCCACCACAACGTTGAGAAAACACACGGAGGCTCAGAGGTTACAGAGATGTGCCCCCGATCAAAGAGTCAGTGTCAGAACTAACTGTGGAAACTCGGCTTCCCTGCTGTCAGTCCCAGCAGGAAAGTGAAGCTTCCAGGCAGACGAAAGGACGAACCGACACAGCAGCCCCTGAGCCCCGCCGGAGGGCTAACCCCAGAGGCCCTGAAGTCTCGCCGCCCGGCCAGGGCCTCCTGGCGCGGGGGCCTCACTCCGATGTCCCTGAGCTCCCGGGCCGGCGGGCACCTACGTGCTTGGAGGTGAGGGCTGTGATGCCGCGGACAAGGCTGCCCAGCCTCGAGGAGAAGGACGCCTTGGCGGCCGCGGGCCCACCACCGGGCTGGTTCTGCAGAAAGAGTCCCGGCAGCGCCGTCAGCGTCTTCTCCACTATGTCGCTCATCGCCGCCGCCGCCCGCGATGCCGCCGCCGCCCGCGATCCCGTAGCCGCCCGGCTTCATGCCCGGCCGCCGCTGCCGGCCCGGCCTCCGTAGGCACTTCCTGTTTTTTGAATAAGAAATCTTTATTGGCGTCCCACCTGAACAAGTTCAGCGTCGTTCTCGCGAGAGGCCACCAGAGGGCGCAAGAGACCGCGGGGGTGGAAAAGGCCGCTCGCTCGAGATTGCGCGCGTAAGTAGACCTCCTTTCTCGCGACGGGGTAGCGGTTCCGGAATCCCCCAGAACCGTGAGTCCTCCTGAGGAAGCCGTCGGGGGCCTGGCCCTGTTAGGCACTGTCTCCCAGAGTCCCCCTTTCCCACTAGCCGCCTCCGCGTAGCCCGAGACCGCGTCAGGAGTTGCGTCTTCCTGGCTGCGCCTTTTTCGGGACGTCCCCGCGCCGTCCGCCGCCTCTCACTGTCCCCGGAGCGCGCGCCACCCGCCCGCTTCCCACAGGCGGTTTCACGCGGGTCCCCGGCGCCGCGCGCGGCTCCGGCCCTGGCGACTCTTGGGACACCCGAGTAGTTGCGTGATAGCGGGGCTGTCCTGAGGATTCGGCGTGCCAGGTTGAGAGCCCGTCGCGTGCCGGGGACTCGCGGCCACTGTCGCTTCCCGTCCGCCCCTCTTCTCCTGGGATTTGGGGAGGTGGGCGGGAAAGAGAACTGGTCGGCGGCCACCCTTGCCGACTCCTCCTCAGCAGGTCGCAGTTGAAAGGTCATCCTTCTAGAGCCCACTCCCCTGGCCCGGCGGGCAAGGATAGGTCTCCAAGTCCCACCCTCTCACAGCGCTCGGTTCTGTTCCACTTTAGAACAGGTCGCAGTTGCCACTACGTAAACAGCTCCCCATAGAGAGAGTATTTTATTCATTCCGATTGCTCCGTCTTTTATCTAGAACAGAGTCTGGTACAATGGCTCTCGAAATGTGGTCTGGTGACCTCAGGGTCGCTGAGACCCTTCTAGGGAATTCACAAAGTCAAAACAACATTGATAACGTTTCTTACGTGTTATTTGCCGTTTTTACCCTCATTCTGTTGGAAATGTACAGAGTTTTCAAGCGGCTAGATGACGATTGACTAGCTGGTAAAATGTATCCTGGAGTATCCTTGTGTTTTCTAGAATTTTCTAAGGTAGTAGGTTTAGGGCATAAATACGTGCGTTTTCAGAGATTAATGCAATTTGCTCTCAGTACTCCTAGTGTGTTTCTAGGAGGTAGGTTAGGTAGGTGGTGATAGCCTCCCTTCAAGGGGAACAAACTTGCTAAATAAATAGAACAAACCAGCCCATAGTGTACAAACCACATCCGAGGCTCCTGGTTAGAAAATTTTGCAGCAAAGAGGTACGAGAGCAGAAGGGAAAATCCCCAAACTCTCACAAGCGCAGAAACCCATGATCAGTGTCGTTGGGCTGAATTATACTCATTATAATAGTAAAAAAAAAAAAAAAAAAAAAACACCACTCCTGGGTGAAGATTTAAGATACTAATAAGACATGCAGTGTATGTACTAGCATATACAACCACAGCGCACATGGCGACAGAAAACCAGAGAACGTGCTTAATAGCAGCACCCGTTCTCCCCGCTTCATGAATGATCCTGTGAGACTCCTACAAAGGGAGTTTCCCCAGTGTCAGTGCATGCTGTCTCACCTTTGAGCAGCCCGCTCTGATCAGCTGTGAGGGTGTACTTTCGCTTTGCAATAAACTCTTTTGCTTGCTTTTACTTTGGACTTCAAAATTATTTTGCACCGCGAAGTCCAGAACCTCAACCGGCCCACCAGCTACAGCTACACTTACAAGCTATCTTCGGTTATACCTGCTCTAATCTCTGTAACCTCCTTGTCACCTAATAAATGAGTTTTTTTGAAATCCTGAAGTTGTTTTAATACCTATATGGGAACATAAGAAAAAAGTTCAATTTGTTGGCTTGTCTCGCAAGAATATTTTTTAATATATTGAGAACATTTTAAAATATTTAAACTTTATCTAAAAGGGATACTCATTTATTCATTTAATTTTTTTTTTTTCAGAGTCTCGCTCTATCACCCAGACTGGAATGCAGTGGCACAATCTGGGTTCACTGCAGCCTCCTCCCCCTGGGTTCAAGCAATTCTCCTGCCTCAGCCTCCCGAGTAGCTGGGATTACAGGCGCCCGCCACCATGCCCGGCTAATTTTTGTATTTTTAGTAAACACAGAGTTTCACCATTTTGGCCAGGCTGGTCTCGAACTCCTGACCTCAGGTGATCCGCCCACCTCAGCCTCCCAAAGTGCTGGGATTACAAGCGCGAGCCACTGCGCCCAGCCAGAAAGGGATACTCTTTTAGAATTTAATTTTGTTATTTTATTATTATTTTTTGAGATGGTGTCTCGCTCTGTTGCCCAGGATGGAGTGCAGTGGTGTGATCTCGGCCCACTGCAACCTCCGCCTCCCAGGTTCAAGCAGTTCTCCTGCCTCAGCCTCCCGAGTAGCTGGGATTACAGGTGCGTGCCACCACACCCGGCTAATTTTTTGTATTTTTAGTAGAGATGTGGTTTCACCACGTTGGCCAGGATGGCCTCGGTCTCCTGACCTCATGATCTGCCCGCCTCAGCCACTCAAAGTGCTGGGATTACAGGTGTGAGCCACCACGCCCTGCCTAGAATTTAATATTTTGTCGTCCGGGCGCGGTGGTTTATGCCTATATTCTAGCACTTTGGGAGGCCAAGGCGGGCAGATTGTCTGAGCTCAGGAGTTCCAGACCAACCTGGCCAACATGGTGAAACCCCGTCTCTACTAAAAATACAAAATATTCGGACAGGCACGGTGGCTCCCACCTGTAATCACAGCACTTTGGGAGGCCAAGGTGCACAGACCACAAGGTCAGGATATCAAGACCAGCCTGGCCAACCTATGACTCTACTAAAAAAATACAGAAATTAGCCGGGCATGGTGGCGTGCGCCCGTAATCCCAGCTACTCGGGAGGCTGAGGCAGGAGAATTGCTGGGACCCGGGAGGCGGAGGTTGCAGTGAGCCGAGATTTCACCACTGCACTCCAGCGTGGGCGACAGAGCAAGACTCCACCTCAAAAAAAAAAAAATACAAAAAATTTAGCCGGGCATGGTGGCACACCTGTAGTCCCAACTACTTGGGAAGCTGAGGCAGGAGAATTGCTTGAACCTAGGAGGCGAAGGTTGCAGTGAGCCAAGATCGCACCACTGTACTCCAGCCTGGGTGACAGAGCAAGACTCTGTCTCCAAAAAAAAAAGGAATTTAATATTTTATCTTTAAATTAAATTTTGTTTTATGTATAGTTTTTTAATTTTAGGTTCTTCCATTGGCTTAAAAAGGGGATACTAGAAGATTCGCTTTCTAACCTTCCCGTCTGTAAAGATGCCGAAAAAGATGAAGCTGACATCAGTATCAGAATTCACTGACTCAGGGAAAGGGAGAAATCTGGTCGAAACTATAAATAACAAAGGAAAGTATGACAAAAGCTTCTTTCTTTCCCTTGGCATTAGAGATGTTAATCACTTGCCTTATTTTATGTCATTCAACAGAACATTTTCAAATACTATTATGGTGCCAATCAAGTTGAGGCATCATTTTCAGACCAGTCAGAATTTAAAAGAAAGGGAATTTAATACTTTCAACATAGAGATGATATGCTTTATAAAAGCCAAAGCTTTTGTATTACCATTTTCAAAGTAAAAATGAAAAACCTACTGAAGCATCTTACACATGAAATTATTATATTTCATTGATAGGAGAAGGACATGCAATAGCTAAAAGACTAATGAATGCCTGCTAGCTGATAATCAGTAAAAGAACTCATGGGAGTGCTACTTTCCAAAGATGCAATAACTCACCAAATTAGACATTTAGTTGCAGGCCAGGCGAGGTGGCTCATGCCTGTAATCCCTGAATTTTGGGAGGCCAAGGCAGGCGGATAACTTGAGATCAGGAGTTTGAGACCAACCTGGCCAATATGGTGAAACCCTGTCTCTACTAAAAATACAAAAAAAAAAAATTAGCTGGGCATGGTGGTACATGCCTGTAATCCCAGTTATTCGGGAGGCTGAGGCTGGAGAATCACTTGAACCTGGGAGGCAGAGGTTACAGTGAGCTGAGATGGTGCCACGGCACTCCAGCCTGGACAACAGAGCAAGACTGTCTCAAAAAAAAGAAAGAAATTTAGTTGCAAATATAAAGACTGAGTTACTATGTCATCTGCAGAATTATAATTCCTTTAAAATGGACATAATTATTCATGTAGCTGGACTTGTTGCTTTGCTTATACCCATCCAGTGTCAGCACCAACTAATTCTTGAAGATCCTCTTTTACATAAATCTTGACAAGAAACACAAGTGGTGATGAAATAATGTATTGAACAACTTCTTTGAATCTCATAGTTTATCCTGGAACAATACACTCAATTTTTTTTAAGTCAGTTTCACTTAAGAATATCCTTGATGAAGCAGTAAGAATTCTTAATTTTATTAAATTTCAGTCTTTGAGTGCACTTTTTAAAAAATTTTTTTTGTGACAAAATGGGAAGTACTCATAAAGTACAACCTCATAAAGTATAAACTCTTAAATCCTGAGGCTTTTCTTTTGGCCGGGTGTGGTGGCTCAGGCCTATAATCCCAGCACTTTGGGAGGCTGAGGCGGGCAGAGCACCTGAGGTCAGGGGTTCGAAACCAGCCTGGCCAACGTGGTGAAACCCCATCTCTACTAAAAATGCAAAATTACCTGCGCGTGGTGGCACATGCCTGTAATCCCAGCTACTTGGGAGGCTGAGGCAGGAGAATCACTTGAACCCGGGAGGCGGAGGTTGCAGTGAGCTGAGATCGTGCCATTGCACTTCAACCTGGGCAACAAGAGCGAAACTCCGTCTCAAAAAAAAAAAAAAGAAAAAGAAAAAATTCTTGAGGCATAACTGAGATAAGATAGTTTCTCAAGGAAAAGCATTTGTATCATTGTTTAACTTGAAAGCTGAACCGGCCTGGCACAGTGGCTCATGCTTGTAATGCCAGCACTTTGGGAGGCCAAGGCGGGGGGATCACGAGGTCAGGAGATCAATACCATCCTAGTTAACACGGTGCAAAACCCGTCTCTACCAAAAATACAAAAAATTAGCCGGGCGTGGTGGCGGGCGCCTGTAGTCCCAGCGATTCTGGAGGCTGAGGCAGGAGAATGGCGTGAACCTGGGAGGCGGAGCTTGCAGTGAGCCTAGATCACGCCACTGCACTCCAGCCTGGGCGACAGAGTGAGACTCCGTCTCAAAAAAAGAAAAGAGAAGGCCGGGCGCGGTGGCTCACGCCTGTAATCCCAGCACTTTGGGAGGCCGAGACGGACGGATCACGAGGTCAGGAGATCGAGACCATCCTGGCTAACACGGTGAAACCCCGTCTCTACTAAAAATACAAAAATTAGCCGGGCATGGTGGCGCGCGCCTGTAGTCCCAGCTACACGGGAGGCTGAGGCAGGAGAATGGCGTGAACCCGGGAGGCGGAGCTTGCAGTGAGTCGAGATCGCGCCACTGTACTCCATCCTGGGCGACAGAGCGAAACTACGTCTCAGAAAAAAAAAAGAAAAGAGAAAGCTGAACCAACCACTTTTTTTCATGGAACACCATTTTTAGTTGAAAGCGATAAACAGTAGTTTTCTTGAAAATGAACAGTGAGTCTTTCAGTTGTAGGGAAAGAAAAAAATCTTTTTCTCTTACCCTTCTAAGTTCTTGGCTGGGTCCCCTGTGAAAAAAACAAGCAAGTTTATTAAAATGTATGGAGCATATAACATAGGAATAACTAGAAATGAGTAATTCAAAGAAGGTAAAACTCTGGCTTATATAGCATCTTTAACAAAATACAATAAACTTATAGAGAAATGACAGGACAAAGGAAAGCAGTTTTAGTCTTCCAGGGCTGGGAATCTTGGGGAAGGAAAATATATGGAAAGAAACTAATGAAGTAAGGTTTGTGTGCACATTCCTCTGGTGCCACCTCTGGGCTAGTAAGATGGTAGAGTTGCCTCCAGTAAAGGAAGTTGTATCCTGCCTTTAAACAGAAAAGGAGGAGGGTAGAGAGAGTGTTTCCTGCCTTTGCTGCTGCTTAATTGCCTTCAGCTCAAAATAATATTCATGTCAAATAGGAATATTTTGGGGTGACAGAGTCTGGTTTCCTTCACACTTCAAGGAAGATAACTGACAATATTTGTTGCCACTGATAAATTCAGGCTTTCAAGTGAAAACTAAAATTTTGAAAAATGTTTGTCTACTACAATTTTAATAATTTCCAGATACATAAAGACCATTCTGATAAATTGGTGATTATGTTAATGAATTTTTTATATTGTATAATTAAATGTGCCAACATTTGAAAGATCTCCATAACTCAATGAACCAATATTTTCCAAATGATCAATGCACAATGTTATAAAATTATGTACCAGCAAAACATCCACTTAAAGCAAATAGTGTAACCATAATAGGGCCCTTCGCCCAATATGTGACAAGTTAATATGCCAAGACACCAGGTTGTAGCAGAGAAAGAGGTTTAATTGTAGGGCTGCCAGATGAGGAGATGGGAGAAAACCTCAAATCCATTTCCCCAAGGAATGTGGAGCTAGGGATTTTAAAGGTTTGGGAGTAGGCCAAAGTGTAGAGATTGATCAGAGTGCAGGGTGAAGCCATGGGACAGGGAGATGTTATTGATTCCGTTCCTCTCTGGGGGTTTTTAAACTGGTTGGCATCAGCTGTTCAGGTGGAATTCAGGATCTGCTTAAGCAGTTCTTAAACCCTTTATGATTCTAATGTCAGAGATCCTATCTATCTTAAAAGCCCTGGCCAGGCGCGGTGGCTCACATCTGTAATCCTAGCACTTTGGGAGTCCGTGCCAAGGCAGACAGATCACTTGAGGTCAGGAGTTTGAGGCCAGCCAGGCCAACATGGTGAAACCCCGTCTCTACCAAAAACACAAAAATTAGTTGAGTGGGCCAGGTGCGGTGGTTCATGCCTGTAATCCCAGCACTTTGGGCCAAGGCGGGCAAATCACCTGAGGTCAGGAGTTCGAGATCAGCCTGGCCAACATGGTGAAACCCTGTCTCTACTAAAAATACAAAAATCAGCTAGGCGTGGTGGCAGGTGCCTGTAATCGCAGCTATTCGGGAGGCTGAGGCAGGAGAATCGCTTGAACCCAGGAGGCAGAGGTTGCAGTGAGCCAAGATTGCATCACTGCATTCCAGCCTGGGTGACAGAGAGAGACTCCATCTCAAAAAAAAAAAAAAAAAAAAGCCTAATGTCAGAAATTCTGTCAATAGGAACAATGGGAACGCAAATGGTCTCTATGTAGTGTAACCTGACTTTTGGTTACAAGGAAGTGGGTCAGAGTGCAGCCTGATTAATGCTCAATTATAACTATATTTCCTTCCAGAATTCTTGTTAACCCTTTGAGGACAGCTTCAATAGAATTATGATTTCAATGTAACCTAGTAAAAAAGGTTCCCTGATGGTTTCAGATTCCACATTGCAACAACTTTTTAAAAACTACTTACTGCTTTTAGTGTTGGATCTAAGAAGAATATCTACAATTATTTGAAAGGGATTTTTCCCCAACTACTTTCTGTATGTGACCAGGTTTTCCTCATAAACTTCAACAAAAAAGAAAAACCTTGTGGTAGGCTGATAATGACTTCCAAAGATGTCCGTGTTCTAATCCCTGGAATTTGTGTTACCTCGTGGTAAAACTTTTACAGATGAGATGAAGTTAAGGATCTTTAGGTAAAGAGATTATCATGGATTACCTGAGTGGATTATTGATGTTATCTCAAGCATCCTGTTAAGAGAGAAGGGAGATTAGCCACCCAACACAGAAGTGAAATTGATGTGAAGATGAAGGCAGAGATTAGTGTGATGCCTCTAAAAGTCAAGCAATGCCAGCAGTTACCAAAAGCTGGAAGAAGAAGCTTCTCTAGAGCCTCCAGAGGGAACGTTTTCCTGCCCACACTTTGACTTTGGCCCAGTGAAACTGGTATTGAACTTTCTGGCCTCCAGAACTATGAGGGAATAAATTTCTGTAGTTTTGAGCCACCAAGTTTGTGATAATTTGTTAAACAGCAACCACAGGAAACTAATACAAACCCCAAATCAACAGATTACGTGCAGAACCAGACATGACAATGCAATGTTTTATATTAATCCTGACATTAAAGAGACTTGCAAAGTTGTAAAACAGTGACACAGTTCTTTAATTGTTTTGGAATTTGATATACAGTCAGCTCTCCATATCCACGTGATCCATATCCCCAAGGATTTAACCAACTGTGGATCAAAATCCACCATGGATGAAAAACCCTCAGATGAAGAAGGCTAATTAAGGGACTCAAGCATCCACCAATTTTGATATCCACGAGGGTCCTAGAATCAATCCCCTGAGGATACTGAGGGCTGACTATATAACTGTTTTTCATTTAAAAATAGAAAAGGATGTCAACATGCAATGGGTTTATTGTTGCTGTTTCATTTATTTATTATTTTTTTTCTTTGAGATGGAGTTTTGCTCTTGTTTTCCAGGCTGGAGTGCAATGGCACAATCTCAGTTCGCTGCAACCTCCACCTCCCAGGGATTGTGCTGCCTCAGCCTCCCAAGTTGTTGGGATTATAGACACCCACCACCACGCCCGGCTAATTTTTTGTATTTTTAGTAGAGACGGGGTTTCCCCATGTTAGCCATGCCGATCTCCAACTCTGGACCTCAGGTGAACTACCCGCCTCGGCCTCCCAAAGTGCTGGGATTACAGGCGTGAGCTACTGCACCCAGCCCATTGTTGCTGTTTTTAAAATTAATTAACATCTTAAAATTCTCTCTCTTTTACTTTCTAACCCGGTAAGTATTAGTAGATATAACTCAAAAGCAAAAACTTTTGAGGATCTTCAATAATTTTTAACTATGTTGTGGGGCTCCTGAGACCAAAAAAATTGAAAGCTGCTTATCTAGTACATAGTATGTAGTCAATTATTTATTGAAGTAATTATTATATTTCTCATTCAATCACATCAATTGGTATGTTAGTCTAGGACAGTGAACAGCCAGAGTCCAGAGATAAGGTGAATGGTTGCAAGAGAAAAGGACAGAATAGTTCTTGGGAAAGAGAGAAATTTGAGAAAAAGACAAAGTTTTTTTCTCAATCTGGACAATCTATGACTGACCAGATTATGACAGAGAATTTTCTGGAACAACTCCCAGAGCCTCCTATTTTGTGACCCAGGCACAAAAATTGTTGACTCCCATTAATTCCTACCATTCCTTCTCTAGCTTCCACTTCTCAAAGCTAAAAATTGAAAATAGAGCAAGGAAACAAATGTCAAATGTCCAGAAGTTAAATGCCTGGAGAGAAAAGCTGATCGTACAATAAGACTTGCTAAGATTTATAATGACAGAATGTGAGAGCTGGAAGAAAAGTTGAAGGCCATCCACACATCCAATTGTCTCCTTTTGTAGAAAAGGATGCTAAGACTTAGATTGTGGAAGCCAACTAATCTCAAGTCATACAACCATACGGGTGGAAATGAAATTGTAGCCCTACATCTAGAATTCAAACCCAGAGCATTCCCCCCATACTTTCATGGTGTTGATAGTAAAGAGGTTACTTGTGGCTTCCTGTTCTGAGACTCTGGCTCCTAGTCCTGCCCCAAAATAAAGAGGATATGAATTTTCCATTTTAAGCTTATAATTTTAGACTGTCCACTTTTTCTGTAAATATGGACTCTTCTTCCTCCTTTTCTTATCACCACCTCTGTCCTAGGTAATTTCACTTGGAATGATTTACTGTCACAAAGATAGAACCTGTTAAACCCTCTTGAACTGAAATTCCTCTTTCTTCTTCCAGTCAAGGAGAAAAGTGGCTCTCATTGAACTGAAAATAGGGGGCCAGATGCAGTGGCTCACGCCTGTAATCCCAGCACTTTGGGAGGCCGAGGCAGGCAGATCACTTGAGGTCGGGAGTTTGAGACCAGCCTGGCCAATGTGGCGAAACCCCATCTTTATTAAAAATACAAAAAATGAGCTAGGTGTGGAGGTGCGCCCCTGTAATTCTCAGCTACTCAGGAGACTGAGGCAGGAGAATCACTTGAACCTGGGACGTGGAGGTTGCAGTGAGCCCAAATAGCACCACTGAACTCCAGCCTGGGTGACAGAGTAAGACTCCATCTCAAAAAAAAAAAAAGAAAGAAAATAGGACAGGGCCAGGCGCAGTGGCTCACACCTGTAATCCCAGCACTTCGGGAGGTCGAGGCGGGCAGATCACCTGAGGTCGGGAGTTCAAGACCAAACTGACCAACATGGAGAAACCCCGTCTCTACTAAAAATACAAAATTAGCCAGGGTGGTGGCGCATGCCTATAATCCCAGCTACTCAGGAGGCTGAGGCAGGAGAATTGCTTGAACCCTGGAGGCCCAGGTTGAGGTTAGCCGAGATCACGCCATTGCCCTCCAGCCTGGGCAACAAGAGCAAAACTCCGTCTCAAAAAGAAAAAAAAAAAAGGACAGAAAAGTGACTCCGTACACTTTAAGAAGGTGCAGTGGTCCAAGGACAGCAGGGGGGCAAACTAGTATATTCTCCATAAGACTATCACCAGCCACTCCACAAGTTTTTTTCCTGTCTCACTTGTTTTATTTTCTTTCTGTCTCAATTGGAAATACACAGACAGAAAGCTTTCTTTCTGTCTCACTTGGAAATATATAGAGGTACAGGAAAAGGTAAGACATGTTTTTCTTCCATGTGTTTCCTCAGCTTTCATTTAGAAAACTTTTATTTATTTTGCATAAACATTACATTCACTTTATTCCAAATTCAACATGTACAAAAGCTTACACTAAGAAAAGTATTCCTCTTTTCCTTTCCCCACCCTCCTACTTTCCTCCTTAGAAGCAACCACCATGATCCATTTCTTCAGCAATATTTTCTGCAGAAACAATAGCTTTCATTTTGAAAGTCATTTATGCCATCCCATGCCCACAGAGAATTCAGCCCACTTATTTTTAGAATATATCTCTGGAGAATCATTCCTTTTTATAACATTTTACTGAAAATCTCTGCCCACCTGTTGATTAGAGTATTGCAAACAGACAACAGTTGTTCATGCTCACTTACCCCAAGAGTTATCATCCCTGCTCCAGCAGTGCACCTGGGAATCGCCTGAAAGGAAAGTTCTAGGATACACACACACTTATCCAATGGCCCCAGTTCTCCCCTTCTATACTCTCTCCTAGGCTCTCATCCTATTTTCAACCCCCTCAACTACTGAACTGCATTTAGCATTGTTTATCCCCAGGCTGTTTGGGTTTGACATTTGGCAAGGTTTTTCCAGCAAAGACCTTGACAACTCTCATCAATAGTTCCGATTTTTCACTCTCGATGTTGCCTTAGTTTACCCCCAATAACGTCCCCCATTGCTTCATTTCCCCTGCAAACATCTTACTTTAGTACCTCATCTCTCTCCTGAATCATTATAACAATCTAATTTGTCATCGCCATCACTGTCCTCTCCTCTTTTCAGCCAGCCATCTGATTTCTAACTCAGAAATCTTTTACTATTCCTAGTTCAAAATAGTTTGGTGGGAAAAATGGAAGCTCTTTACCTGGGCATCTGTAGATATTTATAACTCTTCCATTGCCTGCCTCTCTACCCTCTTCTCATACTATTCTTTTTTTTTTTTTTTTTTTTTTTGAGATGGAGCTGTGCTCTTGTTGCCCCAGGCTGGAGTGCAATGGCACAACCTCAGCTCACTGCAACCTCCTCCTGCTGGGTTCAAGCGATTCTCCTGCCTCAGCCTCCCAAGTAGCTGGGATTACAGGCACCGGCCACCGCGCCCAGCTAATTTTTTGTATGTTTAGTAAAGATGGGGTTTCACCATGTTGGCCATGCTGGTCTTGAACTCCTGACCTCAGGTGATCTGCCCATCTTGGACTCCCAAAGTGCTGGGATTACAGGCATGAGCCATTGCACCCTGGCCTTTTTTTTTTTTTTTTTAAGACAGAGTCTCGCCCTGCCACCCAGGCTGGAGTGCAGTGGCGCGATCTCGGCTCACTGCAACCTCTGCCTTTTGGGTTCGGGCAGTTCTCCTGCCTCAGCTTCCCGAGTAGCTGGGACTACAGGCGTGTGCCACCACACCAGCTAATTTTTGTATTTTTAGTAGAGATAGGGTTTCACTATGTTGGCCAGGCTGGTCTCAAACTCCTGACCTCAGGTGATCTGCCCACCTAGGCCTCTCAAAGTGCTGGGATTACAGGTGTGAGCCACCACACCTGGCCTCATACTAGTCTTATGTCAGAATTTTTTATTTTAGTGATATTGAGCTGCCTGAATTCCCTGAGTGTGCCGTGCTGTTTAACTCCTCATGTTTTTGTACCTGCTGACTGCCTGGAATATTCTTTCACTCTTTGTTTAACTGAAAAATTCCTATTTATCCTTTAAAACAGAACTCAGACCTTATTTCCTCTATCATACCTTATGTTTGTACCTTTTACAACCTCTACTAAAACTGAGTTGAAATTACCGGTTTATATGTCTCTCTTCCCTATTAGAGCTGACACTTGGGGATATGAAGATGAAGGCAGGAACATGTTTTCCATATTCATCTTCTTACTCTCAGTTCTAACAGAGTCTGTATTTATTTCCATGGAAAGATATTCATGATACATCGATGTAAGTGAAGAAAACAGGTTATAAAACAGTATAATATATGTATGGTTTGAGCTCATCTTTGCCACAAATATATGTCAATGTCACACATCACAATTTGTAAATATAAAAGTATTTGCCTTATTTATTTAATGTGTTTCTCCCTCACTAGGCTGAATGCTCTTTGAGGGCAGGGATCAGGTGTTCACTGCTGTTTATGCAGTGCCTGGCACAATGGCTGGCAATTAATAAGCATTTATACATTTGTTAGAAGGGAGAATGTGCATCGAAAAATAACTGGAAGCATGAATACCCAAACCTTAAAGATGGTTGCCTCAGATAATAGAATTATGGTTACTGTGTATTTTTTCTTTATATTTTTCTGTATTTATTGAAGTTTTAGAAATGATAATATATTACTTTCATAATCATAAGAAAAATTAAAACTGCTTTAGGAGGGATGGAAAGAAGGAATTCAGAGGCCCATTAGGCTCTAGTTACTACTTCCTCAGTCACAGTAGATGATATATGGATTTGCCTCAGACACAGGACCTGTGGGGAGCTAGGAGTGCCAGAGATTAAAATAGAACCAGAGGAAGAATTATGAGGAGAGAGGTGCTAGTAGGACACCTGATTAGTGGGTCCCTTCAGCAAGAATCTTCAAAGGCCTCCCATCACTTACAGAACAAAATCCAATCTTTTTTTTTTTTTTTTTGATAGAGTCTTGCTCTGTCGCCTAGGCTGGAGTGCAGTGGCACAATCTCAGCTCACTGCAAGCTCTGCCTCCCAGGTTCATGCCGTTCTCCTGCCTCAGCCTCCTGAGTAGCTGGGACTACAGGCGCCTGCCACCACACCCGGCTAATTTTTTGTATTTTTTTGTAGAGACAGGGTTTCACCGTGTTAGCCAGGATGGTCTCAATCTCCTGACCTCGTGATCCGCCCGCCTCGGCCTCCCAAAGTGCTGGGATTACAGGCGTGAGCCACTGCGCCCGGCCTAACAAAATCCAATCTTATCAGCAGAACCACAGAGGTAGCCATTAACAAGCTTAGGTGCCTCCCCTTTCTCCTCTCCCTCCACCACCCTCCTATTTGAGCCTCTAGAAATACTGAACTACTTGTGCTTTCCAGAATACTCCCATTCTCGGGTCTCTTCATTTTCCTTCAAACTCATTCTCTCTTTGACTCCATGTATCCAGGTCACACTGATGCAAGAGGTGGGTTCCCATGGTCTTGGGCAGCTTTGCCCCTGTGGCTTTGCAGAGTATAGCCCACCTCCTAGCTGCCTTCATGGACTGGCATTGAGTGTCTGTGAATTTTCCAGGTGCACGGTACAAGCTGTAGGTGGATCTACCATTCTGGGGTCTGGAAGATGGTGGCCCTCTTCTCACAGCTCAACTAGGCAGTGGCCCAGTAGGGACTCTGTGTGGGGCCTCCAATCCCACATTTCCCGTCTCCACTGCACTAGCAGTTCTCTATGAGAGCCCTGCCTCTGCAGCAAACTTCTGCCTGGACATCCAGGTGTTTCCATATATCCTCTGAAATCTAGACAGAGGTTCCCAAACTTCAATTCTTGAAGTTTGTGCAGATGCAGTTCTGTGCATCTGCAGGCTCAAAACCACGTGGAAGCTGCCAAGGCTTGGGGCTATGCAGCAGACTTCTGCCTGGACATCCAGGTGTTTCCATACATCCTCTGAAATCTAGGCGGAGGTTCCCAAACTTCAATTCTTGACTTCTGTGCATCTGCAGGCTGAAAACTACGTGGATGCTGCCAATGCTTGGGGCTTGCACCCACTGAAGCCATGGCCTGAGCTGTACCTTGGCCCCTTTTAGTCATGGCTGGAGCAGCTAGGATTCAGGGCACCAAGTCCCTAGACTGCACACAGCACAGGGACCCTGGTCCTAGCCCACTAAACCATTTTTTCTTCCTAGACCTCCAGGCCTGTGATGGGAGGGCCTGCTGTGAAGACCTCTGACATGCCCTGGAGACATTTTCCCCATTGTGTTGGGTATTAACATTTGGCTTCTCGTTACTTATGCAAATTTCTGCAACCAGCCTGAACTCCTCAGAAAATGATATTTTCTTTTCTATCGCATTGTCAGGCTGCAAATTTTCCAAACCTTTATGCTCTGCTTCCCTTATGAAACTGAATGCCTTTAACAGCATCCATGTCACCTCTTGGATGCTTTGCTGCTTAGAAATTTCTTCCACCAGATACCCTAAATCATTTCTCTCAAGTTGAAAGTTCCACAAATCTCTAGGGCAGGGGCAAAATGCCACCATTCTCTTTGCTAAAACATAACAAAAGTTACCTTTGCTCCAGTTCCCAACAAGTTCCTCATCTCTATCTGAGACCACCTCAGCCTGGACCTCATTGTTCATACCATTATCAGCATTTTTGTCAAAGCCATGCAACAAGTCTCTAGGAAGTTACAAACTTTCTCATATTTTCCTGTCTTCTTCTGAGCCCTCCAGACTGTTCCAACCTCTTCCTGTTACCCAATTCCAAAGTTGCTTCCAGATTTTCAGATATCTTTTCAGTGGCACCCCACTTTTGGCACCAATTTACTGTATTCATCTGTTTTCACACTGCTGATAAAGACATACCCGAGACTGGGCAATTTACAAATGAAAGAAGTTTAACTGGACTTACAGTTACACATGGGTAGGGATGCCTTGCAGTCATGGGAGAAGGCAAGGAGGAGCAAGTTACATCTTACATGGTTGGAGGCAGGCAAAAAGAGCTTATGCAGGAAAACTCCCCCTTATAGTTAACCATTAGATCTCATGAGACTTACTCACTATCACAGAACAGCACAGGAAAGACCTGTCCCCCATGATTCAATTACCTCCCACTGGGTCCCTCCCACAACACATGGGAATTCAAGATGAGATTTGGGTGGGGACACAGCCAAACTGTATCATTATTCATTTATGCAACTTTTATTGATCTACTACAATGTGTCAGGCATTGAACCATGCTAGAGATACAAGATAGACACAACTCCCTTCCTGGAGTTTATTTATTTATTCATTTATTTGGGGCGGAGTCTCACTCTGTCGCCCAGGCTGGAGTGCAGTAGTGTGATCTTGGCTCACTGCAACCTCCATCTCCTGGGTTCAAGCGATTCTCCTGCCTCAGCCTCCAAAGTAGCTGGGACTACAGGTGCGTGCTACCTGGCTAATTTTTTTTTTTTTTTTTTTTTTTGAGATGGAGTTTTGCTCTTGTCACCCAGGCTGGAGTGCAATGGCGTGATCTTGGCTCACTGCAACCTCTGCCTCCGGGTTCAAGTGATTCTCCTGCCTCAGCCTCCCGAGTAGCTGGGATTACAGGCGCCCAACACCACACCCAGCCAATTTTTGTATTTTTAGTAGAGATTGGGTTTCACCATGGTGGCCAGGATGGTCTTGGACTCCTGACCTCAGGTGATCCACCTGTCTCAGCCTCCCAAAGTACTGGGATTATAGGCATGAGCCACCACACCCAGCCCAGTCCTGGAGTTTTTAGTCCCATGGATAAAATAGGTACTAAATAAATATTGTAGCCCAATCAGCTTTCAGGGACAAATCTATAAACAAGTTTATTGACTCATGGCAATGACAGAGACCACTTACCAGAGGAACTGTGGAGCATCTGACTAGACAAAGGAAAAGATGGAATTATTATAGGATTGTGGGGGAAGAGTAGAGTTTAGGTGAAATTTAAACGAAGCAGTGTTTTCACAAGGTCAAAGCAAAGCAGAGCTGTGTGTAAATGAGTCAACATAAGGCCTGGACTGCTGAGAGGGACCCAGCAGACCTGCATTAAAAAAAATATTAAAGAGAATTCTTTAGGCTAATAGGAAATAACACCAGATGGTAACTCAAATTATACAAAGAAATGCATAACACAGCAATTATTAAACATATGAGTAAATATAAAGGACTGTATCCATATATTTTCTCTTCTAAGAACTTTGAAACAGAATATTATGTGAACTAATATTATAAAACAATAAATAGCTTTATAACATATATAGATGTAATGTGTATGACAATAGTAAAACAAAGAAGAAGGTGTAAGTGGAACTATATTAGAGCAAAGTTTCTATGTTTTACTAGAGTTATTACTCTGAAATAGATTTTGATAAATCAAGATGCATATTTTAATTCTTAGAGTGGCCACTTAGAAAATAACTTAAAAAATAGTAAAAAATTAACAAATTAAAATGGGATATAAAAATATCTATTAAACATAAAAAACAGTAAAGGAAGAACAGAAGAACAAAAAAGACAAACAGCATATAGAGAACAAATAGCAAAATGGCAGACATTAATTCAACCTTATTGATAAATTGTATTAAATCTGAATGGGGGTTGGGCACAGTAGCTCATGCCTGTAAATCCAGTGCTTTGGGAGGCCAAGGCAGGAGGATCACTTGTGGCCAGGAGTTCAAGACCCATCCTAGGAAAAATAGCAAGACCCTGTCTCTACAAAATAAAATAAAAAATTAGCCAGGCATGGTGATGTGCACCTGTAGTCCTAGCTACTTGGGAGGCTGAGGCAGGAGGATCCCTTGAGTACAGGATTTCAAGGTTGCAGTGAGCTATGATTGTGCCACTGCACTCTACTCTGGGTGACAATGTGAGACCCTGTCTCTAAAATTAAAAAAAAATTCTGAATGGGTTATTTCCCTCATTCTGTTAATGTGGTACATTACATTGGTTGATTTTCATTTGTGGAACCATCCTTGCATTCCAGAAATAAATCCCACTTGGTCATGGTGTATAACCCTTTTAATGAATTCTATTTGCCTGCACTATTTTGAGGATTTTTTTAAATTAATCAGTATTCATCAGGGATATTGGACTGTGGTTTTCTTTTCTTGTAGTGTCTGTCTGATTTTGGTATCAGGATAATGTTAGCGTCTTAAAATGAGTTTGGAAGTGTTCCTTCCTCTTCATTTTTTGGAGGAGTTTTAGGAGGTTTGAGAGTTTGGTATTCATTCTTCTTTAACTTTTTTTTTTTTTCTTCAGAGACCGGATCTCACTACGTTGCCCAGGATGGTCTTGAACTCCTGGACTCAAGCAAGCCTCTTGCCTCGGCCTCCTAAAAAGCTGGGATGACAGGCATGAGTCACCGTGCCCAGTCTTCATTCTTTAAATATTTGGTAGAATTCATCAGTGAAGCCATCTCATCCGGGGCTTTTCTTTGTTGACAGATTTTTTATTACTGATTCAATCTCATTCTAACTATAGGTTTGTTCACATTTTCTTTTACTTTATGATTCAGTCTTGATAAATTGTATTTTTCTAGGAATTTATCCATTTCTTCTAGGTTATCCAATTTGTTAGTGTACAGTTGTTCATAGTATTCTCTTATCCTATTTATTTCTGTGACTTTGATTGTAATGTTCTGATTTTGGTTATTTGAGTATTTCTTTTTTTCTTAATTTAGCTACAGGTTGTCAATGCAGTTACACTTTTTGAAAAACAAATTTTGGTTTCATTGATTTCTCTGTTGTGTTTCTATTCTATATTGCACTTATCTCTGCACAAATCTTTAGTTTGCTCTTTTTTTTTTTTTTTTGAGACGAAGTCTTGCTCTGTCACTCAGGCTGGAGTGCAGTGGCACAATCTTGGCTCACTGCAAGCTCCACCTCCCGAGTTCACGCCATTCTCCTGCCTCAGCCTCCCGAGTAGCTGGGAATACAGGCGCCTGCCACCACACCAGGCTAATTTTTGTATTTTTAGTAGAGACGGGGTTTCACCTTGTTAGCCAGGATGTTCTCGATTTCCTGACCTTGTGATCCACCTGCCTTGGCCTCCCAAAGTGCTGGGATTACAGGCGTGAGCCACCGCGCCTGGACTGCTCTTCTTTTTCTAGTTCCCTAATGTGTACAATTAGGTTGAAAACTATTCCACTTTTTTTTCTGAGACGGAGTCTTGCTCTTTCACCCAATCTAGAGTGCAGTGATGTGATCTTGGCTCACTGCAACCTCCGCCTCCCAGGTTCAAGCGATTCTTCTGCCTCAGCCTCCCGAGTAGCTGGGATTACAGGTGCCCACTACCACACCTGGCTAGTTTTTGTATTTTTTAGTAGAGACGGGGTTTTGCCATCTTGGCCAGGCTGGTCTCAAACTCCTGACCTCATGATACACTCGCCTCGGCCTCCCAAAGTGCTAGGATTACATAGGATTACAGGCGTGAGCCACTGCGCCCGGCGTGTTTTTTGTTTTTTTTTTTTTTTTTTTTGGAGACAGAGGTTCCTTTCATTGCCCAGGCTGGAGTGCAGTAGCATGATCTCAACTTACTGCAACCTCTCCACTTACCAGGTTCAAGTGATTCTTGTGCCTCAGCCACTCGAGTAGCTGGGGTTACAGGTATGCGCCACCAATCCTGGCTTACTTTTGTATTTTTAGTAGACAGGGGGGTTTCACCATGTTGGCCAGGCTGGTCTCAAACTCCTGACCTCAAGTGATCGCCCACCTTGACCTCCCAAAGTGCTGAGATTACAGGCTTGAGCCACCGCATCTGGCCTATTCCACTTTTTTAATGAATGTGTTTACAGCTATTAATTTCTCTCAGCACTGTTTTGCTGCATCTCATATGTTTTGGTATGCTGTGTTTGTATTTTCATAAATCTTAAGGTATTTTCCAGTTTCCCTTGTATTCCTTCTTTGACCTATTGTTGTTGTTTAAAAGTGTGTGGTTTAATTTCTACATATTTGTGAGTTTTCCAGTTTTCCTTCTGTTATTGATTTCTAGTTTCATTCCATTGTGGTCAGAAAATATATTTTGTATTTCAGTCTTTTTAAATGTGTTAGTGTTTGTGTTGTGGCCTAACATACAGTCTGTCCTGTAGAATGTTCCACATATACTTGAGAAGAATGTGTACTCTGCTGCTGTTGGGCAGAGTGTGCATATGTCTGTTAAGTATAATTGGTTTATAGATTGTACAAGTCCTCAATTTCCTATTAATCTTCTCTCTGGTTTCTAACCATTTTTGAAAGCGTGTATTGAAATCTCCAGGTATTCTTGAATCACTCTTTTTCCCTTCAGTTCTGTTTTGGTTTTTAGGGTTTTTGGGGGGTTTTTTTGAGACACAGTCTCACTCTGTCACCCAGGCTGGAGTGCAGTGGCGTGATCTTGGCTCATTGCAACTTCTGCCTCCCCGGTTCAGGCGATTCTCCTGCCCCAGCCTCCCCAGCTGGGATTACAGGCGCATACCACCACACCCAGCTAATTTTTGTATTTTCAGTAGAGACAGAGTTTTATCATGTTGGCCAGACTGGTCTCGAACTCCTGACCTCAAGTGATCCACCCACCTTAGCCTCCCAAAGTGCTGGGATTCCAGGCATGTCCCACCGCGCCCAGCAATTCTGTTGTGTTGGTTTTTTTTTTTTTTTTTTTTTTTTGCTTTTTTTGTTAGATGAAAGATGTAAGTGAATGGATAGACACTGCATGTTCATGGATCGAAAAGACTCAGTATTGCTAAGATTATAATTCTCCCCAAAATGTTCTTAGATTCTACGCAATCTCTATCAAAGCTGTAGCAGTTGGCTAGATGCAGTGGTCCACACCTATAATCCTAGCCTTTTATCGGGCCAAGGTAGGAGGATAATTTAAAGCTGGGAGTTTGAGACCAACCTGGACAACACAGTGAGAGACCCCTATCTCTACAAAAATAAAAATAAAACAACTAGCTGGGCACGGTGGTGCGTGCTTGTACTCCTAGCTACTCTGGAGGCTAAGGCGGAGGATCACTTGAAGCCAGGAGTTCAGGGTTACTGTGAGTTATGATCATGCCACAGCACTCCAGCCTGGATGACAGAGTGAGACCATATCTCTAAAACAAACAAGCAAAAAACTGCAGCAGGCTTTTTGGCAAAAATGAAAAATGAATCAGCTGGTCCTAAATTTTATATGTAATATCCAGGAACATTTTGAAAAAGAAGAACAAAGCTGGAAGACTTACAATACCCAGTTTCAAAACTTACTATAAACAGATAGTAATCAAGACAATGTAGTATTGGTGTAAAGATAGACATGTATAAAACTGAGAGTTCAGAAATTATGGTCCATTGATTTTTGATGAAGTAGCCAAGACATTTCAATGGAGAAAGGACCATCTTTTCAACAAATAGTATTGGGACAATTGAATATCCATATGCAAAAAAGTGAACCTAGGCTCTTACTTCACATTATATACAAAATGGAACTCAAAATGGATCTCAGACCTACATGTGAGAAGTAAAACTACAAAAGTTCTAAAAGAAAACACAGGAGAGGCCAGGCGCAGTGGTCACGCCTGTAATCCCAGCACTTTGGGAGGCCAAGGTGGGCAGATCATGAGGTCAGGAGATCAAGACCATCCTGGCTAACATGGTGAAACCCCGTCTCTACTAAAAATACAAAAAATTAGCCAGGTGTGGTGGCGGGCGCCTGTAGTCCCAGCTACTCAGGAGGCTGAGGCAGGAGAATGGTGTGACCCTGGGAGGCAGAGCTTGCAGAGAGCTGAGATCGTGCCACTGCACTCCAGCCTGGGCGCGACAGAGCGAGACTCTGTCTCAAAAAAAAAAAAAGAAAAATAGAGTTTCATATTAAAAAAGAAAACACAGGAGAAAATCTTTATGACCTTGGGCTAGGCAGAGTTCTTAAATATGACATCAAAAGCACAGTTCACAAAAATAGCTGACAAATTGGATTTTATCAAAATTAAAACTTTTGGGTTTAAAAGACATCCATAATAAATTGAAAAGATGTAGACTGAAAGAAAATATTTATAACTGATGTATGTGATAAAGGGCTTATATCCAAAATATACAAAGAACTCATAACTTAGTAATAAGAAGACTAATAATCTAATTTTAAAATGAAGTAAACATTTGAATAGACATTTCACCAAAGAGGATATGTAAATGGCTAATAATCACTTGATAAAATGCGCAACATCATTAGTCATGAGGGAAGTGCAAGTCAAAACCACAATAAGATAGCATTAACACACCCACTAAGCTATAACCAAAAAGTCAGACAATACCTAGTGATGGAGGAGTTATGGGAAAACCTTCACATATTGCTGATGAGAATATAAAATAGAACAGCCACATTGTGAAATTGTTTGGCAGTTTCTTAAAAAGCTAAATAGATTTGCCATACAACTCAGCGATTCTACTAAGTATCTACCCAAGAGAAATGAAAACATATATTCATGCAAACACTTGTATAGAAATGTTCATAGCAACATCATTCATAATAGCCAAAAACTGGAGACAACCCAAATGTTCATCAACTGATGAATGAATAAACAAAATGTAGTTTATCTATATACAATGGACTATTATTCAGCCATAAAAAGGAATGAAGTACTGACACATGCTACAACATGGGTGAACTTTGAAAACATTATGCTAAGTGAAAGAAGCCAGTCACAAAAAACTGTATAGTGTATGATTTCATTTATATGAAATGACCAGGAAAGGAAAATTTTTAGAGACAGAAAGCAGATCAGTAGTTGTCTGAAACTGAAGGTAACAAGTGAGGATTGACTGCAAATTCTCTTTTTGTTTGTTTGTTTTGTTTCTTTTTTTTTTGACTGCACATTCTCACAAGTAATTTTCTGGGTGTTAGAAATGTTCTAAAACTGGATTGTGACAGTGGTTGCACAAAGCTATCAATTTACTAAAAATTATTCACTGTACACTTATAATGGGTGAAGTCTTATGGTACATAAAATATATTTCAATAAAACTAAGAAAAAGTCTCATGAATTTCAGAAATGCTAATTTATTATTGATTGACAGCTTGCTACAGGATCTTTCTGGGGCTTAGTGACTAGAGATGCATGCAGAATTAGAAAGATAAAATAATTTGTTTAGAAAAATTAGTAGATTGAGAAGGGTTTGGTGGTGGTCAGAGAAAAACCTTGGGAATGGCAAAAAGTTAGGAAACTCTCCAGGCTGAGAAAGGCCTAGAAAAAGAGACACTGGGTGGTGTTCTGGGGACTGCAGCAGTGGGGATTTAGGCAACTTTGTATACAGTTCCACTCTCATGCCCAAGGGGGCGCCAGAGCAGCAAGCCTCAGTCGTGACTGTGGACGTTCCTAGCCCCTAATGCTGGGTCACGGTACTGCGTTCATTCAAAACCTGACCCAGGTTTTTTAGAGACGAGGACTCTCCATTTTGTTTTATTATCTTTCTTGAGAGGCGGAGGGAATTTGCCTGAAGGTGGATTCCTTTTTTTTTTTTTTTTTTTGAGACGGAGTCTCACTCTGTCGCCAGGCTAGAGTGCTGTGGCGCAATCTCGGCTCACTGCAACCTCCAACTCCCTGGTTCAAGGGATTCTCCTGCCTCCACCTCCCAAGTAGCTGGGATTACAAGCATGCGCCACCATGCCCGGCTAATTTTTGTATTTTTAGTAGAGATGCGGTTTCACTGTGTTGGCCAGGATGGTCTCGATCTCCTGACCTCGTGATCCGCCCGCTTCGGCCTCCCAAAGTGCTGGGATTACAGGCATGAGCCACCACGCCCGGCCGGTGGCTTCCTTTTAAGTCTGAAAATGCAGCAGGAAGAGCCAAGTGAGGCCCTGTGACTCTCTATGGAGAGAGGCAGTGGTTACAGCCCAAAGAGCCCTAAGAAGAGCTTTTTCAGAATGACACATACTAGTTTCTTCCCCTCCTTTCATGACTCAGGTCCACATTTCACACAGACTTTTGCCTGTGCCAGACTTGCCTCTGCCTTGACCGCTAGCCAGCAGACTGTGTCCACAGTGTTTTCCCGCTCCTGCTACCCGGTCTGAATCAGCCTGGTAAAAACATTAGCTGGAAGATATCTGTTTACTGGGTAAATTCCTCTACAACAAATACCTTTGCAATGAAAATCTCTATTTAACCAAAAGTTCTCCACAGCCCAGTTTATGTCTAACCTAGTGCAAGCAGTAATCCATGAAATAAAACTCTACTCCATACCACATATTTAGACAGTCAAGTTGAGCTACTTGTAAAGAGATTTGACCTGTAATACTTTTATTTTCCCCGAGGAGCTGGAAATATAAGTAGAGGTAAAAACAGAGTCCCCTTTGCACTTGGAGAGTATTTTCCCACATGCACTCATTTTAAAAATCCAGTTCCCAGGAAATCTTTGTAAGGACTTTTCTCAATAGTCTACCAGATCCAGGACAAGGAAGAAAGATAGGCTCCAGATTGGATAAGCAGAGACCTTCCCAGAAGGAAACAATGGGAATTTAATATTCAAGCAGGCCCTGATCCAGAGCATTATGGGAACTGACCAAGGGATCAAAAATGAATCAAGTTAAAAAGAAACTAAATAACATTCCAAAGAAGTGATAGTACTGTTGAAGCCTGAGGCTATACTCCACCGCGCCCAGCCCTGTACTAATATACTAACGAGAATCAAAACTTCAAAAACTACGTAGATCATATGACAGAATTAATTGCATCAGTAGTCCTTCTATACTGCTAAGAGCAAGGTGTTACATACAGATGATGCTCCTTGATTTACAGTAGGGTTACATCCCAAAAAACTCATCATAAGTTGAAAATATCATAAGCGGAAAATGTATTTAATACACCTAGCCTACTGAACATCATAGACTAGCCTACCTTAAAAGTCTCAGATCACTTATGTTAGCCTAGAGTTATTTTATATTAAGGCGTTGAATATCTCATGCAATTTATTGAATACTGTACTGAAAGTAAAACAAAATGGTTGTATGGGTGCTCAAGGTATGGTTTCTACTGAATGCATATCACTTTGCACCTGGTAGAGTCGAAAAATTTTAAGTTGGGGACCATCTGTACTGCTAAGAGCAGTGTTGTTGGGGAAGCCATTTTCTCCCTCTCCCAGGTCCATAAAATAGAAACTTCCACTTCAGAAGAATTGTGAAGACAGCATTTAGCTTCCTGCTATTTCCCCTCTCAGTTCTCCCCAAGGAAGGAGTGACTCATCTGACTGAACCACTGAGGAAGGAACTGAGCATGCTCAGCCCTTTTTGCAACCTTCTTGGACTAGCCTGCCCACTAGACAGGTGCATCCTCCCACCAACCCCACCGCTGAAGCATGTGCACCTCCCCACACACATACACTCCTGCCTCCCCAAAAAGTTCAGGAGTCAAGTACAGTCATGTATCACTTAAAGACAGGGATACGTTATGAGAAATATGTAATTAGGTCAGTGATTCCCAACCCCTTTGGCACCAGGGGAGGACCAGTTTTGTGGAAGACAATTTTTCCACAGACTGGAAGGGTGAGGTATGGTTTTGGGATGAAACTTCCACCACAGATCATCAGGTATTAGATTCTCATAAAGAGCATGCAACCTAGATCCTTCACATGTGCAGTTCACAATAGGGTTTGCACTGTTATAACAATCTAATGCTGCTACTGATCTGACAGGAGGTGGAGCCCAGGCAGTAATGCCCGCCTCCTGCTCACCGCCATTGCCATCACCTCCTGCTGTGTGACCTGGTTCCTAACAGGCCAGGGACCGGTACCTGGAACCGGGTGATTCTTTGTTGTGCAAACATCATAGAGCACACTTAAATAAATCTAGCTGCTGGCCAGGCGCAGTGGCTCACGCCTGTAATCCCAACACTTTGGGAGGCCGAGGCGGGCAGATCACGAGGTCAGGAGATCGAGACCATCCTGGCTAGCACGGTGAAACCCCGTCTCTACTAAAAATACAAAAATCAGCCGGATGTGGTGGTGGGCGCCTTTAGTCCCAGCTACTCGGGAGGCTGAGGCAGGAGAATGGCGTGAACCCGGGAGGCTGAGGTTGCAGTGAGCCGAGATTGTGCCACTGCACTCCAGCCTGGTCGACAGAGTGAGACTCTATCTCAAAAAAAATAAAATAAAATAAAATAAAAATAAAATAAATCTAGATGCTTACTACACACCTGGGCTATGTGATATATCTTATTGCTCTTAGGCTACAAACCTATACAACATGTTACTGTACTGAATACTCTAGGGAATTGTAACACAATAGTGTCTGTGTATATAAACATATCTAAACATAGGAAAGGTACAGTAAAAATACAGTATTATAATCTTAAGGGACCACTGTCATATATGTGTTCATCATTAATTAAAGAGTCCTTGGCCGGGGGCAGTGGCTCATGCCTGTAATCCCAGCACTTTGGGAGGCCAAGGCTGGCAGATCACCTGAGGTCAAGAGTTTGAGACCAGCCTGACCAACATGGAGAAACCCCATCTGTACTAAAAATACAAAATTATCCGGGCGTGGTGGCACATGCCTATAATCCCAGCTACTAGGGATGCTGAGGCAGGAGAATCGCTTGAACCTGGGAGGTGGAGGTTGCGGTGAGCCGAGATCGTGCCATTGCACTCCAGCCTGGGCAACAAGAGTGAAACTCCGTCTCAAAAAAAAAAAAAAAAAAAAAAAAAGAGTCCTTATGCAGTGCATGACTGTATTAGGAAGTCTGATTGTGAGACCTGACCGGCAGCTTGTCTACTCTGTCCTCACCCTCATTAAAGCTGATGCTTTTATTTCCGTCTGTCTGATTTTTGTGTCTGTTTCTCAAAAGGAATTCAGATGGGTAACAGCTGTTATTTATTTGTCTCTCCAAGGCCCCCAAATCAAGACTAAGTAGCCCTGCCACTGAAAAGGTTGAAAATCAGTGAAAAATGCAAATAAATGACTCTAGTAGAAGACTAAATTCATTGTATGCCCTTGAGCAAGGGTTGAGCTCCTCAGTCAAAGAAGAGAGTCACCTTTTCCAGAAGAGAATGCAGCTCAAGGGGAATGCAGGTGGGGCAGTGAAGGAGAAAGAGATTCCTAGAAGCCTCGAGTGGGGGAACCAGCATCACTACCAGATTCCCTCATGTCTGCAGTGTGAAGTGGTGGCAAGAGCCCCCCACATTGGGACCCAGAAAACCTGTGATAAAATCCAAGCTGTTTTCAGATGTGTAGCCTTTACCATTTTGAGCCTCAGTTTTCTTATTTCTAAGTAAGCATAAATATCTTCCTGCCTACCCTATAGGGTTACTGTGAAATTACATTTATATCATGTATATGAATGTTCATGTATATACTGGAAAGCAAAATAAAAATATAAAATAGCATGAAAAAAGTAGTGAGGAGAAGGTACTTGATATTTTGTGATAGAAGTGCTGGATATTTCCCATTTGCTCACCCAACTCTACTTTCTACTCTGATCCATATCCTAAAGGCTGAATTGTCTGAATTGCATCACTGGGTTCCCTTGCCTTTCGGCTGCTGGTTGAGTTTAAAAAGGAGCAACAGAAGGAATTGGATAGGGGTAGATTTTGATGATTAGATTCTCTTGGTACGTCCCTGCTGGATCTCCCATGTTGGCTGCATCTCTCTGTGGAGGGCACAGCTTGTGTCAAATTGCCAAACTGCCTTTTTTTTTTTTTTTTTTTGGCAATCACCCAGGCTGTAGTGCAGTGGCACAATCGTAGCTCACTGCAGCCTTGACCTTGTGAGTTCAAGCAATCCTCCCACTCTCAGCCTCCCGAGTAGCTGGGACTACAGGCATGTACCACCATGCCCAACTTCCTTAAGTAGAGACAAGGTCTTGCTATGTTGCCCAGGATGGTCTTGAACTCCTAAACTCAAACAATCCTCCTGCCTCAGCCTCCCACAGTGCTGGAACTACAGGCGTGAGCTACACCTCTGGCCCCAAATTGCCTTCTCCACACAGTTTTCTCTCCAGACCAGTAGCATTGCCATCATCAGGGAATTTATGCAAAATGCAAATATTTTAGTCCTACCCCAGACCTACTGAAGCAGAAACTCCAGGGTGAGGCTGAGTAATCTGTGTTGTAATAAGTCCTCCAGGTAATTCTGATGCATACTAAAGCTTGAAAACTGCTTGCTGTTGGAAGGGATTACTCCCTCTCATTTGCTCGCAGTAACTAACCCTAGAATACTGCCCAATTCCTTGCTGCTTCCCCAGAACTCTTTTACCTTTGTAAATAGTCCTTTTTATTATACTCTCCTCAAATTACTCATTTTCTTTTTCTTTTTTCTTTATTTTTTTAGGCTCTTTCTTTGAATTCTAAAAATTATTCATTTTAAATACGCCATCATTTCCTGTAGGACTCTGATGTTGAGATCTCAGAAATAAGACAAGTAACTGCTTTGTATTACACCTGCGTAAAGGACAGGCACACTGATCAAGGTGAAAGAAAAAATGTCTGTCAATGAGATACCTAAATAAGATTTAGTTTAAGATCATTGTGGGCTACACAGTCCCAAAATCTTTTAGGCCAAAGCTCACAGTGAGTCTCTGTGTTTCAGGAAATGTCTCCATTTGGTAAACTAAGAAATGATGTAACATCCTTGCAAGACATATGACTAAAATCTGAGGTTTCTGTGTGGGCTTTGGCTGTAATTTTGGTTTCTACCAAGGGCTTTAGTCTGAAGAGGAAAGCACTAAAATAAATTGCTACTTGCAAAAAGAAGCTGCTGGTATTTCTTTCCTTTGGCGAAGACCAAAGCTATAGTGAGCTAAATTCATATCATTTATTTTTCATCCAGTATAAAAGTTATATGGGCCAAGACATAACATTTGAGCAGCTGTAGAAGTTTAAAGGGTCAGTGTGACTTAAGTGTATAATGCCCAAGACAAAGAGACACTGTTTTAGGTGTTTGTTTCCTCAAGTCTCTTGTCATAGAGACTCCTCTTGTGTCCAGGGCATAAATAAATCCAAGGCAGAAATATTTAACAGAGGTTGGGAAGAAAGCCTAGAGTAGAAATTGAGACGCCCCGCCCCAGCAAGTCATTTCCTTTGGAAATATAAGGGTTAAGCAGCCTGGAGTCAGGCTAAGAAAGAGGCTTTGGGAAAATTTAGGCCAAAGTGTTAACTCAGGTTTTTCTCACCTTTGTGGATTGAGTCCATTGCTTTTGCCTACAAATGAATAAACTGTTCTTTTTTTTTTTTTTTTTTTTTTTTTGAGATGAAGTCTCGCTCTGTTGCCCAGGCTGGAGTGCAATGGCACAATCTCAGCTCACTGCAATTCCGCCTCCCAGGTTCAAGTGATTCTCCTGCCTCAGCTTCCCGATTAGCTGGGATTACAGGCACCTGCCACCATGCCTGGCTAATTTTTGTATTTTTAGTAGAGACAGGGTTTCACCATGCTGGCCAGGCTGGTTTCGAACTCCTGACCTCAGGCAATCCACCCGCCTCAGCCTCCCAAAGTGCTGGGATTATAGGCATGAGCCACCATGACCGGCCGAAGAAACTGGTTTTCAAAGCAGTATCTCTTGTTTCTGCCTCATGATTTATTTATTCAGTCAGTAAGAGCTGGACCCTGAAAAATGGTGAAGTTGGCTAAACTTATCTTCACATTTTTTCCTTAATCCATTAAAAAAAAATTTTTTTTAAAACAATTTCTCTCACCACACCACACACACACACACACACACACACACACACACACACCCCCAATACCTGGTGCTTTGAAGCCGTAACCTGTCTGTTCACGGCTACCACTTGAACCAGCATCCCAGATTTCCCCCTTTGAACTATTGTAGAGTACAGTCAGAATTTAAAGGAATAAGATCCTAACCCTCATGGTCTGTTACAGACATGATTATCTGATTAGCCCTGATGGGCAACGGCTTGATGCTAGAAATCCTCTCACCTAAGGCAGCCCAGTGGAGTGGACCAATCAGGAACCGAAGGCTTTATTAGCTGTGTGACCTTGGGCAAGTTACATAGATTCTTGGGGTTGAAAGGAACCAATGCTTTAATACATAACACCTCACTGAGGTGTAATCCATCTTCTATGTCATTTTCTTCTGAAAATAACTTCTACTACTTCTTCAGCACTTCCTATGGGCCAGGGCCTAGGCAAAGTATGTGCTATACATTATCACTAGTCCTGAAAGTAACCCAGCAAGTGGTTAGTACCAGTCGCATTTTACAGATGTAGAAAGTGAAACTCGATTGAGTGACATAATTCATCCAAGTAAGTGGCAGAGCCAGGATTCATACCCAATTACCTTTAGTCCCAAAGTTGAAGCTGTGTGATTTTCCTAAGAGATCCAATTCTTACCCTATAATTGAAGCATCATTTTTAATGAGCTAAATTCTGTCTTCCTCTAACTCTGGCTCATCACCCCTCTGGGTATGGTGAGCAAAGTTTGCTTCCTCTTCCACATGCCACTCCTTCAGATATTTGAAGACTACAAACTACTTCGACCACCCTGAAATTGTTCGACTTTTCTTCCTACAAATGTTTAAAGTCCCTTAACTGTCCTGGTGATTCCCCTTCACTTTGTCTCTGTCCCATTTAAAAAAAAAAGAAAAGAAAAAAACCTGAAGCTTAAGATACATACAGAAAACTGCACGAATTATAAATATACTGTGCAATTAACTTTTACACGTGAACACTACTTGGTCAAGAAACAGAAATATTACCAGAACCCTAGAAGTTTATGCTACTTTTTTATCTCTGCCTCCCCCAGAAGTAACCACCATCCTGACTTCTAACATGTGAATTATATCAATAGAATCACACAGTATGCACCATTTTGTATCTGGCTTCTTTTGCTCAACATTGTAAGAGTTATCCATGTCATATTGTGTGTAGCTATACTTGATTCATTCTCATTGCTTTCTGTGTACTTTTTTAAAAACTGGTAAAATAGACATAACATAAAGTTTACCATCTTAACTATTTTCAAGTGTACAGTTCAGTAGTATTGAGTATATTCACATTGCTCTATTACCATCACCACCATCCATCTCCAGAATTTTTTCATCTTCCCAAATCAAAACTCTATACTTTAAGCAATAACTCTCCATTTGCCTCTCCACTGAGCCCCTGGAAACCACATTTTACTTTCTGTCTCTATGAATTTGACTATTCTAGGTGCCTCATATGAATGTAATCATACAGTATTTTCTCTTTTGCAGCTGGCTTATTTTTCACTTAGCATAATGTCCTCAAGTTTCCTCTATGTTGTAGCACATGTGAGAATTTCCTCCCTTTGTAAGACTGAATAATATTCCATGATATGGATATACCACATTTTGTTTGATTCTGTGTATTTTTTTTTTTTTTTGAGACAGAGTCTCACTCTGTTGCCCAGGCTGGAGTGCAGTGGTGCGACCTTGGCTCACTGCAACCTCTGCCTCCCAGGTTCAAGCGATTCTCCTGCCTCTGCCTCAGCCTCCCAAGTAGCTGGGACTAAAGGCATGCGCCACCATGCCTGGCTAATTTTTGTATTTTTTGTACATATAGGGTTTCACCATGTTGGCCAGGCTGGTCTCAAACTCCTGACCTCGAGTAATCCACCCACCTCAGCCTCTCAAAGTGCTGGGATGACAGGCGTGAGCCACTGCGCCCATCCGATTCTGTGTACTTTTTAAAGCATGTTGCCTAAATGGGATTCAGTGTCCCCAGGTCTAGCATAAGCAGGTGCTTTGCACAGTCACCACTGCTCTGATATACTTTTTAAAAATTGCTTCCAAGTCTGGCTCCCCTCTAGACAGAGTGCCCCTTATGTGTTATCCATCTTTGTTTCCCCAGCACCCTACTCCAAGTAGAAACTCAGTGAATGATATCGTTAATAAATGAATGAAAGTATAACAACCCCATGAATTTCCTTTCATTTTACCTCTTGCCTTCTTTAACATCTCTGATTTTGTGACAGACTTGCACTTAACAAGGCTCTTTAACGACCTATTCCAAAGGGTTTTCTAACAAAAACAACAGTAATTTTTAAAAATACATTTTTGTGTTCTGGTTTATGTAACTTCATCTTATGCTCTTGGTATCCCTGTGAGGTAATCTAAGAATGTAAGGCTCTGCACAAGAGATGCCTGCACAAGGATGTAGGAGACGGACTTGCAAAGTGGTTCACTAAGGTATTCTCCGTTAGTAGGAGGTTTGCCAACCGAATTTCTTTCATTCCACATCTGCGATGAGGCAGGGTGAATTGGCAGATTTCCCCAATCCGAAAGGAAGCTGCAATTCCCAACTCAGTCACTAGATGGCTACGTAACTGCATCCAGAGGGGACAGACAAGGAAAACAACTCCGTCCCAGAACCAGAATCCACCCAGAACCAGAATCGTCCCAAAGTGGCAGTAAACCAAATTAGCCTTTTTTTGGGAGCTTTCTAGATGTAAAATGGTTAGGAGGTGCTGAGTATTCTGAAATACACCGTGAGGGCATTACACTGAAAATGCTACTCATTCTGTTCCTGGATAAGTTAAAAGAATAACCGTAATATTTTTATCCTCCATCTTGTGGCTTTTTTTTTTATCTTACTCTTTCCTCTCTTCGTTCTCCCTCATCCATCAGAATTCATAAGAAGGGGCACAAGGGCAAATTTCCTTCTTTTTTTTTTTGTTTTGTTTTGTTTTGTTTTGTTTTGTTTTGAGACGAAGTCTTGCTCTGTCGCCCAGGTTGGAGTGCAATGGCGCGATCAACCTCTGCTTCCCAGCTTCGAGCTATTCTCATGTCTCAGCCTCCCGAGTAGCTGGGATTACAGGCGTGTACCACCATGCCGGGCTAATTTTTGTATTTTTAGTAGAGAAGTGCTTTCACCATGTTAGTCAGGTTGGCCTCGAACTCCTGACGTGAGGTGATCCACCCGCCTCAGCCTCCCAAAGTGCTAGGATTACAGGCGTGAACCACCGCGCCCGGCCTAAGGGCAAATTTTTTATGATCCCATTACTGAAACACACTTAAAATGTATCAAGGGACAGTAAGTTTACAAGTTAATCAGTAGCTCTCCAGGTGGAATTTTTAAAGGAGACCAAGTTTACGGTTTTATGAAAGAAAACACCCTCACAAGTTTCAAGAACATTTGGAAACTTCTGTATCAGATCAGATAAAAATCCATACAAATAGGTATTCTTTCCTTGATAATTGCTGTAACATTATGTGTATATGACTCCAGATGTTTTTTTCTTTTTTATTTTTATTTTTTATTTTTTTGAGACGGTGTCGCCCAGGCTGGAGTGCAGTGATGCGATCTTGGCTCACTGCAACCTCTGCCACCCAGGTTCAAGTGATTCTCCTGCCTCAGCCTCCCGAGTAGCTGGGACTACAGGCACACACCACCACGCCCAGCTAATTTTTGTATTTTTAGTAGAGACAGGGTTTTACCATGTTGACCAGGATGGTCTTGATCTCTTGACCTTGTGATCCACCTGCCTCGGCCTTCCAAAGTGCTGGGATTACAGGATTGAGCCACCGCACCCAGTCCAGGTGTTTTTTTCAAAGTACATAGTAGCATACGTTTCTTTATAAAAATAAAAACTAGCATTTAGAAATAATCTTTACAATTTTATTATAAAAAGAACTATTGATCAAACTGAAGACTGAGCTCTGATTTTTTTATTTTGCCCAAATTCCTACCTAAGGAGTCTAGGAAGTCATGCACTACAAACCATAAATTCTCATCAAATGGGTTTTATTTGACCCTATATATCGTGACACACTTTTCATTCTAACTCTGGCATAACACTATGAGACAAGGAAAAAATATTTAACCCCAAAATATATTTCCTTGCCATACCTTGAAATTGCCCTGCAAAGTGTCTTGTGGGAAAAATCCACATTTCCCTTTTGTTTTCCTTTTCTTTCCAGATCCTGGAGATAATCAACTAAGAGCCAGGCACCCTTTTAGGTCTGATAAGAAACATTTTACAACCTGCTTTCTCTCTGAACTCTGCTATCTGAGAGATTCCTCTGCACTCTGCATAATAAAACCTGGTCTCTATGATCCTTTTTCTTTTCTTTTTTTTTTTTTTTTTTGAGACAGAGTTTCACTCTTGTTGCCCAGGCTGGAGTGCAATGGCACGATCTCAGCTGACCGCAACCTCCACCTCCTGGGTTCAAGCGATTCTCCTGCCTCAGCCTCCCGAGTAGCTGGGATTACAGGCATGTGCCACCACACCTGGCTAATTTTGTATTTTTAGTAGAGATGGGGTTTCTCCATGTTGGTCAGGCTGGTTGCAAACTCCCGACCTCAGGTGATCCGCCCACCTCAGCCTCCCAAAGTGCTGGGATTACAGGCGCAAGCCACCACGCCACAGCCTCTATGATCCTTTTTCTTAACTTGAACATTCCTTTGCATTAACCCCAGGTCTTCAGGTGAACTCAACCAATTGTCAACCAGAAAATGTTTAAATTTACTTATAGCCTGGAAACCCCCGCTTTGAGGTGTCCCACCTTTCGGAACCAAACCAATGTATTTCTTAAATGTATTTGATTGATGTCTCATGCCTCCCTAAAATATATAAAACCGAGCTGTACCCCGACCACCTGGGTCATATGTTCTCAGGACCTCCTAAGGGCTGTGTTATAGGCCATGGTAACTTATATATGGCTCAGAATAAATCTCTTCAAATATTTTACAGGGTTTGACTCTTTTCACCGACAATAATCTGGTGCCCAACATTGGGCCTCGGAGAAGACTCAGGACCCTGAAGGAGTTGCCCAAAACTGGAGCTAAGGTACCAGCAGGAGCCCATTGAAGCCTCACCGAATTCGAGCTTCTCCTTCGGTGGAACTGGGAAGTTCTCCTGAGCCCCAACCTCCTGTTTTGGTTGATGGTCCTTGATTTATTCTAAGCTGATTTTTTCCTCTCTGTCTTTTCTCCTAGGAAGTTGGTTAAAATCTTAATTTTAGTTTCAGAAGTGCATTCAAAAGGATCTTTCTCCATTGCCTTTTCTCTCAAAATTAATCTCAATTGGCTTGTCTGTGCACACTTTGCGTGAGGAACTGAACTGTTGTTTTTCATAAGTAAGTGAGAGACTGAGTTCCTCAGCTCTGAAGTGAAAGGGCATTTTGCTCCTCCCAGCTGAAAGGCACCTCTGGGTGACCGGGGGCCTCGTGGGAGTGTCTGCGGAGGGCGGGGGGCGGGGGGGGTTGATCCCCTGTAATGTGCAGCGGCCCTATAGGAAACTCTCCAACAAATATTAATTTAAAAAGGCTCATCCAGGAAATGCACATAAGGGCTGATCACCCAGCGTCTTGAGCCCTCTCAGAGGTGATAGACCTCTGAAGAGAGAAATTGAGACATGTAAGAGTGTAGAAATAACTCAGTGGTGACACACTGTGGAGTGCTACTGACAGGCAGCACATATCGATCCACCACACAAAAACCTTAGTCCGCAGGTCAGTTCCCTAAAAAAAAAAAAAAACAAAAAAGATAGGAAATAAATCCTCCAAAAAAGAGGAAAGGCAAGGAGAGTGGCCCCCTGTGGGCACTCCAACTGAGTTTATGTTTAATAATTGTGGTGCCTTTACTTGCAATTATTTATGTAAATGGAAAGATCTTACTAAAGATGACCTAGGTTTAAGGTTTCCAAAATAGGGAACTTTGATATTCCTAAATTGGCTTTCCTGCATGCTAGATTAGACAAATTAGGCTCCCAAATCAAAGAAAATGAATGGCAATCGTACTTTAGCTGGCATCTAGAATCATCAAAAAGAGGGAAAGATAAGCTTGCCTTCCTCCAGGAAGTTAATTTAAAAATTTTTGAAACTGTTTCAGAATTTAAAAAAACCAGTAAAAGTCACTTCTGAAATCAGGAAGGCTCCAGAAACTGACTCCCCTTCTGCTCCTCCTGACCCTCTACTCTCTGAACTTCCTTATCCAGACAATTTCATTTTTCCTCCTCCTTTCCCTCCTCCCTTGCCTCAAACCACAGGGGGACCAGAAATAGCTGCAGAAAATAATATAGTAGTTGCTCCTTTTAGAGTAAAACCCATAAGCAGAGGGGATTCTAACATAATATATGCCCCCTGGACCAAATCATAGTTAAGTCCCTGGTATCTGGATTCCTCAATCCGATTGAAGATCCCTTTGGGTTTGCTTAGGAATTCCAGTTAAGTCTTAAGATTTATGACCCAGGGTTCTCTGACCTATATCAGCTGATTCAGTTACTGGTCTCCAAAAACAAAGCTGAAGAATGGTTTAGAGTAGCAGATTGGAAACAGCCTTTAGAAGATTTTGACAAAATAGATGCAACTGGAAGAGAGAAATGCAGAGAGCTCTGCAATCACCTCTGTGACACTGTACCACAGATATTCCCCAAGGTTATAGATTGATAGATTGAGCAAAGGTGCAACAATGTAAAATACACCCAAACGAGATCATGCCTGACTTTTATATCAGGTTTGAAAAGACATTCAAAGAGTTTTCAGGAATACCTCCTGAAAACTTTGAGCACGGTAAAAGTGACAACTTACTCAATTCTGAGTTTATTCAAGGTTTAGATAAAGAGTTAGCAACCCTAATAAAGAAGAATAATGTGACTTGGGCTTCCTTTCCCACTAGCCACCTAGTCACCCTAGCTGACCAGTTGTCACAAGCAATCATTAAGAAAGAAAAGGAAATAGTCTCTAAAATTATAAGTTTACAACTAAAACAACTTAGTAACCAAGTTGGGAGTTTGCAAGGGTCCCATGGTCTCCAGAGATCTAAGCAACCCCAAGAGGAAGCAATTTGCCACTATTGCAAAAAGAAAGGACATTTTTTAAAATAATGTAAAAAACTTAAATGGGTGCTTGCTCAACATGGGCAAAGGACCCCAAAGGAAGGCACCAGAACAACTCAAAAATCAGAATAAGGATGCTCTGAGGGAATAGAGAGGGTTTTCCCCCTACTTCTAACTAATGCTTTAGGAGAAGTAGAAATATCCATAAATGGGGAAAATATCAAAGCCCTTGTCGACATCAGCACTACACTGTCAGTCTTCAACCCTACCTTGATTAAAAACCCTCTCCCTTGGAGTAAAGAAAAAGTACACATGGTAGGGGTTTCAAACTCTCCTATTACAGCCTTTAAATCAAATCCCCTTCAATTTCAACTAGGAGAACTAGTGAGGGATCACATTTTTCTTATAGTAGATAGTGTCACACACACACCTGCTGGAACGGGATTTCCTAGAGACCCATAATGCTCATATCTCATTTTCACAAAAGGGAGAAATTATTCTCAACTTGGGAGACTTACAAAAACCCACATGTAGTATTGTGCTTGGGAAAGTCAATCAAGATTCTGGACAGGAAGAATTAGAGCCTTTCTTATCTAAAGTACCAGACTCCTTATGGGCAAGCTCTTCCACAAATATTGGGAGAATTAAGTCAGCAGTCCCTATAGAGATAACCATAAATAAATCCAAACCTCTGCCAAATGTGAGGCAGTATCTCCTTAGACCTGAAGCCTTCCTAGGAATCAAACCAATCATTCAGGACTATTTAGACAAAGAACTCATAGTACCCTGCACCAGCCCCTGTAGTACACCAGTCCTCCCAGTTAAAAAGCCAAATGAGAAAGGCTGGAGATTTGTTCAAGACCTAAGAGCTATAAATAAAATAATAGTTCCTAGACACCCTGTTGTTCCTAACTCCCACACCTTACTGTCCAATATTCCTATCACTGCAGCCACCTCTCTGTTATTGATTAATGTAGTGCATTTTTCAGCATACCTGTAGAGCAAAATAGCCAGTATCTTTTCCCTTCCACTTGGGACAATCACCAATACACATAGACAGTCTTACCCCAGGGCTACTCTGAAAGTCCTACTTATTTTTCTCAAATACTAAAGGCAGATTTCGATGACATTGAGTTTCCAAATGAATGTACTCTAACTCAGTATGTGGATGATTTATTGTTCGTCCTCCCTACCAAAATGCAGAGAAGATACAGTCCTTAAACAGCTTGCTTTTAAGGGACACAAAGTGCCAAAAGATAAATTACAATTTTGCCTCCCCCAAGTTAAATATTTGGGACATATGATTTCCCCAAGGGGGCTTTTAATAAACCCTAAGAGAATCTCTGCTGTTATGACATTTCCCCTGCCCAAAACTAAAAAACAATTAAGAGGCTTCTCACAGTTAACAGTCTATTACAGGAGCTGGATTCCGTACTACTGCTTAATTGCTCAACCCCTATATAAAAAACTAAAACAGACCCAGCCAGACCCAATCCACTGGGAAGAGAGGGAAAAAACAACACATAGAAGATCTAAAACAGGCTCTCACCCAAGCACTTGCTATAGGCCACCCCAATTACAGTCTTCCTTTTTCCCTCTTTGTACATGAAATAAATGGGAATGCTCTAGGAGTATTAACTCAAAAACATGGTGACAATCACAGACCAATTGGTTATTTTAGGCAACAGTTAGATTGAGTTGCAAGGGGGCACCCTCCTTGCATGAGGGCTATATCAGCTGCAGCCACATTATGCAAAAACATTGAAGAATTTGTCATAGGGTCCCCTCTGACCATCTATGTCCCCCACTCATGAAATCTCTTCTAAGCTGTCACTACACTTAACAATATTCTGTTAGCCACCTTGCCTCTTATGAGGTACTCCTGCTTTCTGCCTTCAACATCACTTTGAAGTGCTGTAACACTCTTAACCCTGCTACCCTGGTCTCCCTTCCAGGTGGACAACAAAAGGAAGAGGAACATGACTGCACTCTACTAACTAATATCTTACTCTCCTCTAAGGAAGATTTATAGGAAAACTCCCATTGAGAATGCTGAATTAATTTGGTTCACAGATGGTTGTTATTTAAGGGATATTACCAGGCAGGATACACCATCACTTCCATAACAGACATAATCGAAAGTGCCCAACTCCAAGGAGTCAAATCAGCCCAGATGGCTGAATTAATAGCATTAACTAGACACCAACTGAAGGATTCCTTACAACCCCTCCAGAAAGGACCTTTGCAGGTGCTTTTAACCAACTCTTGCTCTGCACGTTAAAGAGAGTCGCTTCTTGGATTCACATTTTACACCTAAAATGAGCACCTGACCACATTCCTGACTGCCCCTGAACTTCCGCAGCAGTCTCTGACACCCACCTGCAAATCAAGAGAACACTGGAGGCTCAGCCAATCTCTAGGGCTACAACAAAGTCAACATACTTCCAGAGATGCTGGACCAGGCTAGTCCTCATGAACCCTAAAATAACCATCATTTTTACTTTCCTTGCTATAGAATATTGCTAAAACACAAATGTTTTAACTGAGACCCCCAAGAAGCTGTTTGGAATCTATGCAATCTTCTTTGGTATAACTTTCTAAATGGATGTGGCTACACATTCCCTTGCTAAAGCCAGGAAAATGTTTTACTTGTTCATTCTCATTCCCACAATCTCCTCTGTCTACCTACCCCACACTCCTCTTTCCAACCTGAAAATTTCTCCCAGTCCCCTGTAAACCTCAGCAGTCTTCCTGCAGGCAGAGCCCACATCATTTGGTATGATATAGACCAGGAGGAAATGAAGACTGTTATATGGAAGAGCACCATTCTAAACATTCCCCAAGGTCCCCACTTTTTAGGTACCCCTATTATAGGGCTGCAACCAAATATGACGCCCTGCAGGAATACTTTTTCTAACAATGCCTCAGGATGATCACTGAGGGGGTCTAACCAGGTAGAACGTTGCATAACAATAGATATTGGGGATGATCACTTGAGACAACTGCCTTGTTACAATGTCTCCTGTGTAAACTGCCATAGCATGGCCTGCCCAAATAACTACCAGCCCTGTGCTTGTGGCTGGATGCTCCTATCCAGTACCAACCACACTGACACTGCCCTTAAATAACTATTTATGGAAGTCAATTGGTGGACAGAAGTCCCTGACAGCACAAATTCCACCCTAAAACCAGGGCGCCACTGGGAAGCCTTATGGAATACCCAGACAAGAGCATACTTAGGTGTAACCTCCACTAACCTAACAATTGTTTGGGATACCCAGCAGTTCTGCATTGACTCCATTTATCCAAATTGTACAAATGGCATCAGTATACAATGGCAACAGCATTCTTGATGGATACACGAAAATTGGCCACCCAAAAAACTAAAGCATGACCTCACTGGAGGAGTCAGAGCTGGGCAAGGCATACTGGGGCAAGCTGAGTTCATGGCTAATGAAGAGAGACATTCTTTAGAAAAAAAAATCCCTATCAAAAATAGGCCACATAGAAGGAATGCTATTCCAGGAAGAGGGAAAAGGATGGGAAGCTGCTTTAAAAGATAATGCAGCACTCATCAAATGGATAGAAGAAACCAGACAAACCATGAAAACATACTCCCAAATCCAAAGATGGGAACAAGCATCTACTCTTACCTGTAGGGGCTCATGTCTATTTTATTACAAATGGAATCAGAGGTGGATATGAAGCATGGTCTACAGTCCTCAGTACTGAGGCACAATCCAAACACCTGTGGAAAATATGTGGTCCTCCAAACTTATGGAGATTTTTGGACGTTAAGTGTGATCTTAAACATTGTATTCTCAGAGAACAGGCACCGAAGTTAAATGAGGCTCAAAGGTACTACCCCTGGGAAATAGGTGGGCTATTTTAGCTGATAATAACACATGGTATTCCATCTCCCTTTCAGATTATGAAAAGAGAAAAGGAGAATGGCTATGGCCTCAAACCACTTGGAACCCTGATTTTCCTAAACTTGGCCTCTAATATCCACCCCCATGGAACATAGCATCTGGTATATAAGGAAGGGCCATTTCTGTTGGGAGGGACAACAAAATGACACTGTAGAATTACATGACTTCTCCTGTAACAAAACCTCCTTTCTCTCCCAAATACCAGTATATGGTGCAATACAAAGGTGGTGGGAAAAATAGATTTGTCCACTGTTAATAAGTCCTATAACAATTTAGACATTGAGGGCCAGGCATTCCTTGCATTTGATTTATACCCTCCTCAGGATGTTATACCCATGGAGATAAATTGGCCGGAAGAGAGACTAAATTTATTAGATTCTGATTTAGTGTCAGTCCTACAATCCTCAAATAAGATTTATCATAAGGTTCAAATGACCCTTGATAAGGAGGGTAAACACATTGTGAGTCTGATCAAAGAATATGATGATGCATGCAGTGGTTTTTTTTGCTGGTTAGGTTGTTTACTGCCCTCCGACTCTACCTGTAACCTTCTTGGATGCCTAATCTTTGCTATCTTGGGTATTTTGGTATTCGTCTCGGTATTTATCTTGGTATTTGTCACTGTATTAGCATTATATATCTCTTGTAAATGTTATGCCAGTTACAGCAAAATGAACAAGGCACAATTAAAGACCCAGATCATGATAGCTCACAAAATAGATATGATCTGGGATTTTTTTATACTAAACCCTAGGTCTGACTCCATCTCACCCCTTAAACTACTGGTTATTACACCAGGTCAGACCATTTCCTCCCGCCATGATCCAAATTGCAAATACTTAAAATTATTATCACCCAACCAGACTACTCTAGGAATGAGCGTTCCTAGCACTGTGGGACCTGTTGCTGTTTGTTGGCCTGCATATGCATTTTGTGGAATGCTTTTTGGCCAAGAAGGGGGATGGAGGACTAAGCTCTGTTTTTCATTTTGCCCAAATTCCTACCTAAGGGGTCCAGGGAGTCATGCCCTACAAACCATAAATTCTCATCAGATGGGTTTTATCTGACCCTGTATATCACGACTTACTTTTCAATCTGACTCTGGCATAATATTATGAGACAAGGAAAAAATACTTAATCCCAAAATATATTTCCTTGCCATACCTTGAAATTGCCCTGCAAAGTGTCTTGTGGAAAAAATCCACATTCTATAGAGAATCCCCTTTCCCTTTTGTTTTCCTTCCTTCCTTTGCAGATCCAGGAGATAATCAGCTAAGAGCCAGGCACCCTTTTAGGTCCAATAAGAAACATTTTACAACCTGCTTTCTCTCTGAACTCTGCTATCTGAGAGATTCCTCTGCATAATAAAACTTAGTCTCCACAATCCTTTATCTTAACCTGAACATTCCTTTCCACTGATCCTAGGTCTTCAGATAAACTCAATCGTCAACCAGAAAATGTTTAAATTTACCTATAGCCTGGAAACCCCCGCTTTGAGTTATCCCACCTTTCTGAACCAAACCAATGTATTTCTTAAATGTATCTGGGTTGTTTGTTTGTTTGTTTGTTTGAGATGAAGTCTCACACTGTCACCCAGGCTGGAGTGCAGTGGCACGATCTTGGCTCACTGCAACCTCCACCTCCTGGATTCAAGTGATTCTCCTTCCTCAGCCTCCCAAGTAGCTGGGATTTCAGGTGCGCACCACCATGCCCAGCTAATTTTTGTATTTTAGTAGAGATGGGGTTTTACCATGTTGGTCAGGCTGGTCTCAAACTCTTGACCTCAAGTGATCTGCCCACCTCAGCCTCCCAAAGTGCTGGGATTACAGGCGTGAACCACCGTGCCCAGCTTTTAAATGTATTTGATTGATGTCTCATGCCTCCCTAAAATATATAAAACCTAGCTGTACCCCAACCACCTTGGGCACATGTTCCCAGGACCTCCTGAGGGCTGCGTCACAGGCCATGGTCACTTATATTTGGCTCAGAATAAATTTCTTCAAGTATTTTACAGAGTTTAACTCTTTTCATCGACAAAACGTCAACAAATCTCACTCAGCATCTTCTTCTCTTACTATGAATATTCATGGCCTTTAGTAAAGTTGTGTTCAATTATTTCTTTTTATCTTTTAAAAATAATTAAATTTATTTAGACCTCCTTCTAAATCCTTAAGTGTTATTGGCATTTCTGCTACAAAGGTATTCTCACCAATTCCTACCAATTTTCTCTCATTCTTTGAAATTACACATTTGAAAATTGAACCTAGGTTATATTTTTTAGGTTGATTTATCACTTTTGAAACATGTTACTTTATTTTATTATCATTGCTTCTCTTGGTTTTGGGCCCTACTAACTTTAGGTGGGATTAGCACACTTTACTATTCATCCTTCTATTGTCTTCATGGAAGTTCTGTGACACTGCAGTTTTGTTCATTCTTTAGCATTTTAAATGCCTGGATGGGATAAAAACAGACAGAAAAGCAAAATGTAAATAAAGAAATAGCTATTTTGGCAACCGCAGAGAACAATTTCAACTACATGTTAGCATTGTATATAGATAAAATGAAATAATGAATGTGAAGGCACTTTGAAAGATACAAAAGTATGCCATGCAAATGTAAATGAACATAATATTTGGCTTGACTTCAAGTGGAAATCAAGAACTGCGAAAATAATGCCTTGTTATGATTTACCAAATGCCTGGGGTTAAATATCTGGGGCGAGAGCATGGAGACACATAACTAACATCATTTCTTAAACTACTTGAATACTCTTTACATTATTTACTTATTGGTGTTCTGGCTACTGTTGTGACTCTTAACACATCTTAGTAACTGAGCAATGGAAGAATGCATTTTTACAGTAACCCAGAGATTACAGTGAATATCAGGGACATAAATCAGCACAAAGTCTTAAAAGTGATTGGTTTGACAAGACGGAGCCAGTGTAATGTGGCTTTTCTATTAGCTTGGCTATAAAGTTGGCTATTAACTTAGCACTTAATTGGATCCTCCTGCAGGGAAACCATAAGAGCATTCAGTCCTGCAGGCTAAAAGAACATGGTGTACCTGTTGAATAGTGTTTAAGGTACTTTAAAAGTCTAGTTATAATTGAGTAACGACTAAACACAACTCTATTATATCAGACTTTTAGAGGTAGTAGGTATAGTGTCTACCTACACAAAATTGTGTCTGAACATCTGAGTCTGAATCCATTTACAAACTGTGTGCCTTTGATCATATATTTTAGCCTTTATGAGGCTGTTTCTTCATCTGTATACTAAAAGTATCTGTCCTTCTTACTTCCAAGAATTATAGGAATGAAGTCAGATCATACACAGGAAAGAGCTTTAGAGACATAAACACCACACAAACATTAATTATAATTACCAAATGTAACTATCATATTTTACAAATGAGGAAACCAAGGCCCAGAAAAGCTGAATGATTTGGTTAAGGAGCTATTGTGGCTGAGTTAGATCTAGAATACAAATTTTCAAGGCCTCTTTTCTTTTCAGTATATCAATCAGTACTGGTTTTTGACATTTTATATATACTAAGGTCTCCATCCATGACTCATTTACATACAATTTATTACCCAGCCATAAAAAGTAATTAAAATTTAACTTTAAGTTTGTTGGAAGCTAGATTTAATTACTATGTATGTTTAGACGCATTACTGAACTTCCAATTGTAGCTGGGCTAGTCCCTGAAGGAAAAAGGTTTTTGTTTTTATTTTGCATGTCAGTGCTTGGTTAAAATGTCTGTTTTTATAAGAGAGTCACATGAGATACTCTAAACCCTAAATCTAATTACTGGGAAGAATCTAAAAAACAAATCCAAACCTTGTATGAAAGCCAAACCTTCATTGTACTTTCCAGTCTTCCGAAAATCACATTTTTCGTCTTCATCCTAGCATATATTTTAAGCCTTTAATTTTGCTATTCACATAAAAAGGACGAGTTGTAGCCTCAAAGATATTTTATTCTAATATGATTTTCATCCTAATAAATTTATCAATCATGTGTGAAAATAGCATTATACCTAAAGATACTTTTGTTTTAAATAAAGCTATTTTGAGTTTTTTCTTACAATTTGTGATGGATTAGGACTAAATAATGTCCAAAGTTTGCCTCTAACTCTAAGCTCCTATGAACTAAAATTCAGAATTATAGGAGGAAACTAGATCAATATTTATTTTTCCAGCTACAGTTGCATGGAGATTTGAGACTAGTTTCATTTTCACGGAAAAAAAATACACAAGGACATGTTCATCCTTGAGGCCTTATTAAGGAATGTTTTTCGAAGCTTTGTGAGGCAAGGCGCAGTGGCTCACGCCTGTAATCCCAGCACTTTGGGAGGCCGAGGCGGGTGGATCACCTGAGGTCAGGAGTTCAAGACCAGCCTGGGCAACATGGAGAAACCCTGTCTCTACTAAAAATACAAAAATTAGCTGGGAGTGGTGGCGTGCGCCTGTAATCCCAGCTACTTGGGAAGCTGAGGCAGGAAAATCGCTTGAACTCAGGAGGCAGAGGTTGCAGTGAGCCAAGATCGTGCCACTATCTAGCCTGGGTAAAAGAGCAGGACTCTGCTCAAAAAAAAAACAAAAAACAAAACAAAAAAAAAAAAAACAAAGCTTTGTGAGTGTGTGGTAGTTTAATTTTACAGTGTTCCACTATGGAGAACACATGGATTTTGTATCTGAAGATTTGGCTCATGTACTAGCTGATCTTAAGTCTCTCTAACTCTCAATTTTCTAATGTTTTAAATGGGGTTTTTTCAACCAGATGCCCAAACTTAATCTATAAGATTTATTTTTTAAAGGAAGGGGGAGGGCAGGGTATTGAAATAATCTAGAAAAGCTATTATTTTAAAGCTAGAATTTTTCAGTCTAGAGAAAGGTAAAAACTTGACTATTCATTGCATTCACCCTTTGTTCTGGAAAAAATACCCAACTGGGCCCTTTACAAAAAGTAAAACTTGTAGCTAATCTGGATCATGAAGAGCACTTTGAGAAAACATAACTGCAGATATTTCCAGCAGAGAAGCTAACTAGATATTCTGGTTAGTAAAGCAATTATTGTGAGTTTCTGAGCTTGTACTTCATCTCCGCCTGCTTTGTTGCTTTTGAATTTGAGGCAGTGTCTCTTTTCTTTCCATATGAATCTAAATGGATTGGGCAGCCTTCTTGCTTGTGCATGGGAAAATATGTATTCTTGCCTGAGAAGGTACTGTCCAGAAATCTGAAGCTGAGGCCCAGGAGATGGCAGGGTGTTCCTTACTTGACACAGAATGCCACATCACCAGCCCATACCTGAGCTGTGCTGTTTGCCTTATTTCTCCAAGAATATATGAGCTTCAGCCCCTTCCTCCATTTTCCAGAAGTGCCAAAACAAAAAGGTCAACAAAGCTAACAGCTGAAGCATCTCTATGCTAGCAATTTTCCCACGAAGTGGTTGAGATGAGATCTTGAACTATTTTAACGCAAACAAAATTCTTGTGTCCAAACTTCTAAATCACTTTAAACATTCTATTCAAAGTTTTTCAACCCAATGGTTTTTCTTTATTCTGACTAATTTTGTGAAAGGAGGGAATGGATATTTTATCATAAGAGAGTGACTAGGCATTCAAGAAGTGCTTGTGGAATGAGGAGGAATTATTGAGTCCTTCCAGAAGTGAGCGAAGGGAGAGGTGACACTGTGTAGCACAGATCTACTGACAAGAGCTCCTCAACAGGGTTTGATGATTCTGATAGTCATCTCCATTTGGGTTATGTTTAAGGGATGTTCTCCTGGAATCTGCCTGACACCTGTTTTTTTTTTCTTGTCTTAGTTCAGGCTACTATACCAGAATATCATAGACTGGATGGCTTAAACAGCAAACATTTATTTCTTGCAGTTCTGGAGGCTAGGAAGTCTAAGATCAAAGTGCTGGAAGATATGATGTCTGGTGAGGGCCTGCTTCCTGGTTCATAGATGGTCATCTTCTCACTGTGTCCTTACTTGGCATAAAGAGGGCTAGAGAATTCTCTGAAGTCTCTTTTATAAGGGCACTAATCCCATTCCTGAAGGCTTCACCCTCATGACCTAATCACCTCCAAAGGTCTCACTTCTTAATACCATCATATTGGGGTTTAGGATTTCACCATATGAATTTGCAAGGCACACAGACATTCAGTCCATACATTTCTAGTCCCTTTCTCCTGAGGTCAGTATGTATTAAAGGAGCAGAATCTTACTCCTTTCCCCTTGGAAGGTATGCTTCAGTGGAAAGGCGAAGATCGCAGTATTTTAGACATCTCCAGATATTGTGTCCATAAGAGGGAAGGCTGTCGGCATGGGCAATTTAAATTAATTTGTCTTTTCTTTTTATGGACTTGCTATGTCTACAAAAAGCAAACTTATCAAGTTAAATTAAATATATGCCTTCATTTAACAAATATGTATTGAGGGCCTATCTTAGACACTATTCCAGGCGCTCAGATACAGTAATGAATAAGACAAAGTCTCTGCCTTCCCAGAGTTTGTGTTCCAGCGGGGATAGGGAGACAATAACAAATAGGTAGATACACAGTAAGCCAGGTGGTAAATGCAACAAGAGAAAAATACAGCAAGTTAAGGAGGATACGGAGTGTCATTATATTTGTGGGAAGGGGTGTAACATATTGATTTCTGTTTCAGATATCCATTGCCACACAACAAAACACCCTAAATCCTATTGGTTAAAAAATATTAGCTTGGTGTGGTGGCATGCACCTATAGTCTCAGCTAGTCAGAAGGCTGAGGCAGGAAGATTGCTTGAGCCCAGGACTTTGAGTTTACAGTGAGCTATGACTGTGCCACTGCACTCCAGCCTGCGTGACAGAGTGAGACCCTGTCTCTAAAATTAAAAAAAAAAAAAAAAAAACTTTAAGAAAAAAATGTATGATCTTGTAGGTTCCCTGGGGTCTTTAAACAGTTGCGGTCATATGGCAAATCGGGCCAGGGTTATCTGAATAATTGAATGGGCCGGACATTCCAAACGGCTTTTTCATTCACATGGCTGGCCCCTCAGCTGGGAAGGCTGGAACAACTGGGGTCTGGCCAGGCATCACTCTGTCTGCACATGACCTTTCTATGTGGCTATCTTGGGCTTTCTCACAACATGGTGGGATTGAGTAGTCAGGCTTCTCCCATGCCGGTGGCTTCTCCTGAAGCAAATATTCCAAAAACTCCAGGTGAAAACTGCAAGGCTTCTTATGATGTAGCCTTGGAAGTCAGGCAAGCATCACCTCCACTACATTCTATTGGTCAAAACAAGTCACAGGGCTCACTAGATTCAAGGAGAGAGGACTCTATGAGGCTGAGAATATTGGAAGATGTGGCTCATTAAGGGGCCATTTTTGGACACTAGCTACCACAGTTATTAAAGGGATGGCCTCACTGATAAAGTGACATTTGAGCGGAGATAGAAGGGAAGCCAGGGAGAAGCCATGTGGGTATCTAGAAGAGATCTCCTAGCAGGGTGAACAGCAAACACAATGTCCTGAGGCAGAAGTAGTCGTAATATGTTTCTGAAAACAAGGAGACCAGTGTGGACAGAGTGAGATTAGTGGAGAGAAGGAGAAGTCATTCAGATAGGGAAGGAGGGGTTAGATGATATATAGCCTTATAAGCTTTTTAAGGACTTGAAATTTTATTTGGAGTGATACGAGAAGCCAATCCGTGATATTGAGCAGAAGGATGATACGACCTGACTTCTATCTTTGTTTTTTAGGCTAGTCATGTGAAGCCGTGGGAGTGGGGAAGGCTGACTTCTGTCTTAAAGGCTTACTCTGGATCATAATGTTGAGTGAAGGCTGTCAGGAGACAAAGAGGTAGGAAACAAGTTATTGCCATCATCCAGGCCAACAGACAATGAAGCTTGGAGCAGGGTAGTAACAGCAATAGAAAATATATTCTAATATATTTTAAAGTTAGAGTCCTCAAGATTTTCTGATGTTCTATGACAGAAAGAGAATTAAAGATGGCACCAAGGTTTTTTTGCCAGGGCAATTAGAATAATGGAGTTGCCATTTATTAAGCTGGGGAAGACCACATGAGCTACATTTAGCGGGGAGTTGGTCTTCAGGAATTTGGTTTTGTATGTGTTAAGTTTCAGATGCCTATTAGATGTCCAAGTCGAAATGAAAATAAATACAAAGTTTATCAGGTCATGTTCATGCTCTGATTTTATATAATTGCATGTATTAATAAAAATTGTTGCACTTAACATAAGAAAATAAAATATTTGGGTAGCACACAGCATTCTAAGAAACCTGGAAACCCATACTGATGGTCTCCAGTGAACTCTAAGCTCTCATTTTGACATAAATGAATAGGCAGTAGTGTCGTGAAAAGAACATAGGCTTTGAACTCAGGCAGACTTGGGTCCGGATGCAGACTCTACCCTTTATTAGCAGTGAGGCTTCTGCATATTACATAATCTAAGCCTCAGTTTTCTCATTTATAAAATGAGAATAATGACACCTTGGAATACAGTTGTTAGAATTAGGTGAGTGAATGCATGTAAGGCACCTGGCACACAACAGATACTTGGTAAATGGTAGCCATTATGAATGTGCCCACTGTTTTTTTTCCTAAGTTCTTGCATGGCCTCTTCTTCTGGCAGACATCAGGGGAGGTGGCAGAAAGCAGGGCAAGACTCAGTGGGGGACAGTCCTACTGAGGTGCTGAACTGTGTGGTCCCACCTTACCCCTGGACATGCACCTGCAAACTTTGGGCAGGTCTCTGGGTGACGGCTCGATAGAATAACAGCAGTGATAAGCAACAGCAGTCTGTACAGCTAGCATCCTCCCAGACTGTCCCAGTGAGACATGTGAACTGTAGTTCAGCAGAAGTGTGGGCAGGGGACACATGCTCAGGACCCTGGGTTAAACAGGATTGCATTTACTTACTGACGTTTCAAGCAATAGAGGCACAGCAACACGAGGTAGAGGGACACTGCTGCCAGGGAACATGCCTAGGACAGTGCTATCTTATTGTTTTAACCTTCAATAAATATGCTGCCCTTGAGGTAAATGACAACTAGAGTAGGAGCATGTAGCCAATGCTGGGTGCCATCTTCCAAGGTCTAAACTGATGTAAGTCCTGTGGGAATTGGGGTAATAGGAGTACATAGAAATTTTTAAGAAAACAGTTAAGTAAGGTGACCCACTGAGAGTAAAAGGGGGAAACAGGTATGATGAGCCATCTAGGGGCGTGTGCAATGTGATAGAACAGCCAAGCAGTGTGGCCGGGCGTAGTGGCTCACGCCTGTAATCCCAGCACTTTGGGAGGCCGAGGCAGGTGGATCACCTGAGGTCAGAAGTTGGAGACCAGCCTGACCAACATGGCAAAACCCCATCTTTACTAAAAATAGAAATATTAGCCAGGCATGGTGGCGAGTGCCTGTAAAGTCCCAGCTACTTGGGAGGCTGAGACAGGAGAATTACTTGAACCCGGGAGGAGGAGGTAGCAGTGAGCCAAGAGAGATCATGCCAGGGCACTCCAGCCTGGGCAACAGAGCGAGACTCTGCCTCAAAAAAAAAAAAAAAAAAGAACAGCCAGGCAGCATGGAGGGCCACAAGATGCCCATAATCATGAATGATCGTGAATTTAAAGTGTGTCTGCTCAGCATGGTTGCATGTTTTCCCCCAACACTTTTAAGCACAAACTAGGCAGAGAGTTGGTTTTAACCATACCTAGGATATTGCCAGGCACATACTGTACTCTGAAAGGAGAGAGAGGCAAATAAGTTGGTGTATGCAAGGACTGCAAATGGAAGCTGGCTAAGGAGGGGCATTCAGGACACAATGGCCATGAGGGGTAGTGGAAGGTGTCAGGGTCAATGGACTCTAGGTCCCCATGGAATTCAGGAATGCTTTGAGCAAATCTTGGCATTACACTTCTTTTTTTTTTTTTTTTTCTTTTTTTGATAGAGTCTCACTCTGTTGCCAAGCTGGAGTGCAGTGATGTGATCTCGGCTCACTGCAACCTCTGCCTCCCGGGTTCAAGTGATTCTCCTGCCTCAGCCTCCCAAGTAGCTGGGACTACAGATGCATACCACCATGCCCAGCTAATTTTTGTATTTTTAGTAGAGACAGAGTTTCACCATGTTGACCAGGATGGTCTTATCTCTTGAACTCGTGGTCCGCCTGCCTTGGCCTCCCAAAGTGCTGGGATTACAATTCTTTTTTTAAAAGGTGCTTAAGAATGGGACATTTCCTTGCCATCTTCCCACATCACCTTCTTTATTCTCACTTTTTTTATTCACCTTTGCACAGTTTAAATAGTAAGCTTATGAGGTAGAGTGTTGCTAGCTTCTTTGCTTCTATTGAGGTTTGGGGGGCAGGGGACAGGACATCGCTCAGAGTGCAAACTCATAATTCTCGCAAATAGTTAAATGGTGTTATTTGGAAGTCCTTTAGTATTATCCAGATTTGGCTTAGAAATAGGATTATGCTGCTGAACTTTATTTTTCTTCTTAATGTACAAAGAGCTCTCTTAACTCAGACATTCCGGTGCTTTGTTGGAATTTTCTATGTAATGCAGCCTATTACAGAGTAATTTTGAGGGGAGTTGTAACTTGACCTCTAACTTGGGGCAGGATCCTAATAAAATAGAAGTCTCCTGACCAGAGCTTCTTGCTCAGGTTCCTAACAGGAATGTCTTCTCTCCAGAATGGCTGCAGGAGATCAAATGACAGAGGCAGTTTTATCAGTTTGTTGTGCTGGTCTTTCACCTGCCTGAAAACTATCTTTAAATGATTGCTTTCCAAGTGCAATGACACAGCAGTCTGTTTTCTAGAGACCTGAAGTTCAAATAAGCTTCTTGTTTGCCCTGGTGATTCTGGAGGTGATTTAAGGTAGAAAGAGCAGTTCTCAAAGACACAGAAAGAGCCAAAAATAATATAATTTGTAAGATTTTGAAACTCAAAAAAGTGAAAATGACCCACTAAGTCCACCATCCCTGCCTTGAATAGTCTCCATGTTCATCTTCCCACTTCTACACAGGATTGCAGAGAAGCTGTTCTAAAAGAGAGCTTTCTGCCCATTTAGAAATTAGGTCCAAAACTCTGTCAATGTCTCAAGAATTTTCTAAAGTTATATTTATCTTTATGCAGATTTACTCCTCCACACTTGTACTCATTCTTTCATTGGCTACAGAGGGATATTCCCAGTTTGGAAAGTAATTCATTTCTTGTTGCTACGACAAACAAACCTAATGGTTAAATTATTTTCTTACCACAAGAAAAATTAATCATGATAAACTAGAGCATAAGTCTGGATTTTTTGGTTTTTTGAACCTATGGAAAACATAGCCTTGTGAAAGGTGACTTGAATTCTCCCGGAGTTCAACTCCTTCATCTTCCTGGCATTGTGGAATAGTGGAAAGAGAAAGAGAGCTGAAGTCAGAAGCCTCAAATCCCAACTCTGCTTTTATAAGCTGCATCATCACAGTTTATATTATTCTTAATTTATAGCTCCAGTCTCTTCATCTGCAAAATGTTAAGAAGCATGCCTATATTTGTTACCAGATAATCAGGTAACATATGAAAACTACTTTGTAAACAGTAAAACATTGTAAAAAGTGTCTTTATTTGTAGAGTTCACTCCAAGATGCCTCATGTTAACTTGTTTGGGGTCCTCCCTGAGCCCCTCTCCATCTTCCCTCTGCTCTTTCTTTCCCCAGCTTCCTCTCTCATTTCCCTAGTGTTCAGCTTTCCTTCATGGAATGTTATTGTAGCAGAGTTCCCAGAAATGACACAAAAACTAAAAACACAGTCAAAGAAGAAAGTAATAACAGTGTACAGAGACCTTCCTTCGGCAAAACACATTTCTTAGAGGGTGCTATAAGACTGGGCAAAGGGGGAGCAAGAGGAAAAAGCAGATTGGAGAAGCCAGTGACAGGAAAGCAGGAGATGGGGAGAAGGAAGAGTAAAGGAGCCAGGAAAGAGTCAACTAGAAAGGGAGAGAACGCACATCACTCCCAAGTTTCTGAGCCCGGTCGGGAAAGGAGGATAGAGGGCTGCATAATGCCAATAAATCATAAAAGTACATAAAAGGGAGTTTGTACAGAAAAGAGCAAAGTAAGCACAACAGAACAAAATTCTTTTCCAGGAGCGGGTATCAGGTAGCATTGCATGTAGGCACTGTGATAAACTAAAGTTATTGTGCAGTATAAACTGACAGGAAGAGTTTAATAAGAGTATGTGATTCCTACAGCCAATTACTAGAAAGAAAATGTAATCACTGTTATATTTGTATTGCAGGTAAAATTATACTATGACCAATAAAATAGAGAAAAGATAGGCCGGGCACGGTGGCTCACGCCTGTAATCCCAGCACTTTGGGAGGCTGAGGCGGGTGGATCACAAGGTCAGGAGATCAAGACCATCCTGGCTAACACAGTGAAACCCTGTCTCTACTAAAAATACAAAACATTAGCCAAGCGTGGTGGTGGGTGCCTGTAGTCCCAGCTACTCGGGAGGCTGAGGCAGGAGAATGGTGTGAACCCAGGAGGCGGAGCTTGCAGTGAGCTGAGATTGTGCCACTGCACTCTAGCCTGGGTGGCAGAGCAAGACTCTGTCTCAAAAAAAAAAAAAAAAAAAAAAAAAATATATATATATATATATATGTATATATGTGTATATATATATATATGTATATATATATATGTATATATATATGTATATATATATATGTATATATATATATATATAGAGAGAGAGAGAGAGAGAGAGAGAAAAGATTTGCTTAAAATGCAAATGCTCTGTGCACATGAGGGAACATGTGTAGGAAATTAATTTAGAGCAACACACATTCCCATCTACAAGCTTCCCGCCTCCGTGAAATAAAGGGGCACTCTGCAAAAGCTCAGAAGTGTGTTTTTGGTAGATACCAGGTGTGGAAATTGAAAGGATGAAGGGGCTGGAGGAGGAATCACCACCAAGACTTGGGCTGGGATTCACAGAAGGAAGAGTGGCCTACACGGAACAGCAATCCTGTTAAGGACGAGACTCTTTAGTGGAATTTCTTGAGTAGGGTAATTGCTAATACCTAGTCTACTTTGTAATTAAAGAGAGCCACATAAGCCCACTTGCAGACCTAGGCTCCTGTGTAAAGATTACCAACCAATCCTCAATCTTCTGACACACACATATAAGATGTCTTTCTTTGAGCCTGGATAAGGGCAGAGCAGACCATATTACATCCTGGACTTTTACTCTCACAAGACTGTTTCAGAATCTAGCATTGGGGTAGAAACCAGGATAGTGAGCTAAAGTTGGGAGCTAAATATTCTACATCTTCAAGCTCCTCAGATAAAACCATAGAGGAGGTAAACTATTTCTGTTTTCATATTCCAAAAGTATTCCATGACTCATCCCTTTCTTTTTTCTTGAGTGTTCCTTCTCTTTCATATCACATCCATCTCATCTCAGGCGAACCTAATCTCTGTTACCCCACTGTGAGCACCAGGAAAGGTCTTTCCATGTAGTGTTGTCTTGAGATACACCAAGTTGATTTCACTTCTGCTTTGGCTGCTCTGAAATCAACCACTTTATGCAAAATTGAATGTAGGTGACTTATCTAAAGGTTAGGCAAGGTGCTAGTGAAGAGAGGCCCTCTTCTGTTAGCTGGGGAAGACTGGACTTTCTCTACCAAATAGTTCAGGTAAAACCCTTGCTGTCAGGCCTCTAGGCAGCTTTCACAGCCGTCAGTTCTCTGCTTGTGCTCAATGGCCAACAGAAAGAAAAAACAAACAAAAATTCCAGGCCATCCCATGGGCCTCAAAACTAGGACTTGATGACTTCTGAGGTCTGACCTCACTTGCAGGTTCAGAATCCTAAGGCGGTAGCCTCTACCTTCATGTTCATCTGAACAAGTTAAGCAACATTTATGTTGCCAGTCTCTGAAGTCATTGTGTAAGGGAAAGCACGCAGAGAGAATGAAAACCTTTTGCCCTGAGGGAAAAACTCTTCAACTTCCACTTTGAACACAACCAATGAGACTGAGCAAGAAAACATCTTTCATAACTACTTGCTGAGTGTTAAAACAGAAGTCAGGGATAGATTCTTTGTCTACATCAGGACTGTTCTTGTTTTAAAACAAGAAAGCAGGCCGGGCACGGTGGCTTATGCCTGTAATCCCAGCACTTTGGGAGGCTGAGGCGGGTGGGTCACCTGAGGTCAGGAGTTCCAGACCAGCCTGGCCAACATGGTAAAACCCCGACTCTACTAAAAATACAAAAAAATTAGCTGGGCGTGGTGGCACCCGCCTGTAGTCCCAGCTACTCGGGAGGCTGAGGCACGAGAATCGCTTGAACCTGGGAGGCAGAAGTTGCAGTGAGCCAAGATGGCACTATAGCGCTATAGCCTGGGCTACACAGTGAGACTCCATCTGAAAAAAAAAAAAAAAAAAAGAAAGCAAATGTAGGAGAGCCAGTCGTGCACTTATAAACACTCAACTTTGGAAAAACTGGTACACAGTGCCTTTTATGTTATAGGGCAAAAGGGGTTTATCTATCTGCTTGTGTGGGAAAATTCCAAATACGTTTTATGCACTTATCAATTACAAAATACAATACCCTAAAAACAGTCCATCATATTTCTCTTTTTGTCTTGGTTTTCCAAATAGGCAGTGAGGTTGCTGGGCATGGTGGTGCATGTCTGTAGCCCCAGCTACTTGGGAGGATGAGGTGGGAGGATCACTTGAGCCCAGGAGTTCAAATCCAGCCTGAGCAATATAGCTAGACCCCTAAAAAATGGGGGGGAAAATCCCACATATTATTAAATTGTTTACCTACAAAAATTGTGAAAATTCTTTGGTTAAAACTGTAACCAAGAAAACCAGATTTTGATGAGATTTTAAAAAAATAAGTAGCTAGGTTTTATTCTCACTTTTAGTAGCTGCCCATAGTGTAAATGTACTCCTAACATTATATCCATGCTTCATTACTTGACTCTTGTCTTTTTGCTCTTGATTTTTTTAGGTTTGTAATTTAAAGTTCCTGTTTCTCTTATTGTATCTATCCCTCATCTAATTTGGAAAAATAAAGAGCATACAGAAGAAATGCATTATTTTATTATTATTTTATTTATTTATTTATTTATTTATTTAGATGGAGTCTTGCTCTGTCGCCCAGGCTGGAGTGCAATGGTGCAATCTTGGCTCACTGCAACCTCCGCCTCCCGGGTTCAAGTGATTCTCCTGCCTCAGCCTCCCAAGTAGCTGGGATTACAGGCACATGCCACCACGCCCAGCTAATTTTTTGTGTTTTTAGTAGAGATGGAGTTTCACTATGTTGCCCAGGCTGGTCTTGAACTCCTGACCTCAGGTGATACACCCACCTCTGTCTCCCAAAGTGCTGGGATTACAGGCACCAGCCACCACGCCCAGCCTATTTTATTGTTTTATTTTATCTTATTTTTTTGAGATGTAGTCTTGTTGTTGCCCAGGCTGGACTGCAGTGGCATGATCTCAGCTCACTGCAATCTCTGCCTCCCAGATTTAAGCGTTTCTTCTTCTTCAGCCCTGCAAGTAGCTGGGATTACAGGTGCATGCCACCATACCCAGCTAATTTTTGTACTCAGCCTAAATGCGTTATTTAAAAATAACAATAATGAGGGCCAGGCATGGTGGCTCATGCCTGTAATCCCAGCACTTTGGGAGGCCGAGGCAGGTGGATCACCTGAGGTCAGGAGTTCGAGACCAACTTGACCAATATGGAGAAACCCCATCTCTACTAAAAATACAAAATTAGCTGGGCATGGTGGCACATGCCTGTAATCCCAGCTACTCGGGAGGCTGAGGCAGGAGAATTGCTTGAACCCAGGAGGCAGAGGTTGTGGTGAGCCGAGATTGCGCCATTGCACTCCAATAACAGTAATGGTTATGATTTCCAATCAATGAAAAGACTTTTTCTCTTTGCTATGAAGTTAATCTTTGTGTGTCCCCCGCCCCATACCTCAGATTTATATGTTGAAGCCTAATCCCCAATGTAATGGTATCTAATCCCCCTCCCAGAGAGGCCTCTGGGAGATAATTAGGTCGTGAGGGGGGAGCCCTCATTAATGCAATTAGTACCTTATAAGAAGAAACTCTATAGAGCTTGCTTCCTTTGTCTCTCTTTGTTTTCCGCCATGTGAGGATAAAATGAGAAGATAGCAATCTGCAAACCAAGAAGCAGACCCTCATCAGACACTGGCACCTTGATTTTGGACTTCCCAGCCTCCAGAACTGTGAGAAATAAACATTTGTTTTTTAAGCCACCTAGTCTATGGTATATTTGTTACAGTAGCCCAAACTAAGACACCCCTATTCCAAACATATACAAACAATAGAAAATATAACAACAAAATAGAAAAATATAACAACAAAATAGAAAATATAACAACAAAAAATTAAATACATGGATGAATTCAAAAACAAGAAAGGTAAATCTCTAGATGCCAAAAGTGAAGCAGAAACTAAAAGCCATAAAAAGATGTTAAGTGAATGAGTGGCAAGGCAGCCAAACCGTGCCTTTGCATGAATCAAAAATAGACCTACTCCCTGAACAAATTCACTCTCATGGTTTCAGGAATTGGTGAGTTCAATTTGGAGTTCAAGCTTGATATTACCCCCATGCACCACCTTGCCCAGGTTTCTTTATGTAGGATATAACCTGCTTACCTGTAACCAGCATTCCTGATAAACGGGGGCAGAAGCTACGTCACTCAGACGGGTTTTGAAATTGGAAGTAGGCCTTTGGTGCTGAATGAGAAAGTTTAAATGCATATATGCAGAAAGGATACTAAATTTTAAGTCCACAAAAGACAGAGAACTGATTGTACACCCATGCTTATAGCAGCATTATTTGTAAAGCCAAAAGGTGGAAGTAGCTTAAATGTCCATAAATGAAGGCACAGATAAATAAAATGTGATGTATACATACAATGGAATGTTTTTCAGTCATAAAAAGGAAGGAAATTCTGACATATGCTACAACATGGATGAACCTTGAGGATATTATGCTAAATGAAATAAGCCAGTCACACACAAAAAAACACTGTATGATTCCATGATTCCACTGCTATGAGGTATTTACAGTAGTCAGATTCTTTGAGACAGAAAGTAGAATGGTGAATGCCAATGGAGGAGGGAGAAATGAGGAGTTATTGTTTAATGAGGATGGGATTTCAGGTTGGGAAGATGAAAACTTTGGAAATAGATGGTGGTGATGGTAGCGCAACAATGTGAATATACTTAATGCCACTGAACTTTACATTGAAAAAAAGGTGAAGATGGCAAATTTTATGTATTTTGCCACAGGTTTTTTTTTTTTTTTTTTTTTTGAGACGGAGTTTTGCTCTGTCTCTTAGGCTGGAGTGTAGTGGCGCAATCTCGGCTCACTGCAACCTCTGCCTCCCCGGTTCAAGCAATTCTCCTGCCTCAGCCTCCAGAGTAGCTAGGACTACAGGCGTGTGCTACCACGCCCGGCTGATTGTTTGTATTTTTAGTAGAGACGGGATTGCACCATATTGGCCAGGCTCGTCTCGAACTCCTGATCTTGTGATCTGCCTGCCTTGACCTCCCAAAGTGCTGGATTTACAGGCGTGAGCCACTGCTCCCGGCTGCCACAATTTTTAAAAATTAAAAAAGTCATAAATAAATAATTTTTAATGAAACCATAATTTTTGTAAAAGATAAGGAGCTGGAACCAAAGTCCGTATATAATGCCAGGAGCCACAAAGGGTGCTCTTGAAGTAAACCAGGAAGTAAACTGTGGTCCTTAGCAAGGGAAGTAGCAAGGAATCCTGCTGAAAGCCTAGGGCCATGAATCAAATGAATCCAAAAAAATCAGAAACACAGACCTGTGTCACTCATGGACAAAAGATCTGAATTCACGGTGTAGGGACTCTAAGTAGAAAAACGCACATGAAAAGAGATCCAAATACAGTGTTTCTTGTAGGGCCAGAGACAGGGAAACATAAAACTTCCTAACTGAGACCCCTCTCAACCCAGGGCACAAGGGACTCCCATATAAAACAACCAGCTAAAGATGAACTCACAGCCAAAACTTACAAATCACATGGAGAAACACCTCGCTAGGATGGAGAAAAAGTACATCGCATGTCTTCCATTTGCTCCTGTAGACCCACTCTCCACTATGCTACATCTGTCTTCTATTGCTGGAGGCAGACCTACATGGACTACATCAGTGAGTTCTCATGTCTTCTGGCCTCTTGTTAGATTCAGCCAATGGGAAACCCTAGCAGAATATTGGAAAGTGGGATCAGTTTTATTCCCCAGTTGACTCTCTCTCAGCTGTTGGCTGTGTCTCTCAACAGAAGGTCATTGCACCTCTCAAGGTGATCTTTCCTTCATGAGTTTCTTTCAAATTCTAGACACTTCTCCCTATCCTCATCTCTTCAGGCCAAGGAGTAGTAATGGCTCCACTGCAACCATTTCCAGGTTATTGCACTATCCTTTGTGGCCACACTACATCCTGCTCACAGCTCTGTAAATGGTCCCTTTGTAAATAAACCACCTTGGAATTATACAAATTTTAGTATATCATCTATTTCCTGTTAGGAATCTGATGAAATAATCATAAACAGGCAATGGGGGAATTTGAAATTTAAGAACTAGAAATTTTAAAAATAAACAGAAAGCGACTTTAAAAAGAGTAGATTCAAACCCATAAAAAATAATAAAAATTTTAAAAATAAAAAAAGTAAATAAATAAATTTTTGTTTTTTGAGATGGCATTTCGCTCTTGTTCCCCAGGCTGGAGTGCAATGGTGCAATCTCAGCTCACTGCAGACTCCACCTCCTGGGTTTAAGCAATTCTCCTGCCTCAGCCTCCCAAGTAGATGGGATTACAGCCATGCACCACCACACCCAGCTAATTTTGTATTTTTAGTAGAGACAGAGTTTCACCATGTTGGTCAGGCTGGTCTCGAACTCCTGACCTCAGGTGATCCACCCGCCTCGTCATCCCAAAGTGCTGGGATTACAGGTGTGAGCCACCGCACCCAGCCAAAAATGTTTAAATAAAATAAAAACAAGAATAGAGGCCAGGTGTGGTGGCTCACACCTGTAATCTCAGCACTTTGGGAGGTGGAAGGGGGCAGACCACTTGAGCCCAGGAGTTCTGGACTAGCCTGGAAAACAAGACAAAAACCCCATCTCTGCAAAAAAACAAAAAACAAAAAAAGTTAGCTGGGTGTGGTGATACACACCTGTAGTCCCAGCCACGTGGAAGGCTGAGGTCACTTGAGCCCCGGAAGTCGAGGCTGCAGTGAGCCATGATCGTGCCACTGCACTCCAGCCTGGACAACAGTGAGACCTTGTCTCAAAAAAAAAAAAAAAAAAAAAAAGATTGAAAATATAAAAGAAAAATAAAAAACTACAATGAGCAGAGTTGTCATGTATTTAATAGGAGCTTATTAAAATAGGAGAAAGCAAAAAGAATGGGAGAGTGAGATAATATTTGAAGAGATAATAGCCAAGAATTTTCAGGAATTAAAGAGAGATAAATCCTCACACTGAAGAAATATGCTGGAGCCAGCTTATGAGAGCTGCTTATTAAATATTCAGAAAATGTGCAAGCCAAGTGTTAACCATTATTAAAATTAAATTGCATAAACTTATGATTAAATAATTATATTAAAAACAGAAGTAATAAATATTTAAAGCTTGTAAATTCCTAATTATTTTACTACATTTTACTATTATCAATGCTCTTGAAGTTATTTATGTCTCTCATGTTTGCATGGCTAAAATGAAATGGTATGCTACTCTGCATCCCTTCTCAAATCCTTACTTAAAGATGTTACATTGGTAGCTTGAAATAGGTTATTGAGGGAATGTTTATGTCACAGAAATTGGCAGACTGCTACAAATCAGCCCCCACTCCCATGTTTACCAGCACACCACTGTCCAAGCATTATACTGTTTACACAACAATAAAAAATACTTCTACACACTCCATGGTGAAACTGAAAAATGTTAAGAAAAAAAAAAATCTGAAGAAACTACCAGAGATTCAGGATAACCTTTGTACCCAAAACAAAAACAAGCAAAAAACCTCCCAGAGAAATCAATGAAATTGAAAACAGGAAATAACAGAGAAAATCAATAAAGCAAAAACCTGGTTCCTTGAAAAGATCAATAAAATCAATAAGCCTCTGGCCCTGCTAACTAAGAAAAAAAATTACTGATACCAGAAATGAAAGAGTAGATATTACTGCAGATCCCATGGACATTAAGAGAATAATATAAGAATACTGTGAATAACTCTATGTCCACATATATGATAGCCTAGAAGTAATGGAGCAATTCCTTCAAAGAAACAATCTGCCAAAACTTACACAAGAAGAAATAGACCTATATCTATTTTAAAAATTGACAATAATTAATAACCTTGCAAATCAGAAAACACCAGGCTCAGATGTGTTCACCATTCTACCAAACATTTAAGGAAGAAAGTACATCAGTTTTCTATAATCTTCTCCGAAAGATAGAAGCACAGAGAATACCTTCTAACTCATTCTATGAGGCCAGCATTGCCCTAACACCAAAATCGGAAAAAGACATAACAAGAAAAGACATATCAGACCAATATCATGAATGTAGCTGCAAAAATCCCCCCAAAAATATTAACAAATTGAATCCAATGATGTATAAAAAGAATTACACAATACAACTTAAGTGAAATTTATCCCAAGTATACAAGGCAGGTTCAATATATGAAACTATATTAATGAAATCCATATTGATAGACTAAAGAAAGTCACATGATCATATCAATGGATGCAGAAAAGGCATTTAAAAAAATCCAACACCCATTCATGATAAAAACTCTCAGCAGATGATGAATAGAGGGGGAATTTCCTCAATTTTATAAAGAAGGACTATAAAAAACCTACAGCTAAAATTGTACTCAAATGGTGAGAAACGAAGCTTTCCCACTAAGATCAGGAACAAGGCTAGGATATTTTATCTTACCACCGCTTTTTGACATCTGGAAGTCCTAGCTACTGCAATAAGATTTTTAAAAGAAAATAACCAGTATATAGGTTGTAAAGGAAGAAATAAACAGTCTTTGTTTACAGATGATGTGATAATCTATGTAGAAAATCCAAAAGATTCAACCAAAAAGCTCCTGAAACTAAAAAGCTAATTGTATCCTGCAATTAGCCAGATTGTAGGACACAGGTTAATATATGAAAGTCAATCACTTTCCTAGATACTGGCAATGAGCAAATGGAATTTGAAATTAAAAACACATTAACATTTACATTAGCATTATCCAAAAATGAAAGCTTAGGTATTATGATGGTGAATTTTTTTAATTTTATTTTTATTTTTTATTTTTGGACACAGAGTTTCACTCTTGTATATCAGGCTGGAGTGCAATGGCGTGATCTTGGCTCACTGCAACCTCCACCTCCTAGGTTCAAGCGATTCTCCTGCCTCAGCCTCCCAAGTACCTGGGATTACAGGTGCCTGCCACCACGCCCAGCTAATTTTTGTATTTTTAGTAGAGACGGAGTTTCACCACGTTGGTCAGGCTGGTCTTGAACTCTTGAACTCCTAGACATTATTTCTAGGTGTGTCTGTGAGAGTGTTTCTGGAGAAATTAGCATTTGAATTGGTGACCTGAATAAAGATGGCCTTTCCCCATATGGGTGGGCATCACCCAATCTGTTGAGGGACTGAATAGAACAAAAAGGTGAAGGAAAATTGAATTTGTTTTTTGCTTAACTGCTTGGGCTGGAACATCAATCTTCTGCTCACAGTGCTCCTGGTTCTCAGGCCTACAGATTCAAACTGGAATCTACACCATCAGCTATCCAGCTCTCAGGCCTTTGAACTACACCATCAGTTTTCTTGAGTTTCCAGCTTTAGATGGCAAATCATGGGAATTTTCAGCTTCCATAATCACATGAGCTAATACTTTCTAATAAATATCTACATGTATATGTTCTGACTAATACAGAAATTGGTACCAAGAAGTGAGGTGCTGCTGTAACAAATGCCTTAAAATGTGGAAGCATCTTTGGAACTAGGTGATGGGTAGAAGTTGGAAGAGTTTTGAGGTGCATGCTAGATAAAGCCAGTGATGCCATGAAGAAATTTTTGAAGATGATTCTGGTAAAGGCTCAGAAAGAAAAGATTTCTGGATAGAAAGCTTCCATCTTCTTAGAGAATATAAAAGTAATTACATACAGAAAGTTGGTAAATATATAGATAGTAAGACCACTCTGATGAGATCTCAGATGGAAATGAGGAACATGTTATTGGACAATGGAGAAGAGGCTATCTTTTTTTAATTTTATTTCAATAGTTTTGGGGGAACAGGTGTTCTTTTGTTACATGGATAAGTTGTTTAATGGTGATTTCTGAGATTTTAGTGCACCCATCACCCAAGCAGTATACACTGTACGCAATATGTAGTCTTTTATCCCTTACCCCCTGACCCATCCCTCCAAGTCCCCAAAGTCCATTCTATCATTCTTATACCTTTGTATCCTCATGGCTTAGCTCCCACTTATAAGCAAGAACATGTGATATTTGGTTTTCCATTTCTGAATTACTTCACTCAGAATAATGGCCTTCAGCTCCATCCAAGTTGCTGCAAAGGCCATTATTTCATTCCATTTTATGGCTAAGTAGTATTCCATGGTGTATATGTACCACATTTTCTTTATTCACTTGTTGGTTGATGGGCATTTAGGTTGGTTCCACATTTTTGCAGTTGTTAATTGTGCTGCTGTAAATATGTGAGTGCGTACATCTTTTTCATATAATGACTTATTTTCCTTTGAGTAGATAGCCAGTACTGGGATTGCTGGATTGAATGGTAGTTCTACTTTTAGTTCTTTAAGGATTCTCCATATCATTTTCAATAGTGGTTGCACTAGCTTACATTCCCATCAGCCATGTAGAAGTGTTCTCTTTTTACCACTCCACACCAACACCTTTTTAAAAATTATTTTTAAATTCTGGCCATTCTTGCAGGAGTAAGGTGGTATTTCATTGTGGTTTTAATTTGCATTTCCCTGATAACTAGTGATGTTGAGCATTTTTTCACGTCGTTGGTCATTTGTATATATCTTCTTTTGAGAACTGTCTATTCATGTCCTTTGCCCACTTTTTGATGGGATTATTTGTTTTTTTCTTGCTGATTTGTTTGAGTTCCTTGTAGATTCTGGATATCAGTTCTTTGTCAGATGCATAGTTTACAAATATTTTCTTCTACTCTGTGGTTGTTTGTTTATTCTGCTGATTAATTCTTTTGCTGACAAAAGCTTTTTAGTTTCATTAGGTCCCATTTGTTTATTTTTGTTTTTGCTGCTTTTGCTTGTGGGTCCTTAGTCATGAATTCTTTGCCTAAGCCAATGTCTAGAAGAGTTTTTCCAATGTTATCTGCTAGGATTTATTTATTTATTTATTTTTGAGACGGAGTCTTGCTCTGTCACCCAGGCTGGAGTGCAGTGGCACAATCTCAGCTCACTGCAAGCTCCACCTCCCGGGTTCACGCCATTCTCCTGCCTCAGCCTCCCGAGTTGCTGGGACTACAGGCACCCGCCACCATGCCCGACTAATTTTTTGTATTTTTAGTAGAGGTGGGGTCTCACCATGTTAGCCAGGATGGTCTTGATCTCCTGACCTCGTGATCCACCCGCCTCAGCCTCCCAAAGTGCTGGGATTACAGGCGTGAGCCACCGTGCCCGGCCATCTTCTAGGATTTTTATGATTTCAGGTTTTTTATTTAGATTTAAGTCTTTGGTCCATCTTGAGTTGATTTTCAAATGAGGTAAGAGATGAGGATCCAGTTTCATTCTTCTGCATGTGGCTTGCCAGTTATTCCAGCACCATTTATTGAATAGGGTGTCCTTTTCCCACTTAATGTTTTTGTATGCTTTGTTGAAGATCAGTTGGCTATAAGTATTCGGTTTTATTTCTGGGTTCTCTATTCTGTTCCATTAGTCTACATGCCTACTGTTATACCAGTACCATGCTGTTTTGGTAACTATAGCCTTACAGTATAGTTTGAAATCAGGTCATGTGATGCCTCCAGATTTGTTCTTTTTGCTTAGTACTGTTTTGGTTATGTGGGCTCTTTTTTGGTTCCATATGAATTTTAGGATTCTTTTTACTAGTTCTGTGAAGAATGATGATGGTATTTTGATGGGAATTGCGTTGAATCTGTAGATTGCTTTTGGCAGTGAATCTGTAAATTTCTTATGGCCATTTTCACAATATTAGTTCTACCCATCCATGTGCGCGAGATGTGTTTCCAGTTCTTTGTGTTGTCTATGAGTTCTTTCAGACCTTTTTTTTTTTTTTTGCCCAGGCTGGAGTGCAGTGGTGCGATCTCGACTCACTGCAACCTCCGCCTCGCAGGTTCAAGCAATTCTCCTGCATTAGCCTCCCAGGTAGCTGGGATTACAGGCGCCCACCACCATGCCCAGCTAATTTTTGTATTTTTGGTAGAGACAAGGTTTCACCATGTTGGCCAGGCTGGTCTTGAACTCCCGACCTCATGATCCGCTTGCCTCAGCCTCCCAAAGTGCTGGGATTACAGGAGTGAGCCACCACACCCAGCCCTATGAGTTATTTCAGCAGGATTTTGTAGTTTTCCTTGTAGAGATCTTTTACCACTTTGGTTAAGTATATTCCTAAGGTTTTTTTGTTTTGTGTGTGTGTACATTTTGTTTTTTGTTTGTTTGTTCTGTTTTGTTTTGTTTTTAGATAGAGTCTCACTCTATCACCCAGGCTGGAGTGCAGTGGTACCATCTTGGCTCACTGCAACTTCCGCCTCCCAGGTTCCAGTGATTCTCCTGCCTCAGCCTCCTGAGTAGCTGGGATTACAGGCTACTGCCACCATGCCCAGCTAATTTTTTTTTGTATTTTTAGTAGAGGCAGGGTTTCATCATGTTGGCCAGGCCTAAGTATTTTATTTATAAATTTTCTTTTTGCAGCTCTTGTAAAAGGGATTGAGTTCTTGATTCGATCCTCAGCTTGGTTGTTGTTGGTGTATAGCAGTGCTACTGTTTTATGTACATTGATTTTGTATCCTGACACTTTACTGAATTTATTTATCAGATTTAGGAGCTTTTTGGATGCGTCTTGAGAGTTTTCTAGGTATACAATCATATCATTGGTGAACAGCAACAGTTTGACTTCCTCTTTTCCAATTTGGATGCTTTTTATTTCTCTTGTCTGATTGCTCTGGCTAGGACTTTCAATACTATGTTGAATAGAAGCGGTGAAAGTGGTCATCCTTGCCTTGTTCCAGTTCTCAGTTATATATAATAATGCTTTCAATGTTTGCCATTCAGTATGGTGATGTTGGCTGTGGGTTTGTCATAGATGGTTTTTATTACTTTGAGGTATGTCCCTTCTATGCCAATTTTGTTGAGGGTTTTTATTAAAAAGGGATGCCGGATTTTGTCAAATGCTTTTTCTGCATCTATTGAGATGATCATATGATTTTTTTTTCTTTTTTTGAGATGGAGTCTCACTCTGTCACCCAGGCTGGAGTGCAGTGACATGATCTCAGCTCACTGCAACCTCTGCCTCCCAGGTTCAAGCAATTCTCCTGCCTTAGCCACCCAAGTAGCTGGGATTACAGGCATCCGCCACCACACCCAGCTAATTTTTGTATTTTTAGTAGAGATGGGGTTTCCGCACATTGGCCAGGCTGGTCTTGAACTCCTGACCTCGGGTGATCTGCCCACCTCAGCCTCCCAAAGTGCTGGGATTACAGGCCACACCCGGCCTGATTTTTGTTTTTAATTCTGCTTATGTGGGGTGTCACAGTTATTGACTTGTGTTTGTTAAACCACCCCTGCATCCCTGGTATGTAACTAACTTGATCATGGTGTGTTATCTTTTTGATAGGCTGTTGGATTAAGTTAGCTAGCATTTTGTTGAGGATTTTTGCATCTATCTTCATCAGGGATATTGGCCTGTAGCTTTCTTTTTTTGTTATATCCTGTTTGGATATTAGGGTGATATTGGCTAAATAGAATGATTTAGGGAGGATTCCCTCTTTCTCTGTGTTTTGGAATAGTTTTAGTAGGATTGGCATCAATTCTTCTGTGAATGTCTGATAGAATTCAGCTGTGAATCCATCTGGTCCTGGGACTTTTTATGTTGGCCTTTTTTTTTTTTTTTTTTTTTTTTTTTTTTTTCTGATTCTATCTTGCTGCTTGTTACTAGTCTCTACAGAGTTTCTATTTCTTCCTGGAGGCTATCCTCATCATAAAGTAGCAAAGAAGTTGGCTGAATACTGTTCATGTTCTAGTGTTTGGTAAAAGGTATAACGTATGAGCAATGAAATTGGACATTTAGGACAGGCACCCCTGGTGGCTCATGACTATAATCCCAGCACTTTGGGAGGCCAAGGTGGGCAGATCACCTGAGGTCAGGAGTTCGAGACCGGCCTGGCCAACATGATGAAACCCCATTGCTACTAAAAATAGAAAAATTTGCTGAGCGTGGTGGCGGGTGCCTGTAATCCCAGCTACTTGGGAGGCTGAGGTGGGAGAATCGCTTGAACCTGGGAAGCGGAGGTTGCAGTGAGTCAAGATTGCACCACTGCACTCCAGCCTGGGCAACAGAGTGAGACTCTATCTCAAGAAAGAAAAGAGAAGAGAAGACAGAAAAGAAAAGAAAAGAGGGAAGGGAAGGGAGGGGGAGGGGGAGGGGAAGGGCAAGGGAAGGGAGAAATTGGACATTTAGCTGAGGAGATTTCTTTTTTTTTTTTTGAGACAGTCTCACTTTGTTGCCCAGGCTGGAGTGCAGTGGTGCGATCTCAGCTCACTGCAGCCTCCACCTCCTGGGTTCAAGTGACTCTCCTCCCTCAGCCTCCTGAGTAGCTGGAACTATAGGCGCCTGCCACATTGCCCTGCTAATTTTTGTATTTTTTGTAGAAACAGGGTTTCACCATGTTGCCCAGGCTGGTCTCCAACTCCTGAGCTCAGGCAATCTGCCCACCTCGGCCTCCCAAAGTGCTGGGATTACAGAACTTTACGGTGAGCCACCACTCCTGGCCTTAGCTGAGGAGATTTCTAAGCAAGTGTTAAAGAAGCAGCTTGGTGCCTCCTTACTGCTTATAGTAAAATGCAAGAGGAAGAAATAAATTGAAAATGGCATTATTAAGCAAAAAGGAATCAGAATATAAAGATTTGGAAAATTCTAAGCCTGTTCATATTATTTTAAAAGTAAGAAGGTATGTTCAAAAGAGAACACAAAGGGCATGTCAGACCAACAATTTGATAAAAAAGATTAGCATGGGTGTGAACTATGAACCAAATCAGCCATGTATCTCAACAGAAGCCAGGAATACAGATAAGATTATAGCAGCAGAGGCCGGGCACAGTGGCTCATGCCTGTAATCCCAGCACTCTGGGAGGCTGAGGCGGGCGGATCACGAGGTCAGGAGATCGAGACCAACCTGGCTAACACGGTGAAAACCCGTCTCTACTAAAAAAAATTTAAAAAAATTAGCCAGGCGTGGTGGCGGGCACCCGTAGTCCCAGCTACTTGGGAGGCTGAGGCAGGAGAATGGCGTGAACCCGGGAGGCAGAGCTTGCAGTGAGCCGAGATCGGGCCACTGCACACCAGCCTGGGTGACAGAGCAAGACACTGTCTAAAAAAAAAAAAAAAAAGAAACAGAAAAGAAAAGATTATAGCAGCAGAAACACTGCCAGCTGGGACTAAATGGCGGGAGACTGTCAGCCTTCTTAGATCCTACAGGACTGGATCATAGAGCTGTGAACATGCACTATTCCTCAAAACAAGAGAAGAAAGAACCCAAAACCCAAAAATGATTTGAAGATCATCAGGCCACCACTCCCACCATAGGAACAGAGGACCTAACTTGGGGAACAGGGCGGCTGCCTCTGCCTCAGTTTCAAAGAGCAGGACCAGTGCCCAATGGAGCCATCGGTGCAGCGCCACCTGTAGCAGCAGAGGCACAGCACTACTCAGCAGAGCCACTGAGGTATAACTTCAGCCTGGCAGAGCCATGGGTGTGTGGCCCCCACCAGACAGAGCCACACAGGCAGGACTGCTACCCCAGTGGGTCCCAGAAGGCAGAGCATTGAGCCAAAGAAGCTCTTCAAGCCTTAACGTCTTACGAATTTTGCCTTGATAGGTTTGGGACTTTCTTGGGACTCCATCATCCCTTTCTTCTTTCCTATTTCTCCTTTTTGGGATGGGAATATTTATCCTATCCCTTTCCCACAATTTTATTTTGGAAACACGCAACTAATTTGATTTCACAAGTTCACAGCTGGAGAGGAATTTTGCCTCACAATGAATCTTACCTCTATTCTTATTCATATCTCATTTAGATGAGACTTTGGGCTTTAAACTTTAGAGTTCAGGCTGCAATGAGTTAAGACTTTTGAGGCTGTTGAGTTGGAATGAATGTATTTTGCATATGAGATGGGCAGGAGTTTTGGGGGTCCAGTGGCAGAATGCTATAGACTGAATTGTTGTGTCCCAGCAAATTCATATGTTGAAATTCTAACCTCCAGTGTGATTGTATTAAGAGGTAGGGACCTTTGGGAGGTAATTAGGTCATGAGGGTGGAACCCTCATGAATGGCATTAATACCCTTATAAGAAAAGACATGAAAGTGTGATCTCACTCTCTTTCTTTCTTCCCACCATGTGAGAATGCAACAGCAAGACAGCCGTCTACAAACCAGGAAGAGTGCCCTCGCCAGAAAATGGATTTGCTGGCACTTTGATATTGGAATTCCCAGCCCCCAGGACTGTGAGAAATAAATTTCTGTCATTTAAGCCATCCAATCTGTGGTATTTTGTTATAGCAGCCAAAACTAAGGTAGGTATAAATCTAAAAACTATGTACAAGATCTATATGAAGAAATCTATATAACTAATGAAAGATATCAAAGAACAAAATAAATGGTGGGATATTCCATGTTCATGGCTAGGAAGACTTAATATCATCAAGAAGTCACTTCTTCCTAACATAATCTGTAGATTAAATGCAATCCCAGTCAAAATCCCAGCAAGTTATTTTTAATCAATTTATTGATATATATCAATAAACTTTTTCTAAAAAAGAGAGGCAAAAGACCCAGTACAGACAACTCAGTATTGAAGGATAACAAAGTCAGAGGACTAATACTACCCAAATTCAAGACTTCTGGCCGGGCACGGTGGCTCACGCCTGTAATCCCAGCACTTTGGGAGGCTGAGAGGGGCGGATCACCTGAGGTCAGGAGTTTGAGACCACCCTGGCCAACATGGTGAAACCCCGTCTCTACTAAAAATACAAAAATTAACTGGGCATGGTGGCACACGCCTGTAATCCCAGCTACTTGAGAGGCTGAGGCAGGAGAATCGCTTGAACCCAAGAGGCAGAGGTTGCAGCGAGCTGAGATCGTGCCACTGCACCATCCTGGTCAACAGAGTGAGACTCCGTCTCAAAAAAAAAAAAAAAAAAGACTTTCTATAAAGCAGCAGTAATTAAAACAATGTAGTACTGGCAAAAGAATAGACAAGTAAACGAATGGAACAGAAGAGAGCCCCAAAAAAGACCCATATAAACATAGTCAACTGATCTTTGACAAAGGAGCAAAGGCAATACCATGGTGCAAAAATAATCTTTTCAACAAATGGTGCTGGAACAACTGGACATCCATACAGAAAAAAAAAAAAAAAGAATCTAGAGAAAGATCTAACATCCTTCTCAAAAACTAACTCAAAATGGATCATAGGCCCAAACGTAAAATGCAAAACTACAAAACTCATAGAAAAGAACATAGGAGAAACTCTAGATAAACTTGGGACTGGTGATTACCTTCTAGATATAATGCCAAAGTCATGATCCGTGAAAGAAACAATTGAGGCCAGGTGCGGTGGCTCAAGCCTGTAATCCTAACACTTTGGGAGGCTGAGACGGACGGATTGCCTGAGCTCAGGAGTTAGAGACCAGCCTGAGCAACATGGTGAAACCCTGTCTCTACTAAAAATACAAAAAATTAGCAGGACATAGTGGCATGTGCCTGTAATCCCAGCCACTCGGGAGGCTGAGGGATGAGAATTGCTTGAACTTGGGAGGCAGAGGTTGCAGTGAGCTGAGATCGTGCCACTGCACTCCAGCCTGGGCAACAGAGCAAGACTCTGTCTCTAAATTAATTAATTAATTAATTAATTTAATTAAAATAAAAAAATTGATAATCTTGATAATCTCGACTTTATTAAAATTAAAAAATTTCTGCTGCATGAAAAACAGTGTCAAGAAAATGAGAAGCCACAAACCAGGAGAAAATATTTGCAAAAGACACATATATAAAGAACTTTTAAAGCTCAACAACAAGAAAACAACCCAATTTAAAAAGGAGTAAAAGATTTAAACAGATTCCTCACCAAAGAAGATACACAGATGACAAGGAAGCATATGAAAAGGTATTCAACATTATATATCCTTAGGAAATTATGAATTAAAACAACAAATATATACCATTACACACCTATTATAATGGCCAAAACACAACACCAAACTCTGGATGTGGAGCAACAGGAACTCTCCTTCATTGCTGGTGGGAATGCAAAATGGTATGGCCACTTTGGAAAAGAATTCAGCAGTTTCTTAGAAAACTAAATGTACTCTTAACTGTACAATTCAGCAATCATGCTCCATGGTATTTACCCAAAGGAAGTGAAAGCTTATGTTCACACAAAAACTTGTATGCGGATGTTTATAACAGCTTTATTCATAATTGCCAAAACTTGGAAGCAACCAAGCTGTCCTTCAGTAGGTAATGGATAAATTGTTGTAATTCCAAACAATGAATTTTTCAGCACTTTAAGAAGTGAGCTATCAAGCCACTAAAAGACATGGAGGAAACTTAAATGCATATTATTAGGTGAGTGCAAAAGTAATTGCGGTTTTTGCATTGTTGGAATTTGCCGTTTGATATTAGAATACATTCTTAAATAAATGTGGTTATGTTATACATCATTTTAATGGGAATTTCTTGCTTTATGTTTTTGTTTTTGTTTTTTGCTAATGACTTATTATGTGCTCTTTGTTTTATGTTTATTTTAAAGTATGGAAATGATGTTAGACAAAAAGCAAATTCAAGTGATTTTCTTTTTTGAGTTCGAAATGGGTCATATAGCAGGGAAGAAGACTCTCAACATCAACAATGCATTTGGCCCAGGAACTGCTAACGAAAGTACAGTGCAGTGGTGATTCAAGAAGTTTTGCAAGGGAGAACCTTGAACATGAGGAGCGTCGTCACTGGCCATTGGAAGTTGACAACTACCAATGGAGAGCAATCATCAAAGTTGATCCTCTTACACCTACAAGAGAAGTTGCCGAAGAACTCAACATCGACCATTCTGTGGTTGTTCGGCATTTGATGCAAATTGGAAAGGTGAAAAAGCTTGATAAGTGGGTGCCTCATGAGCTGAGCGAAAATCAAAAAAATCATTTTAAAGTGTCATCTTCTCTTATCCTATGCAACAATGAACCATTTCTTGATCGGATTGTGACATGCATTGAAAAGTAGATTTTATACAACGACCAGTGACGACCAGCTCAGTGGCTGCGCTGAGAAAAAGTCCCAAAGCAACTCCTAAGCCAAACTTGCACCATAAAAAGGTCATGGTCACTGTTTGGTGGTCTGCTACCGGTCTAATCCACTACAGCTTTCAAATTCCCGGCGAAACCATTACATCTGAGAATTATGCTCAGCAAATCAATGAGATGCACCGAAAACTGCAATGCTTGCAGCTGGCATTGGACAACAGAAAGGACTCAACTCTTCTCCATGACAATGCCCCCCGTACATTGCACAACCAATGCTTCAAAAGTTGAACGAATTGGGCTACAAAGTTTTGCCTAGTCTTCCATATTCACCTAACCTCTCACCAACCGACTACCACTTCTTCAAGCATCTGGACAACTTTTTGCGGGGAAAATGCTTCCACAGCCAGCAGGATGCAGAAAATGCTTTCCAAGAGTTTGTTGAATCCCAAAGCACGGATTTTACACTACAGGAATAAACAAAATTATTTCTCGTTGGCAAAAATGTATTGATTGTAATAATTCCCATTTTGATTAATAAAGATGTGTTTCAGCCTAGGTATAATGATTCAAAATTCACGGTCCCAAACCACAATTACTTTTGCACCAACTTAATACTAAGAAAAAAAAAGCCAGTCTGAACAGGATATATACTGTATAATTCCAACTATGTGATATTCTGAAAAAGGTAAAACTTTGGAGACAGTAAAAAGATCAGGAGTTGCAGGGAGGGAACGATAATAGGCAGAGCACAAAAGATTTTTAGGGTAGTGAAACTCTTCTGTATGATACTACAATTGTGGATACCTGTCATTATATATTCATCAAAACCCATGGAAGGTACAACACCAAGAATGAATCCTAATGTAAACTAAGGATTTACAGTGAAAATGATGTGTCAGTGCAGGTTCATTGATTGTAACAAATGTACTCCTGTGGTGTAGGATGTCCATAGTGGGTGAGGTTATACAGGTATGGGAATTGGTAGCAGATTAATATCTTTTTTTTTTTTTTGAGACGGAGTCCCGCTCTTGTTGCCTAAGCTGGAGTGCAATGGTGCAATCTCGGCTCACTGCAACCTCCACTTCCCAGGTTCAAGCGATTCTCCTGCCTCAGCCTCCCAAGTAACTGGGATTACAGGTGCTTACCACCACGCCTGGCTAATTTTTGTATTTTCAGTAGAGACCGGGTTTCACCATGTTGGTTAAGCTGGTCTCAAACTCCTGACTTCTGGTGATCCGCCTGCCTTAGCCTCCCAAAGTGCTGGGATTACAAGACTGAGCCACCATGCCCAGCCATGGATTAATATATTTGAAGTGCTGCAGAAAAACAATGGTAAGGTTATAACATCTATCTATCTATCTATCTATCTATCTATCTATCTATCTATCTATCAATAATGAAGTCAAAATAAAGACTTCTTCAGACATTTAAAGCAGGCAGTTTACTGTCTCAGTTACTCATTAAAAAAATAACTAAACTTTCTTATTTGGGAAAAATAAAATAAAAACATAGAGAAGCTTCTATTGGCCAAATATAGGAAAAAAGTGAACATCAAAAGGAATATTGGGCCTGGGCACAGTGGCTCACGTCCATAATCCCAGCACTCTGGGAGGCTGAGGCAGACTGATCACTTGAGCCCAGGAGTACGAAACTGGCCTAGGCAACATGGTGAAACTCCATCTCTACAAAAAAACACAAAAGTTAGCCAGGTGTGGCACATGCCTGTAGTCCCAGCTACTCGGGAGGCTGAGGTGGAAGGATCACTTGAGCCCAGGAAACGGAGGCTATAGTGAGCCATGATCATGCCACTTCACTGCAGCCTGGGAGACAGAGTGAGACCTTGTCTCAAAACAACAACAACAACAAAAAGGATATTGACTACATTTGATTTAAACATACTGAATATATAAAAATCCATGAGTTCACAGTGTTACAGAATCAAAAAGTAAAAGTAAACAAGGAAAAGCAAATACACACCCATGCAAACACTGGACACTATTAAAACCTAGGGTACAATACTTACTTTGAAAAATTGGCAATTAAAAATAATTGAGAATTAATCCTGCCTTTCCTGAGTGAAGTATACTTCAGAGTAACCAAATACTTAATGAGGGAAAGTTCTTTATAAAAGAACTCCAGTTAATAAATTAAAGGAAAAATACATTATAAATTTTCTATTTTACAACATAATGAAATAGTCGATACAACAGGCAAACCTCATCAATGGCTAAAACTACTAAATTAAAGATTGAGAACTTTACAATAAAAGGATCAGACATTACCACTTGAACCTTCTGATCAATCTTAGCATCACTTATAATGACACAGACATGCTAGACTTCCTGAGATGATACAATATAAAATACAATACATGGCACCAACTTTGAACTATTTTTGTCAAAAATATTGAAACTACCAATATTCTGAGACTCAGTTAACCTAGTTTCCACTTACTGGGAATAGGTCTTAGAGGGATATGTTGGATGATACTATGAGAGAGCAGACAAATTCAGAATGTGGGACATTCTACAAAACAACTCATCTAAAACTCATCTAATTTCTTCTATAAGTTAATGTCCTTTTTTTTTGTTGTTTGTTTCTTTTTTTTTTTCCTCACTCTGTAGCCCAGGCTAGAGTGCAGTGGCGCAGTCTCGGTCACTGCAAACTCCGCCTCCTGGGTTCAAGCAATTCTCCTGCCTCAGCCTCCTGAATGGCTGGGACTATAGGTACAAGCCATCATGCCTGGCTAATTTTTGTATTTTTAGTAGGGATGGGGTTTCACCCTGTTGGCCAGGCTGGTCTCAAACTCCCAACCTCAGGTTATCCACCACCTCAGCTCCCAAAGTGCTGGGATTACAGGTGTGAGCCACCACGCCTGGCCTGTTAATGTCATATATATATATACACACACACATATATATACACACACATATATATACACATATACGTATATATATGTATACGTGTATATATACGTACGTATATATACAGATGTATATATACATATATAAGTATATATGTGTATATATATGTCTATATATGTATATATAGACATACCGATGTATATATACGTATATATAGTATATATACGTATATACGTATACGTATATATATACAGATGTGTGTATATACGTATATATATACAGATGTGTGTATATACGTATATATATACAGATGTGTGTATATACGTATATATATACAGATGTGTGTATATACGTATATATATACAGATGTGTGTATATACGTATATATATACAGATGTGTGTATATACGTATATATATACAGATGTGTGTATATACGTATATATATACAGATGTGTGTATATACGTATATATACACATATATACGCAGATGTATACATATACATATATGTGTGTGTGTGTATATATATATATATATATATGAAGTGGGGGGACTATACTAGTATACTAGATCAGTGATTTCAACCAAGGGTGATTTTATCCTCAGGGGACATTGTCAAAAAATTGTCCAAATTTTTTGACAACTTTCCCCACAACAATTATCTAGTCCCAAATGTCAACAGTGCCACTGTGAAAAATTCTCTACTAGATTAAAAGAGATTGAAAATACTTAGCAATCTAATTTAATATGTAGATCTTATTTTGATCCTTATTTAAACAAACCAAAAAACCCAAGAAGACATTTTTGAGACAATCAGGGGAATTTGAATATAGTCTGGCTATTAAATGATACTGAATTATCATTGGATATGATACCAGTATTACGTGTGGTAAGAAAATGTCTATAATTTTTAGAGATGCATACTAAAGGGTGTAGGAATTAAATGGTATAATGTCTAGGATTTTCTTTAAAATATTTCAGCAGGCTGGGCACAGTGGCTTATAACTGTAATCCTAGCACTTTGGGAGGCTGAGGCGGGTGGATCACCTGAGGTCAGGAGTTTGAGACCAGCCTGGTCAATATGGTGAAACCCCATCTCTACTAAAAATACAAAAATTAGCCGGGCATGATGGCACATGCCTGCAGTCCCAGCTACTCAGGAGGCTGAGGCAGGAGAATCTCTTGAACCCAGGAGGTGGAGGTTGCAGTAAGCCAAGATCATGCCACTGCACTCCAGCCTGGGCAACACAGAGAGACTCTGTCGCAAAAATAAAATAAAATGTTTCAGCAAAAAATAATATGTAAGTATGGAAAAATATTGATAATTCTAGAATCTTGGTGATGACTTTGTGAGAGTCCCTGTATTTTTGTGTATGTTTGATAAAATTTTTTATTGAAATATTCTTTAGAAATACATAATTTACTTGTAATCCCAGCACTTTGGGAGGCCGAGGCGGGCGGATCACGAGGTCAGGAGATCGAGACCATCCTGGCTAACACGGTGAAACCCCGTCTCTACTAAAAATACAAAAAAAATTAGCCGGGCGCGATGGTGGGCGCCTGTAGTCCCAGCTACTCGGGAGGCTGAGGCAGGAGAATGGCGTGAACCCGGGAGGCGGAGCTTGCAGTGAGCCGAGATTGCGCCACTGCACTCCCGCCTGGGCCACAGAGCGAGACTCCGTCTCAAAAAAAAAAAAAAAAAAATACATAATTTAATCCAGAAGGAAAAAGAAATAGGTAAGAAGCAATGATTGTTATTCATAGAAGAATCATATTGGATAGTGAGACCCATCTATTCAGACCTGAATGAACAGGGTGAGCAGCTGGTGCTCAAATCCTCAGCGTGATAAGCTGCAAGCCAGCCAGGCACTTTGAATCACAATTCACTGAGAAGAAATAAGCCCTTCATGTACCCAAAAGACACTGTATGTGAAAAAAATGTATTTTGGTGGGTTCATTCTAATTTAGAAGTTATCGTTATACATATCTGCTGAAGAACAATAACTTTTTCATTTCATTTTTGTAATACAGGCTTTTGAGAAATTTGAATACTGAAAAACTTTAATTCAGGGAAAACTGTTGAGCTAATGAGGAAGGAATCCTCTAATGTGCTTGATGTGACTTGTTTTTCTGTATTTTTAAAGATACTGTCATTTTTCACATCTCAATGTATTTGATGACTGTACCTCTCAAAAAATTAGGAAAAGATTATTTTCTATTTGTGATTTTCCTTAGATTGTTATCATGCAAGGTCCAGACACCTAACATGACCTCATTAGTGTTGGCTGCAGAGATGGGTGTGTTCCTCATGATTCGTGGTGACATTAATGGAAAGTTAAAGCCATACTTGCACTAGTCAAATAGAATCCTACTGTCTGCTGGAAAGCAGCTGTGGAAATAAAAAATCATTCACTTGTAGGACACAAGTGTGGACCACAGTATGAGTGACTTTTACTGGTGTAGTAGGTTGAATGGTGGCTGCCAAAAAGATGTGTCCAAGTCCTAACTCCCAGTACCTATGAATATCACCTTATTGAAAATAAGGCCTTTGTGGCCAGGCATGGTGACTCACGCCTGTAATCCCAGCACTTTGGGAGGCCGAGGCAGGCAGATCATCTGAGCTTGGTGAAGTAACTCAGGAGTATGTAACTTGCTGAAGTAACTTGGGAGTATGAGACCAGCCTGACCAACATGAAGAAACCCTGTCTCTACTAAAAATACAAAATTAGCCAGGCATGGTGGTTCATGTCTTGTAATCTCAGCTACTCAGGAAGGCTGAGGCGGGAGAATCGCTTGAACCTGGGAGACGGAGGTTGCACTCCAGCCTGGGCAACAAGAGTGAAACTCCATCTCAAAAAAAAAGAAAAAAGAAAAAGAAAGAAAAGGCCTTCGCAGATGTAATTGAAAATCTCAGGATGAGATCATCCTTTATTTAGGGTGGTCTGTGTCCTTATGAAGACAATGACTGTGTCCTTATAAGAGAAAAGAGAGGGAGATTTGAGAAACAAGAGAGACATAGGGGAAAAGCCACGTGAAGATGAAGGCAGAGATTGGAGTTATGCATCTACAAGCCAAGGAATGTCAGGAGATAGGAGAAATGCGCCGGGTGCGGTGACTCACACCTGTAATCTCAGCACTTTGGGAAGCCGAGGCAGACTGATCACCTGAGGTCAGGAGTTAAAGACCAGCCTGGCCAACATGGTGAAACCCTGTCTCTACTAAAATACAAAAATTAGCCCAGTGTGGTGGCGGTCACCTGTAATCCCAGCTACTCACGGGCTGAGGCTGGACAATCCCTTGAACCTAGGAGGCAGAGGTTGCAGTGAGCCGAGATCACACCACTGGACTCCAGCCTGGGTGACAGAGCCAAACTCCATCTCAAAAAAAAAAAAAAAAAAAGGAAGAAGATAGGAGAAATGCACGTAACAGATTATTCCTTACAGCCCCCAGAAGGAGCCAACCCTAGCAATACCTTGATTTTGGATTTCCGGCCTCCAAAATGGCGAGAAAATAAATTTCTCTTGTTTTAAGCCACCCAGTTTGTGATTATTTGTTTTGGCAGACATAGGAAGCTACTACTGCTGATATGGGGCAGGCTCTCAAAGAAATACCCTGATGAACTGGCGTAAATGACTGTAAGTAAATAGATTCTTTTTTCTGTTAGTAAATAGATTCTTAAGTGGTTTCTGTTTGGTCATTCATTTAATCATTCATTCACTCAACAAATATCTATTTATTACATACTTGTCTCTAAAATATGACTGAGAATTTTTAGATTATTTGACACATTCTTGTCCAGGGTAAATTTGGTTACTGCTAACCCTGTAGGTGGGAGAAAGTTTACTGTAGAGATTTTGTATTTCACTTTGAAAGCTCTGTTAAATTGTCTTTTTTTTTTTTTTTTTTTTTTGAGACGGAGTCTCACTCTGTCGCCCAGGCTGGAGTGCAGTGGCGCCATCTCAGCTCACTGCAACCTCTGCCTTCCAGGTTCAAGAGATTCTCCTGCCTCAGTCTCCCGAGTAGCTGAGACTACAGGCGCGTGCCAACAAGCCCAGCTAATTTTTGTATTTTTAGCAGAGACGGGGTTTCACTCTGTTGACGAGGATGGTCTCACTCTCTTGACCTCGTGATCTGCCCGCCTTGGCTTCCCAAAGTGCTGGGATTACAGGCATGAGCCACCACACAGAGTGGTGCTTTTTAAAAGCTCTCCAGGTGATTCTAACGTGCAAACAGGGTTAAGAACCTCTGCCTTGGCTGGGCACGGTGGCTCACGCCTGTAATCCCAGCACTTTGGGAGGCTGAGGCAGGCGGATCACCTGAGGTCAGGAGTTCAAGACCAGCCTGGCCAACATAGTAAAACCCCATGTCTACTAAACATACAAAAAAAAAAAAAATTAGTCGGGCATGGTGGCGGGCACCTGTAATCCCAGCTACTTGGAAGGCTGAGGCGGGAGAATTGCTTGAACCCAGGAGGCAGAGGTTGCAGTGAGCCGAGATGACACCACTGCACTCCAGCCCGGGCAACAGTGCAAGACTCCGTCTCCAAAAAAAAAAAAAAAGAACCTCTGCCTTATATTTTTTTTTCTTTAAACATAGTTATTTTTATTCAAGTTTCATTAATCCAATTTCAGGAGAAAGTATAGTAAGCCTATTTAAACAGATTTTTTTTTTCAGTGTTTCAATATTTGACACTGAGTTGCTTATTTCCCTTGGAAATGTTTATTTTTAAATTTTATTTCAATAGTTTTTGGGGTACAGGTGGTTTTTGGTTACATGGATGAGTACTTTAGTGGTGAATTCTGAGATTTGTGTGCACCTGGCACTTGAGCAGTGTCCACTGTACCCAATATGTTGTCTTTTATCCCTTGTCCCCTTCCCAGCCTCCCCCCGAGTCCCCAAAGTCCATTATATCACTCTGTATGTTTTTGCATCCTCATAGCTTAGCTCCCATTTATAAGTGAGAACATAAGACACTTGGTTTTCCATTCCTGAGTTACTTCGCTTAGAATAATGCTCTGCCTTACTTTTAAGGATACAAGTGCATATGCTTATTATGACTGTCTCTACTGTGAAAGCAGAAATCACTGATATACCTAGAAACACATGGAGAGACATTCATTCTCTTTCTCACCATATAAAAAAAAAACCCAAACCAACACTGCTCAGCACGACACCAACTGGCTGACATAGCACATTCTTGACGACCATTATCCCAAGTTCCCTGTGAATCACTACACAGTTTTTTTTCAGTCCTCCCAATTCTCCTCCCACATGTGGTTGCAGGGAGCAGCTGTCCATTGTGCAATAGCAGTGGACTGAAAGATAGAAGACATGGATTCTAACTGCATACTGTCCCTAACTAGCTGTGAGGCATGAGGCTGGTCACTCAATACCTCTGAGACTGTAAAATAGCAATGATTTTACTGTCGGGTCTAGCCACTTCATAGGTTTGAATAAAGATCAAATGAAATATGAAAGCAATCATAAGCCATAAATTGCCATGTCAAGATAACAATATGACTATGGACTTAAGAGCCTCCAGGATAGAGCAGAATCATTCTTCTCCTTATTTTCTCTAGGTAGTCCCCTATGCACCTGCAGTTTCCCCTTCATTCTCAAGGGAAAGTATGTGCCCTCGTAGAAAAAGAGATGAAGGAAGACAGGTATATGTACAATAATGTATTTTTGCAGTGCTTACAAAAGAATACCATGTGCCCATTTAAAAAATGAGACAGTGGCCAGGCGCGGTGGCTCACGTCTGTAATCCCAGCACTTGGGAGGCCAAGGTGGGTGGATCGCCTGAGGTCAGGAGTTCAAGACCAGCCTGGCCAGCATGGTGAAACCCCATCTCTACTAAAAATACAAAAATTAGCCAGGCATGGTGGCAGGTGCCTATAATCCCAGCTACTTGGGAAGCTGAGGTAGGAGACTCGCTTGAACCTGGGAGGCAGAGGTTGCAGTGAGCTGAGATGATGCCATTGCACTCCAGCCTGGGCAAAAGAGCGAGACTCTGTCTCAAAAAAAAAAAAAAAAGAGATAGTGCTATACAACCCATACAAAACGATGTTAATGATACATTGTTAGGTGAAAAAAACTAAATTGCAGCACAGTACACAGGGTATAATCTCATCTTAAAATTACATAAAAATGTTTGGTAATGCATAAAAAATGTCTAGAAGGATACTTTCCAATCTGTTCCCACTGGGCATTAGGATTGATTGAGGGAGGGACTTTTTATTTTTACTTTGTAAATTTCTGTAATATTGAAATAGTTTTATAATGAGCACATATCATTTTCATAATTTAAAAATATATACTAAAATGTAAATTGAGGGAAAACAGATGGTGAGAGTATTACAGCCTAGGATTAGTAAAGAGTCAGAGAGTGGTCCAGGCACAGTGGCTCACACCCATAATCCCAACATTTTGGGAGGCTGAGGCAGGAAGATCACTTGAGCCCAGGAGTTCGAGACCAGCCTGAGCAAAATAGTGAGACCCTGTCTCTATGAAAAAATTTAAAATTGGTCTGACATGGTGGTGTACACCTGTAGTCCCAGCTACTTGGGAAGCTGAGGCAGGAGGATCTTTTGACCCCAGGAGATTGAGGCTGCAGTGAACTGTGATCACACCACTACACTCCAGCCTGGACCACAGAACGAGACCCTGTCTCAAAAAATAAGTAAGTAGATAATAAATAAATAAAAAGTCACAGAGTGTAATTGCCCTAAAGTTGTTCTAGTGCCTGGACCCAGGCAAAGCATGCTATAAGGGAAGCATACAGCTCTCAAAATCCATTATCAACAACCTTTGAGAATTCACAGAGAAGATTAGAGGTGACAGACGGCTCAAAATGGTTGAGGGTTCTGATTTAAAATCAGGAATTGCGAACTACAAGGCTTGAGGTTTATCACCAGGAAAAGTCTAGAATTAATTATTATTAAATATTTGGTTTGTGAACATTTAAAAATGCACGTGGTGGTCATCAGCAGATGACATAGATTCACTAAGAACAAACCATGACAAACTAACCTATTATTTTTTGTTAGGGTAACTAGATCAGTAGCTCCGAGGAGTATCATAGACTTAGTATATGTTGATTTCAGCAAAGCCGTTCATTCACAAACTCTCCTGCAGCATCATTTTGGAAAATACACACAATGCAAATTATTAAAGGATTCACAGCTGTTTACAAAATCATATTCAATGACTATACCTAGATAGATGTATCCAATAAAATAAGTGCCCATCTTTGGCCCACTTCTCTTTAATTTTTTTTTTTTTTTTTTTTGAGACAGAGTCTCGCTTTGTTGCCCAGGATGGAGTGCAGTGGTGTGATCTTAGCTCACTGCAACCTCCACCTCCTGGGTTCAAGCAATTCTCCTGCCTCAGCCTCCCGAGTAGCTGGGATTACAGGCACGTGCCACCACACCCAGCTAATTTTTTGTATTTTTAATAGAGACAGGGTTTCACCATGTTGGCCAGGATGGTCTCAATCTCCTGACCTCATGATCCACCTGCCTCAGCCTCCCAAAGTGCTGGCATTACAGGCGTGAGCCAGCATGCCCGGCCTTCTTTCATATCTTTTATCAATAACCTAGACACAGACATTGAAGGCAACCTTACCAATTTCTCGGATGACACAAAGATGAAAGGAATAACCACTAGCTAAAGCACAGGATCTATGTTCAAGATATTATTAATTTACTGGAATGCCAAGCTGAAACCAGTGATGGACGACCTAATGGGTGGTAGGATGAGAAATTTAAGTTTCATGCAAGAAAGAACTTTTAACTATAGTTGTCTAACAATGGAATAGGTAATTATTGGGGGAGGGGATTGGAGATTGGCCCATCAAATGTTTCTACAAATACAAAAACTAGTTGATTCCGACTGAAAAATTAATAACAGACACTAAATGCTAACAGATTTCAAAGATAGTGGAAATTAATATAGGGCATAAAATTTGTTTTCCTAATGAAAACAAACACTGAGCAGAACCTTGAAGAATCAGTAAATAGTATAGATGCATGAAAGAGAGGAGGTCATTCCAGAAGCAAGACTAACGTGGCATTTTCCAGTCACAAAGTGACAGCTGGCTGTGGTTTTGGTGAGTAAAGGAAAACAAGGCTGGGGCCAGATTATGGAAGATCTGGGACCAGTAAAGAAGTTTATACTTTGTACAGTGGAGAAAGGATCAGTCAGGCTCTGCTTGCATGCATCTGAAACAAATTCTGGAAAATTCAAGAGAGGAATTTATTGGAAAAATATGAGGAGCTCCCAGAACAAATGCAAAGACTAGAGAACCAGGCCTGGAAACATTAGAAAGCAAAGTGGACTCTAAGGCTAAAAAGTAGGAACTAGAAAAGTAGGCTTGAAGCAGGCCAAGGCTCCATGCGAGCGTGAATGAATATGCAACCATGTTTAATCTCTTTATTACATTGCTAAGGATTCAAATTAGAGGAATGAGCATTCCAAAGCCCTAGTTTGTTATATGTCCTTCCCTTAGCTGAAAAAGAGATTAATAGTTGGGTTTTTTTAATCCAATAAAAGAGATAATCCCCAAAAGAAAGTTGAGGTGTGAAGGAGAAATAAATACTGAGCAGCCAATAGACAACAAAAGTTCACTATTGGCACTGTTAGAGGTTTTGAGCAAGGAGGCAATGTGTTGAAAATAGTGCTATATGGAGATCTGGCAATTTGCAAATGGACTGAAGGAATGGAAATCTAAAGGTAGATAGTGAGTTTTCCAGGTATATACTGTGGCAGTGGAATAGGATAGCAATGATGTTCAAAGTAAAAACAGTAAGCCTTGATAACTGCCTAAAGGTTAAGGAAAAGGAAAGAGTCAAAAATTACTATAAATGCTCTCCTTAAAGACTGAAGGAATGATAGTGGTAGAAGTAAGACAGCTTAGAAAGAGAGCAGCATCTAGGATGGAGGTGAAAATGATGCTTACAGTGTTAAGTTTAGCTGATGGGGAAAATGCTCAGTAGGAATTAGGACTAAATAGTCTATGAGGACTTGTTTGGAGATATAGACTTAGGAGGATTTGGCATAAAGATTGCAATAAAAGTCAGACCTGGCTGTCTTACAAATATATAAAATGATATGCAGAAATGGTTGAAAACTTCCCTCCAAATTGTAAGAAAAAAAGAGTATCCCCCTAAAAAAGGAGTTGGTAGTGGAAGTTTTGGGAACTCAAAATGAGAACTTCTGTACTATAAACTTTTAACTATAAGCAGTATGATTTTTTCCATTTTTATTCTTATCCCATTTTCTCCCTCTACCCGAGATACCCACTCTAATTTTATGTCCATATATATATATATACATGTATATATATACATATTTTAAGGGATATATATACATGCATACACATATAGCCCTGTAAAAAACGTGGAGTTTTTTGGAGTTTGTGTTTAAATTTAAATGTATTTAAATATGTGACATTATGTTGCAGACCTCATTTTGTTATTTTTTCACTCAACACATCATGTTGCTATAAGAACAAGAAAGCCAAGTTGCTGCTTAGAAATGATGCAACAGTTTACATTTCTACCAGCAGGTCATGAGAGTTCTCAATTCTAACATTTTCACCAACACTCGGTAATATCTTGTTTTTGCCAATTTGGTGAATATAAAATTGTGCCTAGTTGTTTAAAGTTTTTTCTTCCTAGTGAGATGGAATACCCCTGAAGTCCTCAGGTTTCTTTTTCAATATGCTGCTTCATTGTAGTCTTTCTCCATTTTTCTGTTGTTTCCTTTTATTTATTGATTTCCACTAGTATCATTTATGTCCTAGAGCTGTGCGGTCCAGTACAGTAGCCACTAGCCATTAACCAGTAAGCCAAGAGCACTCAAGTACTTTAAATATGGCTAGTCCAAATTGAGATATAATGTTAGTATAACAAACACACCAGATTTTAAAAACTCAGTACAAAACAAAGAATGCAAAACATCTCAATAATCTTTATAATAAATTGAAATTATAATATTTTAGATATGTTAAATAAAATTTATTTTTAGAATACATTTTACCTATTTATTTTTGCTTTTTATTATATTGTGGCAACTAGAAAATTCAAAATAACATACATGGCTGGCTTGTATTTGTGCAAGCCACAAATTATATTTCTATTGGAGATGCTGTTCTAGATATCCTTAGTTAGTTTTAGACATTGACAATATCTTTTCTGGCTCTGTCCTCCATCCTAAGTTTGTGTATGGTGTCTCATCAAATCTATCAATTTCTCACCAGGCCACCACATTAGACAACAACAATATCTATGTAAATGGCCCCCTGAAGTTGGGCAGTGAATAACATATGCAGCCATACATAGCCCTGATTTTTGCCTGGTGGATTGTATTTTGTGCATCTTGTTTAATAAGTTCTTCCCCACAGCTAGATCACAAAATTGTCCTTGTATTATTTTTATAATTAAAAAAGAGAAAAACAGGATGGTGTGCCATAGAAGAAAGTGGTTTATAAGGTCAAAAAATACAGATTTTAGCCAAAAAAATGACTATAGGGAAAAAATCATTTATGCTGGATTTTATTATTTTTGACAGCAACGTTATCTTTCTAATTATGTTTTGGTTAGGCAAATGTTAAAATTTGCATTCCAAAGAGCACATTAACAGATGGTAAAGAAGACAGGCCACAAGCATGCTGAGTGACAGGCTGACTCCAGTTTCTAGTCTAAATATTCGCTGAGATTAGTTTTCACAATAAATAAATAACCTTGATGTAGATAAGAAAGAGCTGGCAGTAATTGCAAAGATCATAAGAGAATGTTTAGGTTTCTACTTATATTATTCTGAAACATGCTTTTTCGAATATCACTTGCTTACTCTGGAAAGTCATCCAATCTCCATTCCCTATCAAATTCAAACTGCTCAAATCTGTCAGTGGAGACACCCATAAACTGGCCCCATCCAGGTTTGTGTGTCTCATTTTCCCAACAAACTATACATTCTACACAGATAGGTATCATGTCTAACATTAATACTTCTTCATCGACATCTTGAGAGATGTCATCGTTTAAAATTTTCTAAATTACTTGAGTAAAATGCTCTGTGCTTAGCATGAAATGGCTAAAATTTATTTGAGCAACAGTTTTCACTTTGAAGTAACTCACCTGACCTCATACGAAGAAAAATACCAATGACAGAAGTAAGTAGAAAATAACATGTTCAAAATGAGATATCAAATGATAAGGTATTTAAAAGTTGAGGTCAACCTCAGAACTGCTAATATGCCCATTACAACCACAGAAATATAGGTTTGCAGTAATAAGTATTGTAGTCTTCTTCAAACCCTTTAATTCAAGAAAGAAGTTGAAAGGTTATAAAAAGTCAAAGGCAATGAGACCAACTCACCTCAGACCAAGTGCAGGATGTTTAGAGATTGAAGTCATTTATTCCTGATTAATACTGGGAATTCCAACTCACTTTAAGTATTAACACTTATCAGAATTTAAAACAGTTAATTCCAAATTAAAAGCTGACCTTTCTTTTTACTCAGCCTCTAACTATAGGCTTCATTATAACTGTGTGAATGTATAATTTTCATTTTAAAAAGTGTGTAATACTTGTGGTACAAGTCTGGGCATTACATTAAGAAAACCAAATGTTTTTGATATCTTTTATGACGGTTATAACTTCAGTGTCTACTGGAAAAATTTGCAAAGGCAAGAATTTGTCTTTCACCATTATATTTGACATAGAATAGAAATGTATTTCCCAAAGCAAAATTGTACATACTTCACAAAATTCAGCTGTTATTGTTCCCAAGCTCAATTCTTCTCTGTGTCCACTCCTCCATCTAGATTTATTTTCCTTCTTGTTGAAGTACATTCTTTGGTAGTTCTTTCAAGTATCTATGGATAATAAACTGTCTGTACATTTGCAAAGGTATTTTACCTTTACTCTTCAGTGATAATCACAATATAGACTTTTATTTTGACAGCTATTAAAAATGGAATTATACATTCACACACTCATAATGAAACATCAGCACATTGAAGATATTATTCTACTGTTTTCTGGCATTTATTCTTGCTAATGAGAAATCCAATTGTCTTTCCTCTCTGGTTAACCTTCTGTTAGTTTTAGAATATTTTTTCCTTTTCTGTTGTTCTCCCATTTCATTAAAAGTATCTAGACGTTAATTTAGTTTTTTAATCCAGCTCGAACACAAATGTGCTCTTTATGTATTTTATATTTTTTGCCTGAGAGTTTCTCTTTAGCTAGAGTTATAAATTCTATGGTGTTCCATGAATATCTGGGTAATAGAAGCCTCCCTATGGGATGGTTTCGTTGTTACTTATGCCCGAGCCCTGTGGGTTTTTGCAAATCTTGATGTTTGTTTCTTGGTTTTAGACAGCCGATATTTAGGATAACCCTCACTCAGAGGTGGTTCCCTAAGACCTCTATTGCTTGTAGGTCATCCTGTTTTCATCTATGTAGAGGTGGCTCACCTTTGCAGCAACTCTTGGCCTTTGGGTTTTCCTGGTCCCCATTCTTAGACAGTGTAGTAATTTTGCCGCTCCCCACAGGCACCAGGCAAGGGCAGCAGCCCTTGATTTACCCTACCCCAAAGACACAGATCAATTTGGTTCCTCCTATGGGCATCAAAGCTTCAACTCCTTCTCCGTTTTATATCTATGCATTTCTGGAGAATTTTTTTTTCTTGATTTTTGAGCTTGGGTACATATTTCTTAAATTATTATTATTACTTTTAGTCCAACATTCTGTGTGTAGAGTGGGGTAAAAAGGATTCTGCTTAGCCATTTGGACTAGATCCTTTCACATTACCTTCTGTTTTTGTTTTTGTTTTTGTTACTTTGATATAGATGATCTTAAGAAAGCAGAGAGTAGATCCAATAACAGATGTTAACTGTGGCTTTCTATCTGTTTGTCTTTCCATACTGGGAAGTTCTTAGCAATTAGAGCCATCAAAACAAAATTGGAAAATGTTTTCTTTATTCAGAACAGGTAACTTTAGGACACAATAAAATCTAAAGACATCCTATCAAAAGTGACAGCTATATCATAGTAGAAGCATTAGCTTGGCATTTATAGATTGGGTTCAAGTAGAAAATTGGTCTAAAGATCAAAACTTTCTGAGATCATTTGGAATAAAAGCTAATCCTCACATTGAAATTAATGCAATGAATAATGGCCTTTTGTTGAAGCACTGATGAGGTCACGTCTAGTCCAAGCAGAAGCCTGTCAATCTCATATTGTGGTCTACGTTTAATCGGGCCTTTGTTTTCAAGTTCACAACCACTAGAAATTCAATCTAAGATTTACACATTGCTAACTCTAACGTCATCAATTTACATGTTTTAAGTTGCATCTGCTGGTCCGTAGGGCGTGAGGACTTTTAGGTCTGCATAAAGTTCATCAAAATTTTCTCAACAATATTTATGGTTTTTTGTTTATTTATTTATTCATTTATTGATTGATTGAGAAAGGGTCTCACTCTGTCACCCAGGCTGGAGTGCAATGGTGCAATTTCAGCTCACCGCAACCTCCACCTCCCGGGTTCAAGTGATTCTCCTACCTCAGTCTCCTGAGTAGCTAGGATTACAGGCATGTGCCACCACACCTGGCTAATTTTTGTATTTTTTTTTAGTAGAGACAGGGTTTCACCATGTTGGCCAGGCTGGTCTCTAACTCCTGGCCTCAAGTGATCAGCCCGCCTTGGCCTCCCAAAGTGCTCAGATTATAGGCGTGAGCCACCGCACCCGGCCTCAACAATATTTGATATGTATCAAAAACATGTAAACTAAGAAAGCTTTGAGGGCATAATTATATATTCTTAAAATTAGGAAAAAAAATCAACACATGAGATTACAGTGAAATCCATACTCAAATCCTGCTGATAAATTGTTACAATCCTTTTGGAAAGTAATATGGCAACATAGGTGGCAAAAACCACAATGTTTTTCTTGAAACCCTAAGGCCACTTCTAGGAGTTTATGCTGTAGAACTAATTCAACAGAAGATTAAAACTATGTACATGAAGTTATTCATATGCAAGACTGAAAAATCAGAAACAAGTTAAATGTCTTTGTAAGTTACAATCTTTTAAGTTTTCAATTACCTTAACTAATGGTGGCTTATTGAGAGATAAAATGGATTATGAAGACTGACACATAGTTTCAGAACTAGAATCTCTTAAGGTATAAGACATTTTGTTGCACTGTCATCATCAAAGTAATATTAACTTCTCAATCCCTCTTCAGGTACTCTGCTTTTAAAGAGACTTGGATATTCTTTAACTCTGCTTCCACTATTCCTACTACTACCAAACTATTTCCCTTATGTCTCAACTTGAAATGTCTTCAAAAAGAGTACCTGATTATTTGGGGCATTTACTATGCAATATTGAGGGGTCTTTGCGGGGCAGAGCTTGCCCACAAGACTATCATAGATCTCTGACCACGGTCCAATGTCCACAGCCCTGATCCAATTAGCAGTACCAAAGATAGTAAGGTGACACAGTACATTTTTTTCTGTCTTCAGATTACCTGATTTTTGCAATCTGAAAGATAAAATAAAAGGTTTTTAAAATGAATATTACTTAGTTATACACTTAATACAAGTTGTCCTTAATTGTCCATTCTTTTGATAAAAACATGACCATACTCTGTTCAGCATGATTCATATTTGCAGACAGATTTCTAAAATTAGGAAAGGTCATTGCCCAGCAAAGAGATACTTCATCATGTAACCATTTCTGAGATCCTATGATAAGAAAATATAGTGCATTCATTTCTCATTTCCTGCACCTTAATAAATCTGTTCCTGTTATCTTTTCCTAAAACTGTAGCTGTAGAAAAACATAAATACTTATCAAATAGGCAGAGAAAGTGCTGAGAGATTTACTCATGCATGTTTTTATCAGAAAAAAAAATGTCTAGAAAAGAGTTGCCCATGTTACACATGAACAATATAAAATGAAGCTTTATGAAAAACATAAGCATTAACAAGATAAAAGAAACAGCAACTATGCAAATAAACTAAGCAAAGAAAGCAGCAGTAAGGAAAGGAGGATGGCACACCAAATACTATCTAAACATAACACAGAGAATAGAAAAATGTAAGAGCTGTTTGTTTTATCATGTTTGTGATAAAATAACTTATTACAAAATGATAAAATAACATAATAAAAGGTGTAAAAGAGAGATTGCATGGCCGGGCATGGTGGCTCATGCCTGTAATCCCAGCACTTTGGGAGGCCGAGGCGGGCAGATCACCTGAGGTCGGGAGTTTGTGACCAGCCTGACCAACATGGAGAAACCCCATCTCTACTGAAAACACAAAATTAGCCGGGCGTGGTGGCGCATGCCTGTAATCCCAGCTACTAGGGAGGCTGAGGCAGGAGAATCACTTGAACCTGGGAGGCAGAGGTTGCGGTGAACCGAGATCGCACCATTGCACTCCAGCCTGGGCAACAAGAGCAAAACTCCATCTCAAAAAAAATTAAAAATAAAAATAAGTAAAATAAGAGATTGCAGAATCTAGGAAACAAAACTATATTAATTAGGAGCCAGAAACCATACTACTTACTTTAACAGAAAGAGTTCAAGAACTGCTAACTAGGTAATCAAGAACTGACAAGGGAAAAATAAAACACTAAGATTATAGATAGATATACAGATTATAGACAGATTATAAAAAGGAGCTTCTATCCCTGGGGCTTGAGGAATAAAGGGAAAAGGCTAGAATAATTAAAACTTAGAAGCTTGGAGGAGAAGCCCAAAAAAACTGAGTACCAGATCTCTGAAAAGAACGCGCTGCTTAGCTGGTGCTATGGTCTTTTTGCTCAGAGAAGGGCCTCCATGGAATTACGACCAAAATCTCTAAGGAAGTGGTGCTGACCAGCTGATATTAGGTATTTGAGGGGGTGTGATGAGGTTAGTTCTGCAAGTATTAAGCAAACTGTGACTGTAACCTGGACTGTATAGCTGCTCTGCTGCTACTGGATCAAACTTACTCAGCCAGAGTTAAAAATGAGGCTGGGGTACTGCTATACAGAGGAGGAATCCAACAGGAAAGAAGGAAGTCCATCCTCCCTCCTCCAGCCTTTCACTCTCTCTCTCTGATATTCCCTATTGGAAACACCTCAGAGAGCAACTGGCAAAGCAGAAATGTGGTTTGCATAGTCCCAGCTCCAGCATCATAAAACAACATTAGGAAAGGGTGGATGTGGCACTGAGAGATTATATTTAATAACTGGCCAAAGGACCAAAACAATGCTATTACAGAATTAATGAACAAATCTGGAACAGCAAAAATCAAAACAAAAAAAGCAACACAAAAAAACAGATCTAAGGACAAGAGAGAAAGAAAGGAAAGAAGGAAGGAAGATCACTGCTACCGGTGATCCAACTCACACAGCTTTTGTTAAGGCACACTTGATTCTAACACTAAATTGTTTGAACTTCTTTTCACTGTTTTCTTTGACAGTGGCCTCTCCTGTCATGCTGGTGGACACAATAGCTAGCAGAATAGCCATAGTTATGACCTGGCCCTGAATAGCCAAAATAGGCCATATTGGACATCAGAAACTTAGAATCAACCTCTGTTATCAATGGAGATACAGAAAAAAGTAAAACATGTGGTCTCTGAAAATAAACTATGTAGTGCTTAGCAAATGTAACATTCTGCATTGTCAGTGATTAATTTTATTGATACCTTGGAATATATTGCAAAAATTGTTCTGGCCAGGCGTGGTGGCTCACACCTGTAGTCCCAGCACTTTGGAGGCCGAGGCGGGTGGATCACCTGAGGTCAACAGTTCAAGACCAGCCTGGCCAACATGGCAAAACCCCATCTCTACTAAAAATACAAAATTAGCTGGGCATGGTGGCAGATGCCTGTAATCCCAGCTACTCAGGAGGCTGAGGCAGGAGAGCCGCTTGAACTCGGGAGGCGGAGGTTGCAGTGAGCTGAGATTGCACCATTGCACTCCAGCCTGGGAGACAGAGCAAGACCCTGTCTAAAAAAAAAAAAAAAAGTTATTCTGTGTTTTTTGCCATTATTCTAATATAAAACTATTCTCTTTTTTTTCCTACAATGTGATTTGTACCATTTATTACTATCTAAATGACATCTCCTTCTTATTCTGTGTAACATGTGTGTATCTTCCCAAACAATCAATAAGCAGGCAAGGGTTTCTTTTAGGAGTGTGTGTGTGTGTGTGTGTGTGTGTGTGTGTGTGAGTATTTTTAAGACTTGGGAGTTTTTGACATCATTCCTTGTGTTCAGGCTCAAAACTGAACTTCATTGGAGTATATAAACCATTAGAGTTAAGGGAAAACTTTATTGTTTCATCCTAAAAACTTTTCCTAGTACGGAATCTATTGAGTGTTGGGATCTGCTTTCTCAACAGTTCAGAAGAATACCAAAACAGAAATCATAATTTTCATATTTGATTGTTCTTTTACCAGTGAAATCTAAGTAATTCTTGGAATTCATACAGATCCTATAGGCATCGCCCTTGAAAGAAACAGATGTAAATCAATTTTATTAATTTTTTTCACCTTAAAGTTATTCTATGGCAAAGCTGTTTTAAACTGGGTATCTTGACAGCAGAATATTTGCACCAAAAAGTCATCACACTCAAACATGCAGTCGCATATTAGCAAGTGAAAATTTGAAGCGAAAAGGAAAGCTAGTAAGAGAAGAAAATGGGAGTTAGAGAAGAAAAGAGGAAGAAATACATAAATAGTTTAAACAACTTCTCCCACCAGTATTACCAGATAAGGACACCAATTCTGCTGTGAACTGCTTTACTACCTAGCTGCAGAGCTCCTTGAAGCATAGGCAGGCAGCCAAGTGAGCCTGCCCTATCTGCCCCCAAGCCTTGGAGGGTAGAGTTACAACCCAGATTACCTAAGCACCACCAACCTTACAGCCTCAGGGTAAAGAGAACACAAACACACCTAAAACCACTGCCCACTCCTTTCTTCTGGCAAGCTTTCTCTTCCTTGTCCTTTCCTGTTCCTCTGTTCTTTCTAGAAAGAACTTCTGGAAACGTCTCTGGCCCTTAGAGTTATGGGTGTTGGCAAGCATAAGTATGCAGCATTTTATAGGTCCTTCTCTCTAAATTCGCAAGTGGGCAGGGTCATGCTACTGGGACTGTCTCTCAAAGTTGTACCATCGACAAAGGATAGACACTGGCATAATAGTGAACTGTTGATTTTTGTTTTGTTTTTTTGTTTGTTTGTTTTTGAGACGGAGTCTCACTCTTGCCCTGGCTGGAGTGCAATGGCATGATCCCGGCTCACTGCAAGCTCCGCCTCCCAGGTTCGAGCGATTCTCCTGTCTCAGCCTCCCAAGTAGCTGGGATTACAGGTGTGCGCAACCACACCTGGCTAATTTTTGTGTTTTTAGTAGAGATGGTGTTTCACCATGTTGGCCAGGCTGGTCTCAAACTCCTGACCTCAAGTGATCCACCAGCCTCGGCCTCTCAAAGTGCTGGGATTACAGGCGTGAGCCCACTGTGCTTGGCTGTGAACTGTTGATTTTTCTGACAGCTCCCAGACCACCTGAGGGTGTATTTGATCACTCATGGTCTGAGAGTCACCATTTCAGAACTACTCTCTTATCTTTATTCCTTTATTAGAGGAATTTACTTTCATGTTCTAGTCTAGTTTGAGAGCTCCTTAAAGGCCAGACTATGAGAAAGCTACTTCCAGAGAACTCATAATCTTTTATATTATATACCAAATCCATGAGCTACTCAGTGGACATTTGTTAGTTATTGGACAAAATCCAAAAAATAAAAATAAAAATAATTTTAGTATTCTGAATGATGTATTTTTAAAGTTTTAACAAGAAACAGAAAGTGTTTAAAATGTGGACACAGGAAAACCATATGGTGGTTACTAAAAAAATTAAACATAGAATTACCATATAACCTAGTAATTCCACTTCTGAGTATTTACCCAAAAGAACTGTTGGCAAGTTTGGCAAAATGGTTATTGACTAAAAAATTAAAAAAGAATTAAAAGCAGGGACACAAACAGATATTTGCACATCAATGTTTATAGCAGCATTATTAACAATAGCCAAAAGGTGGAAGCAAACCAAGTCACCATTAACAGATGAATGGATAAATAATGTGATATATACATACAATGGAATATTATTAAGCTTTAAAAAGACATGAAATTCTAACATATGCAACAATATGGATGAATCTTGAAGACATTTTGTTAAGTGAAATAAGCCAGACATAAAAGGACAAATAGTATATGATTCCACTCATGTGAGGTACCTAAAGTAGTCAAATTCATAGACAAAAAGTACAGCTGGGCACTGTGGCTTCACCTGTAATCCCAACACTTTGGGAGGTGGAGGGGGTAGGATCTCTGGAGCCCAGAAGTTTGAGACCAGCCTGGACAACATAGCAAGATCCTTCACTAAAAAAATAAAATAAGAAAATAGCCAGGTGTGATGGCACACACCTATAGTCCCAGCTACTCAGGAGGCTGAGGCAGGAGGATCCCTTGAGCCCATGATCTTGAGGCTGCAGTGAGCTATGATTCCCACCACTGCACTCCAGCCCCAGCCTGAGCAACAGAGAGGGACCCTGTCTCTGAAAATAAAAAAAATAAAAAAGCAGAATGGTATTTGCCAGAGGCTGGGGGGTAGGGAGAATGGGGAGTTATCATTTAATGAGTATGAAGTTTCAGTTTTGGAAGATGAAAATTTTCTGGAGATGGATGGTGGTAATTGTTATATGACAATGTTAATGTACTTAATATCACTGAATTATACACTTAGAATAGTTAAAATAGTAAACTTTTATGCTATATATATTTTACCACAATTTCTTTTAAAAAAGAAATAAACCTTTAAAGAATATTGGCCAGTAGAAAGTATTTTATCTAATATTATTTTACCTCTTCATTTGTATCTTTGAACTATGAATAATGCATTTCCTTGTGTTCAGTGGTTCTCAATGGGTGGTCCAGGGACCGCCCCCCATCTCAACTCCCAGAAGTCTCCAATACCTTTTCAGGAAGCCTTTAAAGTAAAACTAATTTCATTATAACATAATACTATAATATAATCCTATGTTATTTCCCTTTTTTTAAACCTCAATTCTCTCAAAAGAACATTAGTTTTGCTGAGGTCATGTGACATGTGATATCATAAAAGACAGAATGCGAATACAGCTAAGAGAATTCAGCTGTCTTTTATTAAGCCAAGTATGAAAGAGATTTGCAAAAATGTGAAACAATGCCACTCTTCTCATGAGATGTTTTTGTTTGGGGAAATGTAGTTATTTTTCATAAAACATGTTATTTATATTAACATGTAATGAGATATTATTATTGTTTTAAATGAATTAATACATAGTTTTTAAATTTCTGGATTTAAATTTTTTAACTTTTCTCTCTTTATAGGATTTAGAAGTTCCAAAGAGCAGGCTGGGTAACATATTTAGAGCACTGCCTTATACAATTTTCTGGATTCTTTAATACAATAGCATAGGGAAAATGTGGTTTATGTAGCCAAGCATTGCTTAGATGGGTATAAAAAGAATATTGACTTAAAATTTGCTGGCTCACATTATCGTGTTGATAAGGTACTACAGCAAAAGTACCTCATCAACACAAGGCTGATTTGAGGCTCTTTCAACATGATTGAGTTAAAAGATTCCAAAAGAAAAGAAATGAACAATGTAATTTGCTATTACTGCTCCTACTGTTGTTACCTCAGGTAAGTAGACAGACATGAACAGGGCAGGAGAGGGCTCCCCGCACCATACCCCCAACCAGGAATGTCAGGCAACCATCAGGTAATGGTCAGGCGGTTAACTGTCTATCTAAAATCATTGGTTGCAGCCCGCGCCAGGGAAAGGCAGTCTCCCTCCAGATAGGAAAAACCTGAAACTGGTGATCAGTAGCTTCTCAAGAGTTGGTGGAGTGGGCTCAGACATGCGCACTAATAAGCGAAATGGCAGAGTTTAACTGGTATATGACCTCCTAGGGACATGTGGCTCCTAAGGGAAGAACAGCTCAAGTGAGCGTGCGTACAATTCCAGTAAACACGCTGCACATGCTCACCTCCCAAGTGCTAGCAGGCCACTGCGCATGCAGACAGCCAACCCCAAGGGAAGAAGGGGAGAAAGTGTGTCTGGAATTGGTGGGTTCTTGGTCTCACTGACTTCAAGAATGAAGCCACGGACCCTTGCTGTGAGTGTTAACAGTTCTTAAAAGCGGCGTATCCGGAGTTTGTTTCTTCCTCCCAGTGGGTTCGTGGTCTCGCTGGCTCAGGAGTGAAGCTGTGGACCTTGGCGGTGAGTGTTACAGCTCATAAAAGCAGTGTGGACCCAAACAGTGAGCAGCAGCAAGGTTTACTGCAAAGAGCGAAAGAACAAAGCTTCCACAGTGTCTAACGGGACCCCAGCGGGTTGCCACTGCTGTCTCGGGCAGCCTGATTTTATTCTCTTACCTGGCCCACCCACATCCTGCTGATTGGTCCATTTTACAGAAAGCCGAGTGGTCTGTTTTGACAGGGTGCTGATTGGTGCGTTTACAATCCCTGAGCTAGACACAAAGGTTCTCCACTTCCCCACTAGATTAGCTAGATACAGAGTGTTGAAACAAAGGTTCTCCAAGTCCCCACCAAAGTAGCTAGATACAGAGTGTGGATTGGTGCATTCAGAAACCCTGAGCTAGACACAGGGTGCTGATTGGTGTGTTTACAAACCTTGAGCTAGATACAGAGTGCCGATTCGTGTATTTACAATCCCTTAGCTAGGCATAAAGGTTCTCCAAGTCCCCACCAGTCAGGAGCCCAGCTGGCTTCACCCACTGGATCCCGCATCGGGGCCACAGGTGGAGCTACCTGACAGTCCCACGCCGTGCACCTGCACTCCTCAGCCCTTGGGTGGTTGATGGGACTGGGTGCCGTGGAGCAGGGGGCGGCACTCGTCAGGGAGGCTCGGGCGGCACAGGAGCCCACGGAGGGTGGGGGAGGCTCAGGCATGGCAGGCTGCAGGTCCTGAGCCTGGCCCCGCGGGGAGGCAGCTAAGGCCCAGCGAGAAATCGAGTGCAGCGCTGGTGGGCCAGCACTGCTGGGGGACCCAGCACACCCTCTGCAGCCGCTGGCCCGGGTGCTAAGCCCCTCATTGCCCAGGGACTGCAGGGCCGGCCGGTCGCTCCGAGTGCAGGGCCTGCTGAGCCCACACCCACCCGGAACTCGTGCTGGCCCGCAAACACCGCGTGCAGCCCTGGTTCCCACCCGCGCCTCTCCCTCCACACCTCCCCGCAAGCTGAGGGAGCCAGCTCCGGCCTCGGCCAGCCCAGGAAGGGGCTCCCACAGTGCAGCGGCGGGCTCCTCAAGTGCCGCCAAAGTGGGAGCCCAGGCAGAGGAGGCGCCGAGAGCGAGCGAGGGCTGTGAGGGCTGCCAGCACACTGTCACCTCTCAAAAGGACGCAAGACCCCAGAAGTATGCCAACATATAAAGCCCCAAGTCAAAAGGTCAAACTGCGCACTTGTCTTTCAAGTTGCCCGCTTGGCCCTCTTCCAAGTGTACTTTACTTTCTTTTCATTCCTGCTCTAAAGCTTTTTTTTTTTTTTTTTTTCCCTGACTCTTGTTGCCTAGGCTGGAGAGCAATGGCACACTCTCAGCTCACTGCAAACTTGACCCCCCGGGTTCAAGTGATTCTCCTGCCTTAGCCTCCTGAGTAGCTGGGATTACAGGCACCGTCTACCACACCTGGCTAATTTTGTATTTTTAGTAGAGACAGGGTTTCACCATGTTGCCCAGGCTAGTCTCAAACTCCTGACCTCAGGTGATCTGCTCGCCTTGGCCTCCCAAAGTGCTGGGATTACAGGTGTGAGCCACTGCATCCGGCCTCTAAAGCTTTATAATAAACTTTTTCACTCCTGCTCTAAAACTTGCTTCAGTCTCTTCTGTCTTATGCCCCTCAGTCGAATTCTTTTTCTGAGGTGGTAGGAATTAAAGTTGCTGCAGACCCATAGAGATTCGCCACTGGTAACATATTTTGGTGCTGTGTGAGTCAAATAACTTCCACTGCTAACACTATTATACTTTTTTAAAAAACTTCCACTTTAGGTTGGTGGTACATGTGAGGTTTTGTTACACAGGTAAACACATGTCATGGGGTTTGTTGTACATATTATTTCCTCACCCAGGATCAAGCCCAGTACCCAATAGTTATCTTGTCTGCTCTTCTCCCTCTTCCCATCCACCCTTCTCAAGAAGACCCCACTGTGTTGTTTCCTTCTTTGTATTCATAAATTCTTATCATTTAGCTCCCACTTGTAAGTGAGAACATGCGGTAGTTGGTTGTCTGTTCCTGCGTTAGTTTGCTAAGGATAATAGCCTCCAGTTCCATCCATGTTCCTGCAAAAGACATGATCTCGTTCTTTTTTATGGCTGTATCCATTTAAATTTCTAATATGGTAAATAATGATAGTTACAGCCCACATAAGGAAAAGCTCTTTAAGGTCCTCTGTGTGTATAGGGGTTCTGAAACCAAAAAGTTTAAAAACTCCTGGTTCAGTTTATAGGGTGATCAGACTAAGCCTATTAAGATGCTAGCAAACTGACATTTTTATCTTAGAATTCTATCCATTACCTCAAGTTAATCAAGGATTAGCCAACCTCTTCTAAATTCAGACAACCCAAAATTGTCTGTGAATGTAAACAGTTGTTGTTGAATGCGAGTTAAGTGATACTTGCTGATAAATAATTCTGAGTCTGCAAACTTCTGGGCCAGACTTCATTGCTACTGGATCAAAATTCATGCCTGCACATAGAGGATGGTAATTAAATATCCTAACACAAATTATGGGTTTGGAAGAAATGTACTCTTTAATTGGGTACCTTATCTATTCTGTGGTCACTTAAGTATAACCCACTAACTATAGAGTTCTTATTCTACTTAAACATGCAATTTAAAATCCATTATCCAGCAGTATAATTCGAAAAGGCTGTAGAAAGTCTAGTTATGCAATAGTAACATCAGAAATATAGTCATAGTTTAAGATAGGTCATGCATTAGTCTCAAGATAGTCTTCTTATTAGTTGCCAGAACAATGTTTTGCTATCTAACAGCTCCCTCAGAAAAAAATGGTACTGGTAAATGCTGACTGGAATGAAATATCTTAATTTTTTTTTCCTTTGCAGGAAATCAGGTCTTTATTAGATCACCTAGTGGCCCAGTGGTTAAAAGCATAAACTTGGGAGATAGACAAACCTGCATTTCAATCTCTGCTGGAATACTCAGCCACTGTGTGACCTCAGGTAAATTGCTTACCCTCTTTAAATCTGTTTACCCATCAGTAAAACGGAGATACTAACACCTTTGCTCAATGGATTAAGAAATAATTAAATTAAGTAATGGGTAAAAAGCAGTTAGCCCAAGGTCATGTCCATACTGAGCATCTGATAAATATTAGCTACTATTCATAAATTATTATTGGTCTTTGTTACAAGACTGAACTAGTTCTAATTAGAAGTAAGAGAGGCTGGGCATGGCGGCTTATGCCTGTAATCCCAGCACTTTGGGAGGCCAAGGCTGGCAGATCACCTGAGGTCAGGAGTTCGAGACCAACCTGGCCAACATAGCAGAACTCCATCTCTACTAAAAAAACTACAAAAATTAGTCAGGCATGGTGGTGGGCACCTGTAATTCCAGCTACTCAGGAGGCTGAGGCATGGAGAATTGCTTGAATCTGGGAGGTGGAGGTTGCAGTGAGCCAAGATGGCACCACTGCACTCTGGCCTGGGCAACAGAGCAAGACTCCATCTCAAAAGATAAAATAAAATAAAATAAAATGAAAGCAAGCAAACAAAACAACAAAAGACAAAAGAAAAAAGAAAAAAAAATTTTTTTAAATCCAAAGTAAGTCTCCTCTAACCCTGTTTCATTGGTTCTAAAATGAACATTTTTTTTACATTGTAACACCTCTGTGATTCGGATATTTCTTACAATTGATAATACATATTCATTGCTTAACTGGCAGGTTATTTTTTTTTCATTATGCTAAACAAAATAATGGCATATCTTACAATTCATGGGACTTAACTTCAATGAAATGCAGTAATTGAGCTTTCTACTAAAAAATACTAACAGCACACAAATAATTCCCCAAAATGCATCCTCTATCATTGTACTTATCACACTAACCTGTGATCTGTCCCCCAGCCCTAAGCCCTGAAATGCGTATCATCTGGCACAAAGACATCGTTTACATTTGTTGAATAGCTGCGTGCTTAGACTTGATCCGATCTTATTCACCACTTATACTGTAAGTCTCTGAGTGTACCCAACAGGAGTCTATTCCTCTTTTTTCAGAATTCAACAGTCTTTAATTATGTCGTGTCCAGTGTTGCTCATACTTGTTTCATGCATGTGAATCTCATCTACCTGGCTATAGTGTAAGCTTATAAGGACTGTCTGAGTCTGATAAATGTTTTACCTTTCCTAAAGTGCTGGTAGCATGACATTTACAGATGCTACTTGACTTACCTTGGGGTTACCACCTGCTAAACCCATCCAAGTTGAAATACCTCGAGTTGAAAATGCATTTAATACACCTAACCTACTGAACACCACAGCTTAGCCTGGCCTACTTTAAACGTTCTCTGAACATTTACATTAGCCTGTAGTCAGGCAAAATCATCTAACACAAAGCCTATTTTATCATAAAGTGTTGACTATCTCAAGTAATTTATTGAATACTGTACATTACTTCAAAATTGTAGTGGTTTCGTACCATCATAAAGTTGAAAAATCGGAAGTCAAACCATCATAAGTAGGGGACGGTCTGTACTTAGCGATCAATTGCCTAAAAGGTTTTTTGACACTGTATTAGGAGATATGATCATATTCCTGCTACTCTGATTCCCCTGGAATCTTGGGTAGGAAAATGTTTGAATTCCTTAGGCTACTCTAAACAGTTCAAAGCCCTGAGAGTCTCTTCCTCTACAACTACTTGTTGCTAATGAAGCTTTTGCCTGTTGATTGAAAGAGTCAGACCTACAGTGAAAGCATTAACCTATAGAATAGATGGTCTCTGGCATAGCTGATACTGTCAGTGCATCACCCACAGCTTCTCTGATCCTTTTTTTATTAGCTCTGGGGCCCATCTCCCACTTTCTGTTTGGTTTCCTTTCAATCAATCCACTTCACTATTATTCCCCGAAACCCAGAATTGTCCCAAGGGAACCATAGCCATTGCCTGAGTAGTGTCTGAGTATGAAAGCAAAACTTATTTGCCTCAAAGCTAGATAAGCCTGAAGGTATGACTTATGCTCCAGAGCTCTCCACAGGATCAGGCTGAGGCCAGACATCATCTGAAATTGTACCTTTGCTTGGCTTCTTTCCCCCTTCCCTATCTTACTCCTCATTCTCTTCTTAAATTAGTGAGGCAATTAGGATCTGTACTTAATAGTGTCTGGGTTGTAGCATAAAAGTAATGAAAAAAAAAAGCTTTGTGTTCCATGATTTTAAATGTTACAGTTTAATAAGTCTTTGTTATTCCCTCAGGATGTGTATCTTTGGAACTCACAACAAGCAATATAAACCATCAACAAAACCAGACCTCAGGAGTCTTTCTGCCCTACATTTTAGAAGGACACATTCTGCCCTGAGCAGGATGATAGGAATAAAGAAACAGCACTTTGGGAGGCCGAGGCAGGCAGATCACTTGAGGTCAGCAGTTTGAGACCAGCCTGGCCAACATGGTGAAACTCCGTCTGTACTAAAAATACAAAAATTAGCCGCATGTGGCAGCGCACACCTGTAATCCCAGTCACTCGGGAGCCTGACGCACAAGAATTGCTTGAACCCAGGAGGTGGAGGCTGCAGTGAGCCGAGATTGCACCACTGCACTCCAGCCTGTGTGACAGAGTGAGATCCTGTCTCGAAAGAGAGAGAGAGGAAGGGAGGGAGGGAGGGAGGGAGGAAGGAAGGAAGGAAGGAAGGAAGGAAGGAAGGAAGGAAGGAAGGAAGAAAAGGAAGGACAACAAACAATAAGAACTGACCAAATATTTAAATATTTCTTTTTCTTTTCTTTTCTTTTTTTTTTTTTTTGAGACAGTCTTACTCTGTCACCCAGGCTGGAGTGCAGTGGTGCAATCTTGGCTCACTGCAACCTCCACCTCCCGGATTCAAGCAATTCTCCTGCCTCAGCCTCCCAAAGTAGCTGGGATTACAGGCACACGCTGCCACGCCTGGCTAATTTTTGTATTTTTAGTAGAGACGGGGTTTCACCATGTTGGTCAGGCTGGTCTTGAACTCCTGACCTTGTGATCTGCCTGCCTCAACCTCCCAAAGTGCTGGGATTACAGGTGTGAGCCACTGCACCCGGCCCTGACCAAATATTTCACAATCAATTCTAATTTATTTACAGATGACATTTATCTATTTCCACTTTTGACAGTGCTTTTCTGATGAGCATCTTAGTGGCTTTTTGGAATTAAATAATGCAAAATGAGTTCGCTAATCCCTTAGTGCTGTCCAGCATACAGTCCACATTTCAATAAAATGCTGCATGATCACTTTATAGAAATGCATCCCCTAATGGCTCCAATTCCCCTCTTACTATATCCCTTGTAATACTTTGGATTCTCAAAAACAAATCTCAGGATCTATTCTAATGAATGGAATACTTACATAACACCCTTTGGCCAGCAATTTCACAAATTTGATTTTTAAAATTTATTGGCTGGGCGTTGTGGCTCACGCCAGTAATCCTAGCACTTTGGGAGCCGAGGTGGGTGGATTACCTGAGGTTGAGAGTTCAAGACCAGCCTGGCCGACATGGTGAAACCCTGTCTCTACTATAAATACAAAAAATAAGCCGGGTGCAGTGGCTTGTGACTGTAATCCCAGCTACTCAGGAGGCTGAGAGAGCAGAATCGCTTGAACCTGGAAGGCAGAGGTTGTGGTGAGCCGAGATTGCGCCACTGCACTCCAGCCTGGACGACAGAGCAAGACTTCATCTTAAATAAATAAATAAATAAAACAAAAATAAAATGTCTTTAAAACTCTTAGATGTGGTAGATGCTGGTGGATGGTGAAAAGAGCACAAGCCTTGAAGTAAGACAGCTCTGGAAATGAATTCTAGTTCTTCTCCTTATTTTATGGCCTTAAGCAAGTTGTTTGATCTTCCTGAGCTTCAGTTTAATTTCCTTAACAAAACCGTTATGAATAAATGAATGGGCCAAGCGCGGTGGCTCACGCCTGTAATCCCAGCACTTTGGGAGGCCAAGGCGGGCGGATCACTTGAGATCAGGAATTTGAGACCAGCCTGGCCAATATGATGAAACCCTGTCTCTACTAAAAGTACAAAAAAATTAGCTGGGCGTGGTGGCGTATACCTGTAGTCCCAGCTACTCTGGAGGCTGAGGCAGGAGAATCGCTTGAACCCAGGAAGCGGAGGTTGCAGTGAGCCAAGATCATGCCATCGCACTCCAGCCTGGGCAACAGAGTGAGACTCCATCTCAAAAAACAAACAAAAACAAAAAACAAAAATTAGGCCAGGCATGGTGGCTCATGCCTGTAATCCCAGCACTTTGGGAGGCCGAGGCAGGTGGATCATCTGAGATCAGGAGTTCAAGACCAACCTGGCCAACATGGTGAAACTCCATCTCTGCTAAAATAAATACAAAAATTAGCCAGGGGTGGTGGCAGGCACCTGTAATCCCAGCTACTCAGGAGGCTGAGGCGGGAGAATTGCTTGAACTCAGGAGGCAGAGGTTGCAGTGAGCCGAGATCGCACCATTGTGCTCCAGCCTGGGCAACAAGAGCAAAACTTTGTCTCAAAAAAAAAAATTAGCCAGGTGTAGTGGTGCATGCCTGTAATCCCAGCTACTTGGGAGACTGAGGCAGGAGAATCACTTGAACGCAGGAGGCAAAGATTGCAGTGAGCCGAGATCGTGCCATTGCACTCCAGCCTAGACGACAGAGTGAGACTTCATCTCAAAAATAAAAAGAAAATGAAAAAAAGAAATGAATGAGATAATATGTATCTGTTGGGGGGGAACTGAGATGTTAATCTGTGTTTTGCTCAGGCTGCTGTAGGTATTTTTGCCTCACTCATCTGAAGAAAGTAGCCCTCTGCTTCAGGGAATGGTTAATAGCCCTAATGTCGCAGGGCCAAAATTAAAAGTTGCCTGACACTTAGAATACAACCTTCTATCTAGTCTTGGAGGTGATATTGCTGGATTATTGGAGGTGGCAGGAGGCACCAAGGGTTGGGAGAAGAAGTAGACCAATACTGGAAATAAAGTTATTTGGGGACTATCTCCCCAAGTTTAGGAGAAAGTGCTTATAGGTTTCAAGAAAATCAGGGACATGTGTGCTCCCACACAGTACTTGGGTCCAAGGCCTCTGATCGTGATAGCTGACTTGGCAGTGTGCCGCACTGCAGGGGGCAAGAAGGGTTGGTCACTAGACTTCAAGTCTTCCAATTTTAGTATACACCTCTGGCTCAACCTGTGCTCAAAAGTAGAGGAATCGCCAGGCATGGTGGCTCAAGCCTGTAATCCCAGCACTTTGGGAGGCTGAGGAGGGCAGATCACGAGGTCAGGAGATCGAGACCAGCCTGGCCAACATGGTGAAACCCTGTCTCTACTAAAGACACAAAAAATTAGCCAGGCATGGTGGTGCACACCTGTAATCCCAGCTACTTGGGAGGCTGAGGCAAGAGAATCGCTTGGACCCAGGAGGCAGAGGTTGCAGTGAGCCAAGATTGCAACACTGCGCTCCAATCTGGGCAACAGGGTGAGACTTCGTCTCAAAAAAAAAAAAAAAAAAACAAGTAGAGGAATCACCTATCCACAAGGACAGAACCACCTGTACACCTAGGAGAGATGAGCTCTTGTCCTGGGTCCCACACTTTAGAGAGCCCTACTCTGGCCCTCCATGGGATTGTGCCCCTCTTTATGGGAGAAGAGGTCCACAAGGGGCATGTCCACCTGGAGCCCACACCTCACCCTTGTAGACCGTGCTTCATCTAAATGGGACCCCAGAATTCCCAGCCCAAATGGCCTGAACTATTTCCAGGTCCTGAGCCAGTCTCTTTCCAGGATTTACATTCCTGAAGGCAGCCATGCCTCTGTGTACACGCCTTCACATGAAGGACAGTTAAAAGGTGACTTTTTGGCAGGAATGGGGATTGGTGAACAGAGCTTGGATGTGTAAGCTGGTCTACACACACATGCATGCAAGTTCCTTTATTGTCCTGAACAGAGCTGGGATGGGAAGTGAAAGAGGGGAAGTGTAAGAAGGAAAAAACGCCAAATATACAGGAAAAACAAACTATTTTTTTCTATCCTCACACCACTCTCAATACATCATGTCTGTCACCAGATGTGTGGGGTTTTGTTCCCATACTAAGCCACTCTCCAATTCTCTATGGACACCAACTGGGAATTAAACTCACTTCTGACACTATCTAGTGGGAGTCAGTACAGATTCCAAAGATTAAGGGCTCAGTCCCACAAGACTGCCCCCACATCAACTACCAATCACAAGTCCAGGTTGCCACCTGTGCTTCTGGCAGACTGTCTATAAACCAGAGGTTCTTATGACCTCCTCCTTAGGCTCAATCATTTGCTAGAATGGCTCACAGAACTCAGGGAAACACTTTACTTACATTTACCCATCTATCATAAAAGATACAACTCAGGAACAGCCAAACAAAAGAGATGCATAGGGCAAAGTATGTGGTGAGGGGCATGCAGCTTCCATACCCTCTCTGGGTATACTGCCCTCCCAGCATGTCCACACATTCCCCAGCCTGGAAGCTCTCTGAATACTGTTCTCCTGAGTCTTTATAGAGGCCTCATTATATAGGCATGACTGAATAAATCACTGGCCATTGGTATCAACTCAATGTTTAGCCTTCTCTCCTGCCTGGAGGTCAGGGGATGGGGCTGAATGTTCCAACCCTGTAATCACCTGGATGGTTCCTCTGCAACCAGCCCCCATCCTTAAGCTATCTAGGGGCCACTGAGAGATGCCTCATTAGAACAAAACACTGCAATCACCCAGGAAATGAAGCTCTGTGTAGGAAAAGGAAGAAGACCCAATATATATTTCTTATTATTAATCACAATATCATCAGAGGCCAAAGCTAGGGCCTAGGGCCAGCTTTTCTTACACCTGCACATTCAGATGCAGAAGCCCAAGAAGTCCTCAAATTCTAAATTTGAACAAGGACTTCCAGCTTGTTATGAAAATATATTTGTCAAGACAGAATGACAGAACCTATTTAAGAGGTTGTCAGCTTGATTTATAACTTTCTTTTTTTTTTTTTTTTTTGAGGCGGAGTTTTGCTCTGTCGCCCACGCTGGAGTGCAGTGGCGCAATCGCGGCTCACTGCAAGCTCCGCCTCCCGGGTTCACGCCATTCTCCTGCCTCAGCCTCCCCAGTAGCTGGGACTACAGGCGCCTGCCACCACGCCTGGCTAATTTTTTGTATTTTTAGTAGAGACGGGGTTTCACCACTTTAGCCAGGATGGTCTCGATCTCCTGACCTCGTGATCCGCCCTCCTCGGCCTCCCAAAGTGCTGGGATTACAGGTGTGAGCCACCGCACCTGGCCTGATTTATAACTTTCAAATATTTAATATAAACTTCCATTTGTATTCTCATCCTAGACCCTGAAAATATTAGAAGTGGGCCAGCCAAGAAACCACAGGACTAGGATCAACACCCAGCAGTGGTAGCCAGTGTGGTCTGAAGACCAGAGGGCTCACCTCTGAATATTCTGGAATGTGTAGGACCCTGGGAAGGTGAAGATACCCTAGGAAATGCCCCCCTCCTCAAAGTAAACATGACAAAACCCAGATTTCCCATCTCCCTTGACCAATGTGGTACAGAGCCAGATTTAACTTCATTTAGAATAAAAATGGGCAAAGACTTTTGTCTGTCCTGTTCACTGCTTTCTCCCTCCATAGCACTTAGAACAGTACCAATATACTTTTTTTCTTTCTTTCTTTCCGTTTTTTTAGAGACAGGGTCTCAGCATGTTGCCCAGTTTGGTGTTGAACTCCTGGCCTCAAGCGATCCTCCTGCCTCAGCCTCCTAAAGTTCTGGGATTACAGGCATGAGCTACCACGTCTGGCCCCAATATACTTTTTTTTTTTTTTTTTTTGAAGCAGAGTCTCGCTCTGTTGCCCAGGCTAGAGTGCAGTGGCATGATTTTGGCTCACTGCAACTTCCACCTCCTGGGGTTGAAGCAATTCTCCTGCCTCAACCTCCCAAGTAGCTGGGATTATAGGTATGCGCCACCACACTCAACTAATTTTTTTATTTTTAGTAGAAACGGAGTTTCACCATGTTGGCCAGGCTGGTCTCGAACTCCTGACCTCAAGTGATCTGCCTGCCTCGGCCTCCCAAAGTGCTGGGATTACAGGTACGAGCTACCGTGCCTGGCCCCAATATACTTTTATTGGATTAATGAATTCTTGCTCCCAGTGTGAGGGACCAAACTCTTGCCTGCCACATGTGTAAGCTCCTGTTTTTTGTTGTTGTTTGTTTTTTTGTTTTTTTGAGACAGAGTCTCACTCTGTCGCCCAGGCTGGAATGCAGTGGTGTGATCTCGGCTCACCGCAACCTCCACCTCCCAGCCTCAAGCGATTTTCCTGCCTCAGCCTCCCGAGTAGCTGGGATTACAGGCACCCGCCACCACACCCTGCTAATTTTTGTATTTTTAGTAGAGACAGTATTTTGCCATGTTGGCCAGGCTGGTCTCAAACTCCTGACCTGAGGTGATCCACCCACCCCAGCCTCCCAAAGTACTGGGATTACAGGCATGAGCCACTGCTCCCGGCCAAGCTCCTGGTTTTGTGCTACCACATATTAGGTGTCAGTGTCAGGTACTTTATTTTATTTTATTATTTTATTTTATTTTAGAGACAGGGTCTCACTATGTTGCCCAGGCTGGACCCAAACTCCTGGGTTCAAGTGATCCTCCCACCTCAGCCTCCTAAGTAGCTGGGGCTACAGGTGCTCACCACTGCCAGGCACGTTTTCTTTGTGCTGAACACTATATGATACTTATTTGTATCTAACTTGTCAGATGAATCTAGAATACTCTGTTTATTTACTAAATTATTTTAGCACCTGTGGACTGTCTGCTAGGCCCAGACTACTGGCTAGGTCTTGCCTGCCAGGTTCTCTTGCTTACTATCATCATAAGGAAATGACATCCTACTTTCTGATGGAGCCCCTATCTATTAAAAACTCAGTTTCTTGGGTCCTGTATCTGAAACCACTTCTGTTTCACCCACAGCTTTGGGGCTCTAGACTTTCTCTATTTATGACTTTCCAATCCTTCATGGTGCAGTTCTGTTTACTGGTTGTGCCCACATTTAATGTAGTACCTGCCTCTCTCCCATCCTAGATGCAAACCTAAATTAGAAATCCCACTTACAAATAGCTCATCGCCAGGTGTCTGCACAGTAGACATGCCCTTTGATCTGTGGGCCAGAAAGTGATACTCCTACTGTCACTCTTTAGGACAGTTTATTCAGAGGAAAGTTATAGAAAGAGTGAGTCCATCTAAAAGGCATCTTCTTTCTTGACATTCTAAAGGCTGAGGAGTACTGTTTTAGAGACTTCTGGCTGGGTGCGGTGGGTGGCTCATGCCTGTAATCCCAGCACTTTGGGAGGCCAAGGTGGGCGGATCACCTGGGGTCCAGAGTTCGAGACCAGCCTGACCAACATGGAGAAACCCCGTCTCTACTAAAAATACAAAACTTGCCGGGCATGGTGGCTCATGCCTGTAATCTCAGCTACTCAGGAGGCTGAGGCAGGAGAATCACTTGAACCCGGGAGGCAGAGGTTGCGGTGAGCTGAGATCACACCACTGCACTCCAGCCTGGGCAACAAGAGTGAAACTCCATCTAAAAAAAAAAAAAAGGGAGAGAATTCTATAAGTCCCTATGAACCTCTTTGTGTTTCTCAGCTCCCTGCCATCTGCAGAGAATGCATTCATTCTCTGAAGACTAAAAACCATATGATCTCCATCCTGTTGTTGAACTGTGATCACAATTGCAGCTAGGATTTTATTAGTCTGAGTTTGACCACCTTCTGAGTTTAACTAGCTTAGTAGTTTCACTACAGTGCAATTCTACTAGTAGTACCAAGCTAAGTAAGCTGTATTCTCAGTACTCATCATCCTGCCTGGCGTGTAATATTATTCAGTGAAATAAGTAGTCTCTCCCTCCAGAGACAGCTTATGTCAAGAACTGTAAGGGATCTGAGATTGTACCCTACTTACAAGTTAACATGTTAGCCTGTCATAGTTTCATGGATGTTGATAGAAGACATGAGACTCCTGGATCAAAGATAAAAATAGTTTATTACCCACAGCAATAGCAGTATCTACAGTGTCTGAATTTTTTGAGCCAGCTCCCCGAGTCCCACTCCCCACAAGATAATGTAAATAGGGCCAGTTAACACCTGTACAAGGAACTCTGAGCTTCGGGAATCTGAATCTTTTTTTTTCCCCAGAGTTTTTATGGTTTTATTTAACACAACTAAAACTTACACATGAGGTGTGAGAAAGAACAAAATTTCAACAAATTGAGTTTCAAAGATCTTTTTTGTTTTGTTTTGCTTTTGTTTTTCATTTTTTGTTTTTTGAGACAGATTCTCACTCTGTCGCCCAGGCTGGAGTGTAGTGGTGATCTTTGCTCACTGCAACCTCTGCCTCCCAGGTTCAAGCCATTCTCCTGCCTCAGCCTCTGGAGTAGCTGGGATCACAGGCACCTGCTACCTTGCCTGGCTGATTTTTGTATTTTTAGTAGAGTTGGGGTTTCACCATGTTGGTCAAGCTGGTCTCAAACTCCTAACCTCAGGTGATCTGCTCAACTTGGCCTCCCAAAGTGCAGGGATTACAGGTTTGCGCCACCATCCCTGGCCAAGTTTCAAAGATCTGATTGGCTTTTATTGGCAATTCATAAACCAGGCAGCATCCAGTCTACAAAATAGAAAGGAGCTCTGATGAGCTAAAGAGAGTGGGTGAGTTTAACAGACAAAAAAAAGTGGAGAAAAACAGAAACAAGAAACAAATAGCAGATTTGTCATTTCGAGGTTATCTTCCTTATAGGGACATAGGCAAAATCTTGTTGGCTTAATGGGATTTGGCTATAATTTGTCTTCTGATTTCTCAGAAGATCATATCTTACAGGTATACAACTTAGGTTTCAGTTTGCTGAACTTCAGCATGAATGACTCTATTTGAGGCCTGCTGTCTTAACAGCTTTTGACAGCTGTCTATTAATTTTCTTTGCTGTGCAACTTGGCCTTGGGATTGGTGACTCATGGCCAGCCGGGCTTCTCTTTCCTCTATGACTTTTCAGTTCTTAGACATTGTGAGCGATCCCAACACAGTAAGATTTATTGCACTGCAGCAGCACTTACAGCTCCTTGACACTGTAGACCAGAAACCCAGAAGCCACCGAGCAGCATGTGCTTTGTCTTCTTCTTGTTCCCATAATCAATGTTGGGAATCAAGATCTGGCATTTGAACTTTCTCCACACTCTGTTGTCAATGCCTCTGGGTTAGAGTCAACCTGCAAACAGTCCTTGTTTTCTGGGTACCCTGTCAATCTATCCTTTCCTGCCCCTGTGGATTTTTAGGTTTCAATGAGAAATAACCAGAGTAAAAAAACACACACACAGACACAAACTATAAATCTATTTTCGTTGCAAATGAACAAAACAATTCAAATATTCAGAAACTCGCTGGATATCATATTGGAAATATGTATTTCTAACCAAAGGTTACATTTGATCATGTTTAGTCTGAATGTTCACCATGAATTCATTAGTTGTGTGGCTGGGTCATTTGGAATTATACAACTCAATCTTTCAAGTAAAAAAATCCTATTCACCACTACTGAATTGAACTTCACATTGTAAATATTTGGCCTAATGGGATAATTATGTTATTAAAAAGAAAATAAAATTGTTTCATCTTTAAGCAATTGGCACAGTGTATTCTTGGTACATTTTTTTTTTTTTCTCTACTTGGTGGCAGTATAAACTGGAAGTACAGGTTAAGCCACCTTTCTGACACTTGGAAAGTTGAAGACAGGAGGCAGAAAGGCCTGTCACAGCTGATTTCATGTTATGACTTGTTAATAGGCCCAGCCAAACTACCCTTGCAGTAGTTCAGGGAATTAAAAAAGGCATCCCCAGGGCTATGCAGCAAGAATATTTCTTGCACGACAGGATTGGAAAAATAAAGAGGGTTTCTTTGAAAATTGTGCTTGATGGCCCAGATTGAAATATATGCCAAAGGATAAAAAATTCTTGGCCGGGCATGATGGCTCACGCCTGTAATCCCAGCACTTTGAGAAGCTAAGGCAGGTGGATCACCTGAGGTCAGGAGTTTGAGACCAGCCTGACCAACATGGAGAAACCGCATCTCTACTAAAAATAGAAAATTAGCCGGGCATGGTGGTGCATGCCTGTAATCCCAGCTACTTGGGAGGCTGAGGCAGGAGAATCGCTTGAACCTGGGAGGCGGAGGTTGTGGTGAGCCGAGATCGTGCCATTGCACTCCAGCCTGCGCAACAAGAGCGAAACTCCATCTCAAAAAAAGGAAAAAATAAAGTATTTTTTAGTAGAGACAGGGTTTCTCTGTGGCGGCCAGGCTGGTTGCTGGTCTTGAACTCCTGAGCTCAGGTGATCCACCCATCTCAGCCTCCTAAAGTGCTGGGATTACAGGCATGAGGCACCACACCCGGCCAAAAAATTCTTTTCATTCAAAGTCTTATCAATTATCTTATTGTTTGCACTCATCTTTTCTATAAGTAAACCTGGAAAAAGCTATGAACTCTGAAATCCATCAGCCTGGGTTCAAATCCCAACTCAATGTCTTGGCCAGATGATTATTATTATTATTATTTTTTCCTGAGACGGAGTCTTGCTCTCTCACCCAGGCTGGAGTGGGGTGGCATGATCTCGGCTCACTGCAAAGTCTGCCTCCCGGGTTCAAGCAATTCTTCTGCCTCAGCCTCCCAAGTACCTGGGACTACAGGCCCACAACGATGCCCAGCTAATTGTTGTATTTTTAGTAGAGATGGGGTTTCGCCATGTTGGCCAGGCTGGTCTTGAACTCCTGACCTCATGATCCACCTGCCTTGGCCTCCCAAAGTGCTGTGATTACAGGCATAAGCGACCATATGTGGCTTAACTTTCAAAGATTCATTTTCCTTACCTGTAAAACAGGAATATAATGGCACCTAAAGGATTTTTTATATGGATTAAATGAGAATATAGAGCTCTAAGCACAGTGACTGATCAATGGTAAGCAGCAAAGAACTGTTTTGTTGTCTCGTAATTGTTAAAATAAAATTAAAAAGCAAACTTTTATACAAGTTTGTAATGAAGACCACACTAAAAACTCCTGAAGACTTAATCACAAGATGAGTAAGAGAAGATTTTAATGGCAAATAATCCATTTATTAATCCTTCTATCCTCTTCCTAATCTCTTCACCCTTCTGACACTAAAAGTTATACACATAGTCTTGGAATATGGAATGTTTCATCAAAATATACTACGTTGCCATATTATTAAGGAATTATAATCCTGTTACTGCTTGTATTTTTTCCAACTGGTTACATGAAAAAGATAGCCTATTAAGAGATTTATAAACATGAAAATTTAAAAATGATTTTTCTTTTCATTTTAAAACTGATTTATCACACAGTCATATAAGAAAAACTTTCAGTGAAATTACATAAAATGTGGTAGCTCACACCTGTAATCCCAGCACTTTGGGAGGCCAAGGCAGGTGGATCACCTGAGGTCAGGAGTTTGAGACCAGCCTGGCCAACATGGTAAAAGCCTGCCTCTACTAAAAATGCAAAAATTAGCTAGGTGTGGTAGCAGACGCTGTAATTCTAGCTACTTGGGAGGCTGAGGCAGGAGAATCGGTTGAAACCAGAAGGTGGAGGTTGCAGTGAGCCGAGATCACACCACTGCACTCCAGCCTGGGCAACAAGAGCGAAACTCCATCTCACAAAAAAAAAAAAAAAAAGAGGAAAAAAGGCCAGGTATTGTGGCTCATGCTTGTAATCCCAGCACTTTGGGAGGCCAACGCAGGAGGATTGCTTGAGGCCAGGAGTTTGAGACCAACCTGGGCAACATAGGGAGACTCTGTCTCTACAAAAAAGCAAAACAAAAGGTAAAAATACAAAAGTGTTTTTCCCACACTCACAATACTTAACACAATACTTCTGACACCAGGTCTGTGTGGGGAAAAAACCCCACAAGTAATTCTGCAGTAGACACTAGCCAGGTGTCCTCCAATTCAATTAAATCCTGACACTATTTACCTAGAAATAGTGTCAGATCGCACGGATTCAAGGCTAAGTCACACAAGGATGCCCCCTACTTCAGATGCCAGTGACGAACAGTAAGTTGTCACCTGTATTTCTGACTGACCAGCTATAAATCAGGGATTCCCATGAATCTCTCATTGGCTTTGATTAATTCGCTAGAACAGCTCACAGAACTCAGAGAAACAAGTTAGTTACATTTACCCATTTATTACAAAGTATACAGATGAACAGCCAGACGGAAGAAATGCATAGCTCATAGCATATGGGATGGGTGCAGAGCTTCCATGCCCCCTCAGGGAGCAGCACCCTCCAAGAACCTCTGTTTTCTTTTTTTTTTGAGACAGAGTCTTTCTCTGTCGCCCAGGCTGGAGTGCAGTGGCACCACCTCAGCTCACTGCAACCTCCGCCTCCCAGGTTCAAGCAGTTCCCTGCCTCAGCCTCCTGAGTAGCTAGGATTACAGGCACCCACCACCATGCCCGGCTAATTTTTGTATTTTTAGTAGAGATGGGGTTTCACCATATTGTCCAGGCTGGACTTGAACTCCGGACCTCGTGATCCACCCGCCTCAGCTTCCCAAAGTGCTAGGATTACAGGCATGAGCCACCGCGCCCGGCCCCATGTTTTCAACTATCTGGAAGTTCTCTGAACCCAGTCCTTTTGGGTTTTTATAGGAGGCTTCATTATGTAGGCATGATTGATTACACCATTGGCCATTGGCGATCAACTCAACCCTCTCCCCTCTATGGCAGTTTTGGAAGCGCCAATCATGGCTCAGTCTTTCCAGTGATCAGCCCCAATCCTGAAGCTATCTAGAGGCCCCCAGCCATCAGTCATATCATTAGCATACAAAAGACACTCTTACCACTCAGGAGATTCAAGGGTTTTAAGGGCTGTATGCCAAGAAACAGGGAAGAAGATCAAATACATACAGTCGTTCATTGCTATCTTTGGGGGATTGGTTCCAGGCCCTCCCTCAGATACCAAAATCCCTGGATGCTCAAGTCCCTTTTATAAAATGACATAGTATTTGCATATAACCTAGGCATATCCTCTTGTATACTTTAAATCATCTCCAGATTACTTATAATACCTAATACAATTAAATGATTTGTAAATTGTTGTTATATTGTATTGTTTAGGGAATAATGACAAGGAAAATGTCTATACATGTTCAATACAGATGTAACTATCCTTTTTTTCCCAAATATTTTCAATGTGTGGTTAGTTCAATCCACTATGAAATATGGCATACAATATGGTACCTCTGGCTCAGAGCTCTAAGATGGAGTCAGGAGGCCATTCTACAAAGGACCTACAACCTGGATTTTTGAAAACCCAGGAACTTGCCTTTACCTTTGAACTGGGCCAAACTGCAATCACCACAACATCCTGGAAAACAGCTGAATTTCACCACTACTGCAACTCCTGATCAGCAACAACCAATGAATTATAGACTCACGTACTAAGCCAGCTGCCTTCACCAATGATAATTCTTTCAAAACAACTTCCATAATCACCCTTAACTTCCTTATAAATCTCCTCTCTCCTCCCTCTTATTGGAGCACAATTTGGCTTCCAGCCAAATGTATGTCTCCTGAATTACAACTCCTAAGACCCCAGTAAAGGCCTTGTCTTACTGCTTTGCAGTCTGGTCTTATGCCTCTTTTTCTTCATTGACATGCAGAACAGATACAGAGAACCAAATGTACATATTTTATTGTAAATCACAATATTATAATTTGTTAAACAGGTTCATCTTTATGGGCCCAGTACAGTCAGTCCTCAATGAACTTTTTATTGACTGAATAAAGTAGTGAATAAATCAATGAATTATTACATGATTATAGCTTGCTTCTCCCCATAAGTAAATTGACTTTTTGGCCAGGCGTGGTGGCTCACGCCTGTAATCCCAGCACATTGGGAAGCTGAGGTGGGAGGATCACTTGAGCCCAGGAGTTTGAGACCAGCCTGGGCAATATAGGGAGACCCTGTCTCTTAAAAAAATATACATTTTAAAAATAAAAAGTAGGCCGGGCACAGTGGCTCACGCCTGTAATCCCAGCACTTTGGGAGGCTGAAGCAGGCAGATCACTTGAGGTCAGGAGTTCGAGACCACCTGGCCAACATGGTGAAACCCCGTCTCTACTAAGACTACAAAAATTAGCCGGGCATGGTGGCACGTGCCTATAAACCCAGCTACTCAGGAGGCTGAGGCAGGAGAATCACTTGAACCCAGGAGGCAGAGGTTGCAGTGAGCTGAGATCGTGCCACTGCACTCCAGCCTGGGGGACAGAGCGAGACTCTGTCTCAAAAATAAAATAAAATAAAATAAAATAAAATGTAAATTAACTTTTTAAAAGGGAAACCATTTTAACATAGTGCTATCCACCCGTTTCATTCCTACTGTTGCTATCTCTCCTTTCTTTTCCTGTCATGGAAGAATGGCTATCTCTTCTATCTAAATTTGTGTTCTCTTCCTTAACATACTTTTGCAAAATATTTACCAGTTGTCTTGCAACTAGTATGGGCCTTGTGACTAAGTCTCACCAATGGAAAGTAAGCAAAATGATGTATCTGTCTCTGGGCCTATCCCATAAAACACTGAACTTGAGATTCTCCCTCACTCTTCATTTCTTCAACCAGATGCAGAAAAACGAGCGGAGGATTCCAAGGCCCAAGAAGACACTGCAGCTACCAGATAAAAGATACTTGGCTTTTGGGTCCATGAATGACTGTGTGGAGTAAGCCTCCATCCACTTCACCCCCAACCAGTTTATTTATATATTGGACCATGACACGAATAGAAAATAGTTATTGTTTAACCATTGAGATTTTGTATGAACAAATGAAATTAACAATTACATTTGACTGGGCACTGTGGCCCATATCTGTAGTCCCAGCACTTTGAGAGGCCGAGGCAGATGGATCACATGAGGTCAGGTGTTCAAGACCAGCCTGGCCAACATGGTAAAACCCTGTCTTTACTAAAAATACCAAAAAATTAGCTGGGCATGGTGGCACACACCTGTAATCCCAGCTACTCAGGAGGCTGAGGCAGGAGAATCGCTTGAACCCCGGAGGCGAAAGTTGCAGTGAGCTGAGAGATTGCACTACTTCACTCCAGCCTGGGTGAAAGAGCCAGGCTCCAGCTAAAAAAAAAACAAAAACAAAACAAAAAAGCCCCAGTTACATTCAGAGCATTATATTCCCCCATTCCTTGATCCATCCAGGGCTGGAATAAAAAGCACTTAAACAGCTTGGTATACGCCAGTCATCACCCGCAATGTATAAGGGTTTGGAAGGAAGGAGCAGGTCCTTTCATTAGCGTTGACCACTTGACTCCTGTGTTGTCTAACGCTTCCTCCCTGCTTTATCTAACCTGAAATTTGGTCAGTGCCTTTCATGGAAGAGCTGAGTTGTAGCTTTTTTTTTTTTCTCAGACGGAGTCTCAGAGTCTCGCTCTGTCGCCCAGGCTGGAGTGCAGTGGCGCTATCTCGGCTCACTGCGACCCTCTGCCTCCAGGGTTCAAGTGATTCTTCTGCCTCAGGCTCCCCAGTAGCTAGGATTACAGGCACGCACCACCATACCCAGCTAATTTTTGTTTTTTTGATAGACACGGGGTTTCACCATGTTGGCCAGGCTGGCCTTGAACTCCTGATGTCAAGAGATCTGCCTGCCTCGGCCTCCCAAAGTGCTGGGATTACAGGCATGAGCCACTGTGCCTGTCCAGGAGTTGCAGCTTTTTATGCTCATGAGGTAGCCTGTTCTGGTAACGGGCACTGCTTCCTGAGCCTGAGTTCCATTTTTGCTTGCACAACTTAGTCTTGATTTGGGGGATTTTAGCTTCATACACCAGGAGCTCCTAGGAGTAAGACCTTGCTTTGCTTTCCTTTTGCTGAGTCCTATTCCAGAAGCACATTCTATACTAATGAACCATGGTAAACATCCTAAAGCCAGCTTTCTGTACATTTGGAGTCCTGAGTTTTGTCTGTCCTCTTCATACCCTGCCTCCCACTCTTGCTGGGGAATCTTACTGTGCCCTGGTGCCCTAGTTGGCAGACCAATCATTTGTTTCAACTATGCCCATTTCCCTTGAAGTCTACTGAGGCCCCTTTGCTGTGCTGAATTGCCAGAGCATTTACTTTCAGCTGGGCCCACGCCTATCTTTTACTACCTGGTGTGGGTGGGTCTGGAGCAAGGTATCCTCCTGACCTTCCTCTCCAGCCTAGAGTGACCTCTGCGGTGCCCTACAGATGAGTTCTGAGATAGTACACTTCAGAGGTTATAGAGGTATTTTGTCTTCCCATTGGCATTTCGTATTTTAATGAATTTGTTTTAATTATGATAAATGTGTTTGAATCGTAGAGCATCATAAATAAGTTAATTGTTTTAGGGCCTTATATCTTTATGAGATATGGATATACTGCATTTGGTACATGTTTGACATGCGCATATTATTTTATTGTGTTAAATCCAGCCTACCCACACCTAAACTTAAAGTTTTGATGACTCGACATCGTTTTACAAAGGTTCCAGCCAGTTGCCCTATTGTAAAGTCATTGTGTAAGCAAGCTTTAAAGTGTTTTCCTTCCTTAATCTTACTTTTGTCCTACAGTTCTTCCAAGTATGTCTTCCTTTCATTAGTTGGCTTGTAACTTTACTACCTAGCTAAATAGGCCTAGTTGTTTCTCAACAATGACTTCTATTATTGAGCTTATGAAAGTAAGAAAATAAAATCAAACCTGCTGCTTGTAGATACAAGTTGTCAATTAGCAATTCACAGGAAAGCAGCTGCTTTAAGTAGTCTGTCCTACACTCCAGGCAGCAACAATGATAATAAAAGCCCTCACCCCACAGATGTCCTGGAAACACCCAGTTTCCATGCTGGAAGGGCAAATCTATTTGCACACGAACGTCACCACCTACACTAAGGGTGCCTGCAGAGTCCAGTAAAGATAGCTAACACTGAGTGGCTGTTTTTGTTTTTGTTTTGTTTTGTTTTTGAGAGAGTCTTGCTCTGTGGCCCAGGCTGGAGTACAGTGGCGCGATCTCAGCTCACTGCAACATCTGCCTCCCAGGTTCAAGCAATTCTCCTGCCTCAGCCTCCTGAGTAGCTGGGATTACAGGTGGCTGCCACCACGCCTGGCTAATTTTTGTATTTTTAGTAGAGACAGGATTTCATTATGTTGGCCAGGCTAGTCTCGAACTCCTGACCTCAAGTGATCCACCCGCCTCAAGATTACAGGCATGCACTGCACTCAGCTAACACTGAGTGTTTAATATGCACCAAGCATTATGCTGCACTTTTTATTTATTTATTTAATCACTGCAGCATTTTTAGAAGGCCAATACTATGATGATTGAAACTGCCTTTGCAAAATTCTGACTGAGACATTGAAAGATCTAACTTAACCAACTCCATCTTCTAACCTCCAAGCTGTCCTTGTTCATTACTGGGCATAGGCTGAACTAACTTTGGGAGAAACTTAGTTTATAGTTGAAAACAAAAATGTTTAAAACAAAGACAACAACATCCCTTTCCCAAAGCAGACCTCCTTGCCTGGGGACTAGATTGCCTTTGTAGGACTAACATTAGCCACAAGATTAGAAATTATGGTTTAGAAGTCATGCAGCTGGAGGCTACAAGATTCTGACCCTCCCTAAACTGCTCCTAAGATCAGTGCTTGAGATATTTTGCTGACCTTGTACTTGATGTATCAGTTGGCACCACGCAGATTGATAAACTGCCTCATCTGATCTTGTGGCCCCCACCTAGGAACTGACTCAGCACAAGAAGACAGCTTGAGGCTGGGCGCTGTGGCTCACACCTGTAGTCCCAGCACTTTGGGAGGCTGAGGCGGGCAGATCACAAGGTCAGAGTTCCAGACCAGCCTGGCCAACATAGTGAACCTCTGTCTCTACTAAACAAAACAAAAAATTAGCCGGGTGTGGTAGGGGGCGCCTGTAATCCCAGCTACTCAGGAGGCTGAAGCAGGAGAATCGCTTGAACCTGGCAGGTGGAGGTTGCAGTGAGTTGAGATTGCGCCATTACAATCCGGCCTGGGCGATAGTGCAAGACTACGTCTCAAAAAAATAAAAACAAAAAAGACAGCTTGGACTCCCTGTGATTTCATCCCTGACCAAGCAGCACCCCTGGCTCACTGGCTTCCCCCAACCCACCAAGTTCTTAAAACCTCTGCTCCCCGAATGCTTGGGGAAACTGATTTGAGTAATAATAAAACTCTGGTCTCCTGCACAGCAGCCCTGCGTGAACTACTCTTTCTCTACTGCAATTCCCCTGACTTGATAAATGGGCTCTGTCTAGGCAGGGGGCAAAGTGAACCCCTTGGATGGTTATGTTAGCACTACAGATAAGGAAATGAGGCTTGTATGTCTTGGGTAACTTGGCGAATGTCAGAGTGTCAATTAGGATGGATTCAACTGCAAGAAATAAAAACTTATGAGGAATAGCTTATACCAGTGTTTCTCAAATTTTAATCTGTGTAAGAATCACGGCTGGGCGCGGTGGCTCACGCCTGTAATCCCAGCACTTTGGGAGGCCGAGGCGGGAGGATCACAAGGTCAGGAGATCGAGACCATCCTGGCTAACACGGTGAAACCCCGTCTCTATTAAAAGTACAAAAAATTAGCCGGGCATTGTGGTGGGCGCCTGTAGTCCCAGCTACTCGGGAGGCTGAGGCTGGAGAATGGCGTGAACCCAGGAGGCAGAGCTTGCAGTGAGCGGAGATCGCGCCACTGCACTCCAGCCTGGGTGACAGAGCAAGACTCTGTCCCCCAAAAAAAAGAATCCCTTGGGACTGGGCATGGTGGCTCACACCTGTAATCCCAGCACTTTGGGAGGCTGAGGCAGGTGGATTACTTGAGCCCAGTAGTTTGAGACCAGCCTGGGCAATGTGGCGAAACCCCATCTCTACAAAACATACAAAAATTAGCTGGGTGTGGTGTCCGGTGCCTGTAGTCCCAGCTTCTTGGGAGGCTGGGGTGGGAAGAACCACTTGAGCCCAGGAGGTCAAGGTTGCAGTGAGCTGTGATCACACCATTGCACTCCAGCCTGGGTGACAGAGTGAGACCTTGTCTTAAAAAAAAAAGAATCACTTGGGATCTTGTTAAACACAGATTATAATTCATTGTGGGGGTGGGGTGAGGTTCTGCATTTCTAATAAGCAATCAAGTGACGCCGTTACTGGTCTGCAGACCACACTTTGAATATCAAGTGCTTAAGCCACAAGAGCACTTACTGCTTACCTAACGGAGCGATTTGGAGGTAGGTGGTTCCAGGATTAATTCAACAACTCTATAATTTCCTTCAGAACACAGTCTCCTTCTCTATCTTTCTTTCTTTTCTTTTCTTTTTTTTGAGACAGAGTTTCACCCTTGTTGCCCAGGCTGGAGTGCAGTGGCGTGATCTTAGCTCACTGCAACCTCCGCCTCCTGGGTTCAAGCCATTCTCCTGCCTCGGCTTCCCAAGTAGCTGGGATTACAGGCATGCGCTACCTCACACGGCTAATTTTGTATTTTTAGTAGAGACAGGGTTTCTCCATGTTGGTCAGGCTGGTCTTGAACTCCCGACCTCAGGTGATCTGCCCACCTCGGCCTCCCAAATTGCTGGGATTACAGTCACCTGCTACCACACCTGGCTAATTTTTGTATTTTTAGTAGAGACAGGGTTTCACCATATTGGCCAGGCTGGTCTGGAACTCCTGACTTCAGGTGATCTGCCTGCCTCAGCCTCCCAAAGGCCTAGGACTACAGGCAGGAGCCACTGCACTCAGCCCTCTATCTTTCTGATATACCATCATAAGTAAACAGACTTTTTAATCTTAGGCTATTGGCCAGGCGCAGTGGCTCAAGCCAGTAACCCCAGCACTTTGGAAGGCTGAGGTGGGCGGATCACCTGAGGTCGGGAGTTCGACACCAGCCTGACCAACATGGTGAAACTCCACCTCTACTAACAATACAAAAATTAGCCAGGTGTAGTGGTGGGCACCTGTAATCCCAGCTACTCGGGAGGCTGAGGCAGGAGAATCGCTTGAACCCAGGAGGCGGAGGTTGCAGTGTGCTAAGATCGCATCATTGCATTCCAGCCTGGGTGACAGTGAGTCTCAAAAAAAAAAAAAAAAAAAAACTTAGGCTATTTTCTCATGGTCACAAGGTGGCTACCTCTGCTCCAAGCATCATATTTATAGCCCTAAACTATAAATATGATTTATTCCCTGAGACTGCACACATAGCCAAATGGAAAAAATCTAGTAAGAAAGATCTGTGAGTTGCCAGGTGAGGTGGCTCACGGCTTTAATCCCAGCACTTTGGGAGGCCAAGGCGGGCGGATCACGAGGTCAGGAGATTGAGACCATCCTGGCCAACATGGTGAAACCCCGTCTCTACTGAAAATACAAAAATTAGCTGGGTGTGGTGGCACGTGCCTGTAATCCCAACTACTCAGGAGGCTGAGGCAGGAGAATAGCTTAAACCAGGCAGTCAAAGGTTGCAGTGAGCTGAGATCACGCCACTGCACTCCAGCCTGGCGACACAGCAAGACTCCGTTTAAAAAAAAAAAAAAAAAAGACCTAGGAGTTGATGGAAATACAGGTAGAAGAAGTAAAGGGTGAAAAAGGCTGATAGGTAGGCATTAAACAGTGTCTGTCATAGCTAAGGAGTAATATAGCCGGGATTCAAATGAACCTCTGTTCAAAGCTATAACACCTCTCGTCTGTTGAATTGCCTATCACTGATGGGAGGTGGAAAAATCTCAGAAGGCAAGCCTGGAATGTGATTGTTCTATACACATTTAACTCTGATGACTCGTACCATGCCAGCCTGAAGAATGAGTGTGCTATAAAAAAGGGGAAGAATTTGTTTAGTACCTAGAGATGAAGAGCCAAATAAGCATTGTCTAATTACAAATGTTCTGCTCAGCAGAGAGCTATTCTGTTATAAGGCAGGGATTATTTTTCTGGATTAGATGTGCACATAAAAATATCCCTTAAAAAGATATCTTTTATCTTAACTCCATACTCACCAAGAAAATTTCTGATTCTTCATTTGACTTGCCAGGTAATTGGATACCAGAAAGGGATGGGTGTGTGGAGTTCTCTGATAAATCTACACAAGTGTTTGTTTCTCTGAAAGTGCAAAGTTCTCACTGGGAATAAATTCATGGATTAAGAGAAGAGCTCCGCGGCAACCCATTTCCAGATTGAAATTTATTGTGCAATAAAAGTGGAACCACAAGTCATTATGAAAGAAACAGATTGTGTAGGAGATGTTGGAAAACTGGTTCACCATATGGAAGAAAATAAAACAGAATCCACATCTAACATCACATATGGAACCTAGACCATTTAAAGACCTAAATGTGAATGGTAAAACTATAAAGTTCACAGATTAAAAATATAGACCAGTATATTTTAACTTAGAGGCAAAGAATAGATTTTTAAACAATATTTTAAAAGCCCAGTGAGAAATCAGTTTACATGGAGTAGTTGGTTTCTCAGGGAGCATGTAAGAAGAGGGTGTTCACTGAAGAAATGTATATGGTGCTGGGGAATAGGAAGCAACATGGGTGCCACCACTGAGAGAGAGAATAGGTTGGGCCAGGTGCACTGGCTCATGCCTATAATCCCAGCACTTTGGGAGGCCGGGATGGATGGATCACCTGAGGTCAGGAGTTTGAGACCAGCCTGGTCATCATGGTAAAACCCTGTCTCTACTAAAAGTACCAAAATTAGCCAAGCATGGTGGCAAATGCCTGTAATCTCAGCTACTCGAGAGGCTGAGGCAGGAGAATTGCTTGAACCCAGGAGGAGGTTGTGGTGAGCCGAGATCACATCACTGCACTCCAGCCTGGGCAACAGAGCGAGACTCTGTCTCAAATAAAAAAAAAAAAAAAGAATAGGTTGGATATAATGGATCAGGTGTACCCCATAGCAAGCACATAAAATCATACATATTTTGCATAATACATTCAAATAAAAAGATATCTATTAAATACATTAAATTGCCAATGGGAGTAGGGGAATGGAAACAGTATGGTGATAAAATGGAATGAATGGATGAATAGATAGGTACATAGATAGAATGGGGGGTCTTCATGGGACCAACAGTGATAACATGCCAGTTACTGAAGAATGCCATTTAATTCAACCCTCGGTACCTAAGATCTAAATACATAAAAAATACATAAATTAACACATGTAGGCATGCATATATACAGACATTTATGTACAGTTTCATATATAAATATAAATTTTTTGAAGTTAAAAAAATAAATACATGAAGATTCTTGTTTATTAGTTTTCTTTTTTTTTTTGAGACAGAGTCTCGCTCTGTCGCCTAGGCTGGAGTGCAGTGGCACAATCTTGGCTCACTGCAAGCTCTGCCTCCTGGGTTCATGCCATTCTCCTGCCTCAGCCTCCCAAGTAGCTGGGACTACAGGCACCCGCCACCATGCCTGGCTAATTTTTTGTATTTTTAGTAGAAACGGGGTTTCACCATGTTAGCCAGGATGTTCTCGATCTCCTGACCTCGTGATCCGCCGGCCTTGGCCTCCCAAAGTGCTGGGATTACATGCGTGAGCCACCATACCTGGCCTGTTTATTAGTTTTCTTGTAATTTCTTTTTTCTTTTCTTTCTTTTTCCTTTTTTTTTTTTTTTTTTTTTGAGATGGAGCCCTGCTCTGTCATCGAGGCTGGAGTGCAGTGGGGTGATCTCAGCTCACTGCAACTTCTGCCTCTAGGGTTCAAGCAATTCTCCTGCCTCAGCCTCCCAAGTAGCTCTGGGACTACAAGCACGCTCCAGCATGCCTGGCTTATTTTTGTATTTTTAGTGGAGATGGGGTTTCACCATGTAGGCCAGGCTAATCTTGAACTCCTGACTTCAAGTGATCTGCCCGCCTCAGCCTCCCAGAGTGCTGGGATTACAGGCATGAGCCACCTCACCCATCCAGTTTTATTGTGATTTCTTACAGATGTCCTGATAAAATTCAGTCTCAGAACTCACAAAGCTGAATCAGAGCCTGCACCTGGGACCCATCAAACCCCGCCCCAATAAGTAAGCCTAGTCCATGAACATCATGTCTCTTTCTTTTCTTTCTTTTTTTTGAGACGGAATCTTGCTCTGTCACCCAGGCTGGAGTACAATGGTGCGATCTCAGCTCACCGCAACCTTTGTCTCCCGGGTTCAAGCAATTCTCCTGCCTCAGCCTCCTGAGTAGTTGGGATTATAGATGTCCACCACCACGACGGGCTAATTTTTGTATTTTTAGTAGAGACGGGGGTTTCGCCATGTTGGTCAGGCTGGTCTCAAACTCCTAACCTCAGGTGATCCGCCCACCTCAGCCTCCCAAAGTGCTGGGATTACAGGTGTGAGCCACCACACCTGGCCTACATTTTCATTTTTATCTCTACTTAGTTACTGTCTCTTTGTCTAATTAAGTTCTTCAGTTGATGGGAAGAGTTGGGCTGTTATTAATGATAGATAAACTCATTTGCACTAACAGTTTTCATGCTCTCGGTATTATTACAGTAGATTATTTTCTTGGTCAATGTAGTTTTTTTTGGTGTGAAAGTAGATATCCTTTTTTCCTGTTTTAAAAATAACTGCTGATATTTGAGGGATAACATTTAAGGTGAAGACACTATAAATAGAAAACTATCTCACTGAATTGTAAACTGGCATTTAGAATGGAAAAAGAAAAAAAGGAGTGTGTTTATAAATGGAAGAGAATGTTTGTACAGGAGGCCAACTGTTGTTTTTAAACTAACCTTGATGCTAGGATTTAACCCTTTGCTCCTAAGGACATTAAATAGGTTAACTTCTAATCACTTGGAATCAAAGGGCAACAGTGACAAAATTATGAAAATTCTTAGGTAATGCTTGAATTTAGAAAGTCTATAATCTAAGTGCCAAGTAAAAGGTCAAGACAAATCCTTTTTAGCCTGACTTTTTATAAAGGCAAGTTTGTAAGTTAAATAACCAACATATTTAGGGAAAACAGCTGCACAAGTAAAGCGAACTGTTAAAATATCTGCTTGATTTAAAAAATCCAAATGAATATACATAAACTTTTATAACAACCAATAGAAAACTTAGAACAGCTAAAAGTGTGTCTAAATTATGTGCTTTTTATAGTTCCAGTCCAGCTCTAAAGGAACATTATGAGTTTGTGGCTTTATGCTTTCTTCCTTTTAAAATGCCATTTATATGCATACAGGTGTAGCTCACTGCGAGTGCCTGGTGTTCCAGTTGCCTCTAGGCAAGACTAGCTGGGAATGCATTTTGCAGATGCTAGACACTACACGCCCTCATCTCCCATAAGATATAGGACCTAAAGGCAAAATTGTAACAAATTCTAATTATATGCCTACCAGACTAAAATCTGTGGACCAAGTCACTGTAGTTGTAGAAATAAAAAATTGAATCAATCCAATCAAATTGCCAGAAATAATTCAATAAAAGGCGTTCTCTAAGGAAGCAAGTTTTTCTAGACAAACAGAAAGAAGTGTTTGAAAAAAGAATTACTAAATTGATAAGGAGTAACCTAGGAAAGATGTGCTTCTTTAGGATTTTATTCAAGAACCAAGATGTATTACATTATTTAAACAACTGCTCAAAAAAAACAAGATTGCAGGCACTGTCATTTGTCTCCTGGTGCTTTCCAATTTGAGAACGAAAATTGAAAAAGGAGAAAAAGGCATAGAGACGATTAGAGGAAGCTGACTCCAGGAAGTAATTTTGAAAATATTCTGTCTTGTACCTATTAGTCTAATTAGGCTTTGGGCAGAGAAAGAGCTATAAAATAAGGTGACTGTTTAATTTATTATCCAGACATTTTGAGAGTGAAAGGGAGCACTGTTAATAAATACGCAAGGGTAATAGGTATAAACCAGGACTGTCCCAGGCAAAATGGAGGTACATTCCCCTAACTGTGAATGTGGTACTAGTTCAGGAGCACTAGAGATGCTTAGCTGATGTCTGAAATTCCACAGGCTTTATTCCTTTTTTTTTTTTTTTGAGATGGAATTTCGCTCTTGGAGTGCAGGTGGCGCGATCTCAGCTCAACTGCAACCTCCGCCTCCTGGGTTCAAGCGATTCTCCTGCCTTAGCCTCCCGAGTAGCTGGGATTACAGGTGCCTGCCATCGCGCCCAGTGAATTTTTGTATTTTTTTAATAGAAACAGGGTTTCACCATGTTGGCCAGGCTGATCTCCAACTCCTGACCTCAGGTGATCCACCCGCCTTGGCCTCCCAAAGTTCTGGGATTACAGGCATGAGCCACCGCACCCAACCAGCTTTATTCCTTTGACTTAAGTCAACAAGGCAGTTGGCTCAGTTTCCTGGAAGAAGTAACCACTAAACCTATATATATATATATATATATATATATAATTTGAGACAGGGTCTTGCTGTGTCGCCCAGGCTGGAGTGCATTGGCACGATCACAACTCACTGTACTTTTCATCGCCTGAGCTCAAGCCATCCTCCCGCTTCAGCCTGCCTAGTAGCTGGGAATACATGCATGAGCCACCACAGCAGGCTACTTTCTTTCTTTCTCTTTTTTTTTTTAGAGACAAGGTCTCACTGTGTTATCCAGGTTGGTCTTGACCTCCTGAGTTCAGGTGATCCTTCTGCTTCAGCCTCCTAAACTGCTGAGATTACAGGCATGAGCTACCCTTCTTCCTAGCCAATCATTTATATTTTAACATGAACAAACTTTTCAGAGTCTTCTCAGAGGGCAAGTTGGGAGCGACTCTGCTGCCAGTCTGGAGATCTCTGAGCTATTTTTGGCTGAGGGAGGAGGAAAAAGATAAGACCGACCCCAACTCAGAGAAGTATCCGCATGCAACCACAGGTGTCAGCCAGGCCTCCTTAGCTCAAAGGATCTGTGCTTACCTATGCCCATGAAACACATGTTCCCCCAAAGATCCCATCTCATATCAGAATATAGAGAGTGAGCTCCCAGCTGCTCATGGATCATTCTGTTCTACATAAGCCAGTTTAGAAGCTCACAGGATAACTGCCTTTTTAATGAAGTTGAGTGAGTGCTTTTCCTTCATTTCACCAACTAGAGAAAAGTCCCTGGCCAGAGTTTTAACAGTCCCATACCACACCCAGAGTGGGAGCACTGAGGAAAGGATGGGGTGAATAACCCTGAATTCATGCTAAAAAGCATCCTTTCTCACAAAAAAGATTATGGGATTTTTTTTTTTGCACTTCTTAACTCTGAGCAATTTATATCTCAGAGCAATTTACATCTCTGATTTAATCACATCTTAACCTGAATGCATGCATTAAAAACAGCCACAAAATAAATAAATGAATAAATTAAAGTCTCTAGGCTATAATTTGGGCCATCTTTGACCAGTAATTTGCATCAATGCCATCCTTGCTTTTCACAACAGGTTATACAAGCAAGGTAATAGCCAGTGATCACTCTCTTTTTATGAATATATAAATGAATACTAGAGGATGTCTCTGGAGAAGATTACAGGTTTTATATAAAGCTACTTTTAGATATAAGGTCCTGAAATAGAAACTTACAATCTGAGCAGAAATCAAATGGCTCCAGGATTCCTGTACCAAGGTGTTCTTGCCAAAAGATCTGCTAGGGCAAATGCAACATCTGTAAAAAGGCTAAAAACCACTATAGTCCACCCCAGCAAGGTTTGCTCTCTAGAGTAGCCACGTCCAATAGGACATTCTGCAGTGATGGACATGTTCAGTATCTGTGCTGCCTGACATGGTAGCTATTAGCCAAGTGTGGCTATTGAATACTTGAAATGTGACTAGTACAACAGAGGAACTGAATTCTCATTTTGTTTTGATAAGTTTAAATTCAAATACCCACATGTGAGTACTGGCTACCTTATTGAACAACACAAGTCTAGAGGCTAATCCAGCCTAAAGGAAGCAATCCAGGCCAGGCGCAGTGGCTCACGCCTGTAATCCCAGCACTTTGGGAGGCCAAGGAAGGCGGATCACCTGAGGTCAGGAGTTCAAGACCAGCCTGACCAATATGGTAAAACCCTGTCTCTCCAAAAAAATACAAAATTAGCTGGGTGTGGTGGCGGACACCTGTAATCCCAGCTATTTGGCAGGCTGAGGCAGAAGAATCGCTTGAATCCGGGAGGTGGAGGTTGCAGTGAGCCGAGATTGCACCATTGCACTCCGGTCTGAGAAACAAGAATGAAACACCGTCTCCAAAAAAAAAAAAAAAAAAAAAAAAAAAAAGGGAAAGAAAAGAAAGCAATCCAAAAGTCACCTTTGAATTCAGCAAGGAATCTGACAACATTTGATAACTTAATATTTTAGCTGTATAAAAAACTATACTTTCCCCTATTAAATTATCTCAATTCGGCCAGGTGCAGTGGCTCACGTTTGTAATCCCAGCACTTTGGGAGGCTAAGGCAGGCGGATCACAAGGTCAGGAGTTCGAGACCAGCCTGGCCAACATAGTGAAACCCTGTCTCTACTAAAAATACAAAAATTAGCTGGGTGTGGTGGCCCGTGCCTGTAGTTCCAGCTACTCAGGAGGCTGAGGTGGGATAATTGCTTGAACCAGGAAGTGGAGGTTGCGGTGAGCCGAGACTATGCCATTGCATTCCAGCCTGGGTGACAAAGTGAGACTCCGTCTCAAAAAAAAAAAATCTCAAGTCTTCACAATGGCCTTCTAGGCCTTTCATAATCTGGTCTTCCACCCCTCACTACCTTCACTCATTACCTCTAGGATTTCAGCTCCTGCGCTATCTACCCTTACTCATGTAGCCCCAGTTCTAGTGGCCCCCTTGCATCATTCTTGCCTCAGGGTCTCTGCATTTGCTGTTTTCTCTGCCTAAACTACTCTTCTCTTACCTATACTCACGGCTTGTTCCTCCCCTTCCTTTCAATTAATGTTCAAATATTATGTTCTCAGTGAGGCCTTTCCTGACCACCCTATTTAGAATTGTAATGCTTACCACCACCCAGACTCCTTACTTCTTTTTAAAAAAGAAGTTACTCAACTTAACTTTTCTCTTTAGTGTTTTTCCTCTCCTAATATACTTTTTCTTTCTTTTCTTGTTTTTGAGACAGACTGGAGTGCAGTGGCACAACCATGGCCCAAGGCAGCCTCAACCTCCCGGGCTCAAGCGATCTTCCCATTTCATCCTCCTGAGTAGCTGGGACTACAGGCATGTGTCACCATGCCCAGCTAGTTTTTTTTATTTTCTGTAGAGATGGAGTCTTCCTATGTTGCCCAGGCTGGTCACAAACTCCTGGGCTCAAGCAATCCTCCTACCTCGACTTCCCAAAGTGTTGGGATTACAGGTGTGAGCTACCATGCCCAGCCTTTTCTAATATACTTCTAACATAATTCAGTTACTTATTTTGTCTTTCTCCCCATCTAGAATGTGAGCTCTATGAAGGCAAGGATTTTTGTTAGTTTTATTTACTTCTGTACTCGGTGGTGTGCTCATAAATGTTTAACATCTAGCTCAGGGATGGGGGCAACACCCTGATTTGCCGATTTCTGTGGCGTAAATACTTCCACTACGGCCAGTTTCAAGCTACCAACAAAAAGTTACTGAACATAGAGCTGAACAAAATCTGAGAAGAGACAAAACTAATATGTGTGATTGAAGTCAGAAAACAGTTATTCTTGGGAGCAAAAGCCAGCTAGAAGAGAACAGTAGAGGGACTTCTGAGTAGATAGAAATGCTCAGTTTCTTGAAAGGATGCTGGTCACACAGATGTGTTGAGTTTGTGAAAGCTCATCAAAGTCTACACTTGCAATATGTACACTTTCCTGTCTTTATATTATACTTCAAGAAAAAAGGTAAATTTAAAGAATATATAGGGCCAGACACAGTGGCTCACACCTGTAATCCTAGCACTTTCGGAGGCCGAGGTGGGCGTATGACTTGCGGTCAGGAGTTCAAGACCAGCCTGGCCAACATGGTAAAACCTTTTCTCTACTAAAAATACCAAATTAAACGTGGTGGCCCATACCTGTAATCCCAGCTACTCAGGAGGCTGAGGCAGGAAAATCGCTTGAACCTGGGAGGCAGAGATTGCTGTGAGCCGAGATTGCACCACTGCACTCTAGCCTGGGCAACAGAGCAAGACTCTGTCTCAAAAAAAAAAAAAAAAAAAAAAAAAGAATATATACTGAGTGCTCTTTTGACCAGGCATGGTGGCTCACTCTTGTAATCCTAGCACTTTGGGAGACTGAGGTGGGAGGATTACTGGAGCCTGGGAGATGGACATTGCAATGAGCTGGGATTGCGCTACTGCATTCCAGTTTGGGCAACAGAGTCAGACCATGCCTCAAGAAAATTAATTATATTTTTTTTAAAAGGATATATAGTGCCCATTTATGTTCATAAGTTGTAAAATACTTCTCTCACTCCTCCCAGTTTCCAGAGCTCCACCCTTTTGTTACTGAATTTTAAACTCATGGCCTTCGGTCTTTATCTCGTGACAGCGGGTCACCTCTCTAAATACACTTTCATTTAAACTGATGTTCCCATCTCAGCTGATCCAGGTGACTGCAAATGACCGGCTGTACTTGCTGATGGGGTTGCACACTAATGCCTAGACTAGGCCAGCAATATCACATGGCCCTATCATCGTGATCTCTGGCATGTACACCTGACACAGAATGCCAAGTATAAGTTAATGAAAAACAAGAAAAACCAGGGGAGGTGTCTAATAATGTCAAGACTTCTTAAAGAGAAAATATAATTATATAGTTTGTATTTTCAGCAAAAAACTCATGGGGGTCAGGCTACACATTGTTATGAATGTAACATTCCTGCCAAATTGGATACTTGGTATTAATATTTAAATACTGACTTAAAGTCCAGGCTCCGTGGCTCACGCCTGTAATCCCAGCACTCTGGGAGGCCAAGGTTGGTGAATCACCTGAGGTCAGGAGTTCGAGACCAGCCTGGCTAACATGGCGAAACCCCGTCTCTACTAAAATACAAAAATTATCCAGGCGTGGTGGCAGGTGCTTGTAATCCCAACTACTTGGGAGGCTGAGGCAGGAGAATCACTTGAACCCAGGAGGTGGAGGTTGCAATGAGCCAAGATCACACAACTGCACTCCAGCCTGGGCGACAACAGTGAGACTCCACATTAAAAAAACAAACAAACAAAACAAAATAACACACACACACACACACACACACACACAACTGACAAATACTGATTTAAGATGCTAATTTATATTTATTTATTTTTTCATTTTTGAGATGGAGTCTTGCTCTGTTGCCCAGGCTGGAGTGCAGTGGCAAGATCTCATCTCACTGCAACCTCCACCTCCCGGGTTCAAGCAATTCCCCTGCCTTAGCCTCCTGAGTAGCTGGGACTACAGGTGCGCGCCACTGCACCCAGCTGATTTCTGTATTTTTAGTAGAGACGGGTTTCACCATGTTGGCCAGGCTGGTCTCGAACTCCCAACCTCAGGTGATCCGCCTCCCTCAGCCTCCCAAAGTACTGGGATTACAGGCATGAGCCACCGTGCCTGGCTGGTGTCATGGGGAGGCAGAATTGGTTTATTCCTCATTCCTCCTGCACACAATATTTCTTATTCCTTCTGCACATAATAGCAGTGGCTATTAGTGGAATTGCACTATTAGTCAAAAATCCTGAATCTGTTTTCTGCTGAGCAGGCATATTTCATAGAATCATAGTAAAATAGAGCCAGAAAAGTCATGTGGAAAGTATACTGCTGTGTAACAAATGGCATCTTAGAAGTCTAAAATTATCCTTGTGCATCAAAAAGATCTGACTGCATTTACTTGCTTTGGGTGATAGTTTATTAATCTGGAGGCTCCTATAAATAAACAACTTCAGGCTGGGCACAGTGGCTCACACCTGTAATCCCAACACTTGGAGAGGCCAAGGTGAGCAGATTGCTTGAAACCTGGAGTTTGAGACCAGCCTCGAACATGGTGAAACCCCGTCTCTACAAAGAAATACAAAAATTAGCTGGGCGTGGTGGT